>NC_000006.12:83273261-83898261 GCF_000001405.40 Homo sapiens
GACATAAAATAAGAAGGTTTTAATGTAACTATGAGCAAATCTTTTGTAAAACAATAAAGATAAACAATTGACTAAAAATATACAGGAATGTTATTTTTTCTAGGTTGGCTTCATAAGAACCTTGGTTTAAACACTGCTCTCCAAGTTCTTTTAAGACTTGTTTTTAAAAACTTTTAAATAAAGTTTTAAGAAGTTTTTAAAAGGTTCTAAAACAATCAACCACCTCAACTCAACACTTACGTTTCAACAAAAATCCTAAACTTAAGTCTTATTCCATGAACTAAAACAACATTCCATGATTAAAAAGAAAGTTTTCTTCTATGATGAAGTATTTTCTACATACAAAAAAGAGGTTGATTTTCCTTTAAACTCCTGAAATATAATTATACTAATAGATTCAGATGATTGAATTTACAGTGACAAATCAGGTAAAATCATTACCATTTTAGAAAGAAGATTTTATGTCAGCTGACAAGAATCTACTTCATGTTATGTGTTATGAAATGAACGTTATATGACACCATCTCTGCTGCTTCAGTTAAGTCTTATTCTGCCAAGCCTTTCTAACTATACTCACCAGTGTGCTCCACTGACATTTTCAGTTATTTGGTTAAGTGCCTTTTAACTCCTTCATGTAAAAGTATCCTACTTTTACAGTGTAAAAGTGAGTTTTCAGTGGAAACTGTTAAATGCTTATCTTGCTTGATTCACTATGTTTGGCCCTATTAATCCCTTCTGTTTTCAAACTCGTATCCCTCAGCTTCACTGCTACCTTTCCAAAATCTGGCTCCTTTCCTCTGATGTGCTAATACTCAAATATTGTCACCTAATGCTCTGCTAATAATGAAATATGGAGAAGAATAATATGAAACTATTTTATGCTTGCTACCTGATTTTTAAAATTTCCATTCAGACTTCTCTTACTATATTGATAAGTGTTCATGCCCATGGTTAAATTAAAAAGAATAAATGGAACATGTATCTTGGGTCATGATAATGGAGAAAAAGAACATGTTTGATAAAAATACTGCCTGAAGTTAAGCAGTGGATAGATGGAAAAAGTGAAGTACAGGAGCTTATAAAAATGCTCCATCTCTTCAACTCCAGGGAACATTAAAAAAAATTGAAGGATTTGATCTTTTGGTAGTAATTTCTCTTTATGCAAACACATAAATAGTATATTATAGATAAGCCTATATCTAATAGTTAATTTAGCAGAAATTTACTAAAAAACTTTTTTTCAAAGGATTCATAAAAGGTTGTTTCAGTTCTTCTATTTAGTATCCATTATTTTTGTTGAATATAAGTGAGAATCTTTGTAGTTTAATTCCAGGATAGAAGGCCATTTAAACTACCACTAAGCATCAACATAAAATACATCTAGAAGTGTTTATTTCAGAGTATAAGACATATATTGGGACTTAAAACCAACAAGTAAGCAATCGATTTACATTTTGAAATCTGATATGGAAAATATACCAAACCAGATGTGCTTGCTGCTATTTACAAATCACTACACAAATAAGAGATGCACATCACGATCAGTGACAAATCACGTCACTTCTTTTCTGCTAGTCGGCTCATGCACAGACAGCAAAGTATGTAATTGTGTTTCTCCAAGTAATAAACTCCCAGTGATATTTTACAAAAATATTTAATCAAAAGAGGAAATTTCCAAAAATGCCCCAGGAAAGTACAATGAAGAAATGAAAATTGACACTGGAAGTGAAATTAGATGTGACTAGAAGATTTTAAAATGGTAACAGCAATGTTAAGATAGGACAAAAACAGGCTGGGCTCAGTGGCTTACGTCTGCAATCCCAGCACTTTGGAAGGCCGAGGTGGGCGGATCACAGGAGGTAAGGAGTTCAAGACCAGCCTGGCCAACACGGTGAAACCCTGTCTCTACTAAAAATACAAAAATTAGCCAGGTGTGGTGCCAGGCGCCAGTAATCCCAGCTACATGGGAGGCTGAGGCAGGAGAATCGCTGGAACCTGGGAGCTGGAGGTTGCCGTGAGCAGAGATCGTGCTACTGCACTCCAGCCTGGGGGACAGAGTGAGACTCAGTCTCAAACAAAGAAACAAACAAATAATAATAATAATAATAATAATAAACTAGCACTACATGAGGTTATAGTATAAACCGAACCATATTGAAAAGTCTAGTGAATATTTTGAAAATTAGGTAAAATAGTTTTGATCTTTTTTTTTTTTTTTTTTTTTGATGGAGTCTTGCTCTGTCGCCCAGGCTGGAGTGCAGTGGCGCGATCTTGGCTCACTGCAAGCTCCGCCTCCCGGGTTCATGCCATTCTCCTGCCTCAGCCTCCCAAGTAGCTAGGACTACAGGCGCCGCCACCACGCCTGGCTAATTTTTTTGTATTTTTAGTAGAGACGGGGTTTCACCGTGTTAGCCAGGATGGTCTCGATCTCCTGACCTCGTGATCCGCCCGCCTCGGCCTCCCAAAGTGCTGGGATTACCGGTGTGAGCCACGGCGCCCGGCCTTTTTTTTTTTTTTTTTTTTTTTTTTGTGATGGAGTCTTGCTCTGTCGCCCAGGCTGGAGTGCAGTGGCGCGATCTCGGCTCACTGCAACCTCCGCCTCCCGGGTTCACGCCATTCTGCCTCAGCCTCAGGAGTAGCTGGGACTACAGGTGCACACCACCACGCCCAGCTAATTTTTTTGTATCTTTAGTAGAGACGGGGTTTCACCATGTTAGCCAGGATGGTCGCGATCTTCTGACCTCGTGATCTGCCCGTCTCGGTCTCCGGAACTGCTGGAATTATAGGTGTCAGCCACCGCGCCCCGGCCAACATTTTTTAGTTTAATCTGCACAACATACAGAAAGTCACTTACGGTTGAAACGAAGCACCGACTTTTTTGCATTGAAGACTCTGTAATAAAACAAATTCACGATGCAGTTGGCTAGCATTTAGGTCCAAGAACCAACTTTGAATACAGTAATTGAAAGCAGTAATTACAAGAAGACTGAAGATGAATCTCTAACCTCCAGTAAAGGCTGATTTCTTTGTTTCAAAAGTCAGCATGAATTGATAATGTTAAGCTAGCTGGTGAACTGCTGGTGCAGATAAAGATTCTGCTGTGAAATCCATACCCAGGAAAACTTTATAAACTCAGGAAAGTAGTTGTGATGCAAAGCATGACAATGTCCCAGGAGCAGTGATGCCAGCCAGCAAAGACCTCCACATTAAAAGACTTCTCAGATATTCCATGACATTAAAAATGCACAGATCAAAAGTGGACAGCTTATCCACATTTGGAAAGGAGTATGATAATTTGCCAAGGCATAGAAAACCTCTTGCTCCATACAATGAAAACAAGGCAAGAAGTGTTCAAACTACTCTTGAAAAGTTTTTACAAAGAAATAAAACTTTAATTCTGAATGTTTCTGATGTTTACAATTACAGTATACTAAAAAAAAATTAGTTTTACTATTTTTTCATTTCCCAATATACTTATAACCAACATTAAGAAGTTTTTAATGTCTTGACAAAAAAAATTTTAAAGGTCATAGAACGATCTTAATTTTTATTATTGGTTATTAAGATAACCTAATAATCACAGTTTCAGCTTCCCTGGTCACTTAGAATTATCACTGATTTACTTACAAAAAGTTCTGTCACTGATAACAAATTGTTATAAGAAAGAGACAAATAACTTATATGCTACACTACAGTTCCCTAGCTCTGCAATAAACTGTTAAGTGGTTAAGATTTTAAAACTGAATTTTAGCATATTGTCTTAAGACAGACAGCCATCTGTATTGAAGTAAACTGCATCCCACCTCAAAGAAATATTTAACAATTGATGAATGTATAAGATGGCATTTCTTTAGAAGAAAAAACAGCAATAAACATTCTCTTAAATAAAACTTTTAATATATTTTGTGAACCAAACAAAACAAGCCTGGGTACTTACATATCCATTATATTGTCTTTTATAAAGAGAATATTTACATTCTCATATTCACTGTCTATAAGTTGTGTAATGCTGACTCCTTAACTACACAACTTCTTTTATAACATGAAACTCAATGCCTTTTGAATCTGGGTATAAATTCCTCAGCAGGCCTAGCCTCAGCACCCCCAGTTTAATTAGAACTAACCAGTAACTCTACATTAGCAGAAAACACAACTGAAAACCAATGTCCACTACAAGTATGTTGGCTCTGTGTCATGGACAGCCACAGGCCAAGGAAGACGAGACTCAGGATTATGGCAGAATAGTTAGAATACCATATTATTTAAGGTAACAAAACATGGGGAAAGGATTCATACAGTACATTCTAATCTATATCTTAGATTATCAAACTAAAACTAAGAACAAAAATAAGATTTGGGGCCAGGTGTGGTGGTTTACGCCTGTAATCCCAGCACTTTGGGAGGCTGAGGCAGGCAGATCACTTGAGGTCAGGAGTTCGAGGCCAGCCTGGCCAACATGGTGAAACCCCGTCACTACCAAAAATACAAAAATTATCCTAGCGTGGTGGCACATGGCTGTAATCGCAGCTACACGGGAGGCTGAGGCAGGAGAATCGCTTGAACCTGGGAGGTAGAGGTTGCAGTGAGCTGAGATCGCACCATTGCACTCCAGCTTGGGCGATAGTGAGACTGTATCTCAAAATAATAATAATAATAATAATAATAATATTTGGAATTCAACACAGTGTGCCAGAAAGCTTGCTTATCTTCTTGGACCTCCTGCCATTTGAACCCTAGAATTCTGAATCTAGGGTCAGAGTTTCTGGTTCTTACATGTAAAGAGCTTGGAAACTGTTACTCCCATCTCACAAGAAAAATGCTGAACAAACTACACGTTAACAACTCAATCCATCATGATGCATTAGGTTGCCCCCAAAACTAGAAAGACAGGCAAATACAGAGAATCATGGCTTTGAGTAGAAGCCCAGGAGCAGAACCGTGCAGCAAGAGCCAGTATCAGCAGCAAAGCTTTAAACTGTAATTAATGAATTGCTGGAGACTCAGTGTATACTAACTTGCAAATTAAAAACTACTAGGAGGTCCAGTCTTATGGGGGCCTCCACACTTTCATAAGTTTTATCTCCAGGAGCTTCATTAGGTTTTGACTGAAGATTTGAGGAAAAGTCCCCCTTGTGCTTCCAGCAAGCGGGGAGAGAATAGTAACCATTTAAAAAATTTGATTGTTTATTTTATTTTTAGAGAGGAGCTCTTGCTCTGTCGCCCAGGCTAGAGTGCAGGGGCACAGTCATAGCTCACTGTAACCTAGAACTCCTGGGCTCAAGTGATCCTCCTGTCTCAGCCTCTCAACTAACTGTGATTATGGATGCTTGCCACCACGCCTGGTGCCTGACTAGAGTCTTTTTTTTTTTAATTTCTTGTAGATATGAGGGTCCTCCTACATTGCCCAGGCTGGTCTTGAACTCCTGGGCTCAGGCAATCCTCCCACCTCAGCCTCCAAAAGCACCAGAATTACAGGCATGAGCCACTATGCCAAGCCTATTTATCATTTTTTAAAATGCCAGAGCATTCTGTTCTTCTTAATAGGACTTACCCTCAAGAGAAACTATTTTACCAGATCCTAACTTAATGGGGTTCACCAAAGCCTACCTAAACTGGGGGAAGGGAAATATCCAACTACAGTCCTCCCTGGGCTTTCAAATGGAGGAAAGAAAATACTCAAAACTCAGGCTCACTAAAAAACTGACAGCCAATCATAGGACTATAGTAAACAACCCCTTCCCCCCCAACCCTATCACTGCCCCAACAGGGCTCTGGTATAATAACAGCAGATTACAGCTAAAACAAATTCTAGCCTCAAAGTCTATTTAAGGAGACGCTGGAAAAATCCAAAGACAAGAGGTTAGACAAAAACAATGACACTGAAGAACTTTTAGCCTCTAATACTACAGCTACAGCAAACATCAAACACAGCTTAACTCCTAGCCAGATAAACAAAACCCAGCATATTAAAGGCATATCTCCCTAAGTTCCTTTTACCCCATATAGCAGGTCTAATTGTCAACAAAATTACAAGGCATCCTAAAAGGCAAGAAATATAGTCGGAAAACACAAAGCAAGCATCAGAATGAGATTCAGATATAGTGGAAATTTTGGAATAAACAGACTGGGAATTTGAAATAACTATGATTAATATGCTAAGTGATCTAAGCAGAGCAATAGAAACTCTAAGAATCGAAAGGTAATGATAGAAGTCAAAGTAACAGTACCAGAAATAAAGACTGGCTTTGATGGGCTCATCAGTAGACCAGACACCACAAGGAAAGCATTTGTGTGCTCAAAGAAACGTCAACAGAAACTTCCAAAACTGAAATGCAAAGAGAAAAAAGAGAGAGAGAAAAAAATAACAGAATAGCCAAGAACTGTGTGACAATTACAAAAGTTGTAAAATAATCACAATGAGAATACAAGAAAGAGAAGGAAGAAGTAAGTATTTGAAGTAATAATGGCTGAGAATTTTACAAAATTAATGACAGAAACCAAGGCACAGATCCAGGAAGCTCAAAGAACATCATGCTGTATAAATACCAAATTATCTACACATAGGCATATCAGAGTTAAGTGTAGAAAATTAAAGAGAAGAAGAAAATCTTGAAAGTTTGAAGAAAACTATCTCCACAGGAAGACGAATAAGGATTACATGAAACTCCTCCTCAGAAACCACACAAGCAAGAAGAGTGTGGGGTTAAATATTTCAAGTTTTGAAAAGAAACCCCACCAACCTACAATTCTGCATCATGTAATACACTGATATACTGTAGGAGAAATAAAGACTTTCTCAGACAAAAATGAAGACATTTCTTGTCAGTAGACCTGCCTTGCAGTAATATTAAAAGATAAGAAAGAAAATGATATGTCAGGAATTATGTCGGATATTAGATCCACATAAAGAAAGGAAGAGCATTAGAGAAGAAATACATTAAGGTAAAATAAAATATTTTTCTTTTTCTCAACTGACCTAACAACCATTTTTTTAAAAAATAATAACAACAACAATATATTCCATAATTATAGTTTATGGACAAGTGAAACAAATGAAAGCAATGTGACAAGGGCCAGCAGGGAAGAACTGGAAATACTCTGTTATATGGTACCTGCAGTATTCATGAAGCAGCATACTATTATTTAAAAGTGGATTTGGATTTGTTATAAATGTATACTATAAACTCTGAGGCAACCAATAAACATTTTTTAAAAACAAGTATATAATTGATAGGCTAAAACTGGAGAGAAAACGAACTTAGGGTTAGTATTTGTTTCTCCTTAAATGAATTAACTTCTTACTTGCAATATCTGCTAAACTTCTCTTTTGGAGCTACTTATATTTCACATTTTGTCTCCACTAACTGCTCCTTTTGCTGCCCATGTTTTGGCAAGATGGTAAATAAACAAAAAATGCTGCCCATAAAATTAAAAGAATTGATCCAACAACTACAGTAGCTAAACAGGTGGAAATGTGTCAGAATTTTATAGCCTGTGTCTCACCATGAACATATAATTAGGTATTAGTTGATATAACTGTGTGGGTGAGTCTGATTATACTCATAATAATATATTTGTATCTGCAGTGCCTAGAACAAAACCTGCCATATGGCAAATAGTCAATATTTGTTGAAGAAATAAATTAATTGACATTAAAAGGGAGAATATTTAATCCCTGTTGAGGACTAATAAAATCATTTTTATTATTGTCAACTTGCTTTAACAACCATCTCACAAATAAAATGAAGTCTACTATATTGTTTTGCAGTTCTGAATCTAACTTTACAAAAATATTGAAGAGCATGCTAAGAAAAGATCATATATCTGGCACATTAAAAGGTGTTTAGAATAGCTATACAAGTCTTTGAAAATAAACCATTCCCTTGTGAAAAAATACTTCAAAGCTTTTCAAATATATATGCAGATTTAGGAAGACTTATGCCATGGTAAAATTTCATGGATGTTTAATATAACCTTTCAAAACATCATGGGTCTATAGTGAATGAAAATGAATAAAGTGAGCAAAAATCTGCCTCTAATCTTAATTTCATGTGGCTTGGCACTTAAAAAACAACAATTACTACTAAACCATTCGTTCTATAAAAGCCAGAAGAGGTAAGTGAGACATCATCTCTGATAACTCATCTAACAACATTACTTATTAGGTACTCTTTCTATATCCTCTTACATTATCTAAACTAATTTTTACTACAGGGCTTACTGAAAATGTCAAGGCAAGGCTGAAAATCAACACAAACTTCCGGCCAGGCACAGTGGCTTACACCTGTAATCCCAGCACTTTGGGAGGCAGGTGTGGGCCCATCACTTGAGGTCGGGAGTTTGAGACCAGCCTGGCCAAGATGGTGAAACCCCATCTCTACTAAAAGTACAACAATTAGCCGAGTGTGGTGGTGGGAGTCTATAATTCCAGCTACTCGGGAGGCTGAGGCATGAGAATCACCTGAACCTGGGAAACAGAAGTTGCAGTGAGCCAACATTGTGCCACTGCACTCGAGCCTGGGTGACAGACTGAGACTCTGTCTCCAAAAAAAAAAAAAAAAAAAAAAAAAAAAAGAAAAGAAAACAAAAAAGAGAAAAAAAAAAAGAGAGAAAAAAACAGAAAACCAAACACTGAATGTTCTCACTCAGCACAAAGAAACTTGTAAGAAAATCCAGGAAATGCAGGAAGAGATAATACAACTTAAAAAAAAAAAATCAATCAGAGCTTCTGGAATTGAAAACCTCACTTAAGGAATTTCTAAATAGAATTGAAAGTTTCATCAATAGACTAGACCATATAGAAGAAGGAATTTCAGAACTTGATGACTAGTCTTTTGAACTAATCAAGGCAGACAAATAAAGAAAAAAGATAAATGTAAACCTTAAAACCATAAAAACTCTAGAAGAAAACCTAGGCAATAACATTCAGGACACAGGCATAGGCAAAGAATTCACGACTAAAGCACCAAAAGCAATTGCAATGAAAGCAAAATTGACAAATGAGATCTAATTAAACTGAAGGGCTTCTGCACAGCAAAAGAAACTATCATCAGAGTGAACAGGCAACCTACAGAATAGGAGAAAATTTTTGCAATCTATCCATCTGACAAAGGGCTAATATCCAGAATCTACAAAGAACTTAAACAAACTTACAAGAAAAAACAAACAATCTCATCAAAAAGTGGGTGAAGGATATGAACAGACACTTCTCAAAAGAAGACATTTATGTGGCCAACAAACATGAAAAAAGCTCATCATCACTGGTCATTAGAGAAATGCAAATCAAAACCACAATGAGATATCATCTCACTCCAGTTAGAATGGCGATCATTAAAAAGTCAGGAAATAGCAGACGTTGGAGAGGATGTGGAGAAATAGGAACACTTTATACTGCTGGTGGGAGTATAAGTTAGTTCAATCATTGTGGAAAACAGTGTGACGATTCCTCAAGGATCTAGAACCAGAAATACCATTTGACCCAGCAATCCCATTACTGGGTATATATCCAAAGGACTATAAATCATTCTACTATAAAGACACATGCACATGTATGTTTGCTGCAGCACTATTCACAATAGCAAAGATATGGAACCAACCCAAATGTCCATCAATGATAGACTGGGTAAAGAAAATGTGGCACATATACAACATGGATTACTATGCAGCCATAAAAAATGATGAGTTCGGCCGGGCGCGGTGGCTCAAGCCTGTAATCCCAGCACTTTGGGAGGCCGAGGTGGGCGGATCACGAGGTCAGGAGATCGAGACCATCCTGGCTAACAAGGTGAAACCCCGTCTCTACTAAAAATACAAAAAATTAGCCGGGCGTGGTAGCGGGCGCCTGTAGTCCCAGCTACTCGGGAGGCTGAGGCAGGAGAATGGCGTGAACCCGGGAGGCGGAGCTTGCAGTGAGCCGAGATCGCGCCACTGCACTCCAGCCTGGGCGACAGAGCAAGACTCCGTCTCAAAAAAAAAAAAAAAAAAAAATGATGAGTTCATGTCCTTTGCAGGGGCATGGATGAAGCTGGAAACCATCCTTCTCAGCAAACTAACACAGGAACAGAAAACCAAACACTGCATTTTCTCACTCATAAGTGGGAAATGAACAATGAGAACACATGGACACAGGGAGGGTAACATCACACACCAGGACCTCTCATGGGGTGGGGGGAAAGGAGAGGGAGAGCATTAGGACAAATACCTAATGCATCCAGAGCTTAAAATCTAGGTGATAGGTTGATGGGTGCAGCAAACCACCATGGCACATGTATACCTGTGTAACAAACCTGCACGTTCTGCACATGTATCCCAGAACTTAAAATAAAAAACAAAAACAAAAACAAACAAACAAAAAACCCCAAAACATTAACAAAATCTTAAAGAAATATGCGATTATATAAAGCAACCAAATCTAGGAATTACTGGCATTCCTGAGAGAAAAGGAGAAAAAGTAAACAACCTGAAAAATAGATTTGAGGGAATAATTCAAGAAAATTTCCCTAATCTTGCCACATCAAAATTTGGAAAGATCTCAAATTAACAATCTAACATCATGCCTAGAGGAACTAGAGGAACAAGAACAAACTAAACCTAAAGCTAGTAGAAGAAAATAAATAACTAAAATCAGAGCAAAAGTGAATGAAATTGAGACCCAAAATTCTGCACAAAGAATCAATGACATCAAAAGTTGGTTCTTTGAAAGAGGGAACAAGATCAATAGACTGCTAGCTAGATTAACAAGGAAAAAGCAAGAAGAACCAAATACGCACAATCAAAAACAACAAAGGTGATGTTGCAACCAATTCCACAGAAACACAGAAGATTCTCAGAGACTATTATGAACACCTCTATGCACATGAACTAGAAAATCTAGAGAAAATGGATAAATTCCTGGAAACACACAACTTCCCAAGATTGAATCAGGAAAAAGTTGCAACCCTAATAAGAACATATTAACTTCCAAAATTGAATTAGTAATAAAAACCCTACCAACCAAAAAAATCCCCCAAAAACCCAGAAAATGGATTCACAGTCAAATTCTACCAGATGTACAAAGAAAAGCTGGTCCATATTCCACTGAAATTACCCCAAAAAAAATCAAGGAGGAGGGACTCCTCCCTAACTCATTCTGTGAAGCCAGCATCACCCTTCTACCAAAACCTGGCAAAGACACAACAAAAAAAGAGAAAACTACAGGCCAATGCCACTGATAAGCACATATGCAAAAATGCTCGACAAAATACTAGCAAACCAAATCCAGCAGCACATAAAAAGTTAATACATCATGATCAAGAAGGATTTATTCTTGGAATACATAAACAGATTTAAAAACAAAAACCATAGGATCATCTCAATAGATGCAGAAAACCTTTCAATAAAATCCAACATCCCTTCATTATAAAAAACCTCAACAAACTAGGCATAGAATGAACATATCTAAAAATAATAAGAGCCATCTAAGACAAACTTACAGCCAACATCATATTAAACTGACAAAACCTGGAAGCATTCTCCTTAAGATCAGGAACAAGACAATGATGCTCACTCTCCCCACTCCTATCCAACATAGTACTGCAAGTCCTAGCCAGATCAACCAGGCAATAAAAAGAAATAAAAGGCATCCAAATAGGAAAGAAGAAGTAAATAATCTCTCTGAGTAGTATTCCATGGTATATATTTATCACATTTAAAAATCCAATCATCTGTTGATGGACACTTAGATTGAGTCTATGATTTTGCCATTGTGAATAGCACTGTGATAAACATATCAGTGCAGGTATCTTTTTCATATGATGATCTGTTTTCCCGTTTTGTCTTTTCTTAACATTAGACTGAAAATAAGTGAATGGGGGTATAATATATCACAAAACTGATTAATACGACAACCTTAACCAGCAGAGTATAATATATATTTAACAGTTATTGAAAATGTATGTGTATTAGGGACTGTTCAAAACAAAATGGATTGGTTTTTCTCTCTTTTATTCTTTTGCCTGCATCAAAAAGCATAAAAGCTTTAATTCTACTAGACTGTCAGATAAATCTTAATGTAAACTGCTTTGAAACCAGAGATAAAGTGAATACATTTAACAAATTATAGTGAGTGCTTACTTGCAATCAGACTCTGGGGATATTGCAGGAAACAAAATAGACATAAAAAATCCCTGCTTTTATAGAGTTTTTATTGTACTTGCTGAAGACAGATAATAAATAAGAATAAGTAAACTATGTACCATGTTATAAGGTGATACATGCTGTAGAGAAGGAAGAAGGAGAAAGCCACTGTAAGATATGCAAATATTGAAGGGAAGTCTTCACTGAGAAGGTGACAAGTTAGTAAAGACTTGCAGAAGAGGAGACAGGGATAAAGAAAGGCATGGAGACACCTAGAGGAGTGTTCAGGTTCAAGAGAACAGCAAAAGCAAAGACCCTGAGGTGGGAGTGCACCTGAAGTGTACAAGAAATAGCAAGATTTGGAATGCCATTGAATGAAACTTCTATTGAATTCACACACATTTCCTATTTGTTTGAATTTCAAATACGACAAAAGATTATCAAACTGTTTTGTCTTTTTTAGGGAAGTTATGTTTAGGAAAAGAGGCGAATGCATAATTTTCAACTGAATAACCGAGTTTTCCATAGTTGTTTTTTCAGTTGTTCGGATACGGCTTATCTTCATGTTTAAAATTCAGCCAAAAGCATACAGTCATTGTCATTTCTATTTTCACATTATACCAAAAGTGGTGCTTATAAGATTTCCGAATTCAGAATGTACTAGAGATGCCATCCTGTTTGCACTTGACATATCTGAATAAGATTTCTTTAAATAAGACAGGAGTGTCGTGCACTGATTAAAAGTATGGGCTCTGGAGCCAGAGAGTCTGGATTTCAATCTCAGACTGTCACTTTCTGATTGGGTGGCTATAATAAGTTACTCTGTGCCTCTGTTTTCTTACCCTGAAAAATTAAGATAAATAATTGTAAGTATCTCATAGTTGTTTTGAGAATAAAAATAATTTAAAGCATTTAGAACTGAGCTTGGTACATAACTAACAAATGTACTAGCTGTGACTCGTTATTAACATTGATGGAAGAGATCAGGTGGGTATTTTGATGTGTCATAGTCAAAATAAGAAAAAATAATGCTTCTTTAACTTTTCTATTTTTCTCCCTTGATGTCAATAGTTAAAATCATTCTTCAATTCCTGAAGATTCAAATCCATGATAACATTTGAATACATATCAAGTATTCATTCTTACACTTAAAGAGATATTTTTAAATATTGAGAAACAATGAGTTCAAATTAAGTTACCTTCTCATAATATCTAAATTAGAAGAAAATATCCTTTTTAATACCTAATATTTATGAGTGCTCAGCAGTATATAAAAGGCATACTTGAAAGAAAATTCTTTTGCATTTATAACATTTAAGAGAAAAACACAAAGAAGTGATAAACACAGGAGCAGGCTGGCTATTTCAAGGAAAATGAGTTGTTACAAAGCATAAAATATTCCTGAAGAATGTATATTTATATTAAAATTTTCCTTGTAGCCTCACAGTACTCTATGACTATAAATAGCCCTCATGAACTACATCAGATGATTTTGAGTTACAGTGCAAGTACCCTTTCCGTAAAAGCAGCTTAAAAAGAAAGCATCAAATTGCATTGGAAAGTAAATGTTACATATTCAATCATGATATTATTAAGCACTTACTATAGGTATTAGTCCAAGCACTTTATATGAACTGTAAAAATAATAAAACAGGTTAGTATATAACACTAAATATTTCAACAATCCTTTAAAAACTGTTTTTATGAAAATTTTCATCGACAAATACTAAAAACGTTTTTATTATGGTAAAAATATGTAACATTAATCTTATCATCATAATCTTTTTTTAAAATTATACTTGAAGTTCTGGGTTACATGTGCAGAACATGCAGTTTTGTTACATAGGTATACACAAGCCATGGTGGTTTGCTGCACCCATCAACCTGTCACCTACATTAGGTATTTCTCCTAATGTTATCCCTCCCCTAGCTCCACACCCACCACAGGTCCCGGTGTTTGATATTCCCCTCCCTGTGTCCATGTGCTCCCATTGTTCAACTCCCACTTAGGAGTGAGAACATGCGGTGTTTGGTTTTCTGATCTTGCGATAGTTTGCTGAGAATGATGGTTTCTAGCTTCATCCATGTCCCTGCAAAGAACATGAACTCATCATTTTTTATGGCTGCGTAGTATTCCAGAGTATATATGTGCCACATTTTCTTAATCCAGTCTATCATTGATGGACATTTGGGTTGGTTCCAAGTCTTTGCCATTGTGAATAGTGCAGCAATAAACATACGTGTGCATGTGTCTTTATCGTAGAATGATGTATAATCCTTTTGGTATACACTCAGTAATGGGAAAGCTGGGTCAAATGGTATTTCTAGTTCTAGATCCTTAAGGAATCGCCACACTGTCTTCCACAATGGTTGAACTAATTTACACTCCCAACAATAGTGTAAAAGCATTCCTATTTTTCCACAACCTCTCCAGCATCTGTTGTTTCCTGACTTTCTAATGATTGCCTTTCTAACTGGAGTGAGATGGTATCTCATTGTGGTTTTGATTTGCATTTCTCTAATGACCAGTTATAATGAGCATTTTTTCATATGTCTGTTGGCTGCATAAATGTCTTCTTTTGAGAAGTGTCTGTCCATATCCTTTGCCCATTTTTTGATGGGGTTGTTTGCTTTTTTCTTGTAAATTTGTTTAAGTTCTTTGTAGATTCTGGATATTAGCCCTTTGTCAGATAGACATATTGCAAAAAATTTCTCTCATTCTGTAGGTTGCCTGTTCACTCTGATAATAGTTTCTTTTGCTGTGCAGAAGCCCTTCAGTTCAACTAGATCCAATTTGTCAATTTTGGCTTTTGTTACCATTGCTTTTGGTGTTTTAGACATGAAGTATTTGCCCATGCCTATGTCCTGAATTGTATTGCCTAGGTTTTCTTCTAGGATTTTTACAGTCCTAGGTCTTACATTTAAGTCTTTGATCCATCTTGAGTTGATTTTTGTATAAGGCGTAAGGAAGGGGTCCAGTTTCAGTTTTCTGCATATGGCTACCCAGTTTTCCCAACACTATTTATTAAATAGGGAATCTTTTCCCTATTGCTTGTGTGTGTCAGTTTTGTCAAAGATCAGATGGTGGTAGATGTGTGGTGTTATTTCTGAGGCCTCCGTTCTGTTCCATTGGTCTATATATCTGTTTTGGTACCAGTACCATGCTGTTTTGGTTATTGTAGCCTTGTAGTAAAGTTTGAAGTCAGGTAGTGTGATGCCTCCAGCTTTGTTCTTCTTGCCCAGGACTGTATTGGTTATGCAGGCTCTTTTTTGGTTCCATATGAAATTTAAAGCAGTTTTTTCTAATTCTGTGAAGAAAGTCAGTGGCAGCTTGATGGGGATAGCATTGAATCTATAAATTACTTTGGGCAGTAAGGCCATTTTCATGATATTTATTCTTCCTATCCATGAGCATGGAATGTTTTTCCACTTGTTTGTGTCCTCTATTATTTCCTTGAGCAGTGGTTTGTAGTTCTCCTTGAAGAGGTCCTTCACGTCCCTTGTAAGTTGTATTCCTAGGTATTTATTCTCTGAGTAGCAGTTGTGAATAGGAGTTCACTCATGGCTCTGTGTTTGTCTGTTATTGGTGTATAGGAATGCTCATGATTTTTGCACATTGATTTTGTATCCTGAGACTTTGCTGAAGTTGCTTATCAGCTTAAGGAAATTTGGGGCTGAGATGATGGGGTTTTCTAAATATACAATCATGTCATCTGCAAACAGAGACAATTTGAATTCCTCTCTTCCTACTTGAATACCCCTTATTGCTTTCTCTTGCTTGATGGCCCTGGCCAGAACTTCCAATACTAGGTTGAATCGAAGTGGTGAAAGAGGGCATCCTTGTCTTGTGCTGGTTTTCAAAGGGAATGCTTCCAGTTTTTGCCCATTCAGTATGATATTGGCTATGGGTTTGTCATAAATAGCTCTTATTATGTTGAGATATGTTCCATCAATATCTAGTTTATTGAGAGTTTTTAGCATGAAAGGCTGTTGAATATTGTTGAAGGCCTTTTCTGCATCTATTGAGATAATCATGTGGTTTTTGTCATTGGTTCTGTTTATGTGATGGATTTTGTTTATTGATTTGCATATGTTGAACCAGACTTGCATCCCAGCGATGAAGCTGACTTGATCGTGGTGGATAAGCTTTTTGATTTGCCAGTATTGTATTGAGGATTTTCACATCAATGTTCATCAGGGATATTGGCCTGAAATTTTCTTTTTTTGTTGTGTCTCTGCCAGGCTTTGGTATCAGGATGATGCTAGCCTCATAAATGAGTTAGGGAGGATTCCCTTTTTTCTCATTGATCAGAATAGTTTCAGAAGGAATGGTACCAGCTCCTCTTTGTACCTCTGGTAGAATACGGCTGTGAATCCATCTGGTCCTCGACTTTTTTTGGTTGGTAGGCTATTAATTATTGCCTCAATTTCAGAACCTGTTATTGGTCTATTCAGAGATTCAACTTCTTCCTGGTTTAGTCTTGGGAGGTTGTATGTGTCCAGGAATTTATCTGCTTCTTCTAGATTTTCTAGTTTATTTGCATACAGGTGTTTATAGTATTCTCTGATGGTAGTTTGTATTTCTGTGGGATTGGTGGTGATATCCCCTTTATCATTTTTATTGCATCTATTTGATTCTTCCCTCTTTTATCCTTTATTAGTCTTGCTAGAGGGCTATTTTGTTGATCTTTTCAAAAAACCAGCTCCTGCATTCATTAATTTTTGAAGGTTTTTTTTGTGTCTCTATCTCCTTCAGTTCTGCTCTGATCTTAGTTATTTCTCGTCTTCTGCTAGCTTTTGAATATGTTTGCTCTTGCTTCTCTAGTTCTTTTAATTGTGATGTTAGGATGTCGATTTTAGATCTCTCCTGCTTTCTCTTGTGGGCATTTAGTGCTATAAATTTCCCTCTACACACTGCTTTAAATGTGTCCCAGAGATTCTGGTACATTGTGTCTTTGTTCTAGTTGGTTTCAAAGAACGTGTTTATTTCTGCCTTCATTTCATTATTTACCCAGTAGTCATTCAGGAGCAGGTTGTTCAGTTTCCATGTAGTTGTGTGGTTTTGAGTGTGATTCTTAACCCTGAGTTCTAATTTGATTGCACTGTGGTCTGAGAGACAGTTTGTTGTGATTTCTGTTCGTTTATATTTGCTGAGTGTTTTACTTCCAATTATGTGGTCAATTTTAGAATAAGTGTATGGTGGTGCTGAGAAGAATGTATATTCTGTTGATTTAGGGTGGAGAGTTCTGTAGATGTCTATTAGGTCCACTTGGTCCAGAGCTGAGTTCAAGTCCTGGATATCCTTGCTCATTTTCTGTCTTGTTGATCTAATATTGACAGTAGGGTGTTAAAGTCTCCCACTATTATTGTGTGGGAGTCTAAGTCTCTTTGTAGGTCTCCAAGAACTTGCTTTATGAATCTGGGTGCTCCTGTATTGGGTGCATATATATTTAGGATAGTTAGCTCTTCTTGTTGAATTGATCCCTTTACCATTATGTAATGGCCTTGTCTCTTTCGATCTTTGTTGGTTTAAAGTCTGTTTTATCAGAGACCAGGATTGCAACCCCTGCTTTTTTTTTGCTTTGCATTTGCTTGATAGATCTTCCTCCATTCCTTTATTTCAAGCCTGATGTGTGTCTCTGCACGTGAGATGAGTCTCCTCAATACAGTATACCACTGAGTCTTGACTCTTCATCCAATTTGCCAGTCTGTGTCTTTTAATTGGGGCATTTAGCCCATTTACATTTAAGGTTAATATTGTTATGTGTGAATTTGATCCTGTCATTTTGATGTTAGCTGGTTATTTCACCTGTTAATTGATGCAGTTTCTTCTTAGCATTGATGGTCTTTACAATTTGGCCTGTTTTTGCAGTGGCTGGTACCAGTTGTTCCTATCCATGTTTAGTGCTTCCTTCAGAAGCTCTTGTAAGGCAGGCCTGGTGGTGACAAAATCTCTCAGCATTTGCTTGTCTGTAAAGCATTTTATTTCTCCTTCACTTATGAAGCTTAGTTTGGCTGGATATGAAATTCTAGGTTGAGAATTCTTTGCTTTAAGAATGTTGAATATTGGCCCCTAGCCTCTTCTGGTTTGTAGGGTTTCTGCAGAGAGATCCACTGTTAGTCTGATTGGCTTCCCTTTGTGGGTAACCCAACCTTTCTCTCTCACTGCCCTTAACATTTTTTCCTTCATTTCAACCTTGGTGAATCTGATAATTATGTGTCTCGGGTTGCTCTTCTTGAGGAGTATCTCTGTGGTGTTCTCTGTATTTCCTGAATTTGAATGTTGGCCTGCCTTGCTAGGTTGGGGAAGTTCTCCTGCATAATATCCTGAAGAGTGTTTTCTAACTTGGTTCCATTCTCCCTGTCACTTTCAGGTACACCAGTCAAATGTAGATTTGGTCTTTTCACGTAGTCCCATATTTCTTGGAGGTTTTGTTCGTTTCTTTTCACTCTTTTTTCTCTAATCTTGTCTTCTCGCTTTATTTCATTAATTTGATCTTCAATCATTGATATCCTTTCTTCTGCTTGATCGAATCGGCTATTGAAGCTTGTGTTTGCTTCGCGAAGTTCTTGTAGTGTGCTTTCCAGCTCCATCAAGTCATTTAAGCTCTTCTCTACACTGGTAATTCTAGTTAGCCATTCGTGTAATATTTTTTCAAGGTTTTTAGCTTCCTTGCGATGGGTTAGAACATGCTCCTTTAGCTCAGATAAGTTTGTTATTATCAACCTTCTGAAGCCTACTTCTGTCAATTCATCAAATTCATTCTCCATCCAGTTTTGTTCCCTCACTGGAGAGAAGTTGTGTTCCTTTGGAGAAGAGGTGTTCTGTTTTTTGGAATTTTCAGCCTTTCTGCTCTGGTTTCTACACATCTTTGTGGTTTTATCTACCTTTGGTCATTGATGTTGGGACCTACGAATAGGGTTTTGGTGTGGATGTCCTTCTTGTTGATGTTGATGCTATTCCTTTCTGTTTGTTAGTTTTCCTTCTAACAGACAGGCCCCTCAGCTGCAGTTACTTCGCAGTTTGCTGGAGGTCCCCTCCATACCCTGTTTGCCTAGGTATCACCAGTGGAGGCTGCAGAACAGCAAATATTGCTGCCTGATACTTCCTCTGGAAGCTTCATCCCAGAGAGGCACCCGCCTGTATGAGGTGTCTGTCAGCCCCTACTGGGAGGTGTCTCCCAGTCAGGCTACACAGGGGTCAGGGACCCACTTGAGGAGGCAGTGCTTCTGTTCTTGGAGCCCAAACGCCATGCTGGGAGAACCATTGCTGTCTTCAGAGCTGTCAGGCAGGGACGTTTAAGTCTGGAGAAGCTGTCTGCTGCCTTTTGTTCAGATATGCTCTGTCCCCAGAGGTGGAATCTAGAGAGGCAGTAGGCCTTGCTGAGATGTGGTGGACTCTGCCCAGTTTGAGCTTCCCTGCCGCTTTGCTTACACTGTGAGCATAGAACCGCCTACTCAAGCCTCAGCAATGGTGGACGCCCCTCCCGCCGCCAAGCTCCCGCATCCCAGGTCGATCTCAGACTGCTGTGCTAGCAGTGAGCAAGGCTCCGTGGGCATGGGACCCACTGAGCCAGGCATGGGAGGGGATCTCCTGGTCTGCCGGTTGCAAAGATCATGGGAAAAGCACAGTATTTGGGCAGGAGCATACCACTCCTCCAGGTACAGTGACTCACAGCTTCCCTTGGCTAGGAAAGAGAAATCCCCTGACCGCTTGCACTTCCCAGGTGAGGCGACACCCTGCCCTGCTTCAGCTTGCCCTCTGTGGGCTGCACCCACTGTCCAACCAGTCCCAATGAGATGAACCAGGTACCTCAGTTGGAAATGCAGAAATCACCCATCTTCTGCATCGATCTTGCTGGGAGCTGTAGACCAGAGCGTTCCTATTCGGCCATCTTGGAAGTGACCTCCATCATAATCATTTTTAAATGTACAGTTCAGAAATGTTAAGTGTATTCACAGCATCGTACAATGGATCTCTAGAACTTTTTCATCTTGCAAAACTGAAACTCTATACTCATACTAATTCTCCCTCCTCTCTTCCCCCAGCTTTTGGCAACCACTTTCTAGTTTCTGTTTCTACTTTCTGTTTGTATGATTTTGCCTACTTTAGATATTGCATATGTGTGAAATAATATTACAATTTTCCACAGGCAAAATTTTATTTAGGTATGTTTTACTGAAACTGAAGATTCAGCCATGCCTAGAGCTTTAACCAGAACAAAAAAAAATTAACTGAATAGAATAGAAATGAATTTTGCCCAGGAAATCAACTGCATAAATGTGTGGGATGGGGAAAGGGGTGAAATGAAGTAAGCGAAAGGAGCTGTCATAATGTATCTGCTTCTGACTCAGTTGTTTCACTAGATTTGCCTTCATTCCAGGGTATCTCCTCAATTTCTCTTTTGCCCAATTCCTATTTCCAAATGACATCTCTAACATACAAATTCTCCAGAGTCACTTTTATAAAAAACACCACTGAAGCGAGCTACTACACTCATTTTAATTCTTCTTTCGCATTTAGTTGTAGCATCTATTTACTCTCTGTGTGCACTTGAGATTTATATTAGCTATATATACTTCTAGGCAGAGACTACAGTTATAGTCTAATCCAGAGTTTAAATAAGAAAACTAAGACAGGGCTGAAGTTGGTATTATCCTCAACTATTTGTAACCAGAAAACAACATAAATGTTTGCATATTAAATTATATATTAAATATGGGACATGGATGAAGCTAAACATTTACTTTCTGTGCAAGAAATTCTTTTGCCACTGAAATACATGCACAATACTTTTCCAAAAACACTGGACAAATATACAACTACTCTGTGTATTATTAAGAACTGCTAATTTTACACTGTAAATCATTGGAAAAAGAAACACTATTTCATCCAGAATTCTGAATTAATTTCAAGTAATCATCCAATTCCCTTAAGGTTACAGAGTCTTCAGATACACCATCTCTGACATTCCAACTCTAAGATTTTACCTCAGCCCTCATTCAGCAACCAGTTGTTGACCACCTAATAAATATTCTATCCGAGCTTGCAGCACACACAGTCACCATACAGAGAGGAGAATGGTCTTTCCTCCTGGTGAGCCCTCGATCCCCTGCTCCCCAACAAGCAGAGCCCCCTGCTCAGGCCAGCATTGCAGCCACCCAACCCCCTGGCTGAACACTACCAGTGACAGCAGCTAAACAATTCTTGGACGTGGAGAACCCAGGGGCAACCAAAAGCCCTTCTGCCACTGCCTCTGCAGTGGTACTGCCCCTATTGTCCTCAGAATGGGTAAGGAGCAAAGACCCTAAGTGCCTTATCCACATCTCCAGCAAGCTGCAGTTACCCCAAGGAGGGGAGGCCAATCTGTCTTCCACAGTTCCCCCCGACTCCCCCTGCTCCTCAATAGGCAGTGCCGCCCCCCATCCCAGGGCAATTGCACTGATAGATTGCAGCGCCACATCTCTCTGGGTTAGAGCCCCAGAAGAAAAGGGGAAGTGAGAGACCCTCAGCCACAACCACTGCTGCTTCCAAGTTGGAGAAGGAACATAAACACTGAGATTGCTCCAGAACCGTGGTGTGCAGCCCCGGAGTGCCACACTGCGATCTGCAGCCAGCACTCAAATAGGAGAGGAACCCACTTTCAGAGCATTAAGAGGGAGCATGGCTGCAACTGTGGGTAAATATAGAGGAGCCACATGATTAAGAGCCTACCAACTGACCATTATGCTTAAGTGCCACCTACTGGATCACACCTCAAAACTTCAACACCAAAAAATACTTTGGTAACATACCCCCATGTGAAACCAAAGACAAGAAGACAGCTAGAAATAAAGACTCTGCACAAAGGCTCAGCCCTCTAGAGACATCTAGAAAAGAATTCTACTGCCTGTACTCAATCTACCTGGCAGTTAAAGGAACACTCAAACACAGAGATGAGAAAAAACCAGAGCAAGAACTTGAGCAACTCAAATGGCCAGAGTATCTTCTGTCTTCCAAATGACCACAGAGTTTTCCAGCAAGGATTCTTAACCAGGATGAGATGACTGAAATGACAGAAATAAAATTCAGAATATGGATAGGAATGAAGATCATTGAAAGTTGGAAGAACATTGAAATCCAACTCAATAAATCTATTTTTTTTTTCTTTGAGATGAAGTTTCACTCTTGTCGCCCAGGCTGGAGTGCAATGGCGCAATCTCAGATCACTGCAACCTCTGCCTCCTGGGTTCAAGCAATTCTCCAGCCTCAGCAAACCAACCCCAAAGCTAGCAGAAGACAAGAAATAACCAAAATCAGAGCTGAACTGAAGGAGATAAGACATGAAAAACTATTTAAAAGTTTAACAAATCCAGGAGTGGTTCTTTGAAAAAATTAATAAGATAGGCTGCTATCTAGATTAATAAAGAAGAAAAGAGGTAAGATCCAAATAAACACAATTAGACGCAACAAAGGGGATGTTAACACTGATCCCACAGAAACACAAATAACCACCAGAGACTATTATGAACACCTTTATGTACCCAAACTAGAAAACTTTGAAGAGATGGATAAATTCCTGGACATATAAACTCTCCCAAGACTAAATCAGGAAGAAACTGAACCCCTGAACAGACCAATAATGAGCGCCAAAATTAAATCAGTAATAAATAGCCTATCACCCCCAAAAAAGCCCAGGAACTGAAAGATTCACAGATAAATTCTATCAAATGTACAAAGAAGAGCTGGTACTATTTCTACTGGAACTATTCCAAAAATTTGAGGAGAGTCTTCTCCTCATTCTATGATGCCAGCATCATCCTGATACCAAAAGCTGGCAGAGACACAACAACAACAAAAACTTCAGATCAATATCCCTGATTAGCACTGAAGCAAAAATCCTCAAAAAAAGAAAAAAAAGACTTGCAAACTGAATCCAGCAGCACATCAAAAAGTTACTCCACTACGATCAAGTAGGCTTCATCCCTGTGATGCAAAGTTGGTTCAACATGCACACATCAATAAATGTGATTCATCACATAAACAGAACTAAAGATAAAACACATGATTATCTCAATAGATGCAGAAAAGGCTATCGATAAAATTCAACATCCCTTTCTGTTAAAAATGCTCAATAAACTATGTATTGAAGGAACATACCTCAAAATAATAAGAGCCATCTATGACAAACCAACAGCCAACATCATGCTGAATGGGTAAAAGCTGGGAGCATTCTCCTTGAAAACTGGCACAAGACAAGGATGCCCTCTCTCACTACTCCTATTAAACACAGTATTGGAAGTCTTGTCCACAGCAATCAGGCAAGAGAAAGAAATAAAGGCATCCAAATAGGAAGAAAGGAAGTCAGACTGTCCCTGTTTGCAGATGACATGATTCTACATGTAGTAAACACCATTTTCTCAGTCCAAAAGCTCCTTCATTTGATAAACAACTTCAGCCAAGTTTCAGGATACAAAATCAATGTACAAAAATCACCTGTATTAAACATCTTTAGGGTGTTCCAACTTCAAGGTTCTATTAAAGTGCTAAAAAATTGTATTTTGTTTCAACATTCAGGACTGGTTGTATCATAAAATTCAGTGATTCAGTGATACCTGTGATCATTATGAATCAGTTGAAATTGATCATCACAACGTATTTAACTCAGAGGAATAAACTTCTCATTCAACATTTTAAATGATTTTCTTTTCCATAAGAAAATAACATTAATAAACTTCAATAAACTTTAGATTCTCCTTGCTACCCAAGGGATGTAAAAGTACCTGCACATAAAAATACACCAACAGCAGCCAAGCTGAAAGCCAAATCAGGAACTCAATCCCATTCACAATTGCCATAAAATGAATAAAAAAAAACCTAGCAATACAGCTAACCAGAGAGTTGAAAGACCTCTATACTGACAACTACAAAACACTGCGGAAGGAAATCAGAGACAACACAAACAAATAGAAAAACATTCCATGCCCATGAAGAGGAAGAATCAATATCATTAAAATGGCCGTACTGCCCAAAGCAATTTAGAAATTAAATGTTATTCCAATCAAACTATCAATTACATTCTCCACAGAACTAGAAAAGGCTATTGTAAAGTTCATATGGAACCACGAAAAAACCTGAATAGCCAAGGCAATCCTAAGCAAAGAGACTAATGGAACAGTGTAGAGAGTCCAGAAATAAGGCTGAGCACTTACGACCATCTAATCTTCTTTTTTTTTAAATATTATTTAAGTTCCAGGATACATGTGAGGGATGTGCAGGTTTGTTACATAGGTAAACGTTTGCCATGGTGGTTTGCTACACCTATCAACCCATCACCTAAGTATTAAGCCCCGCATGCATTAGCTATTTACCCTGATGCTCTCCCTGCCCCGACACCCGACAGGCCCCAGTGTGTGTTCTTCCCCTCCCTGTGTCCATGTGTTCTCATTGTTCACCTCCCACTTATGAGTTCCTGTGTAAGTTTGCTGAGGATAATGGCTTCCAGCTTCATCCATGTCCCTGCAAAGGACATGATCTCATTCCTTTTTATGGCTGCATAGTATTCCATGGTGTGTATGTACCACATTTTCTTTATCCAGTCTATCATTGATGGACATTTGGGTTGATTCACTACCTTTGCTATTGTGAATAGTGCTGCAATGAACATACGCTTGCATGTATCTTTATAATAGAATGATTTATATTGTTTTGGGTATAAACCCAGTAATGGGATTGTTGGGTCAAATGGTTTTTCTGGTTCTATATCTTTGAGGAATCATCACACTGTCTTCCACAATGATTGAACTAGTTTACATTCCCACCAATAGTGTAAAAGAGTTCCTATTTCTCCACAGCCTCACCAGCATCTGTTGTTTCTTGACTTTTTAATAATCACCATTCTGACAGGCATGAGATGGTATCTCATTGTGGTTTTGATTTGCGTTTCTCTAACAATCAGTGATGTTGAGCTTTTTTTCATATGTTTGTTGGCCACATAAATGTCTTCTTTTGAGAAGTGTTGGTTCATGTCCTTTGCCCACTTTTTGATGGGGCTGTGTGTTTTTTTTTATTGTAAATTTGTTTAAGTTCCTTGAAGATGTTGGATATTAGACCTTTCTCAGATGGATAGATTGCAAAAATTTTCTCCCATTCTGTAGGCTGTCTGTTTACTCTGATGATAGTTTCTTTTGCTGTGCAGAAGCTTTTTAGTTTAATTAGATTCCATTTGTCAATTTTTGCTTTTGTTGCAATTGCTTTTCATGTTTCTGTCATGAAATCTTTGTCCATGCCTATGTCTTGAATGGTATTACCTAGATTTTCTTCTAGGGTTTTTATAGCTTTGTGTTTTACATTTAAGACTTTAATCCATCTTGAGTTAATTTTTGTATAATGTGTAAGGAAGGGGTCCAGTTTCAGTTTTCTGCATATGGCTAGCCAGTTTTCCCAGAACTATTTATTAAATAGGGAATCCTTTCCCCATTGCTTGGTTTTGTCAGGCTTTTTGAAGATCAGACGGTTGGAGATGTGTGGTCTTATTTCTGAGATCTCTATGCTGTTCCATTAGTCTATGTGTCTGTTTTTTTTTTTTTTTTTTTTTTTTTTTTTTTTTTTTTTTTACCAGTACTATGCTGTTTTGGTTACTGTAGCCTTGTGTATAGTTTGAAGTAGGGTAGTGTGATGCCTCCAGCTTTGTTCTTTTTGCTTAGTATTTTCTTGGCTATTCGGGCTCTTTTTTGGTTTCACACGAATTTTAAAGTAGCTTTTTCTAGTTCTGTGAAGAATGTCAATGGTAGTTTAATGGAAATAGCATTGAATTTATAAATCTACAAATTACTTTGGGCAGTATGACCATTTTCACAATATTGATTCTTCCTATCCATGAGCATGGAAGGTTTTCCATTTGTTTGTGTCATCTCTTACTGCCTTGAGCAGTGGTTTGTAGTTCTTCCTGAAGAGGTCCTTCGCTTTCCTTGCTAGCTGTATTCCTAGATATTTTATTCTCTTTATAGCAGTTGCAAATGGGAGTTCATTCATGATTTGGCATTCGTCTATTTTTGGTGTATAGGAATGCTTGTGAATTTTGCACACTGATTTTGTATCCTAAGACTTTGCTGAAGTTGTTTATCAGCTTAAGGAGCTTTTGGGCTGAGACCATGGGGTTTTCTAGGTATAGGATTACGTTGTTTGCAAGCAGAGATAATTTGACTTTCTCTCCTTCTATTTGAATACTCTTTATTTTTTTCTCTTGCCTGATTGCCCTGGCCAGAACTTTCAATACTAAGTTGAATAAGAGTGGTGAGAGAGGGCATCCTTGACTTGTGCCAGTTTTCAAGGGTAATGCTTCCAGTTTTTGCCCATTCAGTATGATATGCACTGTGGGTCTGTCATAAATGGCTCTTATTATTTTGAGATATGTGACATCAATACCTAGTTTATTGAGAGTTTTTAACATGAAGGGATATCAAATCTTATCGAAGGCCTGTTCTGCTTCTATTAAGATAATCACACGGTTTTTGTCTTTAGTTCTGTTTATGTGATGGATTTCATTAATTGATTTGTGTATGTTGAACCAGCCTTGCATCCCAGGGATGAAACCGACTTGAATGCGGTGGATAAGCTTTTTGACGTGCTGCTGGATTCGGTTTGCCAATATTTTATCAAGGATTTTCGCATCAATGTTCATCAGGGATACTGGCCTGAAGTTTTCTTTTTCTGTTGGTTTTCTGCCAGGTTTTGGTATCAGGCAGCCATCTAATCTTCAATAAAGCTAACAAAAACAAGCAATGGGGAGAGGACTCCCTATTCAATAAATGGTGCTGGGATAACTGGCTAGCCATATACAGATTGAAGCTAGACTCCTTCTTTACACCATATACAACAATCATCTTAATAAAGACTTAAATATAAAACCCAAAACCATAAAAACCCTGGAAAATAACCTAGGAAATATCATTCTGAACATAGGATCTGGCAAAGATTTCATGACAAAGATGCCAAAAGCAATCACAACAAAAGCAAAAATTTATAAATAGGATCTAACTAAACTAAAGAGCTTCTCCACAGCAAAAGAAACTATAAACAAAGTAAACAAAGAACCTACACAATGGGAGAAAATATTTGTAAACTATGCATCTGACAAGGTCTAACATCCATTATCTATAGAGAACTTAAATCTACAAACAAAAAACAGCCCCATTAAAAAGTAGGCAAAGGACATCAACAAATATTTTTCTTTTATTTTCCTTTCTTTCTTTCTTTTTTTTTTTTTTTTTTTTTTTGAGATGGAGTTGTGCAGGATCTAGAACTAGAAATACCATTTGACCCAGCCATCCCATTACTGGGTACATATCCAAAGGATTGCAAATCATGCTGCTATAAAGACACAAGCACACGTATGTTTATTGCGGCACTATTCACAATAGCAAAGACTTGGAACCAACCCAAATGTCCATCAATGGTAGACTGGATTAAGAAAATATGGTACATATACACCATGGAATACTATGCAGTGATAAAAAAGATGAGTTCACGTCCTTTGTAGAGACATGGATGAAGCTGGAAACCATCATTCTCATCAAACTATCGCAAGGACAGAAAACCAAACACTGCGTGTTCTCACTCATAGGTAGGAATTGAACAATAAGAACACTTGGACACAGGAAGGGGAACATCACACACCAGGGCCTGCCATGGGATGGGGGGAGTGGGGAGGGATAGCATTAGGAGATATACCTAATGTAAATGACGAGTCAGTGGGTGCAGCACACCAACATGGTACATGTATACACATGTAACAAACCTGCACGTTGTGCACATGTACCCTAGAACTTAAAGTATAATAATAAAAAAAAAGTAGGCAAAGGAAAACAAATGTCCTCCCTTGCTTCCTTTCTCTTTCTTTCTTTCCCCTTCCTTCCTTCCCTCCGTCCCTCCCTCCTTTCTTTCCTTCTTTCTTTCTTTCTCTCTCTCTCTCTCTCTCTCTCTTTCTTTCTTTCTTTCTTTCTTGAGATGGAGTTGTGCTCAGTCGCCCAGACTAGAGTGCAGTGGCACAATCTTGGCTCACTGCAACTTCTGCCTCCTGAGTTCAAGCGATTCTCCTGCCTCAGCCTCCCGAATAGCTGGGATTACAGGCACCCACCATCATGCCTGGCTAATTTTTGTATTTTTAGTAGACATGGGGTTTCACCATGTTGACCAGGCTGGTCTTGAACTCCTGACCTCTGGTGATCCACCCACCTCGGCCTCCCAAAGTGCTGGGATTACAGGCACGAGCCACTGTGCTCAGCCAACAAATATTTTTCAGAAGAAGATATATATGCAGCCAACAAACATATGAAAAAAGTTCAATATCACTGATCATTAGAGAAATGTAAGTCAAAACCATAATGAGATAACCATCTCACACCAGTCAGAATGGCTATTATTTAAACATCAAAAAACACAGATCCTGGTGTACTTTCAGAGCAAAGGAAACACTTATACACTGCTGGTGGGAGTGTAAATTAGTTCATGCTTTGTGGAAAGCAGTGTGCAGATTCCTCATAGAGCTAAAAACATAACTACCATTCAACCCAGCAATCCCATTACTGTGTATGTACCCAAAAGAATATAAATCAATGTACCATAAAGACACATGCACATGCACACGTTGTTCACTCCAGCACTATTCAAAATAGCAAAGATATGGAATCAACCTAAATGCCCATCAATAGAAGACTGGATAAAGAAAATGTGGTACATAAGCACCATGAAATACTATGCAGCCATAAAAAAGAATGAGATTATGTCCTTTGTAGGAACTTGGATGGAGCTGGAGGCCATTATCCTTAGCAAACTAATGCAAGAACAGAAAACAAATTACCACATGTTCTCACTTATAAGTGAAACCTAAATAATAAGAACATGTGAACACAAAGAAGGGAACAACAGACACTGCAGCTTACTTAGAGTAGGAGGTTGGGAGGAGGGAGAAGAGCAAAAAAAAAATAACTAACGAGTACTATGCTTAGTTCCTGGGTGATGAAATAATCTGTACAACAAACCCCCATCATACAAGGTCACCTATGTAACAAACCTGCACATGTACTCCTGAACTTAAAATTAAAGTTATTAAAAAGAAGTATCACAGTAACAACATATATTATAAAGGAAGAGAGAAAAGAATGAGGCCCTGACCTCTAATATCTTGATGACTTAATGCTAAGTCAAATAAATACATATAATTACAATACAGTGTGATACATGCTATTTTGGTGTATCCATGCTAGGATACTATACAGAAAACTTCTCTAATCCAGTCTAGATATTTAACCTGAGTTATGAAAGATAAGCATGAATTAAATAAGCAAAAGCACTGGGGGAAGAAGGAGCAGTTTATACAGAGAAGAAGTGTGACAGAACAATGACATGTGCAGCCAACTAAAACTATTTATTTATACAATGGTGTAAAGGATACACGGAGGGGTGGAGGATGGCAGACAGGAAGGTGAAGTGCATGGGCCAGATCACAAAGGGATTTATATGTAGGTGAAAACAGTCAATAGCAGGGTAAAGGTAAGTTCCTGAATACTTATTAATATGATCCTAAAGAAAATCAGAAGTTACCGAGATGGTGTAAAGATATAAAATGGTGAAGTTGGGTTATGATTATAGAAACTGGGTTATGGTTATAGAAATGGATCAAGGACATGATAGAGGAATTGTCTGGATAGATTTAATAATGAATCTGATCTTGAGATAAATGCACAGGACAATAATGGGGTCACAGAAGAGACCCAAGAATAATAAATTATTTCCATATCTGCTTTAGGATACAATCAGATGATACTGATACAGATGTTTCAAAAAAAGAGAGAGTTGAGAACTGGTCTAGTTAACTGGCATAAATGGCTTATGTAAACCCACATCTTATTCTTTGCGAAGTTAATTTGCTAGTTGCTTGTATCTATGTACCTTTTTTATTGTGAAAGTAATTTTTACTACAAACTTACTTTGAAGCTAACTGTACAATTAATATGTAGCATAGGGAATAGAATGCAAAGCAAATAAAAACTTCTTGTGAACATTTTTTCTCTTGAATTATTTAACTTGCCAATTGTCTCTTGAGCTCTTTATGAAATAAACTTTGGGTAGCAAGGGAAAGCTAAAGCTTACTGAAGTTTATTAAAGTTGTTTTGTTATGCAAAACAAAATAATTTACAATGTTGAATGAGAAGTTTATTCCTCTGGGTCAAATATATTGTGATGATCAATTTCAACTGACTCATAATGATCACAAGCATGGCTGAATCACTGAATTTTATGAAACAACCAGTCCTGAATGTTGAAACAAAATACGATTTTTTTTTTACCACTTTCATAGAATCCTAAAGTTGGAACACTTTAGAAACATTTAATTCTAATCCATCATCTCACATAAAAGTAGAAATCTTTATATCTTTAAGCACATCTGTCCATGTTCTCAGAGTGATGGAGAGTTCACAAATAATATTAACAACAGAAACAATAAGGAATAACAACCTCTGAGTAATTTTTATGTGCAAGTACTTTTATATACATTATTTTCTTTGGGGACAATTCCAACTATTAAATGCTCTATTTAATATTAAGCCAAATTTGCCAGCCTACATCTTTTAACTAAATTATGGTCCTAGTAATCCTTCCTGAAAAATAAAAATTATAGTTACTATTTATAGCACTTGATAAAAGTAATTTGTTTTATATGTTTTCTCTCAATCATCATAACAACTGTCTGAAGGTACTACTGAAGGTACTATTAGCATTTTACCCCAATTTACAGGCAAGAAAATTAAGCCTTGAGGAAGGTAAGTAATTTTTCCAAGGTTACAAATGTAGTAGTTGGTGGAGCTGAGGATTGACTCCAAAGTGCAAGTTTTACTTATCACATGTACCTGAGATATGAGCTTTGCAAGCTGTCAAAATTAGATTTCTAAACTTCCTGAGCTGAGAGTCAGGCTCCAAACCATGGTAAATTAACTGAATTAAGAAATGTCATTCTATGACACCTCTGAAGAAATGGACTGCAAACCTGTCCCAGGCAGCACCATTCCAACCTGTGCTCAGTAGGATGAGCCTTTCTTTCCATCTAAATTTCGACACATCTCAATCTAACAATATTGGTCAACAAAACTTTAACAATAGCTTATTTTGTTTTCTATTCACAAATGTGGCATTTTTACCATGTATATACAGAATATGATATTATTTTCATGAGGATATGAAAAAAGTGGGTCACCATCTGTGGATACCACAAAGAAAAACACTCTTGAGAATTAATCACTACATATTGGTAAAATAAAAAACATGGCACACTGTGTTAATTCTGGCTTGCTTTATAGTTAGTGAAATAAAAGTAACAGTCAAATCATGGAAAATTGAGTTAGCCAGAATGTGATCATCTTGGCAACAGGAATGATTATTTTGTTCTTACATTTTGATTATGGCAAATTTTATACAAATTTTGTTGTAGCTTTAAATAATGAGACTTTGACATATGTCAGCTCAAACAATATTTACTACCAACTTGCATTAAATGTCGTTAGATTACTCTATGTAACATGCTAACTTTAGAACTAACCTCTAATTCCTTGAGGGATAATCTGCTTCTGGGACCTGAGACAATCGGGTATTCATTACTTACCATGTGCTGATGGCTCTCCTTTCCATATAAAAATGATGCTAGTAATTCAATAAAAATAAGACATGTTTAAATGAAATAATTTTCTAGTAATGGTGAAAGATTTCTGCAAAACCACTCACATTGTCTTGTGTGGCCTCCCTTTAAGTATCTCAATTGAGTTCAACAAATATTTATTGTTTATCTACTCTGTGCCAAGCATTGATACAGGAAGGAACTTGTTCATAAAATGAACAAAGTAGATCCCTGTCCTTGACAGCATATCTTCTAGTGGAAGAAACACACAATAAGCATAAACATAATAAATGAATAATGGTAATAAGTGGTATTTTAAAAAAGGAAAAGTAGAGCAAAACAAGGGTGATCAGGAGAGCCAGGGTGGGGAGAAGATGGGACAGGTTTCAGTATTACATAGGGTAGTCAGGGTAAACCTCAAAAGAAGGTTAAGATTTGAGCTAATATATGAAAAAGATTAAGTTTTTAACCAAACACATTTCTGGGAGAAGAATATTTTAGACAGAGGGAAAAGCAAGTGAAAATATTCTAAGGAACATGCCTTGAGAGTTCAATGACAGTACAGGCAGCGTGGAGAATGTGGGTGCAGGAGAGTGAGCACATCATAGAGGTCAGGAAGGGGGCCACATCAGGGCTTGAGGGCCATTATAAGGACTTTGGCTTTCATTAACTGAAATGCACTGACTGTCAATACTAATGTTAGGTCCAGATACGATATTAGTTGCAATTAGGGTTTCAATTTCCTACAGAACCAAAAAAGTACCCTTAATTTCTGACCTTACCCCCAAATCAATTTTCTAAGTTTGCCTCTTTAATTATTCTTTTCCTTTCCGCATCTTTAATCTCTAATAATTAAAATATATGTACTTCATTCTAATATTGTTATAAGATTTCCCCAAACCAGCCACATAGATGGTCTTTCAAAAGGAAAAGTAAATTGCTTTCACATGTTCATACCTGCTTTACCTTTGTCTATAAACACACGTAAATTAAGGATGGCAAGAAAAAATATTATAAACAAAAGACCTTATTTTAACCTACAAGATATTGCTATTGATAGTGTTTTTTGTTTTGTTTTTAGGTTGATCTATAACTCAGGAAATCATATTGAATCTTCTTTTTTTATGTTACCAATGAGCGGATGTATCATTCTTATTTTCTAATTTATTATATGTGGGACTATAGATGGAAAACAATAAGAAACACAAGCTTTTAAGAAACTGGGCTTAATCTTGCTAAATTAAAGTTAAGAGAATAAAAAAGGAGAGAGATACAGAAAAGAAACATGGTATACAGATTATTTTGAAATCATAATGATTATCTTTAATAATCTAATTTTCAAATCGTAATGATTATCTTTAATAATCTAATAATTTAGCTTTAATAAATTCAGATAAAATATTAAGGGCTTTCTCTATATAAATCTCAATGTTTACAAATTCTAAGAGAAAAAGATAGGTAACAATGGATACAACAGGAATTTATTAAAATGTTTCTTTTCTTTAGATAAAAGTTACAACCTAAAACATAAATGTATCCATATAATTAAAACTCAAATCTTTAGTTTACTATAGGCAGAGACTCTTTATTTGGAAAACTGTGTCTTTCTCTAGTTTATGTTGGGGAGCTACCTTTACTTCAGATATATGCCACTGTAGTTTCAAGAACATTAGACTCAATGCTTAAATAATGCTTTCAACAGCAGTTATTTTATGCCTACTGTAGGGTAAAATATAATATGGGATAGTCAGAAAAAAGCAATCCCTTGATAATACAGTACTTTTTCTAACACAGCTTATATTCTAGTAAGGAAAATAGGGTTAAATGAAATAATGCATGCATAAGACTCATGTAACCAGAACAAAAACAGTGTAAAACATTTATATCCATATTAAAGGAATGGTGGAATTAATGCAATTGATTAGAATAAAATGGAATTAGGCACAAAAAGCATCTAAAAGGAAGAGTTGTAAACCATGTTCAGAATGAAACAGTAAACTTGACTTGCTAAAGTTCTGGCTTCTCCAAGGTTGGACTGGGATACTGACAGGGATGCAAATCAAATATCAAAATACTGAAGTATACATCCACTTTAAATCCATTATGGAATATAAGTGCACATGTTTTTACACATACATACACATAATGCATACCTTTAGATTTCTAATTCTTTCATGACCCACCATTTTTGTTCACTTGAAAAAAAAAAGTAGAGAGAATGGTATAAATAGAAATAGTTGGGATTTTAAGGAAAATATGGCTATAGTTAATTGTGAATCTGATCTTTCTTTGGATGGGAAAATGGAAAAAAATTCTGAGTCAGAAACCTGATTTGAGTCATGTTCCCTAGTAACATGACTGCTGATTTTTCTCACATTGACAGACATTCTTTGCATTTTATTTTTTTCACCTGGTTATTTCACCCTGGGTCCACAGGGAAGAATAGCAGGTGGAATCCCATATAATCATATGCTTTCATTAAATTTCTTATGAAAAGCAAAGTAACTCATGCTGATCAAAGTGACAGGTGGAATCTAAAGAGCCTCACAGACTTATAGATAAAATCACGTAAGTTATAAATATATCCCCGTCATCTAAAAAATGATCAGGCATAAAAAGCAATGATTAGAACAGGTAGAAAAAGGTAGTACAGAAAGTTAGCCATGAAATTAACTGCAGAAGAAATGGAGAAAGAAGGAGGGCAGTAGAAAAAGACCCTTCCCTGTTGGGAAGCCAGGGATTTAGTGTAGAGTTGGACGAAACTCTATCTAACTGCAACCCTGAATAAGGGTGAAGAGCACATATTAATTTACATATTTGATGCCTTCTTTAGAAAAGATGATATTAATAATTAAAGAAATAAATTTAGTATATCTGGCCATGATAATTCACAGGCTATATATCTTGAAATCTGATAAGTGACCCTCAAGGACTATTACCAACTTGATAGTATCTCTGACTAGTCTGGTCTGTTTCAGGCACACAGCCAAGACTTTTGTTCAACACTACTCAGCAAAAAAAGCATAATTGTATGAAAACCTCATTATCACACCTGGCAGCAAATGGCAGATGATATGGCTTCAGACTAAGATTATTTCTCTTAAACTTTATGTGACAGATCACAGAACAATTTGTGATGGCAGCCAAGGTTGAAGGAGGGTGTAGTATAATAACTACGTTTGTGGCCATTCCTAGTGCTTCCCAATAACTTTTAATTTTTGTCATTTAAAATAAAAAAGAACACAATTTTTAAATATAGTCTTTGTTGAATATTAGCTATTTATTCCATTTAAAAAATTTAATATTAGTTCTTAAAAGCTTACTTGAGGTAAAGCTTTTGTTCTCATTTAGTTAATAATCATTAATGAAATTCTAATATAGAGAATTTTAGGCAGTAAAGCTGAAGCTGTCTCTATATTTCTATTAATTTTCAGGGGCAACTGATTCTGTAAAAAAAAAAAAAGGATACTATAAGGAGTACAACTACAAAAACAAACACACATATTTAAGAGCTTTAATATTTCCTGAAATTAAATCACATGAAAAGAAATTCTAATAAGTTCTTCCATTCATACTTTTCATTTTAAGCTATATAAACAAAACAAATCAAATTTTACCATCATTTAACAAATATTTATTGAGTACTTATCACATACTAGATAACTTTTTAGAAACTAGGGATATGGCAGTGGAGGAAAAAGAAAACTCCCTGCTTTCATAGAACTTAACAGTATATGAATAGAGACAGAACATAAATAATTAAATATCAAATATGTCAGATATTTATAAATGTATGAAAAGAGGAAAGTGGGCTGAGGGTAAAATTTTACATAGGTTGATCAAAGAAGGCCTTATTGAGAAAAGGATATTTGAGGAAATGTTAAAGGAGGTGAGAGAGCTAGTCATGTGGAAAACTGGGCAGAGGCAGGTATGGTGAGGATGTCAAGTAGACAGAAAGACAAGCTTTGACCTAGTTTGAATTAGAAAAATAGCAAACAGGCCACAACAAAGTGGGCAAGGGGGGAAACTAGGAGGAGATAATGTGAGAAAGGTAACAGGAAGCCAGAAGTCTCAGGGCCTTTTACACTATTGCAAGAATTTGTTTTTATTCTGAATAAAATGATAAGCTTTCCTGGGGTTTTGAGCAGAGAAATTACCTCAGAACCATCACAGCTTTTGTGTTGAGGACAGACTAAAGGGCAATAAAGGAGGAAGCAGTGAAACAGAATTTTCAGGCTAAAGGGCAATAAAGGAGGAAGCAGAATTTCATTAACAGTTAAAAAATTGTTACAATAATCCAGGTAAAAGAGGTTCAGTTAAGAGAAGTAATGATACTGACAATGAGAAAAGGTTAGATTCTGGATACATTCTGTAGTTAAAGCTACTAAGTTTTGTAGGTGGCCTGGGTACAAAGTGGTAATTCCAACATTTTTAGTCACAGGAAGAGGAAGAATGGGGTTGTCATTTACTGAGATGGGAAAGGCTGCAACAGGAGCAGGGCTGGGAGTCAGTGGGAGATTGGGAGTCCAAGTCTGGACATGTTACATATGCTATGTCTATTACAGATCTGAGTATAAATGTGAAGTGGAGTTTTACCACGTGATTCTGAAGTTCAGAGAAGAGGTACAGGTTAGAGATAAAGATTTGGGAGTCACAAATATAAAGATGTATGACTTGATGAGATTACCAAGGAAGTGGAGATTAATAGCAAAAAGAAAAGTTTCAAGCTTCAAGCCCCGAAGCATTCTAATGTTTACAGCTGGCAGGGAGTGGGGAAGATGAAAAGGAATAAGCTGAGGAAAACTACGAAGGAACAATCAGTGAGGCAGGAGGAAAGCAAGGGGAGTGTGCTATCCTGGAAGCAAAGAGAAGAAATTCTGTATGTTGGGCTTCAAATTTTTCCTTTACCTATATTCTTATTTTAAAGTATTTTCTTAACCTATATACTCAGATGTAGAATTACTAGGCCCAATTGATAAATTTGTTGAACAGGCCAGTACTAGGAAATGGATTTGTGCTACTCCACTAGAGATGCTAATTAATATCCAAGCTAATTAATCAATACTTTCTGAATTGAGAAATTATGCTGAATATCATGATATGCCCCTCGGATCCCCCACTGTTGTCCTGGGGGTTGCCTCAGCTGCAAAGAGTCGTTTCACCACAGACCACGACCTATGCTCTTTCCCAGAGTGACCCACATCCACATCCAGTGACTAATTGATGCAGGAATATAAAGCCTTGACCATCTCAGCCCAACTGGTAACAACTCTGAAAAGCCACTGTAGCTTCAGAGTTCCCCACGGGATCAGGGAAAGCTGTCATGGTGCCTGCAGGCAGCTCAACTTCTCCTTCTGCCCATTCCTGCTTCCTTTGTTATTTCTTCCACAGAGTTTAATCTCAAGGGCACTTCTTACAAACCTCTTAAACACTAAACTTCATTTCCGAATGTGCCTCCCAGGTAACCTAATCTTGGAATAGTCTGAGAAAGCTGGTAATAAGATGGGGCTTTGGCACTGGTTAACTCACTGCTGCAGTGGTAATGAGGACCCCACCACTGGTAGAAGATGGAGCACATGCCCGGTCCAAGGTAGCAGTCCAACTATTAAAACTCACCAGAGGTGAGTTGAGATGTTGGGAAGGGAACATCTTAGCTAGAATGATATTTCAGATGTTTGAGAAATATGAGAGAAGTAGAGTAACTATAAGGACAATGGGAAAAAAAACACAAAAAGCTCAGAGAAAGTAATTGCCAACAAGAAAGCCAGAGGCCCTCCTTTGTAGATACAAAGATGTTCTCAGCTTCTGTAGCTGCTGGGTAGAGAAAGCTTATGTCCAGAAACAGGGCTCAATCATCAGAATATTCAAGCTCCCAAACTCAAGGAAAGCAGATCTGCTAAGTCAGAATCCTAGTTACAAAAGAATGGGAATTTGCCACATGGAATGGGATGTCTGGTTTGATGTCTGTCGAAATCCTGAATCCCCAGATTCCCCCAGAGCTTTCGCATCTCACAAAGTGGCCTTCCCCTTCTTTCTTGGGATGATAAGGGTAGAGATTTCACCCCCATAAGTTAACATGTGCCCCTTAACTACCATCTACCTCTGCCTCCCCTCCAGATCCCTGGGCCAATAACTAAGGTTTTATCACAATATAACCTATCTGGGACATACTAGAGTTGATAAAGGAAGAAAGAGACTTTACCCCAAAGGAGCCACAAGACCAGTATTTGTATTAGCCAGGAGAATACATGTAGAATTAAATTCTGAGGGTGTTTGATTAAAAGGGCTGGAACCTAGGAAAAGGGAGAGCTTACTGATTTGCAGGCACTCTCCTGAGATACAGGATTTAACATGTGGCAAGAATCCCAGAAGATGGTGCAAACTCATTGCTAGGATGGTTCCTAGAAACATGGACAAATTAATGGCTGATACTAATATGACTGAAATGCCAGGAATGCTGTGGCAAATGACAGAAGAGGGGATTGCGAGGCTCAGAGAACTGGGCAGTCTGGTATATAGACACATGTAAAAGCCAGAAAATCCATAAGATGAACATATTCCACAGGAAGGCCCAGAAAACACACCATTTCCCAAAGCCATAAGGAATATGCCAATGAGAAGACATCAACATTACTAAAAATTTCAGTGGTGGTTCTCCCCTGAAGGTCAGGAGTGACAGAAGAAAAGGATGATATATAACCAGCCTGACTGATAGCAATAAGGATGCTAAGACCAGGTGAGAATGCTTAACAATCAGAAGCCAGATGGACACAATTATCATAAGAGTGGCAAAAGTGGGGTGTGTGTGGCTAACCCACAAAATGTTTTTGAGATAATTAACGGAATCTTGCATCCCTAGAGGCAAAACGGAGAGCTAACAAAGCTACTACTCAATATTTACTATCAAAAGAAACCAAAGATGAATGACCACAAAGTTGAGTGTAGCTGCCCCAATGAAGTCACAATCTCTTGCTCAGCTTCCGAACCTGAGTTAATTTTTAGACCCAGAACCCATAAACTGAAGAAGAGGCCTAGTTCCCAGAAGAAAGAACCTTATAACACCATGACAAGAATACAGGGTAATAATCCCCCTAATCTTTATCCACAGGGAACTACAGCCCTTTACCCAAGTAACTATGCACTGGAGAAGGACTATTCAAATGTCTGAGAACTAATGAGCACACAGTTGACACTGATACCTGGAGACTTGAAGCATCAAAACACTGTTCCCCTCTCCCTGTTAGAGTAGAGGCATACAGGAGCCAGTAATAAATGGAGCCCCAGCCAAGTTCTGGCTCATAATAGGTCCACTGTCACCACAGACCCACCTGGTGGTGATTCCTCAGACCCTAGATGTGTAATCAGAAAAGACAGACTTGGTAAGTGCCACAAGACCCATATCAAATCCTCAGCCTGTGAGTGAAGAGCTCTCATTGTGGAGAAGACCGAGAGGAAGAATTTGAAGCTGCTCTACCCTAAACCTGCCAAGATGGCAAATAAAAAAAACCAACATAGCATTGATGGAGAAAGAGGGGGAGGTTGATGGGCATTGAAGGAGAAAGAGAGGGAGGTTGATGGGCAGAAATTAGTGTCCATGTAAGTATCTAAACAGCAGGCAGGGGTAATCCCAACTAAGTTATCCATGGCTATTGGTGGGTCCATGTTGCAGTATAACCTCTGTACTATGTCCTCTCCTCCAAAGAGGTTTATCCCAATGGGTACTCCTTTTTTTTTAATTTTTTTAAGAAAGAGTCTTGCTCTGTTGCCCAGGCTGGAGTGCGGGGTGGTGTGATCTTGGCTAACTGCAACCTCCGCCTCCCAGGTTCAGGCAATTCTCGTCTCTCAGCCTCTGAGTAGCTGGGATTACAGGCATACGCCACCATGCCTGGCTAATGTTTTTGTATTTTTTAGTAGAGACAGGGTTTCGCCATGCTGGCCAGGCTGGTCTCCAAATCCTGGCCTCAAGTGATCTGCTTGCCTCGGCCTTCCAAAGTGCTGGGATTAAAGGTGTGAGCCACTGTGCCTGGCCCAAGGGTACTCCTTAATAAACTCTATCTCAGAGTCTGATGTCTAGGTAACCTGTAACAATCATTTCCCACTTTGAATTTAAGTTATGTTTCTTTTTAAAATAATCTTGGGTTTATCTTCACTACAACTTCCCAATTTAATTGGGTAGTGTTAGGTTTCACATCTAGATCATTTTCCTGAAACAATGTTATGACAGAAAGTATTTTTTTAGTCTTTGGCATTTTTCTCTGGAAGTACAAACCCTGATTCATAGGTGCTATCTACATTTAAAATTATTGTTTACACTTGTCAATCCCTGTTTCCTTACAAAGAACTAAGGTAACTCCTCAATTCCACATTTAAAAAAAAAACAGTTTTCTTCATTCTGGATTGATATAAAATATTCAAAATTTGTTCGTATCTCATTTTTTCCCAAAACTTTTCATTGATTCCCAATAATAAAAACTCCTTCTCCCCTTATTTCATCAGCGTTTAAGTGCACCTAACTTGTTAGCAGCGTCTGTTTGTTAAAGTTGTCTTATTTAGATAGACTTTATTCCAGACTGCATTTCCTTTCCTCTTATATAGCCTTACGGTATTATCTATACAATCTCTTGATTAATGTTGCTACTGAGGAAGTTGGATAATTTCAAAACCTTACATGAGCGTTTCACAAGATAAGGCACTTTAAGTATAAAAAACTATTAGAAATTAACTGTATTATGTGATCTCAAACTGCAGAGTTTCTCAACTATTTCTATAAATAAGTATAGTTCAAATAATTACAATAAATAAATCAAGCATGTGGTTCTAAAATGTAGTCCATACTAATTGGCAAATGTACCCAGCATTAAAACCTTGAGTAATGAGAGGTTCAATGCATTCTAAATGTTGTGCAAGCTGATGAAAGCACTTTCTGCTGTTGGATAAAACTTCTTAAAAATAAACATTATAATAAAAAGAAACCAGAAGTGCATCTCTAGTTAGAGTTAATTCTAGTGATGACTTTATTTCTAAGAAAAACCAAGGCAACATATGTGTTTTTAAATAGTATGTGGTTTCTGTGGCTACACAGTAACCAAGGGATGACTGTCAGTGTGATAAAATTCTCTTAGAATATATTACTAAATTATGGTGGGAGTCTCTTTTCTGAAAAAAAATGGAAAAATTTACAATAGCATCTGGCCCACAATCAAATGCTAACTTAAAAAGATACAGGTTGAGCATCTCTAATCCAAAAATCCAAAATCCAAAATGCTCCAAAATCTGAAACATTTTGAGCGCTGATATGATGCCACCAGTTACCCTGAACACATTATTTTTTTCATTGCATTAATGGTATATTATGTTTTATACTGTTAAGGATTTATGCATGATAAGTGCAAAAAATGATTGCTTATTGCTAGCATATAAAATTCAGAATCAGGGATAATGGTGATGCCAAACAACCATACATTGTCCACATGGGTAGCTGAGACAGTGACATCTTTGCCTCTGATGGTTCGATGTACATAAACTTTGTTTTACACACAAAATTATTTAAACTTTTGCATAAAATTACCTTTAGGCTATGTGTATATGATTTATATGAAACATAAATAAATTTCTTGTGTAGATATGGGTACCATCTCATTATATATATATGCAAATATTTCAAAATCTGCATAAACACTAATGGTCTCAGGTGATTTGGATAAGAGACTCTCAACCTACATAGCACTGCATTTTAATCAAATATTATAGATTTAATCAGAGATGCATGGATCATGATGGAATGCCCTGTCCTTGCTCCATTCTGGACCCCTGTGGACTGTACCAACTCATGCTCAATCCCCACCTCTTTTTCTGCTTTTCCTTTGTGGCTGGTGGTTGACCATAAGAGAGTCAAATACCAGCTACAAAGATGACTGAAGATCAGATTTTATCATCAACCAGAAAGTACAGATTGTCGATAAATGTAAAAAGGTTTGCAGGTAATTTAGTCACTGGTCACTGCCTCCTTTACCATAATCATGCATTTCAACAGCCACAGGTTCTAAAGGTTCTTGTAAAAAAAAAAGTATATTCAGGGACAGCAACAGAAATAATCTATTCTGGATAGACACATGATATTATCATTTGTCCATTAACAGTTATGAGGAAATAGATAGGATATATGCATTTTTCATTCAAATTACTTCTAATTATTAAACCATATTGCATAAATCTTGGATTTTTTAATAGTCTGTTATGTTATTGTTACTGACTAAAATATAGGTTAAATAAAGATACATACTTGGAAGAAACTGCCTCCATGAATTCGTCCAAAAAATCATCATATTCAGAACCTCTTACTCTTCTCTGCCGTAGTCCAATGTAGAGTGGATCTTTAAGTAACTCCTATTAAAAAAAGTTACCATAAAAATAGAAATAACTATAACCAAATCATTTATTGAGCCTCAGTTTCTTCATCTGTATAAAAGGGACAAAAATAGAAATAAAATCTTACCATACTGATTCAGAATTAACCTACAGGGTAATTACTTAATGTTACATAGAATATACCTGTAGTATTTATACACCAAATAAGAAAAATAATTTCTGGTCAGGAGCAGTGGCTCACGCCTGTAATCTCAACACTTTGGGAGGCTGAGGCAGGCAGATCACGAGGTCAGGAGATCAAGACCATCCTGGGTAACAACAGTGAAACCCTGTCTCTACAAAAGAACAAAAATTAGCTGGGTGTGGTGGTGTGCATCTGTAGTCCCAGCTATTTGGGAGCCTGAAGCAGAAGAATCACTTGAACCTGGGAGGTGGAGGTTGCAGTGAACCAAGATCGCACCACTGCACTCCAGCCTGGGCAACAGAAGGAGACTCTGCTGCAATAAAAATAGATAAATAAATAAATAAGAAAGAAAAATAATTCCTAAACGTTAAAAACATTCTAGATTATTCTGAGGAAAAGAAAAAAATAAAATATTTCATTTGTGTTAATTAGAAAAGTGCAATTCAGATTTTACAGACAAAGGTAATCACACAGAGAAATAACATTTAGTTTTGAAATATTAGCTTAAGGAATGGAAAGATAGCAATTCCTTTCTTAATTTTCCACTTCCGAAAGCAAAATTATCAAACAATGGTTTTACTTTACCTTTACTATGATAGTTAACAGACTTTAAAATAAATTTTTTAGCCTTTACTAGTGTTTTCTTAAATTTTTTAACTTTACACAGTTTAAGTTGTTTCTTAAACTGATATATCTGAGAATGTTGCCCTGTGTAAATTTTGGTATATATAATATGTAATATCACTTTTATTAAATCAGTTTTGAAATTGAGATATAATTTAAATATAACATACCCATTCATAACAAAAGCTCTCAGTAAACTAGAAGCAGAAAGGAACTTCCTTAACGCAATAAAGGACATCTATGAAAATCCCACAGCTGATAGCATATTTAGCAGTGAAAGACTGAGTGCTCTTCACTTACGATAGGGAACAAGACAAGAATACTTACCTTCATCACTTCTACTCTACACTATACTGGAGACCCTAGCTATTACAATAAGGCAAGAAAAAGAAAGAAATATAGATTGAAAAAAAAAGAAGCAAAACTTTTTTATTTGTACACATATAATTGTGTACATAGAAAATACTAAGAAATCTACCAAAAAAAATCCCAGTAGAAAAAAATACATGAATTTAACACAATCACAGTTTATAAAGTAAATATACACAAATCAATTTTACCTCTATACACTTGCAATGGACAGTTAAAAATGAAATAAAATATACAACTCCATTTATAATACCAGCCCAAAATGCAAAATTCATAAGGACATATTTAAGAAAATATGTGTAAGACCTGCACACTGGAAACTACAAAATATTGCTGAAAGAAACTCAAAAAGACTTAAATTGGGAATAACCTGCAAAAAATAAAAATAAAAAAAAAAGACCAAAGTGACACCTTCAGTAACCTAGAATAGAGAAAATTGAAATAATGAATTTGTGAATCTGGCTAATGAGATTTCCAGGCAGAATGCTGACTTGGCTTCTTGTGGCTATATAATAAAGTCTAAAACAGAGAAGAGCTAGAGAAGAAAATGTTCAGTTTGTGAGCAAAATTGAAGGAATATAGAGGACACAGGACTTGCTGGTAAAAGATGTGCATAGCAAAATAAGGTCTTCAAACATGAAATTAAGTGTGTGGTTTTAATAACTTTTTAAGAAATCTCTGAATGATTTAAAGTGAAGACTACTAGATCACCTTGACTAGACAAAAGGAACTGGTCTTCCATTTGTTTGTATCCTCTTTTATTTCCTTGAGCAGTGGTTTGTAGTTCTCCTTGAAGAGGTCCTTCACATCCCTTGTAAGTTGGATTCCTAGGTATTTTATTCTCTTTGAAGCAATTGTGAATGGGAGTTCACTCATGATTTGGCTCTCTGTTTGTCTGTTGTTGGTGTATAGGAATGCTTGTGATTTTTGCACATTGATTTTGTATCCTGAGACTTTGCTGAAGTTGCTTATCAGCTTAAGGAGATTTTGGGCTGAGACAATGGGGTTTTCTAGATACACAATCATGTCGTCTGCAAACAGGGACAATTTGACTTCCTCTTTTCCTAATTGAATACCCTTTATTTCCTTCTCCTGCCTAATTGCCCTTGCTCATGGGTAGGAAGAATCAATATCGTGAAAATGGCCATACTGCCAAAGGTAATTTACAGATTCAATGCCATCCCCATCAAGCTACCAATGCCTTTCTTCACACAATTGGAAAAAACTACTTTAAAGTTCATATGGAACCAAAAAAGAGCCCGCACTGCCAAGTCAATCCTAAGCCAAAAGAACAAAGCTGGAGGCATCACACTACCTGACTTCAAACTATACTACAAGGCTACAGTAACCAAAACAGCATGGTACTGGTACCAAAACAGAGATATAGATCAACGGAACAGAACAGAGCCCTCAGAAATAACGCCACATATCTACAACTATCTGATCTTTGACAAACCTGAGAAAAACAAGAAATGGGGAAAGGATTCCCTATTAAATAAATGGTGCTGGGAAAACTGGCTAGCCATATGTAGAAAGCTGAAACTGGATCCCTTCCTTACACCTTATACAAAAATCAATTCAAGATGGATTAAAGACTTAAACATTAGACCTAAAACCATAAAAACCCTAGAAGAAAACCTAGGCATTACCATTCAGGACATAGGCATGGGCAAGGACTTCATGTCTAAAACACCAAAAGCAATGGCAACAAAAGACAAAATTGACAAATGGGATCTAATTAAACTAAAGAGCTTCTGCACAGCAAAAGAAACTACCAACAGAGTGAACAGGCAACCTACAAAATGGGAGAAAATTTTTGCAACCTACTCATCTGACAAAGGGCTAATATCCAGAATCTACAATGAACTCAAACAAATTTACAAGAAAAAAACAAACAACCCCATCAAAAAGTGGGCGAAGGATATGAACAGACACTTCTCAAAAGAAGACATTTATGCAGCCAAAAAACACATGAAAAAATGCTCATCATCACTGGCCATCAGAGAAATGCAAATCAAAACCACAATGAGATACCATCTCACACCAGTTAGAATGGCAATCATTAAAAAGTCAGGAAACAACAGGTGCTGGAGAGGATGTGGAGAAATAGGAACACTTTTACACTGTTGGTGGGACTGTAAACTAGTTCAACCATTGTGGAAGTCAGTGTGGCGATTCCTCAGGGATCTAGAACTAGAAATACCATTTGACCCAGCAATCCCATTACTGGGTATATACCCAAAGGACTATAAATCATGCTGCTATAAAGACACATGCACACGTATGTTTATTGCGGCATTATTCACAATAGCAAAGACTTGGAACCAACCCAAATGTCCAACAATGATAGACTGGATTAAGAAAATGTGGCACATATACACCATGGAATACTATGCAGCCATAAAAAATGATGAGTTCATGTCCTTTGTAGGGACATGGATGAAATTGGAAATCATCATTCTCAGTAAACTATTGCAAGAACAAAAAACCAAACACCGCATGTTCTCACTCATAGGTGGGAACTGAACAATGAGAACACATGGACACAGGAAGGGGAACATCACACTCTGGGGACTGTTGTGGGGTCAGGGGAGGGGGGAGGGATAGCATTGGGAGATATACCTAATGCTAGATGACGAGTTAGTGGGTGCAGCGCACCAGCATGGCACATGTATATGTATGTAACTAACCTGCACAATGTGCACATGTACCCTAAAACTTAAAGTATAATAATAAAAAAAATAAAATAAAATAAAAATAAAAAATAAAAAGATAGGAAAAAAAACAAAAAAGGAACTGGTCCCGCATCACTCTGACATGCCAGCCAACATAGGAAGGAGGCCTATTTTGAAAGAATTGTGAATGGAGCCTCTGTCAAATTGAGTAGAGTATAATCTGATAACAGAGAAGGCCTAAAGAGTTTTTAAGGGTATGGCACTATCTTGGATTATTAAGACAGAGACACTTCAAATGAAAATAATTCTCTGGGTCCCCAATTTTCTGTAGTCAGGAAGCAGACTGAGAAAGTTATTCAGCTGCTAATACAGATCATTTCTTATGAAAGAGGAAGGATATCTCAGAGGACACAGCCAAGAACCCAGAAGGCAAAACCAAAAGCCCAAAAAAGAACAATGAACTACAGAACCACCCTGAGGAAACTTAATGGGCCCTATTCAAAGAATATTCCCTTCTCTTCCCCATGTAGGTGGCCTGGCAACATGTGCCCAGTTAGATTTCAGAATTGCTATGTACCATTTAGAGCCATATGATTCCTACTCCTCCAGCTATGAATGAGAATGTTGATGGTGGTTATTCTGTCCCTGCCTCACCGTTGTATGTTTGATATGTGGGAACACAGAAATGAGTTCCACCAAGGAGCAAAACCCAAGAAACCTCATTTGCATCTAGATCAGATTTAGATGACAATTTCTTGAACTTTGGACCTGTTGCTATTAGTGGGATGAAACTTTTGAAATCCTAGGATGGTGATAAGCATATTTTATATGTGGAATGTGACCAATTTCTGAAGAATGAGAACTGATGTGGAGAAAGGTCCAGCTGTGCCAGGCATCCTAGCCTTCCTAGCCATTCCAGTCCAAACTGCCAGCCAACAGAATCATAAACATTAATAAAACAGTAATTGTTTTAAGCCACTGAGAGGGTGATGTTAAGAAGGTTAAACCTTCAGATGTTAAGAATAATCTGAAGAGGAGTTTACTTACAGGCAACAGAAATTATAGCCCAGTTCTTCACACTTGTTGTCCTGTTGTAATTAGTAATGGCACCCTCTGTCGTTGTGAAATTGTCTTGGTTTGGCCAATATATCTTACTTATAATGTATTGCATAAGAAGAGTTAAGGATTTCCAGCTAGCTGAAAGTTAACAAGTTATATCATATAAATATATTTCAGATGAAATGTAAAATCTGAAATCAAGTGCCGCTGTAAACTGCAGCTGTTCCTTAAGGCATAAAAACTTTAAACAATTACTGGCAGGCTTCTGAGCAGCTGAAGTTGAAGTGCCAATGTGCTACTAATGGCTGCCAGAATTAAAATACTTTCTCCATGTCTAGAATATATTTAGACTTCTAAAATGTGAATTAGAAAAATTACACAATTGAGAAAAAAATGCTACGTTTCCCCTTCTCTTTTCTCCCTCCTTTCCCATGTTAATAATTAAAGTATACACCATAAAGAAGTCTGACTACAATGTAGTCGATTACAAAGATTTATGAACAAGATAGAGATTCTGAAGTAAATCAGAAAGTTAAAAAATTATCGATTCCCAGGTAAGATGACCAAATAGGAACAGCTCCGGTCTGCAGCTCCCAGCAAGACCAATGCAGAAGGTGGGTGATTTCTGCATTTCCAATTGAGGTACCCGGTTCATCTCATTGGGATGGGTTAGACAGTGGGTACAGCCCACAGAGGGCAAGGAGAAGCAGGGTGGGGCATCGCTGCACCCAGGAAGCGCAGGGGGTTAGGGAACTCCCTCCCCTAGCCAAGGGAAGCTGTGAGGGACCCTGCCCTGAGCGACTATGCACTCTGGCTCAGATACAACACTTTTCCCCATGGTCTTCACAACCCACAGACCAGGAGATTCCCTTGGGTGCTTACACCACAACAGCCCTGGGTTTCAAGCACAAAACTGGGTGGTCATTTGGGCAGACACCAAGCTAGCTGCAGGAGTTTTTTTTCCATACCCCAGTGGCACCTAGAATGCCAGCGAGACAGAACCATTCACACCCCTGAAAAGGGGGCTGAAGCTAAGGAGCCAACTGGTCTTGCTCAGCAGATTCCATCCCTATGGAGCCCAGCAAGCTAAGATCCACTGGCTTGAAATTCTTGCTGCCAGCACAGCAGTCAGACCTGGGACACTCGAGCTTGGTGTGGGGAGGGATGTCCATCATTACTGAGGCTCGAGTAGGCAGTTTTCCCCTCACAGTGTAAATAAAGCCACTGGGAAGTTTGGACTGGGTGAAGCCCACCACAGCACCACAAAGCCACTATAGCCAAACTGCCTCTCTAGATTCCTCCTCTCTGGGCAGGGCATCTCTGAAAGAAAAGCAGCAGCCCCAGTCAGGGTCTTATAGATAAAACTCCTATCTCCCTGGGACAGAACACCTGAGGCAAAGGGCAGCTGTGCGCACAGCTTCAGCAGACTTAAACTTTCCAGCCTGACAGCTCTGAAGAGAGCAGCACATCTCCCAGCACAGCATTTGAGCTCTGCTAAGAAACAGACTGCCTCCTCAAGTGGGTCCCTGATTCTTGTGCCTCCTGACGGAGAGACACCTCCCAGCAAGGGTCAACAGACACCTCATACAGGAGAGCTCCGGCTGGCATCTGGCAGGTGCCCCTCTTGGGGGAAGCTGCCAGAGGAAGGAACAGGCAGCAATCTTTGCTGTTCTGCAGCCTCCGCTGGTGACACTAAGGTAAACAGGGACTGGAGTGGACCTCCAGCAAACTCCAGCAGACCTGCAGAAGAGGGGACTGACTCTTAGAAGGAAAACTAACAAACAGAAAGGAAGAGCATGAACATCAACAAAAAGGACAACCATGCAAAAACCCCACGCGAAGGTCACCAACAGGGAAGACCAAAGGTAGATAAATCCATGAAGATCAGCAAAAACCAGCACAAAAAGGCTGAAAATTCCAAAAACCAGAATAACTCTTCTCCTCCAAAGGATCACAACTCCTCACCAGCAAGGGAATAAAACTGGATGGAGAATGAGTTTGACTAATTGACAAAAGTAGGCTTCAGAAGGTGGGTAATAACAAACTTCTCTGAGCTAAAGGAGCATGTTCTAACTCAATGCAAGGAAGCTAAGAACCTTGATAAAAGGTTAGAGGAATTGCTAACTAGAATAACCAGATTAGAGAAGAACATAAATGACCTGATGGACCTGAAAAACACAGCACAAGAACTTCATGAAGCATACACAAGTATCAATAGCTGAATCAATCAAGTAGAAGAGAGGATATCTGAGATTGAAGATCAACTTAATGAAATAAAGTTTGAAGACAAGATTAGAGAAAAAATAATGAAAAGGAATGAAGAAAACTTCCAAGAAATATGGGACTATGTGAAAAGGCCAAACTGACGTTTGGTTGGTGTACCTGAAAGTGATGGGGAGAATGGAACCAAGTTGGAAAACACTCTTCAGGATATTATCCAAGAGAACTTCCCCAAACTCACAAGACAGGCCAACACTCAAATTCAGGAAATACAGAGAACACCACAAAGATACTCCTCGACAAAAGCAACCCCAAGATGCATAATCGTCAGATCCACCATCGTTGAAATGAAGAAAAAAATTTAAGGGCAGTGAGAGAGAAGGGTTGGGTTATCCACAAAGGGAAGCCCATCAGACTAACAGTGGATCTCTCTGCAGAAATTCTGCAAGCCCGAAGAGAGTGGGGGCCAACATTCAACATTCTTAAAGAAAAGAATTTTCAACCCAGAATTTCATATACAGCCAAGATAAGCTTCATAAGTGAAGGAGAAATAAAATCCTTTACAGACAAGCAAATGCTGAGGGATTTTGTCACCACCAGACCTGCCTTACAAGAGCTCCTGAAGGAAGCACTGAATATGGAAAGGAAAAACCGGGACAGGCACTACAAAAACAAACCAAAATGTAAAGACCATTGACATTATGAGGAAACTGTATCAACTAATGGGCAAAATAACCAGCTAGCATAATAATGACAGGAGCAAATTCAAACAACAATATTAACCTTAAATGTAAATGGGCTAAATGCCCCAGTTTGCCAGACACAGACTGGCAAACAGGATAAAGAGTCAATACCCATCAGTGTGCTGTATTCAGGAGACTTATCTCACATGCAAAGACACACATAGGCTCAAAATAAAGGGATGGAGGAAGATTTACCAAGCAAATGGGAAGCAAAACAAAAACAAACAAACAAACAAAAAACAAAAAAAAAACCCCAGAGGTTGCAATTCTGGTCTCTGATAAAACAGAGTTTAAACAAATAAAGATCAAAAGAGACAAAGAAGGCTATTACATAATGGTAAAGGGATCAATTCAACAAGAAGAACTAAGTATCCTAAATACATATGCACCAATACAGGAGCACCCAGGTTCATAAAGCAAGTTCATAGAGACCTACAAAAAGACCTAGACTCCCACAAAATAATAGTGGAAGACTTTAACACCCCACTGGCAATATTAGGCAGATCAACAAGACAGAAAATTAACACAGATATTCAGGACTTGAACTCAGCTTTGGACCAAGCCTACCTAATAGACATCTACAGAACTCTCCATCCCAAATCAACAGAGTATACATTCTTCTTAGCACCACACAGCACTTATTCTAAAATTGACCCCACAATTAGAGGGAAAACACTCTTCAGCACATGCAAAAGAAAGGAAATCATAACAAACACACTCTCAGACCACAGTGCAATCAAATTAGAACTCAAGATTAATAAACTCACTCAAAACTGCACAACTACATGGAAACTGAACAACCTGCTCCTGAACGACTACTGGGTAAGTAATGAAATTAAGGCAGAAATAAATAAGTTCTTTGAAACCAATGAGAACAAAGACACAATGTGCCAGAATCTCTGGGACACAGCTAAAGCAGTATTTAGAGGGAAATTTATAGCACTAAATGCCCACAGGAGAAAGGGGGAAAGATCTAAAATTGACACCCTAACATCACAATTAAAAGAACTAGAGAAGCAAGAGCAAACAAATTCAAAATCAAGCAGAAGATGAGAAATAACTAAGATCAGAGCAGAACTGAAGGAGATAAAGACATGAAAAACCCTTAAAAAAATGAATGAATCCAGGAGCTGGTTTTTTGAAAAGATTAACAAAATAGACTGCTAGCCAGACTAATAAAGAAGAAAAGAGAGAAGAATCAAATAGAAACAATAAAAAAATGATAAAGGGGAGATCACCACTGATCCCACAGAAATACAAACTACCATCAGAGAATACTACAAACACCTCTACAAATAAACTAGTAAATAACCTAGAATATCTAGAAGAAATGGATAAATTCCTGCACACATACAGCCTCCCAAGACTAAACTAGGAAGAAGTCGAATCCCCGAATAGACCAATAACAAGTTCTAAAACTGTGGTATTAATTAATAGCCTACCAACCAAAAAAAAAAAAAAAAAAAAAAAAGCCCAGGACGAGATGGATTCACAGCCGTATTCTAACAGAGGTACAAAGAAAGAGGAGCTGGTACCATTCCTTCTGAAACTATTCCAAACAATAGAAAAAGAAGGGCTCCTCTCTAACTCATTTTATCACATCAGCATCATCCTGATACCAAAACCTGGCAGAGACACAACAAAACAAGAAAATTTCAGGCCAATATCTCTGACGAACATTGACACAAAAGTCCTCAATAAAATACTTGCAAACCGAATCCAGCAGCACATCAAAACTTATCCACCATGATCAAGTGGGCTTCATCCCTGGGATGCAAGGCTGGTTCAACATATGCGAATCAATAAATGTAATCCATCACATAAACAGAACCAATAACAAAAACCACATGATTATCTCAATAGATGCAGAAAAGGCCTTCAATAAAATTCAACAACCCTTCATGCTAAAAACACTCAATAAACTAGGTATTGATGAAACATATCTCAAAATAATAAGAGCTATTTATGCTAAACCCACAGCCAATATCATACTGAATGGACAAAAGCTGGAAGCATTCCCTTTCAAAACTGGCACAAGACAAGGATGCCCTCTCTCACCACTCCTATTCAACATAGTATTGGAAGGTCTGGCCAGGGCAATCAGGCAAGAGAAAGAAATAAAGGGTATTCCAATAGGAAAAGAAGAAGTCAAATTGTCTCTCTTTGCAGACGACATGATTGTATATTTAGAAAACCCCATTGTCTCAGCACAAAAACTCCTTAAGCTGATAGGCAACTTCAGCAAAATCTCAGGATGCAAAATCAATATACAAAAATCACAAGCATTCCTATATACCAATAATAAGCAAATAGAGAGCCAAATCATGAGTGAACTCCCATTCACAATTGCTACTAAGAGAATAAAGTACCTAGGAATACAGTTAACAAGGGATGTGAAGGACCTCTTCAAGAAAAACTACAAACCACTGCTCGAGGAAATAAGAGAGGACACAAACAAATGGAAAAACCTTCCATGCTCATGGATAGGAAGAGTCAATATCATGAAACTGACCATAGGGCCCAAAGTAATTTATAGATTCAATGTTATTCCCATCAAACTACCACTGACCTCCTTCACAGAATTAGAAAAAACTACTTTAAATTTCATATGGAACCAAAAAAGAGCCCATATAGCCCAGACAATCCTAAGCAAAAAAAACACAAAAAAACGAAGCAAACAAAAAAAAAAAAAAACAAAGCTGGAGGCATCATGCTACCTGACTTCAAACTATACTACAAGGCTACAGTAACCCAAACAGCATGGTATTGGAACCAAAACAGATATATAGACCAATGGAACAGAACAGAGGCCTCAGAAATAACACCACACATCTACAACTATATGATCTTTCACAAACCTGACAAAAACAAGCAACGGGGAAAGGATTCCCTATTTAATAAATGGTGTTGGGAAAACTGGCAGAAAACTGAAACTGGACCCCTTTCCTTACAACTTATACAAAAATTAACTCAATATGGATTAAAGATTTAAACATAACACCTAAAACTATAAAAACCCTAGAAGAAAACCTTGGGAATACCATTCAGGCCATAGGCATGGGCAAATATTTCATGACTAAAACACCAAAAGCAATGGCAACAAAAGCAAAATTGACAAATGGGATCTAATTAAACTAAAGAGCTTCTGCACAGCAAAGGAAACTATCATCTGAGTGAACAGGCAACCTACAGAATGGGAGAAATTTTTGCAATCTATCCATCTGACAATGGGCTAATATCCAGAATCTACAAGGAACTTAAATTTACAAGAAAAAACCAAAACACTCCATCAGAAAGTGGGCAAAGGATATGAACAGACATTTTCAAAAGAAGGCATGTATGTGGCCAAAAAACATAAAAAAAAGCTCATCATCACTGGTCATTAGAGAAATGCCAATCAGAACCACAATGAGATATCATCTCATGCCTTTTGGAATGGTAATTGTTAAAAAGTCAGGAAACAACAGATGCTGGAGAGGATATGGAGAAATAGAAATGCTTTTACACACTGTTGGTGGGAGTGTAAATTAGTTCAACCACTATGGAAGACAGTGTGGCGACTCCTCAAGGATCTAGAAATAGAAAAATCATTTGACCCAGCAATCCCATTACTGGGTATATACCCAAAGGATTATTGTTGCGGGAAGTCAGGGACCCCAAACAGAGGGACCGGCTGAAGCCATGACAGAAGAACGTGGATTGTGAAGATTTTATAGACATTTATTAGTTCCCCAAATTGATACTTTTATAATTTCTTATGCCTGTCTTTACTGCAATCTCTAAACACAAATTGTAAAGATTTCATGGACACTTATCACTTCCCCAATCAATACCCTTGTGATTTCCTATGCCTATCTTTGCTTTAATCTCTTAATCCTGTCAGCTAAGAAGGATGTATGTCACCTCAGGACCCTGTAATAATTGCGTTAACTGCACAAATTGTACAGCACAGCATGTGTGTTTGAGCAATATGAAATCTGAGCACCTTGAAAAAAGAACAGGATAACAGCAATTGTTCAGGGAATAAGAGAGATAACCTTAAACTCTGACCATTGGTGAGCTGGGCAGAACAGAGGCATATTTCTCTTCTTTCAAAAGCGAATGGGAGAAATATCACCGAATTCTTTTTCTCAGCATGGAATATCCCTGAGAAAGAGAATGCGCACCTAGGGGTAGGTCTCTGAACTGGCCCCCCCGGGGCACACCTGTCTCTTATGGTTGAGTCTGCAGAGATGAAATAGACTCCAGTCTCCCATAGCGCTCTCAGGCTTATTAGGAAGAGGAAATTCCCGCCTAACAAATTTTGGTCAGACCAGTTGATCTCAAAACCCTGTCTCCTGATAAGATGTTATCAATGACAATGGTGCCCGAAACTTCATTAGCAATTTTAATTTCGCCTCGGTCCTGTGGTCCTGTGATCTCACCCTGTCTCCACTTGCCTTGTGATATTCTATTACCCTGTTAAGTACTTGATGTCTGTCACCCACACCTATTTGCATACTCCCTCCCCTTTTGAAAATCCCTAATAAAAACTTGCTGGTTTTTGTGGCTTTTGGGGCATCACGGATCCTACCAACATGTGATGTCTCCCCCGGATGCCCAGCTTTAAAATTTCTCTCTTCTGTACTCTGTCCCTTTATTTCTCAAGCCAGCCGATGCTTAGGAAAATAGAAAAGAACCTACGTGATTTTTGGGGCAGGTCCCCTGAAAGATTATAAATCATTCTATGATAAAGACACATGCACACGTATGTTTATTGCAGCACTGTTCACAACAGCAAAGACTTGGAACCAATCCAAATGCCCATCAATGTTAGACTGGATAAAGAAAATGTGGCACATATACACCATGGAATACTATGTAGCCATATAAAAGAATGAGTTCACGTCCTTTGCAGGGACATGGATGAAGCTGGAAACCATCATTCTCAGCAAACTAACACAGGAACAGAAAACCAAACACCGCATGTTCTCACTCATAAGTGGGAACTGAACAATGAGAACACATGGACACAGGGAGGGGAACATCACACAGCGGGGCATGTCAGGGGGTGGAAGGCAAGGGGAGGGATAGCATTAGGAAATACCTAATGTGGATGACGGGTTGATGAGTGCAGCAAACCACCATGGCACATGTATACCTATGTAACAAAGCTGCATGTTCTGCACATATATCCCAGAACTTAAAGTATATAAAAAAATTCTTCCAATCATAATAATGTCCCTGTTAAAAATTAGTTTTTTTAATTTCATAATTTTAATTAAGATAATCAAGGCTTGAATAATTAGTGCATTCTCAGAGATTTGGCTGACAAAAAAATTAGTATCTACAAAAAGCAATTTAACAACATTATTCAGTTTTGATAATGGTTCCACAGACAAAGTAGACTGGCACAGAAGTGATATTAATTTACTGGATTAAAAACTTCTTATGGTCAGGAGCAAACACTCAATAGATCACTGTTAGAGAATAAATACTTGGTATTAAGGAAGCACTTAAAAAAGGGTGGAACTTCTTTAGCACTAGGTGTTACACTAAATGCATGTGGTGCCACTGAAGACTTATGAAAATTTACAAGCCTGAGAAAAGGAAAAAGACTGGGGCAAAAGTAAGGAATAAGACATATGGAAATATAAGAGAGCTCAAAAAAAGGAGATAAGGAGGGTATATATTGGTAATTATACTAATGATCTTACTATTCACATTATCTCAATTCTGCACCCTTCAGAATTTATAACTGAAGCATCTATTTATTTGAAGTTAATAGTAATCACTATCAAATCTCACCTTGTTTTTGTCTCCCACATTTCTATCTTTACAATCTGACGTGTCTGAGAATTTAAAAATATTATCTTAATATTATAAGTATTTTTCTCATCACAAAAGCAATATTTGTTTATCAGAAATGTTTGAGAGCACTGAAAAGTAAAATTAAAACCAAAGAATACCAATAATCTCTACCCATTCAGAACTACCCAACATTAGCACCTTGATGTATATTCTTCCAGGTCCTTTTCTTTGTATCTATGCATATATAAGATTATCTGTCCAAATTTGGGATGATAGCATAGAGTATATTTTAACCTCTTTTCACAAAGGAATATATGATGAAAGCTTTCGTGTCAATAGACAAACATCTGTACTGGTACTCTGCTCTCCTAGAATGTATGAATAAATTAACAGCACCTCATCACACCTCCAGTGGTATATAATAAGTATGTCTATTTTGTTGCAGTCTCAAATAAGGTATCTTTTCATATCATGCCTATATCATGAAATATACATATAAATATATAAGAAGTAACAATAAATTCATATCTGTACCTGCTATATGTGTGTCTCTGTGTGGCACATAGGCACAAAACTGTTCTCAAGCAGCATTCATTTATATTCCTTTTATATTACTGTTGTGCATTTTTTCATAAGTTTATTGACCATTTTTATTTCTTCATTTGTAAATTATCTGTGTCCATATGTCCTTAGGCAATTTGTATAGTGGAGATTTCACATTTTCTTACTTACTTTAAAGTGTTCTCTTTTTTTATGTCTTCTTTTAAAATTATTTTTTAGAGACAAGTTCTCACTCTGTTGTCTATCCTGGAGTGCAGTGGCATGATCATAGACAGCTCACTATAGCCTCGAACTCCGAGACTCAAGGAATCCTCCCACCTTGGCCTCCCAAGTAACTAGGACTACAGGCACCATACCTGGCTAATTTTATTTTAATTTTTGCAGAGACAAGGTCTTGCTTATGTTGCCCAGGCTGGTCTTGAACTCCTGGGCTCAAGTGATCCTCTCACTTCACCTCCTAAAGTGTTGGGATTACAGGTGTGAGTCACTGAGCCTAGTCTAATATTCTCTTACTGACCTGAAAGTATTCTTTAAATATTAAGAACATTATACACCTTTATCTTCTATACTGATGTAACTATTCCTCATTCTAGCATTTATTTTTAAACTCAATTTATAATCTACAGAAAATTATTTTCTTTGTTACCATTTCTCATTTTTTGTTATGGATTCTATAAATAAATAATATATAACTTTTGCTGTTTTGTTGCCTCATGTCATCAATAAGAATAAGCAAAGTAACCATCACATTCAGGTAAGAGTCTAAAACCAGTACCACTAAAATGTCAGCATGCATATGAGCTGGCATGATTATTAAAAAGTGCTAGAAATAAAAATGATTAAAATTTAGTTGTGATTCAGTATGTCTGGAGCAGGGTGCAAAATTCTGCATTCTTAACACATGCCCCTGATAATTCTGAAGTGGTGAGAACTTGTATTATTAAGTTATTTCGAACTTGTATTATTAAGTTAAAATAAAACCATTCTACTTCCTACTAGGTTTCTGTCTCATTTAAATAAATTTTCCATTTTGTTCTATACAATCAGTATTTCTAAAATTTACATAAAAATTTCAAGGAGTTCCTGCTAGTTATAGTGTGCATAAAATCAAACTAAAGAAAGACCCCATTCTCTTTCCCAAGGCACTAGTGTAGTGTCTCAGGAAACAGATAAATAAATTCTTGATAAAATCTATTAAGATCTTCTAATTTAGAGAGGGTGGGGCAAAATGAGACCACAAAGAGCAAGCAAATGAAACTCCAAGCCAAACTCCTGGGAGTTGAGAATTTTCTTCTCTCCCCTGGCTTTACTAATGATGACTGGTATTCATTCCAATACAGGATCACTTGTCTGAAGTGGCAAGGGTACACTGTACACATCAACCAGAGGCCAGACTAAACATAAAACTAGACACAGAAAAGCTGAGACCTGGAGCAATGGTTTAATAAGCAAAGAATACGCAGAAATCACATTCTCCTACTCATTCTGCCCGTGACCTCTTGAGGACTGATCATGTGCTATGGGTTGAAAGGTGTTGCCCCCAAATTCATATGTTGAATCCCTAATCCCAGTACCTCAGAATGTGACGTATTTGGAGACAGAGTATTTAAAGAAGTAATTAAGTTGAATGAGGTCATTAGAGTGGGCCCTAATCCAATATGACTGGTCCTTTTAAGAAGAGGAAATTGGCCGGGTGCGGTGGCTCACGTCTGTAATCCCAGCACTTTGGGAGGCTGAGGCGGGTGGATCACGAGGTCCGGAGTTTAAGACCAGCCTGGCCAAGATGGTGAAACCCATCTCTACTAAATATACAAAAATTAGTCGGGCGTGGTGGTGGGCGCCTGTAATCCCAGCTACTCAGGAGGCTGAGGCAGAGAATTGCTTGAACCCGGGAGGCGGAGGTTGCAGTGAGCTGAGATCATGCCACTGCACTCCAGCCTGGGCAACAGAGCAAGACTCCATCTCAAAAAAAAAAAAAAAAGAAGAGGAAATTAGGATACAGACATACACAGAAGAAAAACTGTATGAAGACACCAGAGGAAGACGGGCATCTACAAGTCAAGGACACAAACCACAGAAGAAACCAACCCTACCAACACATTGATCTTGGACTTCCAGCCCCCAGAACTGTGAGAAAATAAATTTCTGTCAGTTAAGCCACCTAGTCTATGGCTCTTTGTTACAATAACCCTAAAAAAAAGAATATCCCATATAACGTATGAAAAGGTTCTTTAAGACATAATAATGTCCAAACAAGCAGGAAGGGAACACAAGGAACATCTACTCAAATTATTTTTAGTCAAATAGCAAGCCTCAATATTAGTCATATACAAGAAAAACAGACATATAATCAACATAATTTCTATGAAAAGATTTGGCAACAGCAAAAAAAGAAGGAATTAAACATGACATGTTCTAAAGAAAATTTACTTCACGTAACAAGTAAACTTTATATAGCAACTGCTTCACAATTAAAGAAAATATGGACTGTGAAATAACAGAGGAAAGATGAGATGAAAATATAAACACAAACACCCTACCTAATTTAATACTTAGTATTATTAACTTAAAGAATAAGAGTATTTTCCATCTAAACAAAATCAAAATGGCCATTATTTTAAAGTCAAAAAAAACAATAGATGTTGGCACCATGTGGTGAAAAGGGAAAACTTATACACTGTTATTGAGAATGTAAATTAGTATATCATCTATGGAAAACAACATGGCGATTTCTCAAAGAACATAAAGTAGATCTACTATTCAATCCAGCAATCCCACTACTGGGTATCCACCCAAAGGAAAAGAAGCCATTATATCAAAAAGACACCTGCACATGTATGTTTATCACAGCACAATCCACAATTGCGAAGATATGAAATCAACCTCAAGTGCCCATCAACCAATGAGTGGATAAAGAAAATTTTCACATATATATCATAGTATACCACTCAGTCATAAGAAAGGATAAAACAATGTCCTTTGCAGCCACTTGGATGAAACTGGAGGCTATTAACCTAAATGAAATAACTTAGGAATGGAAGACCAAATACTGCATATTTTCACTTATAAGTGGGAGTTAAGCTATGGGTACATAGGAGTATACAAAGCAGTATAATGGACACTGGAGACTCAGATGGGAGGAGGGTAGGAGGTAGGTAAAGGATAAAAAATTACCTATTGGGTACAATGTTTTTCAGGTGATGGGTACACTAAAAGCTCAGAGTTCACCATTATATAATTCATCCGTGTAACCAAAAACCACTTGTACCCTTAAGGCTATTAAAATAAAAAATAAAAATAAAAAAATAAGAATATTTTTTAGCCAAGTACTTCTGTGTACTTCTGTTTTGGCATCTTAGTTCCTTAAATTTCCTTTAGTTGAAAGCTGCAGAAGCTTAAAAGCAGTCAGGCAAGTGTATCTTTATGGCAAGTGAAGACTGTCTTATTAACTGGCAGCTAATTCCATTTCTATTTTCATTACTATCCAGTACATGTAGGTATGATAAAAGAGGAAAACATTTATAATTTGTATTTAAAGGGGATTTACTTTTATTAAAATTTGCTAGGTTATTCTGGATAAGAAACTAAGTGATATTATCAAGCAGTTTCTATATTTTTATTATTAAGTGTAAAATATGCAGAGATTCAAAAAAGCAATTAAGATTAAAAATTAGTACTACAGGAACATTTTGACTAAAATCAGTTTTCCATATGTGAAACTGCCACTACATAAAAACACCATTACATTTTAAATGAACTCATAGACTCAGTCATAATTAAGTTTTCCTTCCTGTCTTCTCAGTAAAGCAGCAGTGAAAGAATAAATACAAAAAATACAAAATGTCAGAATGAATAAAATAAGAACATTATGAGTAGCAACTCAGTTGATTCCAAATATTTTTCTATTCTTCACACACATTATGAGTTAAAGACCATAAAAATTTAGATTAGGATGTTTTACAGGTTACAATATTACTAACATATTTTGAACTCCAAGAGCTCAAATGGAGAAAGTAATATGTTGGAGCATTTCTATCTATTTTAAGCAACAGAAAAGTTAATCCAGAATCTTAAACAACTTCTATTTTTATCCTGAACAGCACTGTATTGCTAACGGAATACAGTTGATATGTGTAGCCCGAAAGTCAATAAAATTAAGGGCAAATTGAGTCAAAGATGAAAACATATTTTGCTTAATAAATACAACACACCTTGATCAGTTTTTAGAAAAAAAATACTTGCCCCAAAATTAATTATTCTGATTAACCAAATAATATGTAACTATTTCTTTGCTTAGAAATGTGAAATACTGATATAAAACTCCAAGTCAGGGGGGGAGGAGCCAAGATGGCCGAATAGGAACAGCTCTGGTCTACAGCTCCCAGCGTGAGCGACGCAGAAGACGGGTGATTTCTGCATTTCCATCTGAGGTACCGGGTTCTTCTCACTAGGGAGTGCCAGACAGTGGGCGCAGGCCAGTGTGTGCGTGCACCGTGCGCGAGCCGAAGCAGGTCGAGGCATTGCCTCACCTGGGAAGCGCAAGGGGTCAGGGAGTTCCTTTTCCGAGTCAAAGAAAGGGGTGACGGACGCACCTGGAAAATCGGGTCACTCCCACCCGAATATTGCGCTTTTCAGACCGGCTTAAGAAACGGCGCACCACGAGACTATATCCCACACCTGGCTCAGAGGGTCCTACGCCCACGGAATCTCGCTGATTGCTAGCACAGCAGTCTGAGATCAAACTGCAAGGCGGCAACGAGGCTGGGGGAGGGGCGCCCGCCATTGCCCAGGCTTGCTTAGGTAAACAAAGCAGCCGGGAAGCTCGAACTGGGTGGAGCCCACCACAGCTCAAGGAGGCCTGCCTGCCTCTGTAGGCTCCACCTCTGGGGGCAGGGCACAGACAAACAAAAAGACAGCAGTAACCTCTGCAGACTTAAGTGTCCCTGTCTGACAGCTTTGAAGAGAGCAGTGGTTCTCCCAGCACGCAGCTGGAGATCTGAGAACGGGCAGACTGCCTCCTCAAGTGGGTCCCTGACCCCTGACCCCCGAGCAACCTAACTGGGAGGCACCCCCAGCAGGGGCACACTGACACCTCACACGGCAGGGTATTCCAACAGACCTGCAGCTGAGGGTCCTGTCTGTTAGAAGGAAAACTAACAACCAGAAAGGACATCTACACCGAAAACCCATCTGTACATCACCATCATCAAAGACCAAAAGTAGATAAAACCACAAAGATGGGGAAAAAACAGAACAGAAAAACTGGAAACTCTAAAACGCAGAGCGCCTCTCCTCCTCCAAAGGAACGCAGTTCCTCACCAGCAACGGAACAAAGCTGGATGGAGAATGATTTTGACGAGCTGAGAGAAGAAGGCTTCAGACGATCAAATTACTCTGAGCTACGGGAGGACATTCAAACCAAAGGCAAAGAAGTTGAAAACTTTGAAAAAAATTTAGAAGAATGTATAACTAGAATAACCAATACAGAGAAGTGCTTAAAGGAGCTGATGGAGCTGAAAACCAAGGCTCGAGAACTACGTGAAGAATGCAGAAGCCTCAGGAGCTGATGCGATCAACTGGAATAAAGGGTATCAGCAATGGAAGATGAAATGAATGAAATGAAGCGAGAAGGGAAGTTTAGAGAAAAAAGAATAAAAAGAAATGAGCAAAGCCTCCAAGAAATATGGGACTATGTGAAAAGACCAAATCTACGTCTGATTGGTGTACCTGAAAGTGATGTGGAGAATGGAACCAAGTTGGAAAACACTCTGCAGGATATTATCCAGGAGAACTTCCCCAATCTAGCAAGGCAGGCCAACGTTCAGATTCAGGAAATACAGAGAACGCCATAAAGATACTCCTCGAGAAGAGCAACTCCAAGACACATAATTGTCAGATTCACCAAAGTTGAAATGAAGGAAAAAATGTTAAGGGCAGCCAGAGAGAAAGGTCGGGTTACCCTCAAAGGAAAGCCCATCAGACTAACAGCGGATCTCTCGGCAGAAACCCTACAAGCCAGAAGAGAGTGGGGGCCAATATTCAACATTCTTAAAGAAAAGAATTTTCAAACCAGAATTTCATATCCAGCCAAACTAAGCTTCATAAGTGAAGGAGAAATAAAATACTTTATAGACAAGCAAATGCTGAGAGATTTTGTCACCACCAGGCCTGCCCTAAAAGAGCTCCTGAAGGAAGCGCTAAACATGGAAAGGAACAACCGGTACCAGCCGCTGCAAAATCATGCCAAAATGTAAAGACCATCGAGACTAGGAAGAAACTGCATCAACTAATGAGCAAAATCACCAGCTAACATCATAATGACAGGATCAAATTCACACATAACAATATTAACTTTAAATATAAATGGACTAAATTCTGCAATTAAAAGACACAGACTGGCAAGTTGGATAAAGAGTCAAGACCCATCAGTGTGCTGTATTCAGGAAACCCATCTCACGTGCAGAGACACACATAGGCTCAAAATAAAAGGATGGAGGAAGATCTACCAAGCCAATGGAAAACAAAAAAAGGCAGGGGTTGCAATCCTAGTCTCTGATAAAACAGACTTTAAACCAACAAGGATCAAAAGAGACAAAGAAGGCCATTACATAATGGTAAAGGGATCAATTCAACAAGAGGAGCTAACTATCCTAAATATTTATGCACCCAATACAGGAGCACCCAGATTCATAAAGCAAGTCCTGAGTGACCTACAAAGAGACTTAGACTCCCACACATTAATAATGGGAGACTTTAACACCCCACTGTCAACATTAGACAGATCAACGAGACAGAAAGTCAACAAGGATACCCAGGAATTGAACTCAGCTCTGCACCAAGCAGACCTAATAGACATCTACAGAACTCTCCACCCCAAATCAACAGAATATACATTTTTTTCAGCACCACACCACACCTATTCCAAAATTGACCACATAGTTGGAAGTAAAGCTCTCCTCAGCAAATGTAAAAGAACAGAAATTATTACAAACTATCTCTCAGACCACAGTGCAATCAAACTAGAACTCAGGATTAAGAATCTCACTCAAAGCCGCTCAACTACATGGAAACTGAACAACCTGCTCCTGAATGACTACTGGGTACATAACGAAATGAAGGCAGAAATAAAGATGTTCTTTGAAACCAACGAGAACAAAGACACCACATACCAGAATCTCTGGGACGCATTCAAAGCAGTGTGTAGAGGGAAATTTATAGCACTAAATGCCTACAAGAGAAAGCAGGAAGGATCCAAAATTGACACCCTAACATCACAATTAAAAGAACTAGAAAAGCAAGAGCAAACACATTCAAAAGCTAGCAGAAGGCAAGAAATAACTAAAATCAGAGCAGAACTGAAGGAAATAGAGACACAAAAAACCCTTCAAAAAATCAATGAATCCAGGAGCTGGTTTTTTGAAAGGATCAACAAAATTGATAGACCACTAGCAAGACTAATAAAGAAAAAAAGAGAGAAGAATCAAATAGACACAATAAAAAATGATAAAGGGGATATCACCACCGATCCCACAGAAATACAAACTACCATCAGAGAATACTACAAACACCTCTACGCAAATAAACTAGAAAATCTAGAAGAAATGGATACATTCCTCGACACATACACTCTCCCAAGACTAAACCAGGAAGAAGTTGAATCTCTGAATAGACCAATAACAGGCTCTGAAATTGTGGCAATAATCAATAGTTTACCAACCAAAAAGAGTCCAGGACCAGATGGATTCACAGCCGAATTCTACCAGAGGTACAAGGAGGAACTGGTACCATTCCTTCTGAAACTATTCCAATCAATAGAAAAAGAGGGAATCCTCCCTAACTCATTTTATGAGGCCAGCATCATTCTGATACCAAAGCCGGGCAGAGACACAACCAAAAAAGAGAATTTTAGACCAATATCCTTGATGAACATTGATGCAAAAATCCTCAATAAAATACTGGCAAACCGAATCCAGCAGCACATCAAAAAGCTTATCCACCATGATCAAGTGGGCTTCATCCCTGGGATGCAAGGCTGGTTCAATATACGCAAATCAATAAATGTAATCCAGCATATAAACAGAGCCAAAGACAAAAACCACATGATTATCTCAATAGATGCAGAAAAAGCCTTTGACAAAATTCAACAACCCTTCATGCTAAAAACTCTCAATAAATTAGGTATTGATGGGACGTATCTCAAAATAATAAGAGCTATCTATGACAAACCCACAGCCAATATCATACTGAATGGGCAAAAACTGGAAGCATTCCCTTTGAAAACTGGCACAAGACAGGGATGCCCTCTCTCACCACTCCTATTCAACATAGTGTTGGAAGTTCTGGCCAGGGCAATCAGGCAGGAGAAGGAGATAAAGGGTATTCAATTAGGAAAAGAGGAAGTCAAATTGTCCCTGTTTGCAGATGACATGATTGTTTATCTAGAAAACCCCATCGTCTCAGCCCAAAATCTCCTTAAGCTGATAAGCAACTTCAGCAAAGTCTCAGGATACAAAATCAATGTACAAAAATCACAAGCATTCTTATACACCAACAACAGACAAACAGAGAGCCAAATCATGAGTGAACTCCCATTCACAATTGCTTCAAAGAGAATAAAATACCTAGGAATCCAACTTACAAGGGATGTGAAGGACCTCTTCAAGGAGAACTACAAACCACTGCTCAAGGAAATAAAAGAGGACACAAACAAATGGAAGAACATTCCATGCTCATGGGTAGGAAGAATCAATATCGTGAAAATGGCCATACTGCCAAAGGTAATTTACAGATTCAATGCCATCCCCATCAAGCTACCAATGACTTTCTTCACAGAATTGGAAAAAACTACTTTAAAGTTCATATGGAACCAAAAAAGAGCCCGCATCGCCAAGTCAATCCTAAGCCAAAAGAACAAAGCTGGAGGCATCACACTACCTGACTTCAAACTATACTACAAGGCTACAGTAACCAAAACAGCATGGTACTGGTACCAAAACAGAGATATAGATCAATGGAACAGAACAGAGCCCTCAGAAATAATGCCGCATATCTACAACTATCTGATCTTTGACAAACCTGAGAAAAACAAGCAATGGGGAAAGGATTCCCTATTTAATAAATGGTGCTGGGAAAACTGGCTAGCCATATGTAGAAAGCTGAAACTGGATCCCTTCCTTACACCTTATACAAAAATCAATTCAAGATGGATTAAAGATTTAAACGTTAGACCTAAAACCATAAAAAGCCTAGAAGAAAACCTAGGCATTACCATTCAGGACATAGGCGTGGGCAAGGACTTCATGTCCAAAACACCAAAAGCAATGGCAACAAAAGCCAAAATTGACAAATGGGATCTAATTAAACTAAAGAGCTTCTGCACAGCAAAAGAAACTACCATCAGAGTGAACAGGCAACCTACAACATGGGAGAAAATTTTCGCAGCCTACTCATCTGACAAAGGGCTAATATCCAGAATCTACAATGAACTCAAACAAATTTACAAGAAAAAAACAAACAACCCCATCAAAAAGTGGGCGAAGGACATGAACAGACACTTCTCAAAAGAAGACATTTATGCAGCCAAAAAACACATGAAGAAATGCTCATCATCACTGGCCATCAGAGAAATGCAAATCAAAACCACTATGAGATATCATCTCACACCAGTTAGAATGGCAATCATTAAAAAGTCAGGAAACAACAGGTGCTGGAGAGGATGTGGAGAAATAGGAACACTTTTACACTGTTGGTGGGACTGTAAACTAGTTCAACCATTGTGGAAGTCAGTGTGGCGATTCCTCAGGGATCTAGAACTAGAAATACCATTTGACCCAGCCATCCCATTACTGGGTATATACCCAAAGGACTATAAATCATGCTGCTATAAAGACACATACACACGTATGTTTATTGCGGCACTATTCACAATAGCAAAGACTTGGAACCAACCCAAATGTCCAACAATGATAGACTGGATTAAGAAAATGTGGCACATATACACCATGGAATACTATGCAGCCATAAAAAATGATGAGTTCATGTCCTTTGTAGGGACATGGATGAAATTGGAAACCATCATTCTCAGTAAACTATCGCAAGAACAAAAAACCAAACACCGCATATTCTCACTCATAGGTGGGAATTGAACAATGAGATCACATGGACACAGGAAGGGGAATATCACACTCTGGGGACTGTGGTGGGGTCGGGGGAGGGGGGAGGGATAGCATTGGGAGATATACCTAATGCTAGATGACACGTTAGTGGGTGCAGCGCACCAGCATGGCACATGTATACATATGTAACTAACCTGCACAATGTGCACATGTACCCTAAAACTTAGAGTATAATAAAAAAAAAAAGAAAAGAAAAGAAATGTGAAATACTATATAACATTAGAAGAATAGCAGAATAGAATATTGTTGCTACTGTGAATGAGTTAATTTTTAACTGGTTATTACAAGTACATAGAAAAGCTATTAAGTTTTGAATATTTGTTTTATAGGCAGCCACTTTACTGAGTGCTATAATTTGACCACAGTATTTTTTAGTTGGTTTTCTTGAGTTTCAGTAATAGATAAACATATTACCTATAAATAATGATAATTTTGTCTTTTCCTGTCAGTTATATCTCCTTTGTTTTATTGTCTTATTACACAGGCTAGAATTTTCTGAATAATAAAAAAGAAAACAGCAGTGATAACGGGTGTCCTGTCTTTTAAAATAATGCCTCTAATATATCACCATTAATTATGATGCAGCTAATGGTTTGAATAGATTTCAAACATTATTTCAACATTAAAATATTCTGCAAGATTTTACTTGCCAGTATTTTATAAAGAACTTTTGCTTCTACATCTATGTTCACGTGAGGTAACATTTACCAAGTGCTTTCAAAATGCCAGTCACAATTTTAAGCATTCTAAATGTATTAAACCATGACACCTCTATGAGGTAAGTACTCATTTTACATGAGCAAAACACAGAAACACCACTAGTAAGTGGTGAAACTGGGAGCATGGGTAAATATGAGACTAATTAGCAATTTCTTGTTATGTGCTATTTTTTTTTTTTTACCAAGTTTGGATATCAAGGTTATGCTCTTTTTAAAAACTGAAATGTTAAGCTGTCAATTTTAGTATGCTCTGGGACAGTTTATATAGCATAGGAACTATATTTCCTTAAAAGGTTGATGATCAAATCCTTAATCTTATCTGAGCTTAAAACTTAATTCTGCTTAATTAACAATAAAATTTACATCTATTTTCCTTTTTGTCTGTTTGCCTCTTATATTTCTATTTATTCTGTGGATGGACTCTGGTGACAGTTGACAAGCATTCAACCAGTTTGAATAAGGGCCTAATCCTTTTATCTAGTAGCTTAGCGACCATAACTGAGAGTCACCGGGTGAACGCTGGCCATGCCAGAAAGACTAACCATGTGATCTGGGGTAGGGCATCTGCGTCATACAGTATCGGTCAACCTGGAGACTGAGTTCAACCACCTGGGCAATCAATCAATCAATCAATCATGACTAGGTAATGGAGCCCCAATAAAACTCTGAACAGTGGGACACATGTTGATATTTCATATCCATACTGGAAGGGTAACATGTCCTGATTTTATAGGAAAATGGACACTTCACATTTGGGACTCTTCTAGACTCTTCCCTATGCATCTCTTCTTTTGTGAGATTTTAATGTGTATCTTTAGCCCATAATACACTGTAACTGTGAGTACAATAGCTTTCAGTGAGTTTTTTGAGTCTTAGCAAATTATCAAGCCTGAAGTTGGTTTCGGGAAGCTCTTCAACTTGCAGTTGATGTCAGAAATGAGGGCAGTCTTGAAGAGTACGTATACCTGTAAACTCTGTAGTTTAACTCTGGGTACAGCTAAACTACCTTTTATAAAGGGAACAAATAATTTACTCTCCTTTTAGAACAAGAACTCTAGTTGATCATTTACTAGTATACATTTTTACAATTAAATTCCCAAAATATGATTTATTTAAAAAGACAAGATATAAGAAGATAACAGTAATACAGAGTTTAAGACTAAGAATGAGGCAGGAGAATAGGGTCTGGAGGCGGGGAATCTAAGGCCGTTTTGCACTGACTTCCTGGAACAAAATTGAAAGGAAAACCCTAACTTTCTACGCCTAAGTAACAAAATGACCAGAGGCTACTCCCTTTGCAAACCCCTACCTTTTCTGCTGGCAGATGAGAAATTGAAAGTACCTCTGACTGGTTGGTTTTTGCAACCAATCAGACGTTTGCATAGGAGTGTAACTTTGTAACTTCACATCAGCCTCTGATTGGTTGCTGTCCCCAACCAATCACACTGACTGTGGGCCAAGTCTTCATTTGCACAGAAGGGCAGCTTTGTAACTCCACTTTAGCCTCAGATTGGTTGCTTTCCACAACCAATCAGATGTTTGCTAGGAGTGTGACCTTTGTAACTTCACTTCAGCCTCTGATTGGTTGCTTTCTGCAACCAATCAGACTGATTGCAGGCCACCACTTCATTTAAATGGGGTGAACACTAATTGGCCAATGGGAAACCTCTAGCGGGTATTTGGACCTTAGAAGATTCTGTATCCAGGTCCTTGAGCGGCTGCTCAGGCCTGCTCCCACCCTGTGGAGTATGCTTTCATTTTCATTAAATCTCTTCTTTTCTTGCTTTATTCTTTCCTTGCGTTGTGTGTTTTGTCCAATTCTTTGTTCACCAGTAACAAGAGTATATAATAACTGTCAGAGAATTGGTTTGCTAAATGCCTTCAAAAGCCTTTACCAAAGAAAGCAATTAATACATACTGCAACTAGTTACATGTGTATCTCCTCTTCTAGATTCAGAGCATCCTGCTGGCAAAATCTAGTTTCTTACACCGATATTACCTAGGCTTTGCTTAGGCTTTGATAGATAGCAGATATTCAATACTTTTTAAAAATTTGTTTATTGATACATAAATTTGTATATTTTTATAGGGTACACGTGATACTTGGTTACATGCATGGAACGTGTAATGATCCAGTCAGGGTATTTAGGGAGTCCATCATCTTGAGTATTATTTCTTTTCTTTTTTTTTGAGACATAGTTTTGCTGTTGTTGCCCAGGCTGGAGTGCAATGTTGTGATCTCAGCTCACTGCAACCTCCATCCCTGGGTTCAAGCGATTCTCCTGCCTCAGCCTCCCAAGTAGCTGGGATTACAGGCATGTGCCACCATGCCCAACTAATTTTGTATTTTTAGTATACGGGTTTTCTCTATGTTGCTCAGGCTGGTCTCAAACTCTCAACCTCAGGTGATCTGCCCGCCTTGGCCTCCCAAAGTTCTGGGATTACAGATAGGAGCCACCACCCCCGGCCACCTTGCGTTATCATTTCTATGTGTTGGTAGCATTTCAAGTCTTCTCTTCTAGCTATTTTGAAATATACAATACAGTGTTGGTAACTGTAGTCACCCTACTCTGCTATCAAACATTAGAACTTATTCCTTCAATTGACATATTTGTACCCCTTAACCAACCTCTCTTCATCCTCCCACCCTCTATCCTGACATACACACACCCTTCCCAGCCTTTGGCAACTATCATTCTACTCTCTACCTCCATGAGATCAACTTTTTTAGCCCGGGTGTGAGAACATGGGATATTTGTCTTTCTGTGCCTGGTTTATTTCACTTAACATAATGAGTAGGTACTCAATGTTGGTCTAATTCAATTAAATCTACCAAATGCAATTTGAGGAGTTTCAGAAAGGTCTCTCAAAGACCTCTGTCACTCTCAAAGTGACAAAGGTATTCTCCGGTGACCTGTCAAAGAGTTAAAGGTTCACCATTCACTTAATTTTCTGCCCTTAATATTCCTGAAAGTCGAATGGCAGTAAGCAAAATCTCTACAAATAATACACAGCATTTTAACAGTAGATTCATTTAGATAATCAGATTATTTTCTAATTATCAGCTTAAAAATTTTGAAATGTAGTATGAACCAGACATGTCTTAATAAAAAGAGAGAGAAAAAGCTAGATCTACAGCTGGTTAAAGTAAGAAATTTCGTGAAGGATAGGTGGATGCGTTCTGCAGGCTGAGGAAGTAAGATACTGGATAGAAATGTAATAACATAAAAGCAATGAATACCAAAACAGGAAAGAAACATACACTAAACAGAGATAATGTGGAAAATTCAAGACAACCATCAATTTGGCTATTTTAAGACCTACTTTCATGAAATCAACTCTTTCATATAATACAATCTCTCTCATGAAATCAATTCTTTCATATAATACATATCTATCAATGCAAGTGTCCTAGTGTTACAGTTTCACTAGTGCACAGCTTTTTTTTAATGTCCACATTATACAAACAATCTCAATAAATGGCCAAGGTTTAAAACTGTTTAAAACTTCACTGTTATCCCAGTGAAGCAGGAGGATTGTTTGATACCAGGAGTTCAAAACCAGCCTGAGCAACATACATAGCAAGACCCCGTCTAAAAAAAAAAAAAAAGGTTAAAAAAAATTAGATTGGTGTGGTGGTGCACACCTGGAATCCCAGCTACTCGAAAGGCTGAGGCAGGAGGACCACTTGGGCTCAGGAGTTTAAGGCTGCAATAAGCTATGATAGTGCCACTGCACTACAGCCTGGGTGGCAGTGCAACATCCTATCTCTTACAAAAAAAAAAAAAAAAGCCAAATTCTAACATTTTTGCATGTCTGTTTTGTTGTTATATATTCCTCCTCATTTCTCCACAGGATTTTTAAGATATATTACATATTTTTGTGATTTTTAAAATTTGATTTCAATGTAAACAAAAAAGTAGCTGGCTGTGGTGGCATGTAACTGTAGTCCCAGCTACTTGGGAGGCTGAGGTGGGAGAATCACATGAGTATGGGAGATTGAAGCTGCAGTGAGCCATGATCATGACAGTGCACTCTAGCCTGGGCAACAACAGTGAGACCCTGTCTTAAAGAAAATAAAAAAATAGGCCGGGTACGGTGGCTCACGCCGGTAATCCCAGCACTTTGGGAGGGCGAGGTGGACAGATCACAAGGTCAGGAGATCGAGACCATCCTGGCTAACACGGTGAAACACCCTCTTTACTAAAAATACAAAAAATTCACCGAACATGGTGGCATGTGCCTGTAGTCCCAGCTACTTGGGAGGCTGAGGCAGGAGAATCGCTTGAACCCGGGAGGCGGAGGTTGCAGTGAGCGGAGATCAGCCACTGTACTCCAGCCTGGGTGACAGCAAGACTCCGTCTCAAAAAAAAATAAAATAAAATAAAATAATAATAAATAAACTATTTTATTTCAATGCAACTTATCACATAACAATTTTTAAAATATATTTTTAAAATAAAGAAGAAATATATTTATTTTATTTTAATTTAAATTTTTTAGAGCAGGGTCTCACTCTGTAGCCCAGGTTGTAGTCCAATTGCGCGATCATGGCTCACTGCATCCTGAATCTCCTGAGTTCAACCAATCCTCCTACCTTCTAGCCTCCTGAGTAGCTAGGACTGTAGGTACACACCACCTCTCCTGGCTTAAAGAGGAAATGTTAATGTTCAATGTATACACACAATTTTAGGACAATTGTTTAAAGAGGCCAGCTTTGATAATTTCTAAGCCACTTCTATTGGTATTAGAAAATGCCAGATAAGCAATGTATTTTTATTAAAATGTATCCTTTGATAAAGGTTAAGTGAGCATTCATGCATAGATCAAGTTAAACATTGTAACTTTCTATGTGTAGGTTAAAAACATAACTGTTTAAGTCACTATCTGTATTTTTGCTCATGCAAAAATATATTTCACATTACTTACAGATCAAAAGTTATATCTTCAATTGTTTTAGAAGGAGACAAAGAAAACAAACATAATGCATGTATGTATTTGTGTCAAGGTCTTATTTGATGATATATCTGTTTGGGACCTAGGTCTGAAATTTGTAAATAACTTTTTAAAAGTTCATCCTTAACTGACTATTATCTTTCATTTCTATTTCAGAGAATTCTATGTTTAACTTCTAGTATCTAGTTAGCTAGTTAATCCTAAATATTAGCAGTAAAGGATGAGCAAAAAAAAAGTAGTACTTAACATCTGACTTTAAGATTCTAAAATATAAAGTCATGATTGAGAAAAGTTAAACTCCAAATGATCTATTTTAGGTTCAATATGGTTTTTAAAACAAGAATATTTCAGACTGATTAAATTTAATAAATCCCATGGTATTAGTTCCTATATAATAAAAAAATAATTTTTAAAACTATTGCCTTAAAGTAAAACATATATTCTATAGAATAATGGTGTAAATACATATCAAAGCAACATAAGGCACTAGGGAAGCAAATAAAAGATTAATCACGTTATTAAGATGGGAAAAGGAGAACAGGAGAAGTAATTTTCTTACAACAGTAAAGGGCAGATTTGGAGAGAGAAAGAGAACCAGACAAAAAAGAATGAATTTTATGAGTTCCTGGAATAAGTTCAAAATGCAAGAATTGATGCCATTTTTAAAGGTACATAGCTGCCTTATAGACGTAAATTATTTACCTCATTTTCGGTTCCCACATCCAGAATGACAGGCAGACATTCTTGAGGATTCATCCCTCCGCAAGCTGTATATAGAGCCAATTTACCCACAGGGATGCCCATTCCATTACAGCCAAGGTCTCCCAAGCCAAGAATACGCTCTCCATCAGTCACCACAATGGCCTGGAAGAAAAAGAAAAATTACCTATTAACAAGTTTTCACAAATCCTGAGACACAATTTCTGACTCTATTTCTGAAGTTACTACTAGTGAAATAGTAAGCTGTTAAAAAACATAAATTGAATATTTATGAAAAAGATTTTATAAATTGTAATTGTGGAAGAATAGGGTGAAGAAATGAACTTGATTTATAAATATGCTTAATTAGGTTATTTTAAAAAGAAGGGCAAGTGTGCACATAAAGATTCAAACATACCAAATAACTTTTCAATCAAGAAGAGCAAGTGGGTAAAGTATAGGGAAATAAGAGCTCAGACTGGGAACCAAAAGAAACACAGGGTGGTTTTGAGCAAGAGTGTCCTTAGTAAAGTACTGCATAGTTACTGAAGAGATTGAGGAGGTTATATCTCTGCCCTAAATGCTCTGATCTTCAGTTTATGCATCCTGGCCCTATCCTCCTATTTTTACAACAATCTGACCCATTCTCCTTAACTCCTATAATCACTTGATATCTTTGAAACATGTCCAGTACAGTCTGCTACTTCTTACCTGAAAATTTTCCACTAGACTTAATGAATTTTGTCTTTCTCCTTCCTTCCTTCCTTCCTTCTTTTATCTTTCTTTTTTTTCCCTTTTTTCCGAGACGGAGTCTTGCTCTGTCACCCAGGCTGGAGTGCAGTGGCACAATCTCAGCTCACTGCAACCTCTGCCTACCGGGTTCAGGCAATTCTCCTGTCTCAGCCTCCCAAGTAGCTGGGATTACAGGCGCCCGCCACCACGCCCGGCTAATTTTTGTATTTTTAGTAGAGACAGGGTTTCACCATGTTAGCCAGGCTGGTATCAAACTCCTGACCTCGTGATCCACCCGTCTCAGCCTTCCAAAGTGCTGGGATTACAGGCATGAGCCACCACCGTGCCCAGCCTGTTTAGTTTATTTCTAATTAACTTGAATATTTATGAAGCATATACTTTAATCATGTGGAGATTTTAATTCTATGTAATTTGATATCATTATTGAACATCTTTGTGATTCATGTCAGTTATATGAATTTAAACAAAACCAATCTTATGAAACACAATTTATTAGATAGTCTACAAACTGCTACACTCATCATATTCAGAGAAACGTGGGAATATGTCAGTTATTTGGCCTTGGGTGAATTTAAGCTTCTGTTTCTTATTGGTAAATTGGGAGTAATAAAGGTACTTTTCAGAGTAGCTGTATAAAATTGGGAACCAGGTCTTTTTGCTTACCACTGTACATCAGCACCTAGTATAGCATTTGGCACACAGTAAACAATCAATAAATATTAGTAAATTGAATAAAACTATGATTACATAAAATGAAATCATGATATATAAAGAACTTACCACAGTACCTGGTACATTACAAATTCTTAAAAATTTATAGCTATTATTACTATTATTTCACTGGAGCTAATTATAAAGTTATAGCATTTTAGATGTAAAGAGAAATCTAAAGTATATTCCATCTATTCCTCTTATTTTATAAATTAGTTAACTGAAAAATCAGAGAACTGAAATAATTTGCCTAAAGTGATTTACTTGGTTAATATCAAAGAACCAGAAACCCACATATGTTAATTCCTAGTACAGTGCTCTTTTCACCATACCACATTGCAGAATATATTTTAAAATATACTTCTAAGATATTTTATTTAATTTCCTGTTCACCTATATTATTCAGCTCTTGAAAAATTGTCTTAAAAGCAAATACATTTGGGAGGTAGGTGAAAATCATTTTTGCACATTCAATACATTTGTCTTTGGAAGATTTTCCATGTCAAATAGCAGTGGATCAATATGTGATGCTCTTTTGGAGGAAGCAATCCGATACTACTGGGTTAACTTAGCCCTGATTTAAGGTAAAAAAGATAAATACTGCAGATAACTATAACTTTGTTTTTTAAATTAAATTAAGGCCAAATTTTCAAAGTCCTGGTACTTCTAATGTGTATTTAACAGACAGTTTTATTTACTGCATTACCACAAATAGAGGTATTTTTACATATCGTTGATAATATATACTTTTATGAATGTGATCTTTACATAGGTAAAGTCCAGTTGGCCTGCCTATACTTACAAATATTTTTAATGATATGTTTTATAAGGAGAGTAATATTGTCATTTAGCTTAGTTAGCTTAGTCATTTAGCTTAGCTTAGTTATGACCTGAATAATAATTTATAAAATGCTTTCCAGATTTCATCAAAAGTGCTTAAACACAGAGAGTTGTTATTTGGTTTCAAAATTCTGAAGGGATTTCAAGTGGCATAACTTTTCACTTATTTTTGATAGCTCATCTATGTTAAACTAAATATATGTCTTGAACATTAAAAAAAAAAAAAAGTGGGCCAATTGCAGTAGCTCACGCTTATAATCCCAGCACACTTTGGGAGGCCGAGATGGGCGGATCACCTGAGGTCAGGAGTTCAAGACCAGCCTGACCAACATGGCAAAACCCCGTTTCTACTAAAAACACAAAAATTACCTGGGCGTGGTGGCGAGTAGCCTCCCAGCTACTCGGGAGGCTGAGGCAGAAGAATTGCTTGAACCTAGGAGGCGGAGGTTGCAGTGAGCAGAGATCACACCACTGCATTCCAGCCTGGGCAACAAGAGCAAAACTCTGTCTCAAAAAAAAAAAAAAAAACAAAAAACAAAAAACAGTGCATTCTTTCTTATTTCTTCATAACTTTTATTCCCTAAGTTCTTCTCTCAAAGCTATTATTTATATTATTTAATAATATACATATACATGAACATTTAGATATGTAGTAGTTTGAGAAGTTTTTAAAATATGTTTTGAGACATTTGATATTTATGCTTTATTACAAACGTACATTTATAGCATTAATTCATAAATACTTCCATATAAAAGAGTAGATTTTAACAGTAAAAGAATTCTCTCAAAGAAAAAAAGTTTTGTCACTTATGTAGTTTATCACTAAATTAATATTCTCTTGCTTTTTTTAACCTACTTTATCTCCTGCTTCAGAAAAATGAAGCAGTTGGATGTTTTCTGTACGATAATTAAGTCACAACTGCAGGATTAATATCAGTAAGACAACTACAATTCTATCAGTGATGTCTGTTTTTCAAAAATTAAATCTTCACCCCACTATACAAATTATTATCTAGGCATTACCTGAATAGAAACTTCTGTATGAAATACGCAGATTTCTCCTGAACACACAAAGATACTCTCCATGTGTCCTGTCTTCATCCCTTCATTTAATTTCCCAAGGCCCATCCTCTTGTAGCCTACCTAAATGCAGAACCTTTGCATCTTTTCCTGCTTTCTTGAAACTATTCTAAAATCTGTTTCCAGTGAACCTTCTTCAAATATTACTTATATAATTTCCTTGTTAAATATGACATTCTATTTTTTCAAATCTAAATCTCTTTCTGAATTTCAAAACCTTTTACAGTAATTTGATTACCCCTTAAACAATCTTAATTCCACTATATTCCAATATTAACACTCAGCTTTAGTCAGGCAAGTGAATTTCCTTATTATCTAAAAACACCCCATTCTCTTACCGAACTTGATATCTACATTCACCTGTTCCCTTCTTAGAATAGTATATTCTTCCCTTTCTAACTATCAAAGGTTGGATTTAAGTTTCAACTTTGCTAGAAAAGTTTTCTTAACTATTCCAGCCTTCTCTAAATAATATTCTCCTCAGAATGAATAAATAAGGCACCTATAATACCACACATTTTGATTATATTTTGCTTAATAATTGCCTTTATTTCATGGGTACTTTCAAGTATATAGTACAGACCATATAAGATACACTTACCTATCTTCAGCATTCTTTTACAATCAATAGCTGCCGTTTACTAAGTACCTACTATGTGCCAGGCACTATGCTAAGATTTTTAAATAAAAGAGGGCATAGTTAGGGATAAGAACATCAGTAAGGGCCCAATATTAAGAGTCCAAAGGATAAAAGTAGCTTATGAATAAAGTTAAAGATGCAGAGATCAGTTAGTTGGAAGAACAAGAAACATGGTGTGATAGCTTACTGCCTAGCTGTTAGGACGATTACAGGGATATTGGCTAGAACTCTCTACTGCAGAACTATTTCCTCTATTGACTTGTTAATTCTTGTTTGTTTGTTTTTTTTCTGAGACAGGGTCTCACTCTGTTGCCCAGGCTAGAGTGTAGTGGTGTGATCATAGTACATTGCAGAATTGAACTCCTGAGCTCAAGTGATCCTCCCACCTCAGCCTCCCAAGTAGCTGGGTGCATGCCAAGTAGCTGGGACTACAGGCATGCACCACCATTCCAGCTAATTTTAAAATTTTTTCTAGAAATGGAGTCTCACTATGTTGCCCAGGCTGGTCTCAAACTCCTGAGCTCAAGCAATCCTCCCACCCACCTCGGCCTCCCAAAGTGTTGGGATCACAGGCCTGAGCCACCACTTCTGGCCAACTTGTTGATTCCTTAAATTTTCTTTAGATTCCTGATTAAAAGTAAACATCCTTAGGTGATCAGACATTTATGCTTTATACAATTAAGATGTTTCTTAGGGTAGTTTCTAAGACCAGAATCTGTGGATAACATGGTCCTGTTGATAGCAGAAAAGCTGAGGAAGCAACTTAGGTGGAGAAAGCAAAAAAAAAAAAAAAAAAAAAAAAAAAAATTGAGGACACTGGAAATAATAAAAACCATTTTAATTTACAAGTTTTCCTGGCATGAGCCCTAGAGAACCAAATTAATCAATTATAGCCACAATGTCTCAAATAGGAAAGATCACCAAGGCATGGTAGCTCACACCTATTGTTTCAATACTTTGGGAAGCTCAGGCAGGAGGACTGCGTGAGGTCAGGAGTTCAAGACCAGACTGAGCAACATAGTGGGACTTTGTCTCTAAAAAAATTAAAATAATTTTAAAAAGATCATTAACGGACTTACATTCAGAAGTTATAGCTGAAGTGCCTTTGTACCACCAAAAGGCATTGATTTATTCCATCCTGGTACTAAAAGATACCACAAAGTTGCTAGGCATTCAACAGAAAAGAAAGAGGGAACCAAAGGGAGAACAAACACTTCTCACCTCCCTTAGACAAGGAAGATGGCATAGCCCTGTGTCTAAGAACAGGGACTCAGAGGCCAGCTCTGGGGCCTGCATGCAGTTCCCACCACTATCTTAAGCTACTTTGTAACCCATCTGTGCCTTTCTTTCCTCAATCAATTATTATTATTATAAGAGTTAATCCATGTAAAAAGTCTCATTCAGAATGCTACCAAATGTCAAGTACTATTATTACTTTTATTTTCATTAGCTCACTTACAGAGGTAAGTCAAATGAACTACTTAAAGTCATAATGATAAAAGAAATGAATTAACAGACTTTTTTTCTTGCCTACTTGGATTCCTCTTAGTGGATAATTAAACACAACAGATAGAATTTAAGGGTTTGCTTAAAGAAATTCAGATGCTATCACATATTCAACATTTATCATTACTTAGAATGGAGGTACTAAGAAATTAGATAGAAATAATAGGAAAACTTAGTATCTAAATGGCATCAGAATAAAATTAACCCACTATGTAAAAATCAAAGGGATATAAATTAGGTGATATTCACTAGAAAAGCTAATGAATGCTACCTATTATCATGAGAATTGTCAGTATATTTTAAACTGTTTTATGGGACAGAAAAAAGAAAAAATTTGCTATAGTGGAAAAACATGATAACTTACCTTGATGACATCTTCTGGCCATGCATTGAGAACTGAAGCAATATGCCCTCGATCGTGGATAGTAATAAAGAGACCTCTGCAGAAAAAAAAAAAAAAAAAGGAGTAGTTTACATTTACTTCAGGCCTGTCAAACTACCATGAATATCTTAAATTTTTTTTCAAACAACAATTTAATTTATCTCAATTTTTATCAAACTGGTGGACATTATTTCCTTAAACAAATAAGGGGCAGGAATTCTTATAAGTAAGGGAGAAATTACTTGAAATAATATATTGACATCTACAATAAAGGGAGATTTGTTCTCTTAGATATTTTAAAATATTTTTAAATTAATAAACATTTACTATTTTTATGTACAGAGAATTTAGATACCATTATCAGTTCCACTCACAAATTCATTTAGAATCTGTCATGATATAATATATATAAAAGCACTTTGAAAAGCAACATGAAGCATCTGTAAACAGGTATTTCCAACGTATATGCCACCTAATCCATTTTCAACATGAAGATGAGAACATGTGTTAGAGATGGCTGAAGTGACTGACTAATGCTGAGTAGTTCTTTCATGTGGAGCTCACTTGATTTCTTTGATTTGTGATCTTAGTTGCCGTTTGCAACTCTGTTATTTACTCTAAAGTCTTTAACACTGCTTGCCCCTCCCATTTCCTACAAAATCTTAACAAGTAACTTCACAAATTAAAATAATAGAATTTAAAATATGTAAATGCCTTATCCTCATTTAAAAGTTTTGCTCTAGTATTGTTAAATGTGACTCACATACAGAGAACCACATATAGCTTAATGAATTGTTATAAGACAACCACATTTCTACATAATATTCATTTAAACAGAATCTTGCCAGCTACCCAAAACCCATCCCGGGTTTTCTCCCAAAGACTCTTCCCTTCTAAGTGTAACCACTATCCTCACTTTTATGGTATCACATCCTTTATAGTTAATTTATTATTTTATCACCAAATCATAAACCTTCCATAGGCACTATTGTTTAATTTGTCTGGTAGAGTTTCCCTCAATATAGATTTGGCTAATTACATCCCTATGATATAGGTTAACATGTTAATCTTTCTTCTGTATTCTTGGAAAATTGGTAATTGAAAATTGAATCTAGAAGCATAATCAGATTTATGTTCAATTTTTTTGGACAAGACATTTCATGGGTTGATGTTATCAGAAGGCACACCATATTTGGTATTCCTTTTTGTGATGTTAGTAGCTTATTTTGCTAAATGTCTAAATTCATGAATTCATCTGGCATTACAAAATGGTGATATTCCAATTGTATCATTCATTATGTATTTACTGGAACACCCCTTTAAAGAGAAATTTCACCACATCTACTATTTGGGTATCCAAGGATACGGTTGATATAGAAAAAGGAAAAATGCTTGATTCTCTTTATCAGTTTTTAAATTAAAAAGCTGGTTAACTACATTTCTTCAGAGGTTTCCACTTAGTTGTTGTTGTTGTTGTGTGTGTGTGTGTGTGGTTTTGTTTTTGGTTTTCTTTTTTTGATCAATTTGAACTCATGGATTTAAACATATTTGATGTGTTTCAATCCATTATAGTTATTTTCCTTATTGATATTCATATTATCTCATCTTGAGCAAGTGAAAGACTCTTCATGCTGTCCCCTGAGTCCTTTTGACATGTCTATAGTAGTTTTGGATAGATTCCTTGCTCTGTTATGATCAAATGTTCCAGGTCTATTTTGAAAATGTTCTGCCCAGACCTAAAATGAGCCATTTTTCTAATCTGTTTCCTTGAGCAGAAAGTGGTCAGGCAAAGGTCAGCTCTCAACTCTCATCTCATTTGACCTCTTGACTGTTTGACATTGTTGGTTTTCCCTTTTGTGAAACACTTTCTTTTCTAGCTGCTGAGATACCACATTTGCCTACGTTTCCTCCTAATCACTACCTGCTTCTTCTCAGGTTCCTTTGCTGCCTCCTCCTCCTCTCTGTCTTCTTAATGTTGAACTGTTTCAGGGCTCTATACTCCTCTCTTCTCCAGCTACACTCACTGATGTAACTTAAGCACTCTCATGGTTGGTTGTTTATTTTTGAAAGTGTCTCGCTCTGTCACCCAGGTTGGAGGGCATTGGCATAATCTTGGCTCACTGCATCCCCTGCCTCCTGGGTTCAAGCGATTCTCCTGCCTCAGCCTCTCAGGTGGCTAGGATTACAGGCGCCTGCCACCACGCCTAGCTAATTTTTGTATTTTTAGTAGACATGAGATGGGGTTTCACCACGTTGGCCAGGCTGGTCTTGAACTCCTGACCTCAAGTGATCCGCCTGCCTCAGCTTCCCAAAGTGTTGGGATTATAGGCGTGAGCTACGGCACTTGGCCTCTCGTGGTTTTAAATATCATATTCATAGTAGTGACTCTCAAACTTCTATCATCACTCTAGACCTCTCCTTGAGCTCCAAACTATAAATCTAACTACCTACTTAATTCTTTCTCATTATTCAATCTTCAGCTAAAATCTTGGCTCCTCAGACAGGCCTTCTCTGATAACAGTAGTCAGTGCACCTCCACCCCAACATTTTTATCACCTTCACAATACTTAAAAACATCTAGAATTATTTATTTATGTATTCAAATGTTAACTGTCTGTGTCTTCCCTGGCATCATCACCCAGCGTACATGTACACACAAAGCAGCAAGGTGCTTAAGTACAAAGAATCTCTATTTTGCTTACATTTGTAATCCTGATGCCTATAAGTGTGCTAGCAAGTAGTATGTATCCAACAATATGTGCTGACTTCAGTGCTGAAAAATAAGGCTTTTATAATCAAATATTATAAAGCACAGAAAACATGAAATAAATCCAGCCTAATATTGACTCATTAAGTAACCCAAAATTACGTCAGTGCTATAGGAAGATTACTGATGACTGTCTGACTCAACAAGAATATTAACTTACTAAGCTGACACTACATTATATCCTTTCATGGTTTTCTTGCTGTTTCATATGAATGTATTTTGTTTCTCAAAATTGATTATAAGTTCTTTATAAGGTATATATTTCTTTTGGATCCCTGTCATAGTCCAATGTGAGCCTATAAAATCAGCAGGATCTCAATAAATAATTATAAAATTAAAATATTTTTGAACTTTTTAAAGAAGGCACTTTTGTTGAATTACTAAGACATTCTTGGCAATATACTATTTTTTATTTGTATAAATTTAGGGGGTACCAGTGCAATTTTGTTACATGCATAGCTTGCACAGTGGTCAAGTCAAGGCTTTGGGGTATCCAGTAATATTTCTCAGGAACTTGTTAGTTAGCCAAGGTTTTCCAAATAACACTGGTTTCAGGAAACACCATTTTTTTAAATAAGAGAGACAATGAATTACACCAAAATTAACACCAATTAAATGCCAATGTTTATTATATCTGAGTTCAGCTTCAGAATAAGAGTCATTTGGCCACCTGTAATCTCTTGCACTGAGTAGAGATTCATTCATAGAAAGAATTATTACTTTTGAAGAGAGTTCAACAAATAAAGGACCGGTAACGTCCCACCAAAACCAAGCATTTCGGGAGGGCTATTTGAGTTATTTGCAATACTTCCTGAAATGTTTCATAATTAGAAACCGAATGAGATATCCAAAAGTGTTTTGGCACAGAAATGACTCATACTTTCTGGTACACAGTTGGATATAAAAACATTAATTTTCAACATATACATATATACAGTTATAAAATAAAAAAGTTTAAATAAGAAAGGTATTTATCAATATTTTTTAATGAATGGAATTATAATGAATACCTTTTCACCATCCCTGTTATTCTTGATCAATTTAAAATGTTTAATTTTAGACATGCCAACTAAGAATACTCCTATTTTTGTTCTTGTTTCATGTTAGAATTGAGACAATTTTAAAATATGGATGCTTTTTCATATATATAGTTCAAACTTTTCTCATAACCTCTTCCTTCAAAACAGATTTGGGAGATGAGATAATATTCTTACTTCTTCATGTTATCTCAGATAATATCCCTAAAAGTTTATTTCGTATCAAGATAAAATTCACCTTTTTATAACATGCAACTTTCTACTGTAATCAAACTTGTATTTCATTTTGGAGATAAGTTTATGACCCTGATCCTGGATCAGTACAGGTAGTAGCCATTCTGAAATTTTCTTAATAACCCTCTGTTCCATTACAGAAGCCAATTTTACTATCTTTTGAAATAAGAAAAGTAAACCCCACATTTTTCACAAAATGTGAGTATGCATTAGTGAGCCCTGTGAGTTAAGCCAACGCTGAGTTATATACCAAAGATCTGGACTGACAGAAAAAGAAGTACTAAAAAAAGCTAACTTCAAGTAAAATGTAGGTCTAAAGATCAGGAAATAGCTAGGATAAAGATGCAAATTTAGGATAGATATGCCTAGAGTTGCAAGAAATAGAAGAATTATTAAAGGGGAAAGAAGAGAAGGCCAAGGAAAAACATTACAAATTAGTACCCACAATAAAAGAATAAGGTGACTAAGAATGGCCTTTGAGAAGAAAATGATCTAACAGGTAAGACAACCAGTGTTTCTGAAGCCAAAGGAAGTCAAGGGGAAAAAATGTTAAGAAAGCACAGATCAATATGATCATTAAGTGCAGTAAATTCTTTGAATTCTTCTTTGAAGTACATTACATAAAATTGTTTTTTTTTCCTGAACTATGATTTAAATAGCCAACATGATGCCGCATCACTACCAAATGATGTAATGCATTTCCTACAAATAAAAATATTCTCCTACATAATCTTAACCAGAAAATTAATATTGACACATTATTACCATCTAATCCTCAGACATCATTCACATTTCACCAGTTGTTCCAATATTGTCCTTCATAATAAAGAGTAGTTCAAAATGCTGTGCAATATTTAGTTGTCAGGTCTCTTTGGTCAATCTCATTTCCTCAGTCTTTCCTTGACTTTCAAGACATTGATACTTATGAACAATTTAGTGTTTTTATAGAATGTCCCTCTATTTGAGTTTGCATACTGTTTGCTCATAATTAGACTGAGATTATACATCTTTTGCAGTAATATTACAGAAGTGATGCTGGCTTCTTCTCATTGTTTACTATCAGGTGGCACCATTGCCGACCGGTCCTATTAGTGATGATGTTCACATTTAACACTTGATTAAAGTGGCGTCCTCCAGGCTTCTTTACTGCAAAGTCATTCTTTCCTACCTTTGTATTTAACAAGTATTTTGTGAAAGGATTCTTCAAAACTCTGTAAGTATACTGTTTCTTCATCCAACTTTCAATTTATTCAGATCAGTATGGGCTCATAGTTTATTATCTTATTCAACAGGTTTTAATCTATTGCAAATATAATGTATCTGATGGCCAAATTGTCCCAGGTTTGCCAGAGGGAGGCCCTTCAAGCTGGCTTCTATGGCTTTTGAGATATCCCAATTGTGATGGTTAATACTGATTGTCAACTTGATGGGACTGAAGGATATAAAGTATTGATCCTGGGTGTGTCTGTGAGGGTGTTGCCAAGGAAGGTTAATATTTGAGTCGGTGGGCTGGGAAAGGTGGACCCACCCTTAATCTGGGTGGGCACAATCTAATCAGCTGCCAGTGTGGCTACAATATAAGCAGGCAGAAAAATGTGAAAAGAGAGGCTTGCCTAGCCTCCCAGCCTACATCTTTCTCCCATGCTGGATGCTTCCTTCCCTCGAACATCGAACTCCAAGTTCTTCAGCTTTGGAACTCGGACTGGCTCTCCTTGCTCCTCAGCCTGCAGATGGCCTATTGTGAGACCTTGTGATCATGTTAGTTAATACTTAATAAACTCCCCTCTCTCTCTCTCTCTCTCTCTCTCTCTCTCTCTATATATATATATATATATATATATATATATATATATATTTCATTAGTTCTGTCCCTCTAGAGAACCCTGACTAATTCAGATTTAGTTCTGTCCCTCTAGAGAACCCTGACTAATACAGATTTTGGTATAAGGAGTGGTTCTAGTGGAAAAGAATATTAAGGATGGAGTTCTTTCATTGGTTTTGGGGTTTTGGGAGTTGGCTGCCTAATATGATTAGACCACAAAATGCTAAGGACTCTACTTCTAATAGCATGGAAAACACTCATAGTCCTTGGCGTGAACTGTTTACAGAGTTATGCAAAATATATGCATTTGACACTCCCGATTCATCACTCATGAGAGGCAAGGAGTTTAGTGACTCTATACCTAATATCTTTGAGCCTATGTGGTGAACCAACGACCATAATAAAGCTGGTTGGTTGCTCCTAAGTTCAGTGGACAAAGTTATGAAAGAAAATGATGAACTCAGAGATTGTATCTCCTGGCTTCAGAAGCATATACTGAGCCTCAAATCTGCTAAGATTGCTCAGAGTGAGAGTCTTATCTCCTGTAGAGAAAGAGCTGAAATTGTGGAAAAACAGACACAAGCTCTTATTGTGCAAGTGGCTGACCTGCAATGAAAGGTGCATGCACAGCCTTGCCAGGTGTCTACTGTTAAAGTGAGGGCATCGATTAGAAAAGAATGGGACCATGCAACTTGGAATGGGGATGTGTGGGAGAACCCCAATGAAACTGGGGACACTGAGTTTGTAAACTCTGATGAACTCTTTTTTCCAGAAGGAACAGCTTCCCCATCTCCAGTAGTGGCAACATCCCCTCCTGGACCCATGATGCCATCAGCCTTTCCACCTTTGTCTGAGGAGATAAACCCTGCGCTACCTGAGGCAACAGTGATGGCCTCCCCTGAGGCAGTTGCCAGGCAAGATAATGTTTTTTTTTTTCTTTTTTCTTTTTATATTCTCCAATTTAAACTTTTAATTAAAAAGTAAACTTTAATGTTGAAAATGCAAACTTGGGGAAGACAGAAAAGATCACACACAAGGCTGTCACTTCTCACTTGGAAGGTTGCACAGCGGCCAGGCAGAGGCGCTCCTCACTTCCCAGATGGTGGGCAGCTGGGCAGAGGGGCACATCACTTCCCAGATGGGGTGGCTGGGCAGAGGCGCTCCTCACATCCCAGACAGGGCAGGGGCTGGGCAGAGGCACTCCTCACTTCCCAGACAGGGTGGTCGGGCAGAGGCACTCTTCACATCCCAGACGATGCGGGAGCTGGGCAGAGGCGCTCAAGATAATGTTGATTCTCCTCAGGAGCCACCCCCAACACCTCTGTTTGCTTCTAGACCTATAACTAGACAAAAGTCCCGGCAGGCCCCTAGAAGTGAGGTTGAAAGTGTGACCCATGAGGAGGTGCGTTATGCTTGAAAAGAACTGCTTGAGTTTTCCCATTTATATCAGCAGAAATCTGGAGAACAGGCATGTGAGTGGATATTAAGGGTGTGGAATAATGTTGGAAGGAAAATAGAGTTGTATCAGGCTGAATTTATTGATTTGGGGCCACTAAATAGGAACTCTGCATTTAATGTTGCAGCTCAGGGGGTTACAAAAAGTTCTAATAGTTTATTTACTTGGTTAGCTGAAATATGGATTAAAAGATTGCCCACTGTGAGTGAGCTGGAAATGCCTGATCTGCCTTGGTTTAATGTAGAGGAAGGGATCCAAAGGCTTAGGGAGATTGGGGTGGTGGAATGGATTAGTCACTTTAGACTGACTCATCCCAGTAGGGTGGGTCCAGAAGATATACCCTTGACCAATGTCTTGCAAAGCAGATTTGTGAGGGTAGCACCTACATCTTTGAAAAGCCTTGCACTTGCTCTCCTCTGCATGTCAGATGTAACATGGGAACTACAGTCACTCAACTACAAAATTTAAATACAATGGGAATAATTGGATCCTGAGGTGGCAGGGGCCAAGTGGCCACACTCAACCTTCAAACGCAAGGTGGGTGGAGCTACCGTAATAGAGAGCAGAGGCAATGCAGCAATCAGAATAGTCTGACTTATGTAGAGCTAGAAGTGAAACTGATAGGAAACCTACTGCGTTCCTACTTAATCTACACAATCTGAAAATTTCTAGGTCGAATGGACAAAAGGCTAATTTGAATTATAAAAACAGAGAATCATGACCCCTCAATCAATTTCCAGACTTGAGCCAGTTTACAAACCCACAATCCCTTGAATGAAAGGGAGGCCAGATCCCCTGGAGGAAGGACCCCAGTACATTACCGACAATTTATGCAGTGAATCTTTCTCCCACCCTTCCCCAAGGAGACCTCTGGCCTTTTACCAGGGTAACTGTGCACTGGGGAAAGGGAAATGATCAGACATTTTGGGGACTACTGGACAATGGCTCTGAGCTGACGTTGATTCCAGGGGACCCCAAACATTATTGTGGTCCTCCAGTTAAAGTAGGGGCTTATGGAGGTCAGGTAATTAATGGAGTTTTAGCTCAGGTCCAACTTACAGTGAGTCCCTGGACTCATCCTATGGTCATTTCCCCATTGCCAGAAATGCATAATTGGCATAGACATACTTAGCAGCTGGCAGAACCCCCACATTAGCTCCCTGACTGGTAGGGTGAGGGCTATTATGGTAGGAAAGCCCAAATGGAAACCATTAGAGCTGCCTCTACCTAAATAGTAAATCAAAAACTATATCGCATCCCTGGAGGGATTGCAGAGATTAGTGCCACCATCAAGGACTTGAAAGACGCAGGGGTGGTGTTTCCTACCACATCCCCGTTCAACTCTTCCATTTGTCCTGTGCAGAAGACAGACAGATCATAGAGAATGACAGTAGATTATTGTAAGCTTAACCAAGTGGTGACTCCAATTGCAGCTGCTGTACCTGTACCAGATGTGGTTTCATTGCTTGAGCAAATTAACACATCTCCTGGTTCCTGGTATGCAGCCATTGACTTGGCAAATGCCTTTTTCTCCATTGCTGTCCATAAGGCCCACCAGAAGAAATTTGCCTTCAGCTAGCAAGGCCAGCAATATGCCTTTACTGTTCTACCTCAGGGGTTATCAACTCTCCAGCTTTGTATCATAATCTTATTCAGAGAGACCTTGATCACTTTTCGCTCCTGCAAGATATGACACTGGTCCATTACATTGATGACATTATGCTGATTGCATCCAGTGAGTAAGAAGTAGCAAACACACCGAATGTATTGGTGAGACATTTGCGTGCCAGAGGATGGGAAATAAATCCAACTAAAATTCAGTGATCACCTACCTCAGTAAAATTTCTAGTGGTCCAGTGGTGTGGGGACTGTCAAGATATTCCTTCTAAGGTAAAGGATAAGTTGCTGCATTTGGCCCCTCCTACAACCAAGAAAAAGGCACAATGCCTAGTAGGCCGATTTGATTTGAGAGGCAACACATTCCTCATTTGGGTGTATTACTCCAGCCCATTTATCGAGTGACCTGAAAGACTGCCAGTTTTGAGTGGGGTCCAAAACAGGAAAAGGCTCTGCAACAGGTCCAGGCTGCTGTGCCAGCTCCTCTGCCACTTGGGCCATATGACCCAGCAGACCCAATGGTGCTTGAAGTGTCAGTGGCAGATAGGGATGCTGTTTGGAGCCTTTGGCAAGCCGCCATAGGTGAATCACAGTGGTGGCCTCTAGGGTTTTAGGGCAAGGCCCTGCCATCTTCTGCAGATAAATAAGCTCCTTTTGAGAGACAGCTCCTGGCCTGTTACTGGGCTTTGGTGGAAACTGAACATTTGACTATGGGTCATCAAGTCTCCATGTGACCTGAACTGCCTGTCATGAACTGGGTGCTTTCTGACCCATGTAGCCATAAAGTGGGCCATGCACAGCAGCATTCCATCATCAAATGGAAGTGGTATATAGGTGACTGGGCTCAAACAGGTCCTGAAGGCACAAGTAAGTTACATGAGGAAGTGGCTCACGTGTCCATGGTCTCCACTCCTGCCACCCTGACTTCTCTTCCCCAGCCTGCACCGATGGCCTCATGAGGAGTTCCCTATGATCAGCTGACAAAGGAAGAGAAGGGGCTGGTTCACAGATGGTTCTGCACAATATGCAGATAACACCCGAAAGTGGACAGCTACAGCACTACAGCCCCTTTTTAGGACATCCCTGAAGGACAGCAGTGAAGGGAAATCTTCCCAGTGGGCAGAACCTCAAGCAGTGCAACTGGTTGTGCACTTTGCATCAAAGGAGACATGGTCAGATGTGCGATTATACACGGATTCATGGGCTGTAGGTTTGGCTGGATGGTCAGGGACTTGGAAGAAGCATGATTGGAAAATTGGTGACAAAGAAATTTGGGGAAGAGGTATGTGGATCGACCTCTCCGGTCAAAAACTGTGAAGATATTTGTATCCCATGTGAGTGCTCACTAATGGGTGATCTCAGCAGAAGAGGATTTTAATAATCAAGTGACAGGACATGACCCGTTCTGTGGACACCACTCAGCCTCTTTCCCCAGCCACCCCTGTCATCACCCAATGGGCCCATGAACAAAGTACCCATGGTGGCAGGGGCGGAGGTTACGTATGGGCTCAGCAACATGTACTTCCGCTCACCAAGGCTGACCTGGCTATGGCCACTGCTAAGCGCCCAATTTGCCAGCAGCAGAGACCAACACTGAGCCCTCGATATGGTGCCATTCCTTGGGGTGATCAGCCAGCTACCTAGTGGCAGGTTGATTATATTGGACCTCTTCCATCATGTAAAGGACAGAGGTTTGTCCTCACTGGAATAGACACTTACTTTGGATATGAGTTTGCCTATCCTGCATGCAATGCTTCTGCCAAGACTACCATCTGTGGACTCACAGAATGCCTTATGCATCATCATGGTATTACACACAGCATTGCCTCTAACAAAGGCACTCACTTTATGGCCAAAGAAGTGTGGCAGTGGGCTCATGCTCATGGAATTCACTGGTCTTACCATGTTTCCTATCATCCTGAAGCAGCTGGATTGATAGAATGGTGAAACGGCCTTTTGAAGTCACAGTTACAATGCCAACTAGGTGACAATACTTTGCAGCGCTGAGGCAAAGTTCTCCAGAAGGCCACGGATACTCTGAATCAGCGTCCAATATATGGCACTGTCTCACCCACAGCCAGGATTAACCAGTCCAGGAATCAAGGGGTGGAAGTGGCACCACTCACCATCATCTCTAGTGATCCACTAGCAAAATTTTTGCTTCCTGTTCCCACAAGATTACGTTCTGCTGGCCTAGAGGTCTTAGTTCCAGAGGGAGGAACGCTGCCACCAGGAGACACAACAACGATTCCATTAAACTGGAAGTTAAGATTGCCACCTAGATACTTTGGGCTCCTCATACCTTTAAGTCAACAGGCTAAGAATGGAGTAACAGTGTTTGCTGGGATGATTGACCTGGACGATCAAGATGAAATCAGTTTACTACTCCACAATGGCGGTAAGGAAGAGTATTCATGGAATACAAGAGATCCATTAGGGCTTGTCTTAGTACTGCCATGCCCTGTGATTAAGGTCAATGAGAAACTACAACAGCCCAATCCAGGCAGGATTACACATGACCTAGACCCTTCAGGAATGGAGGTTTGGGTCACTCCACCAGGAAAAAAACTACAACCTGCTGAGGTGTTTGCTGAAGGCAAAGGGAATACAGAATGGGTAGTAGAAGGTACTCATCAATACCAACTACAACCACATGACCAGTTGCAGAAAGGAGGACTGTAATTGTCATGGGTATTTCCTCCTTCTTTTGTTAAAAACATGTTTGTGTATTTATACACTTGTACTAAGAAAATATCTTCATTTTATTTCCTTCCTCCTTTATCATGTGACATAAGATTAACTGCGCATCAGCATTTAAGTATTGTTAACTTTATGTAACAGTATTTGGGTTGGGGATTGGTGCATTTCTAGTTGTAGGAAGGATAGTTGTATTATGTTAAGCATAATTATGACCTTATTATTGTCTTTATTTGAAGATTATGTATGATCTCAGGAGATGCATATGGGTTCAAGTTGACAAGGGGTGGACTTGTGATGATTAATACTGAGTGTCAACTTGATAGGATTGAAAGATACATAGTATTGATCCTGGGTGTGTCTGTGAGGGTGTTGCCAAAGGAAATTAACATTTGAGTCAGTGGGCTGGGAAAGGCATACCCACCCTTAATCTTGGTGGGCACCATCTAATCAGCTGCCAGCATGGCTAGAATATAAGCAGGCAGAAAAATGTCAAAAGAGAGACTGGCCTAGCCTCCCCTACCCTACATCTTTCTGCTGTGCTGGATACTTCCTGCCCTAAACATTGAACTCCAAGTTCTTCAGCTTTGGAACTCAGACTGGCTCTCCTTTCTCCTCAGCCTGCAGACAGCCTATTGTAGGACCTTGTGATTGTGTGAGTTAATACTTAATAAACTCCCCTATATATATATATTCCATTAGTTCTGTCCCTCTAGAGAACCCTGACTAAATACACTGATCATTTTTCAAGTACATTCTTACTTTTTGGTACATATCCCAAACTCATCTTTTACTTACTCTGGCACAGCCCTGGAGTCAGCAATTTTTCTAAGCAGTTCTGGTTCCTTTTGGTAGAGAATGCTATTTAGATGTGAGTGTTCCATGTGCTCACTGATCCAGGTGTGTTGCTGCTTCCAGGCCAACCCAATGGACAGAGCTAGAGACTATATATAGGTACATATACACTTCATGCATATGTATGTGAATATGTGGGTATATACATATCTATCTATCTATCTATCTGTCATCTATCTATCTATCTATCTATCAAAAACATAAATTTGCAGCAATACTTCCAACAGGGTTCATTCTGGTTGTCTCCCTTCAGTTTTCACTTTTTCTTATAGTGAGAAACCTAGCTTCCATTATGTTTAATACTAATTTGATCAGTCCTCCTGAATGAAACCAACTGCCTCCCCTCCCCAAGTTGATGCCCCACTCACCTCACTCAGACACCAATCTCTGAAGTAAGTAGCTCTCCTACCTGGAAGTCCTCCTCGTCCCACTGGGGCTCTGTCACCTGGCACTGGACTGCCCTCCTACACAGATTCTCCTCTCACCTCACTTGTCCTCACACCCTGAGGCAGGCCACCAACCTATGTGGGTGTTCTTTTTTTTGAGACAAAGTATCGCTCTTGTTGCCCAGGCTGGAGTGCAGCGGCACGATGTTGGCTCACTGCAACCTCCACCTCCCGGGTTCAACCAATTCTCCTGCCTCAGCCTCCTGAGTAGCTGGGATTATAGGCTTCTGCCACCACGCCCAGCTAATTTTTTGTATTTTTAGTAGAGATAGGGTTTCACCCTGTTGGCCAGGCTGGTCTTGAACTCCTGAGCTCAGGTGATCCACCTTTCTCGGCCTCCCAAAGTGCTGGGATTACAGGCATGAGCCACTGTGCCTGGCCCTATGTGGGTGTTCTTAACCCTGCCCAGTCTTCAACATTTCATGCAGGGTTCCCAGCCCTTTCAATGAGAAAATGAAAGAGCATGATGCAGAGAGGGGTGCAGCTTGACTGTTGCTGTTATCTCCAAGGAACACAGAGAAACTAGTGTAAGGTATACAAAAACAAGCTGTAATTATTTACTGTTGGCTGGGTGCAGTGGCATGTGCCTGTAAGCCCAGCACTTTAGGAGGGCAAAATGGGAGGATCACTTGAGGCCAGGAGTTCCTTACTAGCTATACTTCGATTCTTCACAAGAGCTACTTCATATTTCCCCTGTCCCTCACTCCCACCCCTCTATACTCTCAATAGATTAGTACACTTTCATTTGCTCCAAAGATAAACAGAGATTCAGCTTCTAGCTATCTACCTATAAACTTCCTTCCATCTGTATCCCAGTTATTTCCTTCATTACAGTATTAGTAAATAAGGGTCAGTGTCTCTGTCCTCCAGTCCAGTTTACCCTGACACTGTCAGTCTCTGGCTACTCCTCAGTCTTCATAGTCTCTTTGTTTCTGCTTACCCCTTAAATGCTGGCATTCTCCAGGCTCCAATGTTCAACTCTTCTCTTTTTTACTCTAATGAACAGTGACCGCCTAGGGAATCCTTGCTTTGCTCCAATCCTTGGACTCATTTTCAAAGTCCACTTTGTCTCAGCTTCTGCTACATCAGATAATTTGGCTTCATCTCCCATTAAGGTTCCCACCCTGTTCTTGGCATTTGATCAACTAAGCCTGAGAACTATCTGGTTTCCAACTCTGAGTGATGTTTTAAGGATTCATTTAGGCATCTGTCCAATACCTCCAGCTCCTTTTCACTGCTAGGCTAGCTCCTAATTGCTTACCAGAGGCAGTTCAAGTGTTAGCTCCTCTTGGAAATATTTCCTGACCCACATTCTCAATCTGAGTTTGGAATCCCTCAGAAATCCCATAGAACCCTGCTGTCTTTCTCTACTATGATGCTTATCATATTATTTTTCACTTTCTTATATGTCTGTCCTACTAGATTACCAACTCTTGAAGTCAGGAATTTTGTGTGAAGAAGGAATTTGCCTTCAAAAAAGAAGGAAACAGGGAGAAACAGAAAGGATAAAGGTAAGAAGAAAGAAAGATAGTTCAGATCAGACTGGGGCTCTGGCTGGCTCAAAAGTGGGTGAAACACTATGGCAAAAATCCTAGGATGAAGAACACTGAGGAGCTATACGATCAATACAAGAGGACTATCCAGTTGTTGCTGTATACCTCTCTTGCCACTTCTGTGACCAAATTACCAATGCATTGCATTGATAGTTCAGATCTAAATAGCACACATAGATGGCTGCAGTTTCCAGAAATCAAAAGACTTCCACCGAAGTCTTGGATCCCTCAAAGTCACTTATGAGGGATTAAATCAACTTCTTCCAAACTCCTGTTAATATTGATATTCTGATCTCCTCCCATGAATCACAAAAGTTCTCAATGCCATCTAGACTAGTGAATCCTTTCCAGAAGGTTTTCAATTTACTTTGCCCAGATCCATCAAACGAATCACTGTCTATGGCAGCTATAGTATTACAAAATGTATTTCTTATATAATAAGACTTGAGAGTCAAAATTACTCCTTAATCCACAGGCTGCAGAATGGATGATGTTAGCAGTCATGAAAACAACATTCACCTCCTTGTACATCTCCATCAGAGCTCTTATGTGACAAGGTGCATTGTCAATGAGCAGTAATATTTGTAATATTTTGAAAATAATCTTTTTTTTTCTGAGCAGTATGTCTTAACAGTGGGCTTAAAACAGTAAATCATGCTGTAAACAGATGTGCTGTCATCCAGACTCTTGTTCCATTTATAGGCAAGGTAGATTTAGCATAATTTTTAAGGGCTCTAGGATATTCAAAATGCTAAGTAGGTATTGGCTTCAACTTAGAGTCACCAGCTGCATTTGGCCTTAACAAAAGAATCAGTCTGTCCTTTGGAGCTATGAAGCCAGGCATTGAATTCTCCTCTCTAGCTATGAAAGTCCTATGGCATCTTCTTCCAATAGAAGGCTGCGGTGTCTCCATTGAAAATCTGTTGTTTAGTGTGGCCACCTTCATCAATGATCTTAGCTAGATCTGGATAACTTGCTGTAGCTTCTCCCTTAGCACTTGCTTCTTCATCTTGTACTTTTATGTTATAAAGATGGCTTCTTTCCTTAAACCTCATGAACCAACCTCTACTAGCTTCACCATTTTCTTCTGCAGCTTCCTGACTTCTCTCAGCCTTCCCAGAAATGAAGAGAGTTAGGGCTTGCTCTGGATTAGGCTTTGGCTTAAAGGGAATGTTGTGGCTGGTTTGATCTTCTATCCAGACCATTCAAACTTTCTCCATATCAGCAATATGGCCGCTTTACTTTCTTATCGTTGGTATGTTCATTGGAATAGCACTTTTAATTTCATTCAAGAAGTTTTCCTTTGCATTCACAACTTGGATAACAGTTTGGCACAAGAGGCCTAGCTTGCAGCTTGCCTTCCTCACTAAGCTTAATCATTTCCAGATTTTGTTTTAAACTGAGAGATGTGTGACTCTTCCTTTCACCTGAACACTTAAAGGCCATTGCAGGGTTATTAACTGGGTTAATTTCAACACTGTTGTGTGTCTGGGAATAGGCCCGAGAAAAGTGAGATGAGAACTGCTGTCAGTGGGGCAGTTGGAAAACACATATTTATGGGTTAAGTTTGCAGTCTTATATGGGAGCGGTTCATGGTACCCCAGAATAATTACAATACTAACATCAAAGATCTGATTACAGATATAAGATCACTATAAAAGTTATAATAATAACAAAATTATTTGAAATATTGTGAGAATTATCAAAATGTGACACAAAGATACTAGATACAAGTGAACACATGCTATTGGAAAATGGCACTGATAGACTTGCCCAATGGAGGATTGCCACAAACCTTCAATTTATAAAAAACAAAAAAAAATTATCTGCAAAGCACAATAACATGAACAAAAATTAAACGAGGCATGCTTGTACTAATAAGCTTGGTTTTAGTTTCCTATTAAATATTTCCACATGTTTTGCATGTGATTTAAATATTAACTATAAATTACATTACTTTTATGGTCACTTTTATGGCCACATTTCTAATTTTTGTTGCATTTAGTCCACTAACTTCAAAGGAGTCAAATGTTATCATATAATAAATTAAAATGCCATATAACTACATGCATTGATCTCACCATTTACAACATGGATTTACAAAACTAACACATTACAATTTACTGAGTAGACCCTATCATATTTTTTGGCTTCTTATTAAGAAAGGCACTGGATAAAAATAGGAGTTTTAGTCATGGCTATGAATCCTTAGAACAGTCAGTTATCTTCTCCAGACTCAGTAATTTAGAGATAAGAAGAGCTGGACCTAGAATATTCAGTAAGCTGAGACTCAATATTCTCTGGGTCTATGATATTGTCTTTCCCAATCCTGAACTTGCCATAGAAAATTTTCCCATTTTATTTTCATTTCCCTCTGCAATATTTGCTAGCAACCAGAGAACTGCAGGAAAGTTGAATGAAGAAATCCTCCTTCCAAAGAAAATAGACTTTATTATTATTAATATACTTTAAGTTCTGGGATACATGTGCAGAATGTGACTTTTAAAATAAAAATAGATATATATGCTTTAAAGAATTTTCTCCTGTAATTTTTTCCCACTCTTCCTTGTACTTCCAGGCACACAGTTAAGTGTCAGGTCATGTGGGTCATTACATGAAGAATAGGGTGATGAATGGGAGATCAAAGACCTAACTAACTGTTGGTAGCCCAAAGAGGACATTTCATTGGAAATTTCTTTTCTATTACTGACACTGAACTTACTGTAGGCACTCTAAATGTCTACTGAAGTGAACTGAGGTATTTGTTCCATAATTTTTAAAATATACTTTATTTAAGAGGGTTTTGGCCTAACAGATTAAAGTAACTCTCTAGTTTTTCCAAGTCAATGACCTTATTTTCTCCCTTTACCTAAGTGCAAAATCTCCCACCATATAATAAAAATACTATCCTTACTAAGATGGATATAACACCTTCCATTTTCAAATGACTGGTAGAAAAATGATCCTTCTATCTTCTAAGACCCAGAGAGGTTGAGATTGGAGTGAGCCATGATCATGCCACTGCACTCCAGCCTGGGCAACAGACAGTGACCTTGTCAGAAAAAGAAAAGAAAAGAGAGACAGAGAGAGGAAGGAAGGAAGGAACGAAGGAAGGAAGGAAGGAAGGAAGGAAGGAAGGAAGGAAGGAAGGAAGGAAGGAAATAAATGAAATCCAATCCATAGAAAACGATTTTTTTATAACAACTTGAGAGGAAGGAATATATTCTTTCTCGGTTCAAAACTTGACAGTCAACTATATCAAAGTCCTATATATTTCCAATCAAATTAACTTTGGTATAATAAGATTTAAACTGATTACAGAGAATTCTTAAAGGGTCATGAAAGAACAGTAAAGATGATTCAATGTTTTAAAAGACAACCCTTTAGGGGTTCCTTTAGGAAAGGTTTTAAAAGGATGCAGCGGAGAAGATATGAAGAGAAAAAGATAATAGTTCTTAAATATTTATAGAATTATTGCAAAGAGTTTAAGAATCTACATCTCAATCAAAAATAAAAACTTAGGTTAAATACAAGTGATTCAGGCTAAAATTTGTAAAGACCGTTACATACTAAAATGGATAAAGTTAGGAAGATATGTTCATACTTTTCTGTGACATTAGAATTAAAGAAATGAAGTAGCTGACAAATCCCTGTCTTTCTCAGTCTGTACTGTAATTATTTCAAGATACTATATGGTGAGAGGAAAAGGCATAATAAATTCTACAGCTTAACTTTGCAGGAAAAACAGTCAACTTTACTTACACTGTGTTCAATCCCGTATGTGATAACTTGCTTGCTTTTTCTAAACTCCCTTTCAGTAAAGAAGGTGGCAAAGGTACCATATTTAATGGGACAGATGACAATTGTTTGAATATGACATAATAGAGAGGAAAACGAGACAATTTGAAATGAGGATTGAAAAACATAGAAATATCCATAGAATGATAAACTCCTATGCATAAAAAGCAACTGCATAAGTACCAAAGGCTTGCCAAATATCCATCCTACTCATCCTGCTTGAGTTAGCAAATTCTATCAAATAGAATAATTACTTAGTCTCACATTTAGACTGGTATCTCAGGTTTCTTTCCAAACATTACAAATAACAGCAATGAAGTAAAGGGGAAAAAAGCACTTCTCACTGTTAAATGAAAATATATACATCCTATCCAGCATTTACTGGCAACGCAAAGAAAAAATATTTCCATTACTTAATGTCTAGGGAATGACAGTTATATCCAGGGCCAATATAAACTGACTATGCAATGGGATCCAAGAGCGGAAATAGGAGAGACATTCTATGATGGAAGTGCACCAGAATGACTCCATGCTTTTATGCAAGAAGTCAAAGGCATAAAGCACAAAAAACATTAATGAAGAAAAAGAGGATACGGTAGAATTCAATTACCTCTAAACATATAACACTTTACTTAGACCATTAAGATTTGCCCCAATGTTCACATGAAATTTACCTGTGCTGGCTCAAGATCTCATGTCCCAAATCTTTAGGTAATCTCTATCATTAATACAACTTTCATTAATCATATTGTTGTTGCTATAAACTTTCTAATAATTTCATTTATAATTTATTCTAAGAATTTTATTATTGTTTCTCTGATAAAACAGCATTCTTGAAGAGCAATAGCTTCTTAGTTGAAGTTTTATTTTCAAGTTCCTTTCAAACTGCTACTAAAGTAAATCCTACAGCCTTGACTTAGCCTTTATCCAGAAGTCTTTCCCTTTGCTGATCTTTACATTGGAAGTCTACATTCTTGCAGATTAGTGTATCTAAACCCAAAACTAACTGATCAAACTATTCAATCAATCAGTCTCATTTCCTATTCTAATGTTTTGGAAAACTGACAGAGACTCACATGCATATGCTGAAAACTGTAGGAATAGGCCTATATAAACCTAAACAGAAAAACTGCTGTTTGTTCACAGGCCTTGTTGCCGGGTTTTTCCTTTTCAGAGAAAAGAAAATGTATCAACAGAAAAATATAAGCCATACAGACAGACTTGGTATACTGCCAAATACAGTTCAAGCAAATTCTTCTGATATGAGGCAGTTTTCCAAAGAATTTTCCAGGGGAGGTTGCTACTGCTGGGTACTAAGAAAACGATCCCTTCAATTCTACTCTATAAACCAAATAATGCCCATTTTCCCTCAGATCTAGATCACCTCTGCACAAATTCAAATTTATGCTACTACTGAAAATCTGTCACTAGTTTCCTTCAAGTCTAGCACGAGTGAGAAATATGTTTTCAAAAATTATAGCTGTACTATTATCATATCAATAAGACTTGGTTCAGAATAGAGTTCTCAGGGTACTTCCTTTGGGGTGTTGTGCCTGAATTCCAGTTCTCTCTGGTTTAGGGGCCCCTCCTGTATGATTCCATGGCACCCTATATTCTCTTATCATAGTGTTTATCACGCAATATTATAATTGCTTGTTTGTCTCCTCTGTTAGATCATATGCTTCATGCAACAAACCATTATGTCTATTGTATTCATTATTTTATTCCAATGACCTAATACAGTGTCTAGCAAATAGTAGCTGAGGCATATTAAAGATGATCACAAATCCTTTGACACTTCTCCCGTAGAGAAGTGGGGTCGATGTCTTCTCCTTAATTTCAGACAGCCTCTGTAACTGCTTTGACCCATAAAATATGACAGAAGTAAGGCTGTGCCAGTTTCCAACCAATTCTTAAGAACTATCAGCTTCCACTTCCTCTCTCTTCAAACATTTACTCTTGGAACCCCAAGACTGACTGGGGTATGGTTTGAGAGACTTTCCTAGGACAACAAAAGCATCAACAGTTTTAATTTAATCAATTTCTAGATATTTACCTTTCATATCTCTCTTTCCTAAATTTGATCTGCCAAGACCTAGTGTGGTTCTCCAAGATTGATCCACTCATGTGGATTCTCCATTCCCTAGCTGCTTTAATACTAGACTTTCTTCTCTCTTACAAAAGAAAGACACCAAATTATCTATCTCAAGTTGCTATTGGCATTGTCCCGAGGTGTAAAAACCTTTGGGATTTTACTGGATTTGGTGAGGTAACTTACACGACCAGGTAAGGCCTGCTAACGTGTGCTTTATCTGGTTTTTCACATATTCCTGTTACAGGTAAACTCTAACACTAGAATGAGGGTATTTTTAGTTCTGAATTCAGACAATGTAGAGTAGACCAGTGGGAGATGGCTTCACTGTTGAGGGAGACACTCATGAAAGTAAGGCAAAAGAACCATATGTTGAAAATGGCTTTTTCCCTCACATATTTGACAAAAAGCATACATTTCCAGCTATTCACAATGGTTATGCTATGTCCACCGGAAAGAAAGAAATATTCAAACAGCTGAAATAAGTAAATGTTTAGTGATGTTGAATGTTTTAACATAAATAGAATACTTTCCAAAACTACTAAATATTCCCAGATATACTGGCTAAAACCTGCAGATAAAAATTTCATGTTATTTTCATTCAAATAAAAGTTCCATCCTTCAGTTAGATATTAGATAACACTTTATTAAATTCGAGCATTTATTCCTGTTAAATAACCCTCATATTAATTTATTTTATCAAATGTTTCATATTTCCTGTATCTTTGTCCAAAGGCCAAATTATTGACAGACCACCAAACCAAGCATTTTTAGTAACATGTATTTGTTTTTTTTTCTTCTGAAGAGTCTCACTTCATCGCCCAGGCTGGAGTGCAGTGGTGCGATCTCAGCTCACTGCAACCCGTACCTCCCGGGTTTAAGCGATGCTCCTGCCTCAGCCTCCCCAGTAGCTGGGACTACAGGTAGGTGCCAACAAGCCCAGCTAATTTTGTATTTTTAGTAGAGATGGGGTTTCACCTGCTGGCCAGGCTGGTCTCGAACTCCGCCCACCTCAGCCTCCAAAAGTGCTGGGATTACAGGCGTGAGCCACCGCACCCAGCCAGCAATGTGTATTTTTATCTTTCATTAAATACATAGAAAGTTTGATCATTATATTTAACAAAATTAATTTGTTAAATTTATTTTAATTTAAATTTTATTTTACTTTAGGATCTGGGATACATGTGTACAGAACATGCAGGTTTGTTACATAGGTAAATGTGTGCCACGGTGGCTTGCTGCATCTATCGACCTGTCATCTAGGTATTAAGCCCTGCATGCACTAGCTATTTGTCCTGATCTCCTTCCCCTCACCCCCCACAGGCCCTGGTGTGTGTTGTTCCCCTCCCTGTGTCCATGTGTTCTCATTGTTCAACTCCTACTTATAAATGAGAATATGCGGTGTTTGGTTTTCTGTTCCTGTGTTAGTTTGCTGAGGATGATGGCTTCCAGCTTCATCCATGTCCCTGAAAAGGCCATTATCTCATTCGTTTTTATGGCTGCATACTATTCCATGGTGTAATATGTACCACATTTTCATTATCCAGTCTATCATTGATGACCATTTGGGTTGGGTCATTGATGACCATAGTGCTGCAATAAACATATGTGTGCATGTATCTTTATAATAGAATGATTTATATTCCTTTAGGTATATATCCAGAAAAGGGATTGCTGGGTCAAATGGTATTTCTGGTTCTAGACCTTGGAGGAATCACCACACTGTCTTCCATAATGGTTGAACTAATTTACATTCCCACGAACAATGTAAAAGCATTCCTATTTCTCCACAGCCTCACCAGCATCTCTTGTTTCTTGACTTTTTAATAATCACCATTCTGACAGGTGTGAGGTAGTTTCTTATTGTGGTTTTGATTTGCATTTCTCTAACAATCAGTGATGTTGAGCTTTTTTCATATGTTTGTTGGCCACATAAATGTCTTCCTTTGAGAAGTGTCTGTTCACGTCCTTTGCCCACTTTTTGATGGGGTTGTTTGTTTTTTTCTTGTAAATTTAAGTTTCTTGTAAATTCTGGATATTAGACCTTTGTCAGATGGTAGATTGCAAAAATTTTCTCCCATTCTGGAGGTTGCCTGTTCATTCTGATGACAGTTTCTTTTGCTGTGCAGAAGCTCTTTAGTTTAAGTAGATCCCATTTGTCAATTTTAGCAATGTTGCAATTGCTTTTGGCAATTTCATCATAAAATCTTTGCACATGCCTATGTCCTGAATGGTATTACCTAGATTTTCTTCTAGAGTTTTCATGGTTTTTGGTTTTACATTTAAGTATTTCAGCCATCTTGAGATAATTTTTGTGTAAGGTATAAGGAAGGGGTCCAGTTTCAGTTTTCTGCATATGGGTACCCAGTTTTCCCAGCACCATTTATTAAATAGGAATTCCTTTCCCCATTGCTTGTTTTTGTCAGGTTTGTCAAAGATCAGATAGTTAGAGATGTGTGGTCTTATTTCTGAGGTCTCTATTCTGTTCCATTGGTCTATGTGTCTGTTTTGGTACTAGCACTATGCTGTTGTTGTTACCATAGCCTTGTAGCATAGTTTGAAGTCAGGTAGCATGAGGCCTCTGGCTTCATTCTTTTTGCTTGGGATTGCCTTGGCTATATGGGGTCTTCTTTGATTCCATATGAAATTTAAAGTAGTTTTTCTAATTCTGTGAAGAATGTCAATGGTAGTTTGATGGGAATAGCATTGAATCTATAAATTACTTTGGGCAGTATGGCCATTTTCACAATATTGATTCTTCCTATCCATGAGGATGGAATGTTTTTCCATTTGTTTGTGTCCTCTCTTATCTCCTCGAGCAGTGGTTTGTAGTTCTCCTTGAAGAGGTCCTTCGCATCCCTTGTTAGCTGTATTCCCGGGTATTTTATTCTTTGTAGCAATTGTGAATGGGAGTTAATTCATGATTTGGCTCTCTGCTTGTCTATTGTTGGTGTATAGGAATGCTTGTGATTTTTGCACATTGATTTGGTATCCTGAGACTTTGCTGCAGTTGCTTACCAGCTTAAGGAACTTTTGGGCTGAGACCTTGGGGTTTTCTAGATATAGGATCATGTCATCTGCAAACAGAGACAGTTTGACTTCCTCTCTTCTTATCTGAATACCTTTTATTTCTTTCTCTTTCCTGATTGCCCTGGCCAGAACTTCCAATACTATGTTGAATAGGAGTGGTTACAGTGGGCATCCTTGTCTCATGCCAGTTTTCAAAGGGAATGCTTCCAGCTTTTGTGCATTCAGTATGATAATGGCTGTGGGTGTGTCATAAATGGCTCTTATTATTTTGAGATATGTTCCATCAATACTTAGTTTGTTGAGAGTTTTTAACAGGAAGAGATGTTGCATTTTATCAAAGGCCTTTTCTGCATCTATTGAAATAATCATGTGGTTTTTGTCATTGTTTCTGTTTATGTAATGGATTACATTAATTGAATTGTGTATGTTATTTCTAAATGCCCAACACCAGAACTTAATATATGCATACATACGTACTTCCAAGTAATATCATACTTGGAAGTGTTTCATACTCTCTAGTTCATAAATAACTTGTAGTTTCTGCTATATATTATACTGCTTTATTACAAATTAACAAATGAGAAACAATTATCTTGTTTTATAATTTTTAAATAGATAAATCATTTAATTATATCTGCATCATGTTAATCTTGACATTATGATTTTTATTAATCATATAAGCTGTGTTCTATAAATTATTTCTCAGTGGTGTTTATAATATTTAAAAAAAGAGGCCAGGGCTGAGCACGATGGCTCATGCCAACACTTTGGGAGCCTGAGGTAGGTGAATCGCCTGAGGTCAGGAGTTCAAGACCAGCCTGGGCAACATGGTGAAACCCCATCTCTACTAAAATGCAAAATTAGCTAGGTGTGGTGGCGCATGCCTGTGATTCCAGCTACTTAGGAGACTGAGGCAGGAGAATCACTTGAACCTGGGAGCTGGAGGTTGTGGTGAGCCAAGATTGTGCCATTGCACTCCAGCCTGGGCAACAAGAGTGAAACTCTGTCAAAAAAAAAAAAAAAGAAAAAAAGAGGCCGGGTGCAGTAGCTCACACCTGTAATCCCAGCACTTTGGGAGGCCAAGGCGGGCTGATCCCCCAAGGCCAGGAATCCGAGACCAACCTGGCCAACGTGGCGAAACTCCATCTCTGTCAAAAAAAAAAAAAAATTAGCTGGGTGTGGTGGCGGACGCCTATAATCCCAGCTTCTTGGGAGACTGAGGCAGGAGAATCACCTGAACATGGGAGGCAGAGGCTGCAGTGCCCTGAGAATGCACCACTGAACTCCAGCCCAGGCGACAGAACCAGACCCTGTCTCACAAAAAAAAAAAAAAAATTCAAAAAAGAAATATTAACACATTTTGATTGAAAAATGAAGTCAGAATTTTTCTGGCAGAAAGTAAGTCTAATTCACCTGTAAGATTTGATAAAGAGGACTGTTTGGGCCAATGAGGTTACATGGCAAGTATTTTCCAATACATCAAGGAATGAAATCTGTAACTTCAAGTTTATGACAAAAGTGTAAGATACACACATTTCATACTGAAAAAGTTTATACTGTGGAAATGTATCAAAACTAATATTTTAATTTTCCCAACCCTTTATAAGTATCTCAGATTAAATGACTTTAAGTGAAAAAATAACAGATATTAGACCATTTGAAAAATCTTGGTAAAGACTTTTGGAGACAGTTTTCAGAAATTTAAAAAGTGATGATTATGATGATGGGGTAACAAATCCTTTTGAAATTCAAGTGGCTTCTAATTCTTTGCTTTCAACAATTTTGAAGGAGAATATAATCTAGTTGTCAACTGGCACATCAATTAAAAATAAGTTTCCATAATATATCTCTACATGTTTTTTGGCACATGACTTGGAAACAGTTCTAAGAATTAAGTGACACTGCTAAACAAAACTCTTTGACATTTAGTAATAAGAAAGAAAAAAACAACTTTCTATCAAAAATGTCTTTTCAGAAAGAGGAATGATAATCATCTGGCATTGATGAAATTACCAGTCACTCTCAAACATGCAATTGCAGACTTGAGAGCATAGTTTTTGGAAATACTTAAATTTAACCCAATATTTGGCAGCATACTGGCAATCAAAATAACTTAAACTTTTAAACTCCCAAATATATAATATAATAATTTAATTTAAAAGGGAGAGGTACTAGGTTGGTAAATAATTATTTGAAAAAAAATGTATATGAAGCCTTTGGGATCTCAGCCTTCAGATTTCCCCAAGATCTTGCTAATTAACTATGTTCATAGCTGGGAAGGCAAAGGGATTGGTGTTTAGAAAGTATTTTTAAAAAACAAAGACTCAAATTATGGTTTTAGTTTGTGATCTTTTTTTTCCATTTAAACTAAAATAAATTGCTAGTGGATTCAAATAAATTTAAAAAGGTTTGAGGCAATAATTAATAAAGTCACAGATTCAGTAAAATCATGAAATTATTCAAACCATAGAAAAATGAGAGGAACCACAGAGATCCAGAAGACAGGCAAGATTTACTCTGTTTTCTCTGAGCTGCAGTAAGGTGCCCCATACCCAGGGGAGGAAGAAAGTGTGAGACTCTGCTAAAGTGGGTCAGATTATTTTTTTTAAAGGACACGAGCCCTCCACTGAGCCTAGGAGGAACTCAAGGGCTAACAACTATCTAAAATGTGTGTTTGCAAGACTCATTCATTAAAAATAATTAATACAATGGGGGGGTGGGGAAAAGACAGGAAAAAGATGTTCTAAAGAAAACTACTATAATTGAGCATAAAATAGTATATAGGCAAAGCTCAATAGGAAAAACTGAATTAGTTCTCAATTCTAGCAAGAGAGAAAGAAGAAAAAAAGGCATTTCTTTGATTTTGAGAGGAATTTATCAAATGGGTCTTTATATAAAGCACATTGAACAACATTGTAGACATTGTTTCTAACCACAGTTTCAATGAAAGATATAAAAGAATTTTCTCTACTTGGTATTTTTTTCTCATATAGACCCTGACAAAAACTAGATACAATGAAAGTTACATATGCCTGTAAATCAGGTTGAATGAGTCAGAAATAATCTTTGCCGAAGACAGTTTGCTATATTGTTAAAGTATCAAACTAGAAGGTATCTTCTTTATTCAGATATTTATATTTGTCCATTGATTGGAGAAGACATGAGAGGGAAGGTTTTTTCTTTCTTCCTCTTTTTTTTTTTTTTTTAACCAATTCAATGTGGCAGTTAGCAGATACTTGGACAACAGAAATCCTTCATGTAACTCTCAAACTGACTGAACTGGCTTAATACATAAATGAGACTTTCAGCAACTTGTTCATCTGTTTTCCAACCACAAGGAATTCTTCCTACCATAGTCATTAGTGGTTTTCTCTGGGTACAAACTAAAGAAGACTGCCCTCTGGGATTGCTTGAGGTTTTTGTTTTGTATTGTTTTCTAGCATGTACCTCATTTCCAAATAAAAGCAAGAAGAAAACAGTTCAATATATTCTTTGGCATTGCTCATGATGGTTACTTATTTATTATAGAAATGCTCTAATTACTTCCTTATTTTCAACACTAATAAAATGAATTTCATTAGTGTAACTTTTCACATTTTAAAATAAACTCTGCTCTATTTTGTTGCATGAGAAATAATGAAAAGTAATAAAGAAACCATACTACCATCTCCAAGACTTTAACAGTCACATGTTAGGAATGTCTTATAACTGCAAGATAAGTCACAAGCTAAATTTGGTAAAGAAATAATCTTTGCAAAAAGAAATCTACAACATCAGTATCTTATTTATCTTACTAGAAAAATTAGTGACCTCATCTGCTCATGTGAAAAAGAAAGAACTCCCCAATATAAAATAGATTGTTTTCTGGGTGAGGACTTTCTTGAGAAACTTTATATAGTTTAAATTATCACTTAGATTTAACACTTTCCACCTGTCTTCAGAAATACTTGTATTTCCTTTAAGGTACTAAATATGATATACTAGTCGTGAGACAGAATAACATAATAGCTTCCTTTGCATTCTATGAATGCTTGTAAACACCGTTTTCAGTAATTTTTATATGAATCTTGATTTGTTAGTGTCTTAGAAATATCTTCATTAATGATATTTATAATACATAATTTACATTTGCTTGGTTTTTTGAAATCCAGTTCTTAAAATTATTTTTTTAGTTGATGAGTCAGATGACATCCATCCTTTTCCATTATTATATATTACTAAATACATGTTATAACATTAAACCAATTATGTTCCAATGATAATTTCTGTAATCACGTTTCAAACTAAGTTTCAATACGTAGAAACTTCTGCTTTATAAGAAAGAATTTGATATTTGAGAACTGTACGTACATTTGAATTGTAGATAAATCAGTTTTTAAGTTCTATATACCTCTTGTCAAAAGAAAGGTTTAAGAGGGAACATTTTACTTAAACAAAGTAACAATACTCATTTTACAGAAGAGGAAACTAAAGTTCAGATGAGACATTTAGTAAGAAGAAATGGAGGGATTCAAACCAACCCTCTTCAGGTCCAAAGCACATACAAGGCTGGCAATGTTTGTCATAGTTTATTGCCCATTTATTCACTTAACAAAAATTGCTAATTCTACTAAGTTCAGGGGTATAGCTGAAAGATACAGAGTTGCTACCCTCAAGAAAAAAATCAGTCAGTAGATAGAAAAGAAAGTCAGTTACTACACCATCAATATGAAATAGATTGTGAAAATGCCCAGGGGATTTCGAGGGCATTCAACTTGGGGTAGGGACATGAGTGGGAGGAATAGGAAAGAGATGACAGAGAAGCAGGCAAAGAAGTCAAATTACAAAAATCCTTGAATATCATGCTAAAGAGTTTGAATTTTATCATGGGGGAAATGGGGAGCCATTCAGTTATTTTAGTCAGGAGAATGACATAATTAGATATATCTTTTTGAAAATCCACTCCCTTTTGACAGTCTTCAAGGGTAAATATGCAGTAGTAGTCCAGGAAAGAAACAAGAAGAACCTAGCTAAAAAAAAGTGGCAATGGGGATTGAAAGGACAAAAGAGACTCAATAGATAATTAAGGGATACAATTTCTAATGCTCAAAAAGGGAAAGGAAGGGGAAAAAATCCTGATTATCTCTGAGGTGTTTGCTTTAGTAACTGAATGAATGATGTTGCACCTTACAATGTTAGAAAACCTGGGAGCCTGGGATGTTAGGCTGGGGAGTGGGTAAGTGGAAGTAGTTGTTTGCCATATTAAGATGAGCTACTTAGTAGTTGAAAATACGAGTAATAATCTTAGGAAAAGAAATCTAGGCTACAAATATTGACTTGGAAATTCTCCAATTACATGTGACTAAGAGAATATATAGAATAAAAAGAAAATAGAACCCAGAATAAAACCTTGGCAAGAACCAACATTTTAGTGGGTGGAATGGATCACTGCAGTTAGCTGAACAGATTAAGAAGGAAATAATTGAAGAAAGGAAATGTATTAGATATAGTTCATGGAAATAAAAAGCTGAACCAATGAATTCATGGGGAACATGGAGAGAAATATCTGAGATAAGGAGGATAAGGCTGCAGAGTGTTTACATTCTTGTAACTGCAAGAGTGAGATGAGCCAAAAACACAGCTGGAATGAAACACTGAGGAGCAGAAGGCCCAGCCGAAATTGAACTGTGCAGGCAGAATTATAGCACTCCACCCCCACATTAATAATATTTTAATTAAAAAATAGGTGCACAGAAATGAAATGAACAATACTTACTGGCTTCATAGAACATGATCTAATTGGCTCTTCTGGGAGGGCAAGAAAGGATTGGTTCAGGATGGATTTGTACAGTGAGTAAAGGACAAGATAGTGAGGTGATTGACTTGGGCTATAAATAAAATGAACTATATTAAGCCTGCAAGCTTAAGAAATTCTTTTTTTTTTTTTTTGAGACGGAGTCTCGCTCTGTTGCCCAGGCTGGAGTGCAGTGGTGCAATCTCAGCTTACTGCAAGCTTGAGAAAGTCTTATGTACAGGAGACCTTCTTATCTCCAGCTGATGTATTTAGAGTCTGTGTATATACCTACATGCTGTGTGTCCATATCCCTATCACCTCACCTACCTATAGCCATCAGTACAGGACTACAAGACTGTGGAATTATTCCCATGTGAACTGGTTGCTGCTATTGGCAACTCTGTTAGCTTACAGCTTTTCTTGATTTCCTTGCTCCATATCTTAAGAGGATCAAGTGCATTCAAAGCAATTAAGAATTGGAAAGGGATCCAATACTGCAAGTCTTCTTAGTGCCCTTTCCATTCCATTCTAGCTCTCATTTCTAATATTTTATCCACATGGCAGCCAGAGTAATCTTTTAAAACTTTAGTTAGATGCTGTCTACTTTGAATATTCAATGGCTTTTTAAATGGATTAAGCTTTATAATGAAACTCTATCATGACCCACACACCCTGCATGAGACTGCTGTCTACCTCAAACTTCATCTCATGCCACCTCCCCAGTCCCAGATCTTTTGAACAAGCTATCCCCTCAGGCTCAAAGGTTTTTATTTTTTCCTTTTTTTTTTCCCTGATTTTCACAAGCTGCTTCCTTATCCTTCAAGCGGCAGCCTAAACTATCTCCTTACAGGCACTTCCCTAACTATACTGTGAAAGGAAATCCCCTGTTATTGTTTATCATTGTCCTCTGTTCATTTCCTTCATAACACAAACAGTACTCATGTATTTCTTTGTTCACTTGAATATTACCTGTAAATTCCACAAATGCAGAAATTAAGTCTTTATTTACCTATTCTCAATGCTTGGTAAAGTGCCTGGCATGCAGTGGACGCTCAATAAATTTCTGGTAAAGGAAGGAAGGAGAAGGGAAATAATAAGCATAGTCAATAATTTAAAAGACTGTAAAGAAATGGCAAGGTTGGGAAGAAAAAGCAAGAATCTTCCGGAAGAATTGAATGGTCAATAATATTATCTGACAATTTCTAAAATTAGGTTTAAATGTTAAATTACTATAATTAATCCAGTCAGTATTAGGAACTTTTAAAAGTGAAACCATAGTAGAGCAATATTCCTAAGAAATATCTGCTAGAATTAAGCTCCTCTGAAAAGCAATATATGAAACTCTTCACAAGTAAACACTCCAGTATTTGAGAAAATAATCTTAATTAACAAACATAATACATCATTTTACCTTTTGAAAATCAGAACACATATTAATCAATAGGGAAAGGTCCAAGGAGCTACATGATAAGAGTGCTGCTTCTCTGAGCAACTCAGAGTAGAGTTGGAAAACATAATCAATCTAAGATAAGAAGACTCAAGATTGGTCTAGGAATATGTATTGGCTATTTTCATGTGTCAACCTAGCTAGGCATAGTACCCAGATGTTTGGTCAAACATTCTAAATGTTTCCATGAAGGTAGTTTTTAGATGATACTAATATTTAAATCAGTAGATTCTGAATAAAACAGATTACCTTCCACAATGTGTATGGGCCTCATCCAGTCAGCTGAAATCTTATTAAAAAAGACTGACCTCCCCCGAAAAAGAGGAAATTCTGCCAGCAGACTGTCTTCAGACTCAAACTGCAGATTTTAGACTTGCGAGCCTCATGGGACAACTCCTTAAAATGTATACACACATACATATACACACATATACATACATACATACACACACACATATATACTATTGGTTTTTTTTCTCTGGAGGACTCTTACTAATGCAAAGTATTAGGAGGAAGAAAACAAGTTCAAGCCCCAACTCTGGCACTTACTATCTGGTGATACTTTCCTCTGAATGATTGTTTTACATTATAAAATGAGCAGGTTTTAAAAATCAACAAATAGCAAATGTTACTGACTCAATCTCTACATATCACAGCTCAACTATTGTTTCCAAATAAATGTGGACTCAAAATGTACAGAAAATAATTTTATATAACCTCTTCTTCATTTATTCACTTTAAAACTAGTACAAGCACCCAATTAATTAAGTATAAATAGACTGTTGTTCTGATAAACTCCAAAGTACTTTTCATGGTAAAAAGCACTGGAAAGAATCCTAAGGTAACACTGATCTCATCAGGCAGATGGCATTTATTTGGCACGTTGACAATAAAAATGAACTTATTTAAAGAGGGAAATAATATACTTGCACATTTTCAGCTTTTAAAATAAATTACCTCATTTCATAGTGAAAATGTTTTATTTCACAAGGCAGCACTATTTTTGTAAAATATGATATTCTCCAAATTATTATAAATGCCATTAATTCAGCCACCAATCATATTAAGATCAGGGTTTATACTGTTAAATGAGAAACTTCTTTGCTTAGAAAAAAATAAAATTTGATATCCTTAAGGATTTAAGTAGATAACATTTAATTTGGAATCCTTCTATCAACTATTTTATAAATTTTACCATAGCAAAGATAAAATATTATTACAAAATATACAATAAAACATATAGTATTGAGTTAAAATTGACAATTTGCTGCACCCATGTTGCTGCAAAGTACATGATTTCATTCTTTTTATGGCTGTGTAGTATTCTATGTGTATACGCACCACATTTTCTTTATCCAATCCACTGCTGGTGGGCATCTAGGTTGATTCCATGTCTTTGCTATTGTGAATAATGCTACAACGAACATACCAGTGCATGTGTCTTTTTGGTCGAATGGTTTATTTTCCTTTGGGTATATACCCAATAATGGGATTGCTGGGTTGAATGGTAGTTCAGTTTTCAGTTATTTGAGAAATCTCCAAACTGCTTTCTACAGTGGCTAAAATAATTTACATTCCCACCAGCAGTGTACGAGCATTTCTTTTCTTTGTAACCTCACCAACATCTGATTTTTTTTAACTTTTTAATAATAGTCATTGTGACTGGTGTGAGATGGTATCTCACTGTGGTTTTGATTTGCACTTCTCTGATGATTACTGATGTTGAACAGTTTTTCATGTCTTCTTTTGAGAAGTGTCTGTTTTTTGCCCACTTTTTAATGGGATTGTTTGGTTTTTGCTTGTAAATTTAAGTTCCTTATATTAATAGATTCTGGATATTAGAGCTTTGTCAGATGCATAGTTTGTGAATATTTTCTCCCAATCTGTAGGTTGTCTGTTTATTCTTTTAATAGTTTCTTTTGCTGTGCAGAAGCTCTTTAATTAGGGTCCTTTTTTCGTTTTTGTTGCAGTTGCTTTTGGGAACTTAGTCATAAATTATTTGCCAAGGCCAATGTCCAGAATGGTATTTCTTAAGTTTTCTTCTAGTGTTTTATAGTTTTAGGTTTTACATTTAAGCCTTTAATCTATCTTGAGTTAATTGTGAAAGGAAGGGATTCTGTTTCAATATTCTACATGTTGCTAGCCAGTTATCCTAGCACCATTTATTGAATAGGGAGTCCTTTCTCCATTGTTTGTTATTGTTGACTTTGTCAAAGATGACCTGGTTGTGGGTATGTGGCTTTACACCTCATCTAGTGATTAAGTTCTACATTCTGAGGCTATGCCATGCAAGCATACACTTTCTTCTATATGAACATCTTTCAAATAATTGAAGGCTTAACTATCAAGTCTTTCCTTTTAAGCTAAACATTCCTATTTCCACCAACTGTTTCTCACATGACAAGTTTTCAGTAACTGTCACTGTTATTGTCACTTTCTCTGGATATCAATGACACTTCAAAACCATGGTATGCAAAACTAAATACAATATTCGAGATGTGATTTGGGTAGAGGATGCAAAGTGATATAAGAACTATGCCTCCTTTTTAAAAATTCTTTATTTTTAGTAAAGAACAGTGAGATTTATAATCTTCCTTAAAAACAAATACTCTTTTTAAAGATGAGGAAATAATGCCCAAATTAATAGACTGCCATAAATACCACCTGAGATAAAACTTGGCAATTTTTCTTAATTCTCCATATGCTATGTGTAAACTTAAGTCAAAACACCTGAACGTACCACACAGATTGTACAAAAGTTATTTTTGGATCCTAAACTAAATTTCCATTCAAGTTTTCCACATTTAAAATCTCTAGATGAATATGGAGAGCCGATGAACTGTTACTTTATATTTTTAATGGCATTTTACAGTAAAAGATAAGTTTCACTGCCTTGAAGATTTATACGTCTACGCACAAATTTAGACAACCCTTAGATCTTGATGTAAAGAACTGATGTTAGAAACATGTCTACATTTTTTCCATTCTCCAAATTTTTCCTCATTAAGGCAATGCTTAGGAAAGAAGACAGTTTGGTATTTTAAACTACTTCTGGGCACTCACTGAATTTCCAGTACTTAAGATATAGAATACTCTACCTCACTCCTATTTAGCACAAGTCATATATACATTTTCATAAAAATAACTTTTATTCTGCTTGGAAAAAATAATTAGTTTAAATTCATAATTTAAGAAATCATCATCTATATCTCTATAATAAATAAAAATCCACTTTTAATAAATAATTATCTTTAACTACAAAATCAACTGAGGTAACAGTTAAGACTTGAATTAGTCCAGACATTCCATCTGACTTGTTTCATATCTTTGAAAAAAATTACACCATGTATTTCTTTTTCTCATACCTTAAAGTAGGGGTAAGCCAGTTTCAAGGGAAATGAAATAAATGGACCAAATAATATTACAGAATAAGTATAAATCAAAATCAAAGGCTTATTACCATAGATAAATAGTGAAAATGTTTTTAATATTTAACATTAAAATGATCACTTTTCTGGAAGCATTAAAAGCTAGTTGCCCTCTTAAACATCAACTATTTGATGTTTAAGAGAATTTCTAGAAATACAGACAATTATAACAAAATAAAAAATAAAAGTCACATGCTAAACCAGAACTATAAGCCAAAAATATTCCCTGGTTTTCAAAAGTTTCCTAGATATTCCTAAGGATTCTAAAGTAGTTTAATTTAAAAAAGGCAAATCCAATTAAAAATAGTTCTGGTTCACCTGGGCAGCTCTAGTATCCAGGACTACCTAAAGGTTTAGGACTGCCTCTCACCCCTTCCCAGAAACTCCCATTCTGGTCCATGAAAAAAGGCTAGCTCCACACATCTCAGAGTGAGAGGACCTAGGACAGCAAGGCATGTCTACTAACCTCTGGGCACTGAATCAACTGACAGTTTACATTATAATTGTCAAATAACAAGTAGAATAGCATTAAACTATTGAAAGTTCCTGCAACAGACTGAATGTGTCCCCCAAAATTCATGTATTTTGAAATCCTGACCCCCAATATGATGGTATTAGGAGATGGGGCCTTTGGGAGGTGATTTAGGCCATATGATTAGTGCCCTTTATAAAAGGGACCCCAGAGAGCTCTCTGCTTTCTGCAACGTGAGGAAATAACAGGAAGCTGGCAGTCTACAACCCAGAAGAGGGTCCTTACTGGAAAGCAACCACGCTGACACCCTGCTCTCAGACTTCCCAGCCTCCCCAGAACTGTGAGAAATGAATTTCTGTCACTGATAAAGTACCCAGTTTATGGTAGTTTATCATAGCAGCCCAAATTGACTAAGACAGTGCCACAGTCTTATTTCAAGCATTAAAAATTTAATTTGCAGTTATTAAAACTGGCTGTGAAACCATGTTTCTTTTCCATAAACAACTTAGGCTCATTTTACAATCACTGAGTTATTGAAGTACTTATAGCTTAATCAAGCAAAATTACCATACCATACAGTATATAATTAAAATAGATACATGAAAAAAGCCAGGTAGATTTAAAACTAGAGAAAATTTATAAAGCAAGAACAATATGAAAGTTTCATTATATTAACCTCTCCTTTGATAGTATAATTATAATCTGTACTATACAACGAGAACATTTTTGGTTAAAGGAGTATTAGCTTTGGGAAGGTTTCTTTTTACATTTATTCTTTTTAAGCTTCTTTTCTTGCTGCTATTTCACAAATTAAACATCAATTAAAACTGACACCCTCATCATATAAGACAACACTATGGGCTATACATCTGCAGAAACTATATGTTTCCATATAAGTAAACATTATTTAGACCCTCATGTTTGTATACATCTCCATTTCTAATCGTGGTCATGATGGCATACTAGACATACTTCCTCACATGAAATTACATATTAAGTAATAAAGAAAGCTTAGTCCCCACAATTTAAATAATGAATACTCTACTTCAAATCCTTTTGGGATTCTAAAGGAAATAAGTATAAAAATGCATTATTAAATGTAGGAAAAATATTTTAATATTTTGTTTTGGCTGATTTTAATATTTCCTTTTATGCATTTTTCAAAGAATTTTCTAGGAAGACATAAAGCAACATAATGGAACAACTTATTGACTAATTCTTTTTAACAATTACTTTTGTTGATAATCTGTGACATTGCCAAAATCAAAACAGATACCATTCGTGCAGCACATATAATATTAATATGCAAGTTAAAATGTTAGGACATTTTAACTACATCATCTACCAAGTTCCAGATCCATATATTTAATTGACTATTAGACCCTTCTACTTGGAAGTCCGAAACACATTTAAAATTTAGCATGTCCCAAAAATAAACTTTCTTTTCTTTTTCTTTCCTTTCTTCCTTCTTTCCTTCCTTCCTTCCTTTTTTTTTTTGGACAGGATCTCACTCTGTCCCACAGGCTAGAAAGAGTGCAGTGGTGTAATTACAGCTCACTGCATCCTCAACATCCCAGGCTCAAGCAATCCTCCCACCTCAGCCCCCTGAGTAGGTGGGACTATAGCACGCACCACCACACCAGTTGATTTTTGTATTTTCTGTAAAGACGGGGTTTCACCATGTTGCCCAGGCTGGTCTTGAACTCTTAAACTAAACTGATCCGTCTGCCTTGGCCCCCCAAAGTACTGGGATTACAGGCATGCACCACCACATCTGGCCCCCCAAATGAACTTTCTATCTCTCTCAAATATTCCAATATTCTGAAATTTGGTACATGATACCACAATCTATTTGATCAAGAAACCTGAGAGTTAAAATTATACCAGTAACAATAACCACCATTTGAGAATATCTACTTTGTGCCAAGAATTAGGCTATGTATACTACTTTATTAAATCTAATTCTCACCATTCAAAAGACTCACAAAATAGGTTATTATTCTAAGAAACTTGGCTGTAAAGAATCTTTTTTGATTTCATTTAATTCTGTTTTTCTCCAGTTAATTCGAGCACTGAATACTTTTTTCATCATAACTTTTTGGTGAACCAAAAGTACTATCTAATCAAACTTTGGAAAATGCTTCTTTTAAAAAGACTATCACCAGCAAACTGTTGTATTAGCTCATTCTGTTTGCCAAAATCAAATCAGTGGTGCCCTGTATAAGGATGAGTGAATGAGGCCAGATGCGGTGGTAATCCCAGCACTTTGGGAGGCCAAGATGGATGGATCTCTTGAGCCCAGAAGTTTGAGACCAGCCTGGGCAACATGGTGAAACCCCAGCTCTACTAAAAAAATACAAAAAAATAGCTGGGCATGGTGGTGCATGCCTGTAATCCTAGCTACTTGGGAGGCTGAGGCAGGAGAATCACTTGAATCCGGGAGACAGAGGTTGCAGTGAGCAGAGATTATGCCACTACACTCTAGCCTGGGTGACAGAGTGAGACTCTGTCTCAAAAGTAAAATAATAATAATAATATTTCATGTCCTCACAGTCTGATTCCTTAGTGTGTCCAATTTCTTTAATATCTATTATTTATGAGAATTTGCCTGTTAGCATAATACACTTAAACAGTAGGAGAAATAAAGATTATATGAATACTTTATATTTTTTCTGTGTGAGTGAATGAATAAAGTAATTCTAAGTTACAATTTCTCTGAGATAGCAAACAACATATACTAATTGAACACCAACCAGGCATTAAATCTAAATAGCATGAGAAATACAAGAATAATTTATAAAATATGATCCCTTTTCTCTAGAATTTTACTTACAATATAGTTGAGACAAAATGAATGGTAAAATACCAAAAAAACAGATCAAGCATATTTTGATAGAACATTAGAAATATCAAAAGTAGGAACATGAATAATTGCCAAATACATGGTATAATAATATGTAGCTAATCAGAACTCAAAAGAGAGGGAGATAAATCTTAGAAAATGCAGTGTAAAAATACAGTAGGTAGAAATATTTCCAAAGAAGTTATATGAATCTGCTTCAGCTATCCATTACATATACCTGCATTATCAATTTGCAGAAAACTTTTCTTTAAAAAAAAGTTTCACAAAATACAGGTAACTTAAGTAACACAGGAAGCTCAGCAGTCTGCAAAAATAAAAAAAAAAATTGTCTCTAGCTTCCAAAAATCACACCTCTATGTACAAACTAACCACAATTAGGCACACTGACATAAGCAGATTGCACTACCAAATACTGGAAATTCTGCAAGAATTAAAATGATTTCGGCACATGGGAATAAGACAATCCAAGCGAGCCCAAAAATATTCTTAAAAATGATTATCTATGACATCTGAAAAACCCACATAAAGTATCTATGCCAAAAAGAAAAGAAATTCCACACAAAACCAATAAAGGAGTATCCCAGCAGTCATTTAGAAAAAAATTAGAAATACGGTTATTCATACAAGAATTTATTTTGGGATACCTAGCCAGATTTTAATGCCATATTCAAAATAAAAAAATCTAGCCACAGAAAAGTATCACAGCATTAAGATACATACTTAAAAGTATGATCAAAAGATATATTTGTTTGTAACTATGTTAAGCTCAGTACTTGAAGTACTTTTAACCCTTAATTTTCACTATGTTCCTAAGTGCTACCACCAAAACCATACACAGTAAGTATTAATAGAATAAGGGGTATAATTCTCCTCTTCACTTTCTGAATGTCTTAAAATACCTGCTGTTGTAGTAGATAAGGTTTACTAGACACTTTTCCATTTTGGCTTAAAAATAAAATTCATCTATATGCTAATGGAAGATCCATCATTCACATCATTCACGCATCCACAATTCCCTTTCTAATTAAATACAACACCTAAATTTAAGCCACATAACACAATTTCAAACAGGATTTTTTTATAATTATAGGAGAAGCCATAATTATTTTACTGGAAAACTTCAAAATCATCAAAAGTTCAAGAAAATATACACACTAAATTGCAATATGACAGAAAACTGTCATGAAGAGATCATACAGAAATGGATTTAGAAACTTTGCTTTCTCTAGCAGTAAAGCATTCCTTACTTAAATTTCAAATATTACAGAAAAGTTGAAAGAATAATACAACAAATACCTCCACCTAGATTCAACATTTGTAAGCATTTTGCCACAAATGCTTTCCTACCTCTACCCTCTTCCCCATTTCTTCCTCTCCCCCTCCCCAGCCACCCATCTCTCTCTATATATATACATATATACATACATAAAAACACATACTTATATAAGTTTATATATATGTAAACATATTTATTTCTAAGAAAGTTCCCATAATCAAATACATTAGTACTTCTACAGAAAAACAAATGACAGTAAGTGAAATAAATAGACTATTATAGTCTTATAAATCCAGTTTACTGCTGGACTTATAAGACTATATATAGTCTTTGGTACTGCTGCCAATGATTTCAGATAAGATCAGGTTTTGTCCCAAATGAGATTTTTTTACAGTCTTGATTTTCAAAGTTTTGGAATTCAAAAGTATGGATAAGATGCGGCAGGCTGTAGTATTACTCCCAATTTACAGATGAGGAAACCGAAGCACAGAAAAGTTAAATACCTTATACCAGACTACAACAAGTGGCAAAACCAGTAAGTAAAAATAGGCTACCTACTCCAGAGCCCATACTTTCAATCACTACTCTAGGAAGCTTTCAGTCCAGCAGAAGGTCTTTGTGGCTGTCTTCATTTTTATCCAGAATCTGGATTTTAAAACTTACCCCTAACTCCATTATTACCCTCCTAATCTGAACCACTATCATCTCTCACTGGGTTTATTTTAATAGTCTCCTAACAAGGGTCCCTGATTCTTCTTTTGCTTTAGTCTATTCTCAACACAGCAACCAGAATGCTCTTTTTAAAAATACTAGATCATGTCATGTAACTGCGTAAGACCATTTAGGGCTTTTCATTTAGCTAAGAGTAAAAGCCAATGTTCTTCCAAACAGCCTACAGGAAGCCCTAAGACATATACCCACTCATTGACCCACCTCTGTGAACTCATCCCCTACTCTCCCTCTCTCTCACTCCACTCCAGACACAGTGGTCTCCATCCTGCTTCTGGTCTCCAGGCATGTTCCCACTGAGGGCCTTGGCATTGGCTGTTCCTTCTGTCTGGCATGTTTCCACTCATATCTACATGACTTCCTCCCCAACTCCTCCAATATCATCTTCCAATGAGACCCACAGTGTCCACTCTGTTTAAAATTACAACTGCCTCCTGCAAAGCAACTGACACTCCTGATCCCCCTTTTCCTGTTCTCTTTCTCCATAACACTTATCACCTTCAAACATTCTAGACAATTTATTTATTTTATATGTTTGTCTCTTCTTCTTTTGGAATATATGCACACCAAAGTGTCCTAAGCCTGAGAAAACCATCTAATATAGTAAAAGCTCTCAAAAAATAATTGTTGCAGCTCTCTGCTCCTCCCATTCAACAGACAGCTGCATCTTCTCGTGCATTGCCAGCTGCATCCCTGAGACACCATGGTGAAGGTGAAGGCTGGAGTCAACAGATTTGGTTGTATTGGCTGCCTGGTCACCAGGGCTGCTTTAAACTCTGGTTAAGTCGATATTGTCGCCATCAATGACCCCTTCATTGACCTCAACAACACTGTCTACATGTTCCAGTATAATTCTGCCCATGGCAAATTCCATGGCACCGTCAAGGCTGAGAACAACAGCTGCATCTTCTCGTGCATTGCCAGCTGCATCCCTGAGACACCATGGTGAAGGTGAAGGCTGGAGTCAACAGATTTGGTTGTATTGGCTGCCTGGTCACCAGGGCTGCTTTAAACTCTGGTTAAGTCGATATTGTCGCCATCAATGACCCCTTCATTGACCTCAACAACACTGTCTACATGTTCCAGTATAATTCCGCCCATGGCAAATTCCACGGCACCGTCAAGGCTGAGAACGGGAAGCTTGTTATCAATGGAAATCTCATCACTATTTTCCAGGGGCAAGATCTCACCAAAATCAAATGGGGCAATGCTGGCACTGAGTACATCATGGAGTTCACCAGCATCTTCACCACCATGGAGAAGGCTGGGGCTCACTTGGAGGGAGGAGCCAAAACGGTCATCATCTCTGCACCCTCTGCTGATGCCCCCATGTTCGTGATGGGTGTGAACCATGAGAAATATGACAACAGCTCAAGATTATCAGCAATGCCTCCTGCACCACCAGCTGCTTAACGCCCCTGGCCAAGGTCATCCATGACAACTTTGGTACCGTGGAAGGACTCATGACCATCGCTGCCACCCAGAAGACTATGGATGGCTCCTATGGGAAACTGTGGGGTGACGGCCATGGGGCTCTCCAGAACATCCTCTCTGCCTCTACTGGTGCTGCCAAGGCTGTGAGGAAGGTCATCCCTGAGCTAAACGGGAAGCTCACTGGCATGGCCTTCCGTGTCCCCACTGCCAACATGTCAGTGGTGGACCTGACCTGCCGTCTGGAAAAACCTACCAAATATGATGACACCAAGAAGGTGGTGAAGCAGGCGTCAGAGGACCCCCTCAAAGGCATCCTGGGCTACTCTGAGCACCAGGTGGTCTCCTCCAACTTCAACAGACACCCACTCTTCCACCTTCGATGCTGGGGCTGGCATTGCCCTCAACGACCACTTTGTCAAGCTCATTTCCTGGTATGACAATGAATTTGGCTGCAGCAACAGGGTGGTGGACCTCTGCCCACAGTGTGGCTTCCAAGGAGTAAGACCCCCAGACCACCAGCCCCAGCGACAGCACGACGGGAAGAGAGCGGCCCTCACTGCTGGAGAGTCCCTGCCACACTCAGTCTCCCACCACACTGAGAATCTCCCCTCCTCATAGTTTCCATGCAGACCCCCTAAAAGGGAGGAGCCGAGGGAGCCCCACCTTTTCATGTACCATCAATAAAATCCCCTGTGCTTGCCAAAAAAAAAAAAACTTGTTGCTATTGAGATTTCTATCGACTTCAACTCAAATACTTCGTTTGATTCAAGCCCTTCTACATTTATCATTGTTAGTACTTAGTATCTCTCAGAAACAAAATTTCAATAAACATCCTTGAATTTAAAACAGCTTTTTATTATGCTTGTATTAAGATTCTTTATATAGAAATATATTTTTTGGACATGCACAGATGTTTATAATACATTACCCAGAGAAGACAGTAAGGCAAGAAATAGTTCATACAGTATGACCCTTCATCTATAAGGAAAATACTGTAGGTTTCTTGCCTTTAGTAAGGCAAGAAATAGTTTATGTAGTATGATTCCTTCATCTACAAGGAAAATAGTATGTATTGTGTCTGTTGGCGTTTTTTGGTACGATGACATTAGGCATTTTTAAGTTTCTTCCTTCTGAATATTTATTATTTTTTCAATAATGAATATATAATTATTTGTATAGTTAAAATAATATTCTTATATACCCAGAAAACAATTACTTTGCAATACAATTAACAGTAAATTCTAACTCCTTTTCTTCAATGAAAAAAAATTTAGTCATTGTTAATGTAACTATTACATAAATGTAACATGGATATGTGCTATTAATGTAGTTTAGTATGAAGTTTGATGGAACAAATAAGACCTATTGTATATTTCAGAACAGCTAGAAGAAGATAATCCGAATGTTTCTAGCATAAAGAAAAGATAAATATTTAAGGTGATAGATATCTCAATTACACTGATTTGATCTTTACAAATTATATGAATGTATTAAATTATCACACATATCCCCAAAATATGTATATCTAATATGTATCAATAAAAAAATTTTAATGTAGTTTAGATCAACTATAGTTACTTATCTAATTATTCTCTTTATACAAAGGGATGATGCGGCCAACTCTTTTCTTTATACAAAGGGTAATGCAGCGCAGTATGATAAATATTACCACTATATCAATACAGCTACATGGAAATCCACATTCAATATTGCTTTCCGATAATACCTCTGAAATATTCCTTTTAAGGACAGTACTTTCAGTAGGCTTTTGTGTTTGTGGTAGATACTTTAAACATTTCTTTTTTATCTTTAAATTCAGAGCCAAAAGTAGAAAGACATATGCAACTTGAACTTTTGTTATTGCTGTTGTTAAAAGTATTAATATGTATTTATTTCGATTGTTTCTTCTTTCAAAAAGTATTGAAACTAATATAATGAATAAGTAGTGCTAGAAAAATTGTGTTCTATATTTTATGCATCTCAAAGGTGACTACTATTTCATTTAAGGGAAAGAACAAAAGAGCTACTTTAAGATCATTTAATTTTGACTCAATTTAGAAAGTAATATTCTCATTTCAGAAAAATTTGGAATCTTTGTTTTAACTTGTAAAAATATACATGTAATAGTGGTAATTAACATATCAAAGGCAAGCTTAATTATGATCAGTATTACTTTTTTGTTTTTTTGGTTTTTTTTTTTGAGATGGAGTCTCACTCTGTCACCCAGGCTGGAGTGCAGTAGCAATCTCAGCTCACTGAAGCTTCTGCCTCCTGGATTCCAGCAATTCTCCTACCTCAGCCTCCCTAGTAGCTGGGATTACAGGCAACTACCACCACGCTCAGCAATTTTTGTATTTTTAGTAGAGATAGGGTTTCACCATGTTGGCCAGGCTGGTCTCGTACTCCTGACCTCAGGTGATCTGCCTGCCTCAGCCTCCCAAAGTCCTGGAATTACAGGTGTGAGCTACCATGCCCAGCCAATCTCTTTCAAAACAAAAAGGAAATTAATTTGCTATCTGTAAAAGGGAACCCAAATTGATTTGGAAATACTTTCTATTATCTTAAATCTTTTCTTTTTTTTTTTTTTGAGACAGAGTCTCGCTCTGTTACCAGGCTAGAGTGCAGTGGCGTGATCTCGGCTCACTGCAACCTCCACTTCCCAGATTCAAGCGATTCTCCTTCCTCAGCCTCCTGAGTAGCTGGGACTACAGGCACATGCCACCATGCCCAGCTAATTTTTGTATTTTTAGTAGAGATGGGGTTTCACCATGTTGGTCAGGATGGTCTCAACCTCTTGACCTCGTGATCTGCCCGCCTCAGCCTCCCAAAGTGCTGGGATTACAGGTATGAGCCACTGTGCCTGGCCAAATCTTAAATCTAGAGAGAAATCTAGAGACTGGAAGTCCTAGCCAAAACAATTAGGCAAGCAAAAGAAAAAAAAAAAGGCATCCATATTAGAAAGGAAGAAGTTAAATGGTCTCTGTTTGCAGACAATATCATCATATACATAGAAAACCCTATAAACTCCAACAAAAAACTGTTACAACTAATAAATTCAGGAAAGTTCCATGATACAAAATCAACATATAAAAGTCAGCAGTGTTTCTAATACACTAACTATAAACTATCCAAAAATATCAAAAAAGCAATCCCATTAATAATAGCTACAAAGGGTGGGTGTGGTGGCTCATGCCTGTACTTTGGGAGGCATTTTGGGAGGCTGAGGCGGGTGGATCACATGAGGCCAACAGTTTGAGACCAGCCTAGCCAATGTGGTGAAACCCCATCTCTACCAAAAATACAAAAATTAGCCAGGTATGGTGGTGCGCACCTGTAATCCCAGCTACTCAGGAGGCTGAGCCATGAGAATCACTTGAACCCAGGAGGCAAAGGTTGCAGTGTGCCAAGATCATGCCACTACACTCCAGACAAAGTAAGATTGTCTCAAAACAATAATAATAATAATGATAGCCACCAAAACAACAAAATACTTAGGAATAAATTTAACCAAAGAGGTGAAATATCTGTATGTGGAAAACTACAAAACATTGATGAAAAAAATTTAAGACACAAATAAATGGAAAGATGTTCCATTTCATGGATTGGAAGAATTAATATTGTTAAAATGACCACACTACCCAAAGAGATCTACAGATTCAGTACAATCCCTATCAGAGTTCCAATGACATTTTTTCACAGAAATATAAAAATAAAGATTAAAAAATTCATATGAACCACAAAAGGCCCCAAATGTCCAAAGCAATCTTAGGCAAAAAGAACAAAGCTAGAGGTATCATACTACCTGATTTCAAAATATACTGTTAAGTTATGGTAATCACAACGGCATGGTACCAGTATAAAAACAAACACAGAGACCAAAGAAAGAGAATAGACAGCCCAGAATGAAACAGAATAGACAGCCCAGAAATAAATCCATGCATTTGCAGTCAACTGATTTTTTACAAAAGTGAAATGGAGAAAGAACAGTCTCTTCATTAAATGGTGACGGGAAAACTGGTTTTCCAAATGCCAGAAGAATGAAATTAGACCCTTATTTCACACCATATTAAAAAAAATCAACTCAATAGGTAAAGAAAAATGTAAGACTTGAAACTATAAAACTTCTACAAGAAAATTTAGGGGAAAAGCCTCATGATAGTAGTTTGGGCAATGATGTTTTTAGATATGACCCCAGTGGCATAGGCAAAAGCAAAAATAGACAAATGGAATTATAATAAACTAAAAAGCTCAGCACAGCAGTCAGTCAACAGAGTGAAGAGACAACCTATGGAATAGGAGAGAATATCTGTGAACCATACATCTCATAAGGGATTAATTCAAAATATATAAGGAACTCAAATAACTCAGTAACAAGAAAACAAATAACCTGTTCTTAAAATGAGCAAAATACCAGAATACACAGTTCTCAAAAGAGGACATATAAATGACCTACAGGTTTATGAAAAATTGCTCAACATCACTAATCATCACAGAAATCGAAATTAAAAGCACAGTGAGATATCACCTCACACTTGTTAGAACGGCTATACCAAAAAGATGAACAATAAGTATTGGCGAGGAACCTGAGGAAAGGAAACTCTTATTCACTGTTCAGTGGGAATGTAAACTAGTAAATCTATTATGGAAAACAGTATGGAAGCTTCTCAAAAAATTAAGAATAGAACTACCAAATGATCTAGTAATAACACTACTGGGTACATATCCAAAGGAAATGAAATCAGTATGTCTAGGAGATATCTGCACTCACTCCCATGTTCACTACAGCATTATTCACAATGGCCAAGATATGGGATCAAGGTAAGAGTCCATTAACAGATGAATGGATAAAGAAAATGTGGTACACATACACACTAGGATACCACTCAGCCTTAAAGAAGAAAGAAATTCTGTCATTTGCAACAATACAGATGAACCTTTAGGATATTACGTTAAGTGAAATAAGCCAGACACAGAAAGACAAATACCACATGATCTTACATGTGGAACCTAAAAATAGTCAAACTCATAGTAGCAAAGAGAAGAACGGTAGTTACCAGAGGATAGGAGAAAGGTAGGGGGAGCGGGTTGCGGGATTAGGGAAATGCTGGTTAAAAGGATACAAAATTTCAGTTAAACAGGAGGAATGAGTTCAAGACATCTATTGTACCACATAGTGACTATTGCTAAGGATAATTTATTATATACGTGAAAACTGCTAAAAGTAGATTTTAGCATACTCACCACAAATAAATGATATGAATGTGAAATAATGCATATGCTAATTAGCTTGATTCTACCATTTCACAATGTATACATGTTTCAGAACATCCTCTGTACATCATAAATATATGCAATTTTATTGTCAAATTTAAAATAATAATAATAAATTTTAAATTCGTTAAAAAACTTACAAAAATAAATAAAGACACAAGTTGCATATAAAATAAAAGTTGACATACCTTGGCTTCCGAAACACCAAACTATATTGTTGGCAAGCCAGACCCACAGTGGGAGTATAAACAATAGGCATGAATTTCTCAATGTCAGATGTCAGCACTCTATAAAAGAGTTTTTCATTTCTATCTTGGAGATCCATTAAGAGAAGATACCTGTAAAAATTGGACATAATTAGATCTACATCCCATAAAGTCATGAAATAGCTACTTAGAAATCTAATTAAATATTTTCAACCAAGTATAAAGTACATTTAGGTTACATAGAAAACATCTGATTAAAAAAGACTTAAGAAATATTCTTTTCTTTTTCTTTACGACAGAGTCTTGGCCGGGCACAGTGGTTCATGCCTGTAATCCCAGCACCTTGGGAGGCTGAGGTGGGCGGATCACAAGATCAGGAGTTCAAGACCAGCCTGGCCAACATGGTGAAACTCCGTCTCTACTAAAAATACAAAAGTGGCCGGGCATGGTGGCTCACGCCTGTAATCCCAGCACTTTGGGAGGCAGAGGCGGGTGGATCACGAGGTCAGGAGTTCAAGACCAGCCTGGCCAACATGGTGAAACCCCATCTCCTGAGTAGCTAGGATTACGAGGGCATGCCACCACACCCGGCTTATTTTTTATTTTATTTATTTATTTATTTATTTTGAGACAGAGTCTCGCTCTGTCGCCCAGGCTGGAGTGCAGTGGCATGATCTTGGCTCACTGCAACCTCTGTCTCCTGGGTTCAAGCGTTTTCTCCTGCCTCAGCCTCCCAAGTAGCTGGGACTACAGGCGTGCACCAACAAGCCCGGCTAATTTTTTTTGTATTTTTAGTAGAGACAGTTTCACCATGTTGGCCAGGCTGGTCTTGAACTCCTGACCTCAAGTGCTCTGCCTGCCTTGGCCTCCCAAAGTGCTGGGATTACAGGCATGAGCCACCGCACCCAGACAAGAAATACTCTTAAATATTGCAAAGAATAAAGAACCATAAACTTAACTAATATCATGCAAACATTAAAATCACTGCTGAAATAGCACAGTTTTATTTAATACTTGAAGAGACTTTATCCCTATTTTAAAAGAGATGAAAATATAACTATAGATTTAGTATTAACTAAGTTAATAGAAAGATTTCATCCTTTGACTTGCAGTATTGAATAACCAAGGGAAATGACATACAGGAAATAAGTAAGAGAATGTAACACTCATCCTAAAAATAACTAAGGTAGGGAAGTTCAAGAAACTTTTCTTTGTATCTGTATCTTATGGCCTTTTTCTTTCTAGAAGCATTTCTGACCCAGAGTTATCTTTGTAAATATAAACCTCTTCATGATATCTGTAACCTTCAATAGTTTATAGAATAAAACGTAAACTGCTCAGTTCAACTTAAAAGAATCTTGCAAAACTACTCAACAATCTTACCAGCCATTTTGAATTGATTTTCATTCCCTAGAATAGTTGAAAATGCACAGAATTCTGAGTAAGAGATGCATGGATTCCAATGTTTGGGCAATTAGATAGACATAACCCAGAAAATAAACATGTGGAAGACAAAGAGTTTAACTTTAGACATGATAAAATTAATTTGGCAATGTGGAAATTAGCATTGCTAAATCAATGGTCCATTCTCAGACCTCATCTTACCTATCAGAATATTTGACACAGGAGATATTCCTCAGGGCTCAATACACTTTCTTTCATTGACTTCCAATCTATCATATTCTCATGGTTTTCCTCCTATCTCTCTGGTCATTCCTTTTCTGTTTCCTTGCTGTTTTCTCCTTGATATGGTTTGGGTGTTTGTCCCTTCCAAATCTCATGTTGAAATGTAATCCCCAGTGCTGGAGTTGGGTCCTGGTGGGTATTTGGATCATGGGGGTGGATCCCTCATGAATGGCTTAGCACCAATCCCTTTGTGATGAGTTCTTGCTCTGAGTTGATGTGAGATTTGGTTGGCACTTCCTTCCTATCTTGCTCCTGTTTCCACCATGATTGTAAGCTTCCTGAGGCCCTCACCAAGGCAGCAGATAATTGGTGCCATGTTTGTACAACCTGCTGAACCATGAGCCATTTAAATCTCCTTTCTTTATAAATTACCCAGCCTCAGGTATTTCTTTATAGCAATGCAAGAACAGACTAACATACTCCTCTTCTCTGAAAGCTTTCTAACACTCATGTGAAATACATGAATAAATTGTGTTGGCTTTACTTTCAAAATATATCCAAAATCTGACCACCTTTATTGCTACCACCCTAGATCTAAATCACCATCATCTCTTGACTGGATTATTCTAATGGTCTCCTAAAAGCCATCCCAGCCTACATTCTATTCTCAACATTGCAGCCAGTCTTTCTGAAATTATAGCTTAGATCATGTGGCTCTTCTGGTCAAAAACCTCAAGAGGCTACCCTTTCCATTCATAGTATAGCAGAAGTCTTTAATAGGCTACAAAGCCATACCTAATCAACCGCCCATTACCTCGCTAACTTCCTTTCCCAATTTACCATTCTTTCCCTAACTCATTCTGCTCTAGACACAAGTCTCCCTGCTGATTCTTGAACATGCCAGCTACAAAACGCTGTTCCTCAGATTTCTTCATGGCTAACTGCTCCACCACCTTTGATTATTTGCTCAAAACTCACCTTCTCAATGGAGATTACCCTTATCACCCAACTCAACAATGCAAACTGGCCATAACTCCCCTCAGCATTCTCAGCTCCTCTTTACCCTGCTCTACCTTTATTTCCCCCATCCCAAGACACTAGCCATTTTCTAGCATATTTTATAATTTACCAATTTGTATTACTATTTACAAAATTTAATAATTTGTATTTAAAAATAAGCCAGGCATGGTGGAGCATGCCTGTAGTCCTAGCTACTTGGAAGGGTGAGGCAGGAGAACTGTTTGAGCCCAGGATGTTGAGACTACAGTGAGCTATGGTCACGTCAGTGCACTGCAGCCTGGGCAATAGAGTGAGACCCTTTCTCAAAATAATAATAATTTTTAATAATTTATGTAAATTTCATGAGGTCAGAGATCATTGTCTATAACCCCAATATCTAAAAGAGTACCTGACACTGAATTGATGTTCAATATATATCGAGGAACAGTCTGTAGCAAATATATGAAGGTCACCAGCTCTTAGCAGGTAGCTGATAAAATGGCCCAGGAAAAGAATATAAAGTAAGGACACAAGCAGCTAAAGGAAGATGTTATGGAACAAATGAAAGAGAAGGTTGCGAAGGAGTTTAAAAAGAAGCAACTGTATACACGTCGGACAAACTGAGTCAGCCTTTTTGCCCAGCCACCCCATCACATCCACTGGGCTCATGAACAAAGTGGCCATGGTGGCAGGGATAGAGGTTATGCATAGGCTCAGCAATATGGACTTTCACTCACCAAGGCCAACCTGGCTATTATAGCCACTTCTGAGTGTTCAATCTGCAGCAGAGACTAACACTGATTCCCTGATGTGGCACCATTCTCCAGGGTAATTAGCCAGCTAGCTACCTGGTGGCAAGTTCATTACACTCAACAGCTTCCATTATGGGAAGGACAACTTTTTTTTCTGGCATAGACCCTTAGTTTGGATCTAGATATGCTTTCCCTGCATGCAATGCTCCTGCCAAAGCTACTATTCATGGACTTACAAAATGCCTTACCTACCCTCATGGTATTCCACACAGCATTGCTTCTGATCAAGGAACTCACTTTAGAGCAAACGAAGTGTGGGGAATGAGCACATGCTCATGAAACTCACTAGTTTTACAATGTTTCCCAACAATCTGAAGCAACTGGCTTGACAGAACAGTGGAATGTACTTTTGAAGACTCAGTTACCAGCAAAGTGCCAATACCTTGCAAAGCTGAGGCAAGGTTCTCCAGGAGGCTGTATGTGCTCTCAATCAGTGTCCAAAAAAATGGTGCTGTTTTTCTCATAGCCAGGATTCATAGGTCTAGGAATCAAGGGGTGGAAATGGAAATGGCACCTCTCACTAACAACCCTAGTGTCACACTAGCAAAATTTCTCCTTTCTACCCCTGTGACTTTATGCTCTGCTGGTCTAGAGGTCTTCATTCCAAACGGAAGAATGTTTCCATCAAGAAACACAATAATAAACCCATTGAACAGGAAATTAAGACTGCCACCTGACCACTTTGAGCACCACATGCCTCTGAATTAACAGGCCAAGAAAGGAGTTACTGTGCTGACTGGGAAAAATTGATCCTGACTACCAAGAGGAAACTAAACTGTTACACTACAGTGGAGGCGGGAAAGAGTATGTCTGAAATACAGGAGACCCCTTAGGGTAGCTCTTAGTATTACCATGCCCTGTGATTAAAGCTAATGAAAACAACAATCCAATTCAAGCAGGATTACTAGTGGCCCAGACCATTGAGGATTGAAGGTTTGAGTCACCCTCACCAGGTAAAGAACCACAATCAGCTGAGATACTTGCTGAGGGCAAAGGGGATATGGATTGGGTCATGGAAAAAGGTAGTTATAAACACCAGCTATGACCATGTGATCAATTAAAGAAAAAGAAGACTGTAATTGCCATAAGTATTTCTTCCTTGTTTTGCTATTAATATGTGTGTATACATATAAAAGCAACAATCCATATGCAAATTTCAGAAAATATCATTTTCTTCCTTCTCTTATCACCTTATCTGATAACATAAGATATACTGACTCTGCATCATAGTATTTAAGTACTGCTAACATTACATCATAGTGTTTAAGTTAAGGAATATCGACGAGAGTAAACATCACCCAAGGATTTGGCATCTTCTTTTGAGGATAGGGTTGGTGCATTTTTGGTTGTATGCAAGATAGTTTATTGTGTTAGGTGGAAGTATGGATCTTGTTATTGCCTTTATTCAAAGATTAAGTATGATTTGAGGAGATTCATATGGGTGGTGTCATAGTCCATTCAGTTTGCTATGACAAAAATACCATAGACTAGGTAGCTTATGAACAACAGAAATTGATTTCTCATAGTTTTGTAGGCCAGGAAGTTCAAGGTCAAGCTGCCAGCAGATTCTGAGCCTGATAAGGACACATTCCACATAGACAGCACATTCTCGCTGCATCCTCACATGAGGGAAAGGGAAAGGCAGCTTTCTTAGGCCTCTTTTATTTTTTTATTTTTTATTTTACTTTAAGTTCTGGGATACATGTGCAGAATGTGAGGTTTGTTACATAGGTATACATGTGCCATGGTGGTTTGCTGCACCTATAGACTGTCATCTAGGTTTTAAGCCCTGCATGCATTAGGTATTTATCCGAATGCTCTCCCTCTCCTTTCCTCCACCCCACGACAGGCCCTGGTGTGTGATGTTCCCCTCCCCGTGTCCATGTGTTCTCATTGTTCAATTCCCACTTATGAGTGAGAACATGTGGTGTTTAGTTTTCTGTTCCTATGTCAGTTTGCTGAGGATGATGGTTTCCAGCTTATCGATGTCCCTGCAAAGGACATTAACTCATTCTTTTTAATGGCTGCATAGCATTCTATGGTGTATATGTGCCACATTTCCTTCATCCAGTCAGTCTATCATTGATGGGCATTTGGGTTGGTTCCATGTCTTTGCTATTGTGAATAGTGCCGCAGTAAACATACGTGTGCATGTGTCTTTATAGTAGAATGATCTATAATTCTTTGGGTATATAACCAGTAATGGTATTGTGGGGTCAAATGGTGTTTCTGGTTCTAGATCCTTGAGGAATCGCCACACTGTCTTCCACAATGGTTGAACTAATTTACACTCCCACCAACAATGTAAAAGCATTCCTATTTCTCTACAGCCTCACCAGCATCTGTTGTTTCCTGATTTTTTTAATGATCGCCATTCTAAGTGGTGTCAGATGGTATTTCATTGCGGTTTTGATTTGCATTTCTCTAATGACCAGTGATGATGAGTTTTTTTTCATGATTTTTGGCCGCATAAATGTCTTCTTTTGAGAAGTGTCCGTTCATATCCTTTGCCCACTTTTTGATGGAGTTGTTTTTTTCTTGTAAATTTGTTTAAGTTCTTTGTAGATTCTGGATATTAGCCTTTTGTCAGATTGACAGATTGCAAAAATTTTCTCCAATTCTATAGGGTGCCTGTTCACTCCGATGATAGTTTCTTTTGCTGTGCAGAAGCTCTAAGCTCTTTGGTTCAATTAGATCCCATTTGTGAATTTTGGCTTTTGTTGCCACTGCTTTTGGTGTTTTAGTCATGAAGTCTTTGCCCATGCCTATGTCCTGAATGTATTGCCTAGGTTTTCTTCCAGGGTTTTTATGGTTTTAGGTCTTACGTTTAAATCGTTAATCCATCTTGAGTTAATTTTTGTATAAGCTGTAAGGAAGGGGTCCAGTTTCAGTTTTCTGCATATGACTAGCCAGTTTTCCCAACACCATATATTAAATAGGGAATCCTTTCTCCATTGCTTGTTTTTGTCAGGTTTATCAAAGATCAGATGGTTGTAGATGTGTGGTGTTATTTCTGAGGCCTCTGTTCTGTTCCATTGGTCTATATACCTGTTTTGGTACCAGTACCATGTTGTTTTGCTTACTGTTGCCTTGTAGTATAGTTTGAAGTCAGGTAGCATGATGCTTCCAGCTTTGTTCTTTTTGCTTACAATTTTCTTGGCTATGCAGGCTCTTCTTTGGTTCCATATGAAATTTAAAGTAGTTTTTTCTAATTCTGTGAAAAAAGTCAATGGTAGCTTGATGGGTATAACATTGAATTATAAATTACTTTGGGCAGTATGGCCATTTTCACAATATTGATTCTTCCTATCCATGAGCATGAAATGTTCTTCCATTTGTTTGTGTCCTCTCTTATTTCCTTGAGCAATGGTTTGTAGTTCTCCTTGAAGAGGTCCTTCACATCCCTTGTTAGTTGTATTCCCGGGTATTTTATTCTCTTTGTAGCAATTGTGAATGCGAGTTCATTCATGATTTGGCTCTCTGCTTGTCTATCTTTGGTGTGAAGGAATACTTGTGACTTTTGCACATTGATTTGATATCCTGAGACTTTGCTGAAGTTGCTTATCAGTTCAAGGAGTTTTGGGGATGAGAGGATGGGGTTTTCTAAATATAAAATCATGTCATCTGCAAACAGACTATTTGACTTCCTCTCTTCCTATTTGAATATGCTTTATTTCTTTCTCTTGCCTGATTGACCTAGCCAGAACTTCCAATACCATGCTGAATAGGAGTAGTGAGAGAGGGCATCCTTGTCTTGTACCGGTTTTCAAAGGGAGTGCTTCCAGCTTTCGCCCACTCAGTATGATATTGGCTGTGGGTTTGTCATAAACAGCTCTTACTATTTTGAGATATGTCCCATCAGTACCTAGTTTATTGAGAGTTTTTTTTGTTGTTGTTGTTGTTTTTTTTTTTTTTTTTGAGACGGAGTCTCGCTCTGTCGCCCAGGCTGGAGTGCAGTGGCGGGATCTCGGCTCACTGCAAGCTCCGCCTCCCGGGTTCACGCCATTCTCCTGCCTCAGCCTCCCAAGTAGCTGGGACTACAGGCGCCCGCCACTATGCCCGGCTAATTTTTTGTATTTTTAGTAGAGACGGGGTTTCACCGTTTTAGCCGGGATGGTCTCGATCTCCTGAACTCGTGATCCGCCCACCTCGGCCTCCCAAAGTGCTGGGATTACAGGCGTGAGCCACCGCACCCGGCCAAGAGTTTTTAACATGAAGCGATGTTTAATTTTGTCAAAGGCCTTTTCTGCATCTATTGAAATAATCATGTGAGTTTTGTCATTGGTTCTTTTTATGTGATGGATTACGTTTATTGATTTGCATATGTCGAACCAGCCTTGCATCCCAGGGATGAAGCCAACTTGATTGCGGTGGATAAGTTTTTTGATGTGCTGCTGGATTCGGTTTGCAAGTATTTTATTGAGGATTTTCACATCGATGTTCATCAGGGATATTAGCCTGATGTTTTCTTTTTTTGTTGTGTCTCTTCCCAATTTTGCTATCAGGATGATGCTGGCTTCATAAAATGAGTTAGGGAGGAGTCCCTCCTTTTCGATTGTTTGGAATAGTTTCAGAAGGAATGGTACCAGCTCCTCTTTATATTTCTGGTAGAATTCAGCTGTGAATCCATCTGATCCTGGGTTTTTTTCGTTGGTACTCTGGCCTCTTCTTTTTAGAGTACTAATCCCATTTCATGAGGGTGCCATTTTTACGACCTAATCATCACCCAAAGTCCTCACCTCCAAATAACATCACACTGGGGATTAGATTTCAACGTACGAATTTGCAGGGGGACACAAACATTCAATCCATAGCAAACATGGTGTATCAACATTTGGTCAAACACTATTCTGGATGTTTCTGCACAGGTGTTTTTGGATGAGATTAACATCTAAATTGGTGGACTTAAATAAATCAGATTACCCTCCAAAATATGGGTGGGCCTCCTCCAAATGGCTGAAGGCCTTAATAGCACAGACAGACCTCCTGTCTAGCAAAAATAAATTTTGCCAGCACACTGCCTTTGGACTCAACTGCAACTCTTCCTTCAGTCTTCAGCCTGACAACCTACCTGAAGATTTTGGATTTAACAAGCCTTCTCCCTCTCCTTCTTTCTCCCTCTATCCATTTATATTTATATTTTCATTCATACACACACACACACACACACACACACACACACATCCTATCAGCTCTGCTTCTTCGGAGAACCCTGAGTAACACCCTGATTAACACCAACACTTATTTGATATTGAGTTGGCTACCTCTTTTAACCCTCACAACAATCTTTTCAAATAGCTGTTGTTCTCTCTAATCCATGGATGAAAAAAACTAAGGTCTACAAAGGCTTAGTACCTTAGTAAGAAAGAGTGGAGTCAAAAACAGACAGCAAAGCAGTTACAGTCGCCATGGCAGGGCCTGTAGTGGTTGCTCAAGGATCTACTGCTAGTGAGATAGAGCCTGAATTTCAATCTAAGGTTATCTAAACCCAAAGGTAGGGAAAAATATTATATTTATCTTTGTGCAAATACAGAAACTGAATACACTATCCAAAGTAAGTGACCTAAACTTGCAACTGTGTTGGAACAGAGACTGGAGGCTAGAAAAGTGTGCTTTCAACTACAATATACTTAAAGTGTGACTAAAAGCCACTCTAACCTGTTTTATTCTGTTCAGGATGGCATTTCCTGATCATTTGCTTTTGCAGTATCATATGATAAACATGGTCTGTCTGAGCACGCAGTTTAGAAAGCAAAATTTTATTTCATTCAAATGTTCCTAAAGAGAGTAAATTTTTTAAAAACATCATTGTGTTTACAGGAAAATTCTTCTCAAAGTTGGCTACCCTTTCCAAATCATTAAATGTTTTCATTTTCTCACCCAATAAAAAATAAACTAGACAACTGCATAAGAGAAATATAAAAACCACCTTCAGCAATGTGTTACCTGTCAAAGTCAGAGTTCAGATGCTCGAAATTTTTTACTACTCTAAGAACCTGGATCTCCTGACTGTTGAAGGAAGGTGGCAACAATCCATGAATGTTCAATTGCTGTCTCTCTTCCAGGGTAAAGGCCAAGTCCTATAGAGAAAAAACACACACACACACACAACAGTATTTGAGAGGAAAATAGACAAAAAGCATACATATAAAATCTGACAAGTATATGCAATTAAAAATCCGAAGTCTGCGTCACTGGAAGCATGGCCATGTGGCTGTGAGTAAACCATGTAAGCTCTCCATATCTCAGTTTCCCTATCTGTAGAAATTAGAATACTATAATATTTCAGAGCTGTGCCACTCAGAGATAATTAGGATAAAATCAGATGATGAATGGAAGGAAACTACTTAAAGACACAAAAATGAAAGAAGATATAATCATTATTATCAATGTCAGTACATATAAAAATAAAAAGTCATTATTAGAAGAGATTTTAAAATTATGAATGTGAGTAAGTCACCTGTGACCTGCTGTGATTCCACCTTTAAAATAGGTCAGGAAATGCCTTATATGATTCTGAGTTACCTGTTTCAACATTCCTCTCCCAAGTTGTAGCCTTTGATTCTTATGTACTCCTAGGCATACAAAACTTCTCACCATTGTCCATACATACCACACCCTTTTATTCTTCCATGGCACATGGTCAAGATATTCTTCCCTGTTTCTCTGCCCTTTATGTCTTACCTCAAATGCTTCCTCCTGTCTAAAGCCTCAGTATATCCATTACAACCCTATTATTATACCTATGTTACCTGTTTACATGAACATTGATTGTATAAAACAAATGATAATAACAAGCTATGAAGCTCAAAAACATGAAAACTAAATAGAAATTATGCATTGATGCATAAACCATAATGGACCTAAGATATTTGCTGGCATTAATACAAGACAAAGTAATATCAGAGCAGCTCCCGTAGTCATTAAGAAAATGATGTGGTAGATTGGGATAAGGAGTCCCTCTGGAGAGGCATCTGATTGGAGACACTGAAGCCCAAGAGACTTCTTTATCTAGACTATGACTGCTGTTCCTCTGGGTCCAGGATAAGTACACCAATATGATATGATAGTTGGTGTTATGGTCTGAACATTTGAGTCCCCCAAAATTCACATTGAAATCCTCACCCCCAAGGCGATGGCATAGGAAGAAGGGCCTTTGGGAGGTGATTAGGTCATGAGAGCAGACCCCTCATGTATAGGATTATTACCCTTATAAAAGGTACCTCAGAGAGCTTTTCACCCCTTCTGCCATGTGAGGACACAGCAAGAAGACCACTGTCTACAAATAAGGAAGCAGACCCCTCACCAAACACCAAATTTGCAGTACCTTGATGTTGGACTTCCCAGCCTCCAGAGCTGTAAGAAATAAATTTATTTTGCTTATAAGCCAGCCAGTACATGGTATTCCGTTATGGCAGCCTGAAGGGACTAAGATAGTTAGTTTTGCTCATTGTCACTACTGCTATCTCTAATCAACCTGGATAGGTAAGAATGTGTTCATTAACTTTGCACTGAGTGATTCTACAATCATTCCTCTGTCCCTGAAAGCTTCTTGCAATGACAGAATAGTGGCTCTTGAGTACTTATAAAGTGTATTACTAGAGGGAAAGGAGAGACAATTCGGTTCATCCCACAGGGAGGTGACAAACCCTGATTGGTTAGGAATAAACACGTCCAAACCCAGGAAGTTTGTGAAAGAGGTCAATGAATGAACAATCCTCTCTTTCTTCTAATTTTTCATATAGATATACCCATTAATTCATGTCACTGATGGAAAGGTTTGTGTTTAATTAGCCTCCTGGGTTGAGGGCCAGACTGAAGAGAGACAAATTGGTCCACTGAATGACGCCATGATAGAGCTCTCTGAGATAACTGCAAGAGCGGGCTGGGACCAATGGTTTCAGAATCTTCAGCGCAAGAAGCAGTGCACAACCTTCAATTCTCATAAGGTCTCTAAGTGCTATCACCACAGCTGGTGTCTAGTTGCAAGATATTTTTCATTAGCAGCCATTCTCATAGCTGCAAAAGCCCCCATTGTTACAGTTGGGCGTCCTCTGAAGTTCAATTTGTGTGGACAGCAGCAGAATGGTCTCTTTCCAAGAGGATAATCCAGTATGTTCAATTGTGTCTGGACCAATCATCCTCTCCTGGACCTAAATGGCAGATGGTACAATCTGTCAGTCCTTTACCCAGCAGTTCCAGCTGGCACCAGGAGACATCCGTGGTATCGCCTGAAGTCTTTGCTTGCCATTTACTTTTTTACTTTTGGTTTGCACCCCCACAACAGAATGAAAACTCCACGGGGCCACAGAATTTTGTTTTCTTCACTGCTTTCTCCCTAGTGCTTACAACAGTGCCTGACATAAATAGAACTCAGAAATTTGTTGCAATAAAATTTTAACATAGTCAATAGAATATTTATAATTCATTAGAATTTATTATGAGAAAATTTAGAATTCATAGAAATTTTCAAACATTCAATTTTAGAGATATTAAAATTTATAAAATCTATTAAATTGCTGCTCAAAAACCTGATTAGCATATTCATTCTGATCAAATTACTTTTAAAATTCAAAGCAACAAGAGATATTTGTATGAAAAAGTAATTTATAAAATGGAAGACAAACTTCACTTGTTGAAGATATAACTGGGAAGACAACATTTAAACCAAAATGTCATGAAATAACTCCTTGGAATGAAACAAAATTATGGACAGTAATATATTTGAAAAAGAAAGAAGAGAAAACTCAATAGATTTTTATCTAACTAGAAAATGAAAAGGGGAAAGGAAAGCTGGCTAAAGTCTCAAAAATATATAAATATATGTGAAGAAGCAGTAAACTTCTGAGTGTTATGCCTTGAAAATCTGCCCAAAAACATAATAATCAAAATATCAATATTTTGATAAGTCTTGTGAGATGTACTAACATATGCCCTTTCATTCCCTTAATAATGGCACTTAACAACATTTATTGTTATAGTTAGCCAGTCTTTTAACATAAATTTTCCAATGGCATGTTCTGAAACTGATTCCTAAATCTAACGATTCTCCATATCTTATGCCATGTAAATGATAATGCCATCTGGAAATCTTTTTATATTCTTTGATGTTTAGCAACTACAAACTCCCATATACCATTAGCCAAATTTTCCAAAACACACTAAAGTGCCAATTCAATCCTTTTAAAAACAACAGCAACAAAACCTAGGGCTTAGAAATCTAGGGAACTGGGCCAAGTTAAAATCCTAGGATTGTGGAGAAAAATACTCCTATGGGCCGGGCGTGGTGGCTCACGCCTGTAATCCCAGCACTTTGGGAGGCCAGGGCAGGCGGGAGTTTGAGACCAGCCTGGCCAATATGGTGAAACCCCATCTCTACTAAAAATACAAAAGTTAGCCGGGCGTGGTGGCATGTACCTGTACTCCCAGCTACTTGGGAGGCTGAGGCAGAAGAATCGCTTGAACCTGGGAGGCGGAGGTTGCAGTGAGCCGAGATTGCGCCACTGCACTCCAGCCTAGGTGACAGAGCAAGACTCCGTCTCAAGAAAAAAAAAAAAACTAGTCCCATGACTGGGTTTACATTCTATTACCACCCTTTACAAGTTAAAAGAACATCAACAAATAAGTAAACTTAAATCTTAAAATCCCTGAAAAAATTTAAAATGGATATTGTATTATTTCTTTAAAGCCACAGTTTCTATTTTTCATACTAACAGAGACATATTCATTAGAGATATATTTTGTAGAAATTTATAAACAGGTCAGTTATGTGTAAAGTTTGAAGTAAAATAGTTCAAAGAATTTTTACCTTAGCATTATCCTGCAGGGCCTATCCAACAAAGGATAATTAACCCAAATTATACATGCAGGTTCTAACTGTCATTTGATTTCTACCAAGTCTTTCATGTAGTTGAAGATATCAGACGTCTATATAGATATATTAGGTTTCCAGACCACCTGTACATCTAATTCTCTAAAGACATCCTCATATATGCTAAGTTTGATCCTGGTTTTTCTCCTTTTTTGTCTTTTCTTTGCTTTCCCTATTCCTTATAAAACCTTTGGACTAGATCCCTAGACAGCAGAATGGTACGTTGTTTCACTGCTAAGGGCAGCAAACAGGGCAACTATTCTTCTGGACTGTGCTAATTAACCTATGTATATCTTCTTGACAAAACTGAGACTGTCAAGCAGAAATGAAAAGAAAATTCCTGACATGACGAAGGACTTATATTAGAAATGATATTTGCAGGGAGCAAGCATAACTGAGAAAGAAACTTTGTCCTGAGTAATTTATCAGAAACTATTGCCATAAAAACAGAACAAATATATTCTGTATTCCGCACTAACAATCCTTAATATTTCCAATGAATGACTTTTTTTCCCTGAAAAATTACTAAATCAAGCTGAATTGCAAAAAAAAAGGAAACATTTATCTTATTCATAAAGATCTTTAAGACAATTAATCTATACATGTATGAAAATTCATTATGGTAACAGAACTTATAATTTAAATATTTGAGGCTATGATTATATTACGGCAGAGATGGTTTGTGTGTTCTGTTTAACTAGTGTAATCTCTAGTGTCTAGAATAATACTTGTGTGGCACTTCATAGGCAATCAAAAAAATGTGTCGGATTAACTAACTAATGATTAATTAATTATACTTGTTATAGTACATTTTGGAGAAGACAAAGCAGAAAAGAGAATAAGGAAGGTTAAAAATGGTAGAAAGGCAAATGGAAAGTAATAATTGCAAATAATTTGAAACAACAAAAGTCCTTCAACTAGTAAATGGATAAAACTAAGGTATATCCATACACTGAAATATTACCCAACAGTAAAAAAACAAAACTATTGATACACAAAACATAGATGAATCATGTTAAGTGAAAGAAGCCAGACTCAAAAGGCTACATACTGTATGATTCCATTTATATGACATTCTGAAAAAGCAAAGTTATATGAATAGAAAAAGATCAGTAGTTGCCAGGGACTGGGAGTGGAAAAAAGGGTTTGACTTCAAAGAGGGAGCAAAAAGAAAATGTTTTTCAGTGATAGAACCATTCCTTATTGTGGTGTTGATTACACAACATTGCATATTTGTCAAAACTAATAGAACTGTACATCCAAAAGTAAATTTCATTATATTGAATTTTATTAGACTCTATAGAGTCAATTCAGTAACTAATATTCTCTTTACTTAAAAAGAAATATAATTACAATGACTAAAAATTTGTTTAGCAAATTATTGATATATTTCATATTCCACCTCCTAGGCTCAAGTGATCCTCCTGCCTCAGTCTCCCAAGTAGCTAAGACAACAGGCACATGCCACCATGCTCAGCTAATTGTGTTTGTATTTTTTGGTAGAGACTGGGTTTCACCATGTTGCTCCAGACTAGGCTTGAACTCCTGAGCTCAAGCGATCTGCCTGCCTTGGCCTCCCAAAGTCCTAGGATTATTACACAATCAAATTAAACAAAGAATATTTTAGGCCAGGCACAGTGGCTCGCACATCCAGCCTAAAATATTCTTTATCTAATATGATTGTCTTTGAATCCTTTATGAAAATTTTTTCTTAATTTTTTATTTCAAATGAATTATATATATTTTATTAATGTGACCTTGCAAATAATATAGTAGATCTATCTTAAAATTATTTCTTCATATCAAAAAAGTTTTAGAATTAATTTTAATGCTAATTTGGGGGAGAAAATTATTTATATATAAAGAGTACAGAAAGAGGACCCTTTATATTTTTATTATTTATTATTCTGAAAGAGATAAAATTGAGCTTGTTTTAAGTGTCATATTTTCAATTTATTAACATAGTTTATGTGCATATTTTACATCTACATTAAGAGAATTGATACTAATTTGCCCTGAACACATTCTACTGAAGGGTTCCTTCCTCCAAGGCTTCTATAGTGCCAAAAATTGTTCTTTGGAAATGATTATTTTTAAATTCTAATTGATAATATAGATAACAATTTCTAGAATTGGCTGGGCATGATGCCTCACACCTGTAATCCCAGCACATTGGGAGGGTAAAGCAGAAGGATGGCTTGAGCCCAGGAGTGCAACACCAACCTGGGAAACACAGGGAGATACTACCTCCACAAAAATTGAAAATAAATTAGCCAGGTATGGTGGTGCATGCCTGTGGTCCCAGCTACTCAAGAGGCTGAGGTGGGAAGATCATTTGATCCTGGGAGGTTAAGGTTGCAATGAGCTGAGATCACACCATTGCACTCCAGCCTGGGTGACAGAGCAAGACCCCATCTTGAAAAAAAAAAAAAAAAAAAACTAAAAAAATTTATTTTTATGGTGGTATCCAACCTCATTTCCCCCCCAAAAAAAATCAGCCAGATGACATATGTATTTACACGGTAAAGTTTACATCAGAAAATAATCATATAAAAATAATTACTTTGAATGCATTTAACTATACAAACAAATTCTTTATTAGTCTCCTTTAAAGGACAGAAAACCAATTATTTAAGGCCAACAATATATTAAACACAGCTTCTTTACACAAAAGATCATTTGCTTTCATTCCATAGTAATTAATTTTTACTCATATCTGATATAAAGTAATTTTAACCTGTTAATGATTATAACAATATATCTAAAATATATTCAGCTAAGTCTTGGCCTTTGATACCCTAAAATTTACAGCAAAATATCACTTTATAGTACCCCAAAATTATTTCATTGAGGTATGAATATAGGATATAAGCAAGTGTAACAATTTTGTGATTTAAATGACATGTTTGCTTAAATTTTTTTTTAAAAAAAGAAAGAACACCTCTACCTAAGAGAGCAAATGGGTTTTTAAAACATTGGATGAGAGGTTTAAGTATTTCTCACTTAAAAGTCTTATTACTGATCGTTATAGATTCTTTGTAAGGCTGAAAAATTGTTAGCCAACAATGTCAACACTAAATTTTCCCAAATATATCTCTTGAAATCATTGAAATCATTTGAAAAATTTCAAAAGCTTTTCAGCAAGATGGAGCACTATTTTATCATAACAAGTTGTAAGGCAAATTTCACTGTCACTAAACCAATAGAGAAAAGTATCTGTTAAATAAGCAGATTGAGACTTCTCAGTAAATACCTGAAACTAGCAATGGACACAAATGATGAAAAATCAAAATTTAAGATCTTCAATTGAAACGTGTATGAATAATCCAAATAAACCACTGGTTGCCAATAGACTTCCTAGTTATCATACGTACCTTTATACTATTTTTTAAAATCTTATATATGTGACAAAATCCTCTATGCCTATGATAGTGTGTATAGTGATTACTCATATAATGAACCAGAAAGATCAGAATTATAAAATAATCCTCTATTGTGTCTTGATTTCTTAACTCTTCAAGCTAATAGAAGAATCTGCAGACTATGAACATTAGACAGCAATTCCAACACATTTAATTACCAATTAATTTACACACGAAGTTGCAAATGTCTGTTTCTTCCTGTGTCCTTTGCCTATTCCTGAATAATGATCTCCTTCAAGGGATAATTCTATCATAGAATGTCCCATAGTTCATTGTTTCTGCTTACCTGCCATTTTACCCAGGTCTGGAAGACAGGCACTATACTATTCATATTTGTATGACAGCACCTAGTACAATGTCGGGATGGAGCAGGGCCTTAATAAATTTTAAATAAGCAAATGGATGTATAAATACATTAATGTGAAACAAATTTTCAGTACTCTGTAGTTCGGTTCTGTGTAGTTCTATTTTGAATAACCAAATCACCGAATTCAAATTTCAAACAAAGATTTATTTATGCAATAGTACAAAGAGTGCTCATGATTTAAAAATCTCCCAAATAATAATTAAGCTTTCCACATATACCTTAGGAAATCATTTAATTAAACTAATCCACTATTAACAAGTTTTTTCATTGACTTTAAACCAGGCATTCAAGATCAACTTTGGTTTGACCAAAATATATATCTACATATCAGCATAAGTGCCAGAGTTTATGGGGATTTTTTAAAGTACTTTCATCTTGACCAGGTTTCTCAATCTTGGTACTAGTGACATTTTAGGACAGACAATTATTTGTTGTAGGCAGCTATTCAGTACATTTTTGGTATTTAATAGATTGTAATAAGCCATACACTAGAAATTTAGATGCACACTTCACCAACAAATATGACTGAATAGCAACATAAGACTAAAGGGTATACCATTTGTCAAGTTTGAGTCACAAGTAGATATTATTTAACACTTGATTTTGAGCAAATATTTAAGGTGTTAAGGGTTAAATGGAGATTTGCCTCAATTATTGCATCTGCTAAATAAGACTAATCAACTATTTACTGAACACATAGTACATGTTATGTGTGTTTCACTGGGTTGTTGGGAAGAAAAAAATGAGACCAGGTGTTTTTGCATCCTACGTAAATTATAAAGTGTTATATAAATGCTTATGGTACAAAGTTTTAAAATAAAGTCACTAATATGCACATGCTACATGAATATTGACTTTTATTCTTCACATTTCAGTATTGTCTGAAAGCCTCTGAGTTTAAGAATCAGTTTTCAGAGACCAAGGTCAGTGCTTCTGGTGAAGAACCAATTTAGCCCCCTATCAGAGGCTTTTAACTTAAAATTCACAGACCTAATCACAGATCCTCAAGGTATGGATGAGTAATTAAGGAGGCCTGAACTTGGACATCTTTTTCACAAACTCTATGAGATTTAGTATTTCCTTCCATTTTAAATGAAATAAACAAGAGACATAATAGTAGTTCCTGGCCAGGCACAGTGACTCACGCCTCTAATCCCAGCAGTTTGGGAGGCCAAGGCAGGAGGATCGCTTGAGCTCAGGAGTGCGAGACCAGCCTGGGCAACATAGTGAGATCCCCATCTCTACAAAAAAAAAGTAGAAAAAAATTAGCTGGGTGTGGTGGCATGCACCTGTAGTCCCAGCTACTTGGGAGGCAGAGGTGGTAGGATGTCTTTGGCCCGGGAAGTCAAAGCTGCAGTGAGTCAAGATCATGCCACTGCACTCCAGGCTGGGTGACAGAGTGAGATTTGTCTAAAAAAAAAAAAAAAAAAGTAGTTTCTGTGTCTTTGTCATAATAGAAATAACAATTATTTTTATGCCATGTTACATCTGTGGCATGTATCTGGAAATAACATTCATGTTCTTCATTACTTTGAAATTACTGTAGCTTTAGATCTGCAATAAGGTTTTGTTTTGCTTTGTTTTGCTTTGTTTAGAGACAGTCTGTTGCCCAGGATAGAGTGCGGTAGTATAATCATAGCTCACTGCAGCCTCGAATTCCTGGGCTCAAGCAATCCTCTTGCCTTAGCTTCTTGAGTAGCTGGAACTATACGCATACACCACCACATCTGGAAAAAAAATTTTTTTTTGAGACAGGGTCTCACTATGTTGCCCTGATTGATCTCAAATTCCTGTCCTTTGTCCTCAAGCAGTCTTCCTCCCTTGGCCTCCCAAAGTGCTGGGATTACAGGAGCCACTGTGCCTAACTAACATGTTTTTTTTGTTGTTTTTTGTTGTTGTTGTTGTTGTTGTTGTTTTGAGACGGAGTCTCACTTTGTCGCCCAGGCTAGAGTGAAGTGGCGTGATCTCGGATCATTGCAACCTCCGCCACCCAGGTTCAAGCCATTCTCCTGCCTCAGCCTCCTAAGCAGGTGGGACTACAGGCGCGTGCCACCATGCACAGCTAATTTTTGTATTTTTAGTAGAGACGGGGTTTCACCATGTTGGCCAGGATGGTCTCGATCTCTTGACCTTGTGATCCACCCGCCTTGGCCTCCCAAAGTACTGGGATTACAGGCATGAGCTACAACGCCAGGCCCAACTTTTTTTAATAACATGAACAGGCACACAGGCCAGTCATGCAGACAACCTTGATATTGATCTCTTTAAAAAATAAAACTTTACTTTAAATTGCCCATATTTAAATATATTATCTTGCTATATGAGTCTTCAATAAAGAGGAATATATCTTACAATACACACTTGTAAATATATTTGTTAATATTTTGATACCTATATTTAATTACAAGTGGTTTCCTTTGTAATATTATGTATACTGTTTATTTAAAATCATTGATTTAAGGAGACCACAGACTTCATCAACTTTCCAACTTTTGTGCCTTTGGCACAAAATATGTTGAAAACTGTTGCAGAGGACTGTTTCAGTTTCTTAAGGGATATATACCTCAGACATGATATTCCCAGAAACACCACAAGATGGCTTTCTTGCTTCAGATCCACTGTGGAGATTTGCAGAAATGTTTTCTCTCTGCTTTTACAGTTACTTTATGGGCGGTTGTGAAGCTCGCTGTATTGGTCAGTTTTCCTAAGAAACTGAACCTTTATATATATGAAGAGATTTATTATGAGAGAAATAGTATAATTGGCTCACATGATTATGGAGGCTGACAAGTCCAAAGACCTGCTGCCAGCAAGCTAGAGACCCAAGAGAGCCAATGGTAATGGTGTAGATCCAGTCTGAAAGCCAGGAGGTTCAAGACCCAGGAAGAGCCCACATTTTAGTTTGAGTCCAAGGGCAGGAAAAATTTGATGTCCCAGCTTCAGGACAGTCAGGCAGGAGAAGTTCCCTCTTACTCAGCTTTTTCGTCCTTTAACTGATTGGATGAGGCCCACCCACATTAGGGAGGGCAATCTGCTTTACTCAGTTCAAATGTTCATCTTATCCAGAAACACTCTCACTGACACTACAAGAGTTACAAGAGTAATGTTTGAACAAATGTCTGTGCACCCTGTGGCTTAAGCAAGTTGACAGATAAAATTAATCATCACACTCACAGATATCATTGAGTGAATGCTTACAATGCATACAGGAACTACCCCAACGAAACAGTGGCTTGTCAGGTATGATCCATAGTCTCATTAGGCTTACAATATAAAGAGCTTAACAGGATATTATATGAAAAGCTACACAAATAACTATAACAATTGTGATAAGTACAGGGAAAAGAAAAGGAAGAACTTAATTTAGACAGTTAGAGAAATAGTTCACTGAGGAGTAATGTCAAAATGCAATCTGAAGGATGACTAGAAAGAGTAGCAGTTGACCAGGTGAAAAGTTGGGGGTAGGTAGAGAAGAAACAGCATGTATATAACCCCTAATGCAGAAAAGCTTGGCTTCTCAGGGAAAGCGTAGGGAAGGAAACTGCACCAACTGTGAGAAATGATAAAAGATGAGCACTAGAAAGAAAGGTACGAACCTGAGTGGGCAAGTCCTAGTTAACCAGGTAAGAAGTTTCAAACATTATCCTAAGTATGGGAAGCCCCAGTACCTTTCCTGACTAGTTATTCCATTTCATAAAAATGTTGTGAGTTTAGCAATAGCCAACCCGCATGTTTATCACTCACCGTATTAAGGAATCCACATACTAAGGCTAGCTCAGATTTTAAAAAAACAAAAGGTGGTGGGTAGAACAATGCTTCAGAACTAGTTTCAGACTACCAGGCAAATCATAGATGGCTCAACCTGATATCATGATTCTTAATCTGTTTTCGGTGTCTCTATAAAATTCACATACATACTCCCACCTGAAACATTTTTCTTTATAACATTATCTCCTATCTACCACACTAAGGGCATATCTGATTCATGTCCTGTATCAATAACATTTTAACTTATGAAAATTAACTTTAAAAAATACTTCATACAATATCTCTAGTATATAATGAAAACACTGGTCACTGGCAACAGTGGTTGCCTTTAGGGAGGGGAACCAGCTAGCCCAGACACAGAAGTGGCAGACATACTTTTCACATTATTATATCTTATTTTTATAAAGCGAATCTATAAGACTATTTTTAAAATATTAAGAACCATTCACCTCAATTTTCAAGAATATTACATTCATATTTAATATTTTCATTTATTAAATCTCATTCCTTTTGCTTCTGGCAGCTCTGGCTATGGTAGAGACTGCTAATTGCCTACGACAACATCTATTTCCCTCTTCCTTTCCAGGAACAGAATCCTAATATTATTTGGGGTGGCAATGCATTAAATAAAAGACATTTCCTGACTCCCCTGTAGTTATATGTGACCATATGACAGAGTACTGAACAATGAGTCCTAAGTGGAAGTATCATGTGAAATGTGGGGAAGGCTACTTTAAAAGAGGGGACTTCACTGAAAAGCAGGCCTTCTTGTAATTCTCTCATTTCTTCCAGCAGCCATCTTGGAATGTGTAGGTGGTATCTTTTTTTTTTCTTTTGAGACGGAGCCTTGCACTGTCACCGAGGCTGGAGTGCAGTGGTGCGATCTTGGTTCACTGCAACCTTCACCTCCTGGGTTCAAGTGATTCTCCTGTCTCAGCCTCCCAAGTAGCTGGGACTACAGGCGCCCACCGCCATGCCCAGCTAATTTTTATATTTTTAGTAGAGATGGAATTTCACCATGTTGGCCAGGCTGGCCTCGAACTCCTGACCTGAAGTGATCCGCCTGCCTCAGCCTCCCAAAGTGCTTGGATTACAGGCATAAGCCACTGCGCCCAGTCTGTAGGTGGTATCTTTAGACCTACATACTCAGTTAGGACCATGAAGTGATCCTGAAGATGACAGAGCAGCAAAAGAGAAGCCTACGTTCCTGATGACTTTGTGGACCCACAGAACAGTTTATCTTAATTAAGCTGTATCTTAGTTAACTCACTTTTATTTTGCTTTTTTGTTATATGTAGCAAAACCTAATCCTAAATGATATAGTGGTCATCCTTATACCCATTAAGGAAAAGAGATTCTCCAACACACATTCAACAGCATATAAAAGAGGTTATTGTGCATTTATCCCACAAGGTAGGATGTGAACTCCTGAGAGGTTATAGCAATATCTGCAAGGTAAAACAGTGTTACTTCAAGAATAATCCCTGATTCATTCATTCAACAAATTATTACAGAATACCTACTACATTCCAGGCCCTAAGAGCAACTATGTTGAAAGATAAATCTATGATGCAAAACAGTATAACACTCCTTCCCACATCCACAGAGAAATTTTTGTTGTTGTTGTTGGGTTTTTTTGTTGTTGTTGTTTTTGTTTTTGTTTTTTGTTTTTTTGTTTTTAGTTTTTTGTTTTTTTGGTTTTAAGTAGTGGACAGTTTAATAGGCACAAAAGAAGGGGAAAGAAAGAAAGAAGCTTCCCTGTATGCAGACAGGGAGGGGGGGCCCAAAGCCAAGAGAGGGAACCCCAAAGAAATTCTGAACGTCGAACTTGCTCTTCTCCTTCACAGCACAAAAAGGGGCACAAATGAAGTATGTAGATATCAAAAAGGCAAAACTTCTTTCTAAATCCTTAGAACACAGACATTTTATAAATTATGTATAGAGTTTTTGTCTTACATGAACCATTTCCACACAATAATCTTTATTATTAATATTGATTGGTATAGCAACTATGTACCCAGTAAAAAGGGAAAAAATGTTGAGTGTACATTTGGGAACCAATTGCCTGGTATTTTTCTTCTCCGAACTTAAAATCAAGTTAGACTGAGTTTCACACATTCATACCTTAAAAATAACAACCTGAGGGTCTGGTTCTGTGCAAAGTGGTAGCTATAGTATACCTTGTCTCTCCCACTAAATCCAACAATAATCCTTGTATAGAATGCGTTGAGCAGCTATTTGAAGACTGAAAAATACATGATAGCAGAAGAACTAAGGAAGAAGATTAGAATCTAAAGTACGACAAAACCAGATTAAGTTTCCTGGCATTTTTTCCTCCAATATGGCCTGGCTTTTTTTTCTCTCTGCTGTAATCAACTGGCCTTGACTCAAAAGCAGCAGAAAAGCTGGAAGTGCAATTGATTGTGTACAAAGACTGCCAAGAGAAGCCTTATCTTTCTGGTCCAAGAATCAGAAAGGGGGTGCTTAAAGGTCAGAGAAGGAAGAACATCCAATATTCTTTTCCACCTCTCTAGTCCCAACTCCCAGGTAATCCCACGGGGATGGCAGAAGCAATAACCACGACAGATGCCTAAAATTCTAAGGTAAGGGAATCATTCTTTTTACCAGAGGATATAGAGCTGGTCTCAAGATCGTAGGTCAAATGCCTGTTGCAACTTTCTCTCTGTCTTCCAATCGTATGGCATCAGATGCAAATAAATCTGGAGGAAGTACACAGCAGGGCAGGAAAACAAAAGCCCAGTTTTCCGGCCATGAGGACTGGAAAGGGGGTCCTCATGGAAACAAAAAATATCAGAGATCACAGAAAGAAGGGAACTCATGAGAGCAATCCCATAAAGTTGTATATTAACTTCTACACTCACTTTTGAGCTAAACGTGCATAGATTTGACCTTAAACAGCATACCAAAGGCTTTGAGAAGTAAACTATAGCATAGACTACTGCACAGATCCCACACTATCCACTGGGCGGTACACATAATGGACAAATACAAACAGTACTACTGAGTAGACTTTGAAAACCAAATTGATATCGGAACCGCAGGCCACAGGTGGGTCCAACTTGCAAAATCACCTAACCAGGTTGAGTGACCACTAAAGCAAAGAAGAACAGTATTCCCCTTAAGATACAACTGACAGCTAGAATCTCATAATATGCAAATGTCCAGAATAGATTAAAAAATCACTCAACATAGAAACAGGAAAACGTTAACTTGGAAAATAAAAGACTAATAAGCAAACACCAATCCTGAGGTGTCAGACCTTGAAATTTCTGTACAATGTACAAAGACTTACAATCAGTTATTATAACCATGCCTAAGAACATAAGGGCAAAGTCTTTCTAAATAAATGGAAAGAAAGTATTGGACAAGAAATAAAAGCTATACCAAATGGAAATTTTAGAACTTAAAAATACAATAATTATAATAAAATATTCATTGGATGGGCTGAAGAACAGAATTGAGATGAGAGTAGAAAGCATCAGTGAACTTAAAGCTGAATCATTAGAAACAAATCAGTTTGGAAAATAAAGAGAAAACAAGTCCTTAAAAAAGTAGGCCTTTTGATACTATCATATAGTCACCTGAGGCTCAGAGCCTCAGGACAATATCAAAAGGCCTAACATTTGTATCATCAGAGTCCCAGAAAGAGAGGAGAAAGAAAAAAATATTTGGAGAAAATAATGGCTGAAAACATATCAAATTTGATAAAAGACATATACTTACAGAATCAGGAAGCTCAGAAAACCCCAAGAAGATAAACCCCAAAACCTCCAAACCCAGAAACATTATATTTAAGATTCTGAAAGTGAAAAATAAAATACCATTAAAACATCCAGAGAAAACTGATGTATTACAAACATATATCAACTTGAATGACTGCAGATTTCTCATCAGGAAAAAGAAAGGGCGGGAGGAAGAGAAATGGCTTTTTTTTTTTTAGGTCTTAAAGGGAAAGAACTGTCAACTCATTATTATATAACTATTGAAAATATCCTTCACAAATGAAGATAAAATAGACATTCTCAGAGGAAGAAAAACTAAGACAATTAGTTTCCAGCAAACCTGCTTTAAAAAAATGTTAGAGGACATTCTTTAAATGGAAGAGAAATGATACCCCAAAACAAACACAGAACATGGGGAATGAAACAGAGTAACAGAAATAGTATCTACCTGGATAACTCTAATAGATTATCCTTTCCCTCTTAAACTCTTTAAAATATGTGTGACAGTTAAAAACAAAAGTTAGGGCCAGGCACAGTGGCTCAAATCTGTAATCCCAGCACTTTGGGAGGCTGAGGTAGGCAGACACCTTGAGCTCAGGAGTTTGACACTAGATGGGGTAACATGATGAAATTGTGTTTCTACAAAAAATATGAAAATTAGCCAGGAGTGGTAGCACATGCCTGTAGTCCCAGATGCTCAGGAAGCTAAGGTGGGAGGATTGCTTGAGCCTTGAGGTCAAGGCTGCAGTGAGCCATGTTACCACTGCCCTCCTGCCTGGATGACAAAGCAAGATTCTGTCTCAAAAAAAAATGAAAAATAAATAAAATAAAAATAAATAAAAGTTACAGGCCACACCTATAATACCAGCACTTTGGAAGGCCACAGTGGGAGGATTTCTTGAGCCCAGGAGTTTCAGACCAGTCTGGGGAACATGGCAAAATGCCATCTCTACAAAAAAATACAAAAATTAGCTAGGCATGATGGTGTGCACCTGAAGTTCCAGCTACTCAAGAGGACGGACTGAGTCTGGGAGGTCAAGGCTGCAGTGAGCTGTGATCACGCCATTGCACTCCAGCCTGGATAACAGAGCAAGACCCTGTCTCAAAAAAAAAAAAAAAGGTATAAACATTACATTAAATTACTATTTTAAAAATATTTGTGTAATACATATATAGAGATATAAGAGGATATAATACATATAACTACAACATAAATAGAGGAAGGTAATGAGATCTATATAATGGTAAGATCTCTATATTTCAATTGAAGTGGTGAAATTTTAACTTTAAGTTGACTGTGAAAAGTTCGGTATGTGTATCATAATCACCAGACCAAGTACTAAAAACAAGCTATACAAAGAAATATTGTCAAAAACTCACAGAATAAATCAAAATGGAATAATAAAAATATTTAAGTAATTAAAAATTAGGTTGGAAAGGAGAAATAGAGGAATGAAAAATAAGGGAACAGACACCTATGATATGATAGAAATCTGTTTATCTCTCTGTGTATCAACAATTACATTAAATGTAAATGGCCTAAACACAAAAATCAAAAGACAGAGATTGTCAAAAATTGGCAATGGCTACAAGCAAACCTGACTGATTAGATCATTACTGCTTCTCACCTACATGTTCCTGTCAAAGTCCAGAAAATGTCTACTAAACAAAGCAAGGGAAAGTGCTGTATTATGAAATTTTGCTTCAATTACAGAAGTATATCATTAGTTTGCTAGGGCTGCCACAACAAAGCGTCACACACTGGGTGGCTTAAACATAAATTTATTTTATCAAAGTTCTGAAGGATAGAAGTCCAAAATCAAGGTGTCTGGAGGGCTGATTTTATTCTATGGCTTCTCTCCTGGACTTACTAGATGGCCATCTTAAGACTCTGAATAGACAATTTAAATGTATTTAAATATATTCTAAGCTTAAAGGGCCAATGCCTAATAGTACAATGGAAGTCTTAGAACTCCTTCAGCCTCTGGATCTCTAAGGTTTTATTCTTTTGTTTTGTTTTGCTTTGTTTTGTTTTTCTGAGACAAGGTCTCAATCTGTCATACAGGCTGGAGTGCAGTGGGTGTGATCATGGCTCACTGTGGCCTCCCACCTCAGCCACTCAAGTAGCTGAGACTACAGGTGCACACCACCATGCCCAGCTTTTTGTATTTTTTTTTCTTTTTTGTAAAGATGGGATTTTGCTATGTTTCCCAGTCTGGTCTTGAACTCCTGGGCTCAAGTGATCCTCCTACCTCGGCCTCCCAGGTGGCTCACATCTGGCATTACAGGTGTGAGCCATCACAACTAGCCTGATAACATAATTACTAACATTGGTATGAATACTGTATTAGTCTGTTCTCATGCTACTAATAAAGACATATCCAAGACTGGGAAATTTATAAAGAAAGATGCTTAATTGACTCACAGTTCAGCATGGCTGGGTAGGCCTCAGGAAACATACAATCATGGCGGGAGGGGAAACAAACACATCCTTCTTCACATGGCGGCAGGAAAAAGAATGAGCAAAAGGGGGGAAAGCCCCTTATAAAACCATCAGATCTCGTGAGAACTCACTCACTACCAGGAGAACAGCAGCATGGGGGTAACCACCCCCATCATTCAATTACCTCCCACTGGGTCCCTCCCACAACACATGGGGATTATGGGAACTACAATTCAAGATGAGATTTGGGTAGGAACACAGACAAACCATATCAAACACACAAGTATTTTTGCCGATGTTCTTACTCAACCATTACCTGATTATTGAAAAAATAATACCAGTGTTTTTAAATCCAGGGTCTGTATATTAGTAGAAAAGCTCTAGCAGTTATATTCTCATGTTTTTAGAGAACATTATTCATTATTATATTACCTGACTTCCTACTATGGTTTCAATCTGTCCCCAAAAGTCCATGTGTTGTTAATCCCCAATGCAACTGTGTTAAGAGGTGGGATTTTTATGAGGTGACTAGTATTGTTAATGCAGGAGTGGGTTCGTTATTGCAAGCAAGAGTGGGTTCCTTTATAAAAGCAAGTTCAGCCCTCTCTTGCTCCTTCTCACCCTCTACCATCTTGCCTTCCGCCATGGGATGATGTAGCAAGGAGGACCTTCCCAGATGCTATATCACACAGCTAATTGGGAGGCTTGGGACTTGGGCTCATTTCTTCTAGGCACAAAGTTTTAGAATGTCCATTCCTTTACATCACATTCTCCCCTACCTGTCCAAAAGTTAGAGGGAAATCAGAGCTGAAAAAGGCAAAATCTCAAATCCATTCCTTTCTTCAATATTTTTTATACTCCATATCACCTGTCTCAAGAGTTACCATATCAAACTCACCTTTCTTATTACAGCACACATTTTGTTATTGTGATATTCTATACTACTACTGTTGTTTCCACTGCAGCAAGGTAACAAACATATACAGAGGTACCTGGCTGTATATGACTTTCACATAAGTGGGATTCTATGTTAAATAATAAATCAGTTTCTCACGTTGCAGAGGCAACTCTAGAGAATGTGGTTGGATGAAATTTTCTGAATAATTCATTCAGGTCTAGTTTACATTGAAGAAAAAGAGGTTTAGGGTACTTTTCCTTCATTGCCATGAATCTTATTTCTCTCTCTTTCTTACAACACACCCAACTAGGTCTTGTCATGCCAGGAAACAAACAGCTACAAAAGCTGATTTTTTAGATGTAAAAGTTAGTAATGATGACCCAAATTAACTTCGATAAAACACTATCTTCTACTGGAACGTAACTCTTAAACATGACTTATACTGAACCAAACTGCCTAAAATATGGAAGAGTGGTGTTGTTTGGAGATTTACTTATGGGTCATGTTATTATTTACTCTTAAGATATAGAAACCATGTAAGCACAATTATGATAGAACTATCAATTAGTGTTTTCTACCATTGCAAAGGGAAATAAACTAATTGAGAATAAAAAATAGGCATGATTATTTTATTATGTGTAGAATTTTAATTTTGAAGGGCAATTTATGAAATATTATTAGTCACATGAAAATTATTGAGAAAAAAATTTAAAACACAACTCATCTATATTAGACCATATCCCTGAAAATAAAAAACATTAAACATTAAATTAGACACATTTATATAAAACCGGCAAAGATAAGCATCTCAAAAATAGTTAGGGCTATGCACAGAAAAATATTAAATCTCATAAACATGAGGCAGATTTACTTCCCCAATTGTTTTGATGAAATCCTACCTTGAATGATGCATATTTTAATACAAACAAATAGTAAGGCTTAGACTCATACATGAATCATAACAAATGAAGATCCTAATTCTCTTAAGTTTTTTGAAAATTTTTGAATTCATACCATATCTACTGTTAACTTTGATTTTACCAAGATGAAGCACCTCCCTTAGGTTATCCAGCAAGTAATTAAAATTTCATGAGATTATCAAGCTTAAACCACATTTCAACTTTTCTGACTACATTTCAGCATACTATATAATGGCATAGGAAGTGAACTAAACTTTAGACTTCAATGTGAATTTATTTTCACAAAATTACTTTAAAGAGGACAATGCCTAAACTATCACTTTAAAAGCTGAGTTCTGTTTAAAGACAAAAATAAAGACATGGCTCATTCATTAAGTAAACATTTATTTAATGTCTACTGAGCAAAATACTGTACTAAATATTGTGACTCCTGCCCTATGACAATCAAAGAAATAAGAAAAAAAAATACAACTTATGGCCGGGTGCAGTAGCTCACGCCTGTAATCCCAACACTTTTGGGAGGCCGAGGCGGGCAGATCACTTAAGGTCAGGAGTTTGAGACCAGCGTGGCCAACATGACCAAACCCTGTCTCTATTAAAATATAGAAATTAGCTGGGCATAGTGGCACATGCCTGTAATCTCAGCTACTCAGGAGGCTGAGGCACAAGAGTCACTTGAACCCAGGAGGTAGAGTTTGCAGTGAACCTAGATCACACCACTGCACTCCAGCCTGGGCAACAGAACAAGGCTCTGTCTCAAAAAAAAAAAAAGGAAAATAAAAAGACAAGTTAGTAAATACAAAATTATATAGTACAACTGAATACATAAAAACAGAGGTGTTAAATAATAAGACTAACATAACTAAGAAATGCTTCCCTAGAAAGATCATTATTAAATCAACTAAGACATTTTCATAGTAGAAATTACACACAAAAAGGAAAGAATTAAGAGATTCAGCAAATATATTTTAAGTGGAAGCCTACATTGGGGAACGAATAAGATAAATTTGGAGAAGACTGTAAACCCAATTGACAGACTGATTTTACATTAAACATAATAGGAAATAATAACATACTATAAATGCTTGGATAATAGAAAAGTGAAGAAAATGTTAATTAATGAAGGTGTCTCTTTCATATATATATGTAGAATGAACTATATCAATGGAAATAAAACCAGCAAAACTGTTGTTGCAGCTACCCAAAGGTAAATGATGAAGTTCTGTGTTAGTGTGGTTGAAGAAGACATGTGACAGGCTGGGTTGTTGAGGGAAGTAAAATCTACTCTTGTCTCTTTGGAGCCAAGGTTATTACAAAATAATAAGAATAAAAATAAGCCAAAACATTCCTGAGCTACTAGCAAAATTAAAGGCCTAGAGGTCTTGAATGTATGACAGATGAAGAAAGTCCCATAGCTGTAGTTTCAATGGTACATAGGAAACTCTGTTACTCCCATAAGGTACCAGATAACCATCCTAGAACTGAGTAAAAGATTATTCCATCGATTGCCTCCAAGTTGGTACACTGGATTGTGGATCCAATTTGACATAATGCAGATAAAAAGTTCAAGTATTACAAATTTGAAAATGTGCTTTTAACATATTAATGTTACATCTTATCTTTGATAGAAGATCTTTGTGATACTATTATTCTGAAGTAGGAATTAATCCTTAATTCCTAGTAACCTTGTGAACAGGAGTCACAAGGATTGTTATATCATAAATTCTTGGCTGGGCGCGGTGGCTCATGCCTGTAATCCCAGCACTTTGGGAGGCTGAGGCGGGTGGATCACGAAGCCAGGAGATCGAGACAATCCTGACTAACACGGTGAAACCCAGTCTGTACTAAAAGTACAAAAAATTTGCCGGGCATGGTGGCGGGCGCTTGTAGTCTCAGCTACTCGGGAGGCTGAGGCAGGAGAATGGCGTGAACCCAGGAGGTGGAGCTTGCAGTGAGCGGAGATCGCGCCACTGCACTCCAACCTGGGCGACAGAGCGCGACTCCGTCTCAAATAATAATAATAATAATAATAAATTCTTGATGTAAGCATAGTAAAGGCAATAATTACTCTTGCTCAGGGATTGCTCATGCCATCTACATACTCTTAATAGACACTCTTGCCCCCAACTTGAGGAAAATCAAACAGGTTATACAACTCATGTGGTCCTTCTTAAGTGTCAACCCACAACTTGGTCATAAATTACAGTAGGCAGGTGACACATACAAGTCACAAATAGTTTTGTCACATCAAATTTTACTTTTGTTCTACTGAAAATAGGTGGCAAACCTGCAGAATAATAAAAGAAAAGAAAAAACAATCAAACTAGCAATTAAATTTATTTTAAAGAAAGAAATAAGTTGGAATTATTTACAATTTAATAATGCTACATGACGGCAGATAGCACACAGTCATAGATTTGTAAAAGGTGCCTGTCACCACACACACAAAAAAAATCACTCACACTGACTATAACTTGTTAAATAAATCATGTCTTTAAGTCATTAATATGATCAACAAATCATCAGGAACACGACAAGGAAAAAGCTGAGCTTCTGTTCTTAATGTGAAATGCAGTCCACCAAAGAGACAACCAAAATAACTAAACAAACCTCTGTGCTGACTGATGGCATTTTCAGACTCCTGAATAAATAGGAAATGTCCAAAGCGCACGCACACACACACACAAAAGGAACAATCCCGAGACAAACCTGGCTGTAAAATAAGTGTGGAAGCAAAATGATAAATTCGGAGGTATTTTTTATTTGAGAGACATCCCGAGTGCTTATATTGCATCACCAGTGAAGGAAAATGAAATGTTACCAGGATCCGAAAAGGAGTCTCTGAACAGGGTGTACACTGAATTCCCCTTTAATAAAAAGAGAGCAGCTCTAAACAAAATTTTTTTTTAACTTCCAGAAAGCCAAATTAAAAACAAAACAAAACAAAACAAAACAAAAGAAAGAAAGAAAAGAAATGGCTTTACCCACAGTCCCATGTCTGGGACAGAGTTCTTCTACCAAGCCATGCAAAGTGTCCAAGACAGAGGCCACCCACCACGCATTCCCAGACTCTTAACCGTGTCACTCCAGAAACCGAGAGGACTTGGATTTCCAGATTGCTAACGTGATCTGAAGGCACTCAGTACACGTTTCTGTCTGGGCAGGACCAGTTGAGCCACTTCTCGCCTTATCAACTTCCAATAATTGCCACACTGTGTGTGCAACCAGTAAGTGAGTGGCACATGGAGTCTGACCTGGCACTCCATTCACACACTTTGTCTGATACTACTTTCATTGTCTGGGCTCTTGTTTTTGGAGAAGAGCTGCCGAAAAGTATCACCTTTTCCTCTATCACTAACCTTTACCTTTACCTCTATCCCTAACATGGGATGCCGAGGTGCAGAGGCACCAGCACTGCCCTGCCATCACTCTAGTGGATACGGACCCGATTAGGCGTCCTTCTTCCTTCTGCCCACACCAAGGCCCCCCAGGCCGCGGCCGCTCACCGGGAACCTTCCCAGGGGAGCGGCGGAGGGGCGAGGCCATGGTGCGGGGACCTGCAAGAGGGCCCTGACCCTGATAGAGAGGGGCCGATGGGCGGCCAGGTGGGCCTGCGGGTTTACCTTGTTGAGGTGAGGGTTCCGTGTCAGCAGGTAGCCGCGCTGATGGGTGTGGCGGCGACGGGGGGCTTCGGGCTCCATGGCTGGCGCCGGGTTCGGCGGCGGGGTCAGGCCGGGGCGGGCCGCACGCGCGGTGCAGGCGGCGGATGCTGCTGGGGTGACGGTGCTGACTGCAGCTGTGGCGGCGGCGGCCGCACTGGGAAAGGCCCAGCGGCTGGGGGCGGGCGTGGGTGGCGAGAGGGGGTGGACGCGTCGGGAGGGGCCCGAGCGAAGCCGGTGTCCCCAGCAGGGCAGCCTGCGAGAAGCGCTGAGTCATGGCAGGAGATCATCCGAGCCGGCGTGTGAGGAGGAGGAGGAAGAGCGAGTCCTGGCAGCGCTGCTGGTGGCGGAGCGGGGGTGGCGGCCGGAGCCCTTGGCTCCATAGGGCCTCTGCCCACCATGGGCTTATGATCACCGCTGTGGTCGCCTCTCTCCATGTGGGCATGCCTAAACGCAGTGCACTGGGTGGCTCTGCTGACCCCAGAGACCCAGGGCGGGGGCAGGGAGCGGGGAGCGTCAGGCCAGGATCCCCCTGCCCGGGAAGGCTGGAGAAAGTGCGAGAAGATGCCAGAAGGTGCGAACCTGAGCGGTTCAGGCAGAGCCGGCGGTCGCTCAGACACCTAGGGGGATTACAGGACGGAAGGACTCGTGAGGGGTCCCCAGAACTGTTGACAGAACACCTCGACAGGCTGAGGAGAATCAGACTCGTCTCTCCTGTCTTGTTAGCGTCTTGGAAGCCCTCTTTCTACAGATCCACAACCTTCGCCGTGCCATCCAGGATGCCGGCCATGCCCGGGGCCCTGAGGCCGGAGGGAACCAACCTTGACCCAGAATGCCGAGGCCCAAGGGAACTGGGAGGAAGCCCAGAGAGGAGAGCTCAGGCGCCACACCTGTCAGTTTCTACAGATTTTCCACCGGAATTGTATTTGAATGTCAATAAGATAAGAGTCAAGGTGTTAGGGTGCAAAGGCCCAATGAACAGTCCTGTTTATCTTGTATATTATTTCTCTGGGAGTTCTAGAAACCTGATGTTCAAGAACCACTGCTCTCTCTGAATAATGATGAGTAAGCAGTCTTTCAGGCCTTCCTCCCAACCTCAGGTGATCCGCCCGCCTCCGCCTTCCAAAGTGCTGGGATTATAGGTGTGAGCCACCGCGCCGGGCCATTTTTTTATTGTTTTATTGATATTTATGCTTGGAGGTTCATGGACTGGAGGAATAGTCAGATCATAGCCAAAAGGAGTGCCTGTCTGATAAAAATAAATTAATAGCAACAGACACTAAAGCCTTCTGTGCCCCAGTTTCCTTTTCAGTTAAATAGGATTGCTAGTTTCTGTCCCATTTGTCTCTGCATACTGATATTACAAAGGATAGTGTTTGAGATTATTTGCTGATTTTATATCTCCATATACTAGACACACATCCAATCACAGTGTTTTCATTTCTAGTTATGTTAACTTTGCCTTATCAGAAAGATTTCTTACAGTAATTGTATTTTGTCCGTATTTACATTTAGAAGCTTCTTTGACCTCGCCTGAATTATCTAGAATTCGTTGTTTTTATAGAGAATATTTTCTAGGCATCACAAAGTTCTTTTTGAAAAAAATCCTTGAAGTTAAATGACACCTTTCATTGTTAATTCTATACTCCATAAATACTCAATCCTACAACATCTAAGAAAAAGGTGTACTTTACACAACTCACTCTCCTGAATTAACTGAGACACATTACAGTTAGGGTGTTTTATGTGAGAGGAAACAGTTTAACAGCTGGCATGGGAGCCAATTCAAGCTGCTTAAGAAGAAACAAAAATGTTAGTACAACAGACCCTTATTATAATAAAGTACTTATTACATGAATTTAGATATACTACCTACCTGTTCCTGTTTCTGAGATTTAATATCTACAGATAGGAAAAGTGTTATAAGTACAGGGAGTAACCCACAAAGAGTATATGGCCTCTCCCTCAAAGGCAACATTACAAGGGGATTACAATATCCTGCCAGTAGTAGGTAAAGTTCACATCTTTCATCTGTATGTTTATTTTAATTATTAAAATAACCGCCGTCATCTTGAATGAAACAGGATAAGGCCTAGCTGAAGAAGCCATTTAGTACATTCATATGTAGTTCCAAGAATACTAGAAAGAACCTATTTTTCTACATAAATGTTAGCTAGAATATCAAAATTTTCAGTCTTTTTTAAATAATAATCTCATAAGGTTAGGTTTTATTTCCAAAAACGTAGGAAAACAGATGCAGAGAAAAAAACTGCTTTAATTTGCCTTGTAACAAACTGTGGTTGCACTGTCACTCTGAAAGCAATTGGTAATGTTAAGAATGGGTATCATTCACAAATTAAGAGACTAAAACATAGATTTCTGTTATACACAGGTGAGAATGCCATCAGTCAAAATCAGATTTTTCTTTCCCAAGTTATAGTTTAGCACACAAAGAGCTTTTACAACATAAAATATGATTGTAATAGATACTCTGATGTAATGTCAGTTGAGATTGCAAGTATAGAAAATTCAGGAAATAACTCTTAGTACATACAGCAATTCTAATATTTTACTTTCATGAGATAAAAAAGATTAATAGAAAAAATACATATCTAGGTGAGGATTTATAATATTAACTAAATGATTCTGTATTTCTTCACACAAAAAGCACACTACTACTATGTCTTCAAAATCTAGTGTGCATTTTATAACACATCTCAATTTAGACACCAAATTTTTATCAGAAATTTGATCTGTATTTCAATTTTATAAAACTTACATTTGCAATAGTAGACTCTCATACCTAACTTGTTGCAAATATACCTTAAAGTTTTCCAATGACTAAATTGAGTATCTGTTTTATATTTAAATTAAAATCAAATACAATTTAAACTGAGTATCTCATTTGCACTGGCCACATTTCAAATGCTTAGTAACATGCCAGTGACCATCGAATTAGAGAGCACAAGTCTAATCCAATGCATTTGGGCCCTTAATTAAATGTTTTAAATAAATAAAGATCAAATATACATACCTGTGTTATTGTAATGTTCATACAGATGTTGTTACATGAATCGCAGAGTAACTCAAGTTATACTACCTTATTAGTTTCACATATATAGCTATTTATAACCGTAAATGCATGCAACATACTGATTTTCTTTACAAAGCACTGATTCTTTTCCTTCTTCTCAGATAGTCAACCCAGTTGTTTCATTCCTCAAACCATTTTGTTAAAAGTTCACATCCCAGTTGATAACATGGCATATGGAATAAAATTCTAAATTAGTAAAACTGCATTTAAATAAACCTTCTGAAATTCAGATGTCCACATAACTATTGTACTTCAAGACAGCAAACTGCTGGAGAAATTTTGCACATACTCTCAACATTGCTGCCATTATTTTCCCCCCAACAGAGTCTCACGCTGTTGCCCAGGCTGGAGTGCAGTGGCGTAATCTTGGCTCACTGCGACCTCCGCCTCCTAGGTTCAAGTGATTCCCCTGCCTCAGCCTCCCTAGTAGCTGGGGTTACAGGAATGCACCACACATCTGGCTAATTTTTGTATTTTTAGTAGAGACAGGGTTTCACCATGTTGGCAAGGCTGATCTCAAATTTCTGACCTCAAGTGATCTGCCCGCCTCAGCCTCCCAAAGTGCTGGGATTACAGGCGTGAGCCACAGCATCTGGCCAGCTGCCATTATTTGAAATGTTTCTCAGTTCCTCTTTTGGAATTATTTCTTATTTACTCTGGGTAAACACTATACCACATTCTTTTAAGAGCATTTTATTAGTTTCAGGCCAGGCATTGTGGCTCACACCTGTAATCTCAGCATTCGGGGAGGTCAAGGCAGGAGGATCACTTGAAGCCAGGAGTTCAAGACCAGCCTGGGCAACAAAGTGAGACCCTGTCTCTACAAAAAACTTGAAAAAAAAAAAAATTATCCCGGTGCGGTGGCATGCACCTATAGTCCCAGCTATTCAGGAGGCTGAAGCAGAAGAATTGCTTGAGCCCAGGAGGTCAAGCCTACAGTGAGCCACGATTGTGCCACTGTACTCCAGCCTAAGCAACAGAGCAAGGCTCTGTCTCAAAAAAAAAAAAAAAAGATTATATTAGTTTTACGTCCACAGGTACCAGGGATTAGAACTTCAAAATATCTTTTCAGGGGACACAGTTCAATCCATAACAAGAATGAAGTCTAGAATCAGACTGACTGGGTTTGAATCTTTCCAGCCCTGTGTCTTTGAAAATCTTATTACCTCGGGGCCTCAGCTTCCTCATCAGAAAAATGAGGATATTAAAAGTACCTGCCTTTTAAAGTTGTTATGGGGATTAAAAGAGGTGATTTTTGTGTATTTATTCAATAAATATTTACAGATTAACCTACTATGTGTCAGCCCCTGATATACGCCCTGGAAGATTTATAGTGAATAATACAAATTCTCTGTCATCTAGAAATTACATCCTACTGAGATAATAAACAAGCTATACTATGTCATATCATATAATACAGATAGACATGTAAAGCACTTAGAACAGTGCCTGTCCCATAGTAAGCATTCAACAAATGTTATTCCTTTCCTTCCAGATCTGGTTCATCTTATGAAGCCATTCCCCATTCCCTCACATTATTTCCCCCTTAATTTATTCAAAATGTTTCTTGAACACTTCCTCTATGCCAAGCCTTAGACTAGGCACTGGTATGCAAACATAAGCTTATGGGGAGAAACAGCCAATACACAAGTAAAGAAGTAGGTAATTATGAAATCCGAACTGTAAAAGAAATGAGTGTGCACTTCAGCAATTAGCAACATGAAGACTGATATTTTTGAATATTCATAATGTTTTAAATTGTATTTTTATTGGTATTTGGGATGTCTTGTGTTTAAGTACTTGAAAATCTCTCTGAATGGTAGAAGTATTCTTTCAAATGTAAATAAAAGATAGCTTCAGTAACACTTCGCTTCTATGTTCATAATAAATTTGCCCCCACTGGGGATATTCCCAGAAATACTTCAATTTTGAAGGGGGAAAATACTCATTTAGACAGATAATAGCTGGTGTACTTGTCAACAAGGCATTAAAGTTAGTAATCTAGAATATAGACTTTGGACTAAGAGTTCCTGGGCTCCTGTTCCAATTTTGCCAACTTTGTCAAGTTACTTACCTCCCTTTGTCTCCTCCAATGATTTATCCTCATCATAGTAAGCCCTACATGGGTATTTGTCAAATGAAAACAAAGACAAAAATAAATCAGGTGCATTTCTCTGTATACTTACTTACATCTTTTAAAAAGAAAACGCTATCAATCACTAAAAGAAATTCAAATATTGACCAGGCACGGTGGCTCATGCCTGTAATCCCAGCACTTTGGGAGGCCGAGGTGGCAGATCACCTCATGTCAGGAGTTCAAGACCAGCCTGATCAACATGGAGAAACCCTGTTTCTACTAAAAATACAAAAATTAGCTGGGCATGATGGCACTCTCCTGTAATCACAGCTACTCGGGAAGCTGAGGCAGGAGAATCGCTGAACCTGGTAGGCGGAGATTGCAGTGAGCCAGGATTGCACCGCTGCACTCCAGCCTAGGCAACAGAGCAAGACACCATCTCAAAAAAAAAGAAAAAAAAGAAAAAAGAAAATAAAGAAAGAAATTAAAATATTCTAAGAATATAAATTTTACTTACAATTTTAGCAATTACAGGTTTTGGCTTTAGAAAGTAGAATTAAGTGACTAGACAAGGTTAAGTATTAATCTTGTAGAATTAATTAATATTGTATTGGATTTTTCTGTTTGTGTTTTTTACTCTCATATAACAAAGTAAAAATTTTCTGAAACTGCTTGTTTCTAATTTTCATGTTTTCCCAGCTATCACCACAGTATACCTTCTACAAAACATCATTTCTCTATCTAGGTCAGGGGTCAGCTATCTATGTATGTCATGCTAAAGCTTGCCACTAGTGCCTGTGCCAGTCCAAACCTGTTCTCTAGGTTGAAAATGGTAGAGCTGTTCAGATTCTACAAGAAGAAAGGAAATTATGTCACTCCCAAATTAGGAAAAGCTTATGGGATATTTCAGCTATTTATCAGTATGTAACACATTACTGCAACATTTAATAGCTTAAAACAGTAACAATCATTACATTATCTCTCATGGTTTCTGTGCATTTGGAATTTGAGAAGGTCTTAGATTGTTAGTTCTGGCCCAGGGTTTCTCATGTCGTTGCAGTTAAACAGTGGCTGGTAAAAGGGGGTGAGGGGTGGCCATGCATGCTCTCTCTGTCTCTCTCTCTCTCTCTTATCTCCACCCTCATCTCTATTTCTATCTCTCAAGTAGTCTCAGGCTCTCTACATATATGATCTTTTATTATGGGCCAGTTTGAGTTCTTCACAGCATGGCAGCCTCAGGACAGTCAAAGTGCTTACCGGGAGCTCGAAGGCTTTCAGAGCAACCATTCCAGGGAAAAGGACAGAATGTGCCTTTCCTTTGGGTGACCTAGCCTTAGAGGTCACATATTGTCACTTTTTTCTTACTCTCTTGATCCAAACAGTCATAAAAGCCTGTCCCAATTGGAGGAGTGTCAAAGTTACGTGTAAGAAGAGCTTGTATGATAGGATAAATGTTGCAGCCATTTGGAAAATACAGTCACACACATGGATGTATAAAGAAACCTGTTTAACTGTTTGTTCCCAACACTTTTTTATGTCACTTTTTTAACTCATCTGAAATAAGGAGAGGGTGGTGCACTTGATACGGACAAATTCTTGACACCAATATAAAATGTGCATAAATAAATAAGTTGAGAAAAACTTAGCCGGGCATGGTGGCTCACACCTGTAATCCCAGCATTTTGGGAGGCAGAGGCGGGCAGATCGCCTGAGCTCAGGAGTTTGCTACCAGCCTGGGCAACATGGTGAAACCCCATCTCTACTAAAATACAAAAAATTAGCCAGGTGTGGCGGCGGGCGCCTGTAGTCCCAGCTACTCGGGAGGCTGAGGCAGGAGAATTGCATGAACCCGGGAGGCGGAGGTTGCAGTGAGCCAAGACCATGCCACTGCACTCCAGCCTGGGTGGCAGAACGAGACTCTGTCTCAAAAAAAAAAAAAAAAAAGAATACCATATTAAAAATAATACTGGACACTGAATATTGAATGGATGGAGAATTTTCTTTATAGAGAGACAGTGTGTTGCAATGTTGCCCAGGCTGGACTTGAACTTCTGGCTTTAAGCGATCCTCCTACCTTAGCCTCCCAAAGTGCTGGGCCACCACAAGTGGCCTGAAAATTTTTTCAATTTGGAAAAATCTGCTTCCAAACTGTTGATGGTTTGTTTCCTTTTGTAGTTCTGTAATGTTTGAAGTTTTCAAAAAAAAAAAAAAAAAAAAGGTATCTATTACTTTTACATTCAGGAAAAAAAAAAAAGATCACTTAACAGTTGGAACATACCCCAGGGGAGGATATAATGAAAGCAATATATTATAAAACTTTAGGAATCACACTATTTTTTCTTTTGTTCCAAAGTTAATTTGAGATGATGATCTGGCATCATACTTTACTACCTTCCTGCAGTGTGGATACCTTAAAATCTCTGACTGCTTGCCAGTAGGCACTGAAGCCAGCCACATAATGCAACTCTGAATTAGGGAGGGTAAGTTTCAGAATACCTTATTCCACCTGTGTGGATCCACCCTGCTATCCTTACTTTGAAAAAGCCAGACTAAAAATAAACCAAAATGATCTTAAAAATTAAAAAGTAAAATTTTTAAAAACTTTATAGAAAGTTTAACTTTTTTTGTAACAATATAGATTGAATTTATTTAACCCAGACCTACCTAAAGAACAGATTGTCATATAACTTATTTAATAAATAATTGACTTTCAAATACAACATGATGCTAATAGTAATTCGCTAGGCAACAGTATTACGTGGCTTTTTACTTCTCAGTATTTTTCTACATATTTTGAGAAATTTGATGCTAGAGTTAGAGAAAATAAACATTTAATATTTATTTTTGAGTAAAGTTTTACAAACACAAAAATATAGTGGTTCAAAAACTATTAAAACTTCTCTTTGGAATGCCTAGCTAATTCTTGCTTTAAAATTGGCATTAGTTTCTGGTACCGTGTTAAATTATTTGGCTTCTTATCTCAAACAGATATATTTTTTTAAATGAATAAAAAAAATCACACAGACAAAAGAGCCTTATCAAATTGCTTCATTTAATTTGAATAATCTAGACAGAATATTCTTTGTTTTGGAGATCAGGTCAAAACACAAACTTTTTTAATTTGTTAACTTTGTTAACCACTCTAACTAGTGGTTAACATCCAATGACCTGCCAGAAAAAGAATGAAGCCAGCGTTAAGCACAAACTATCAATCTGTAATGTCACCAGACACTTGGCATTTCTAATCTAGTTCTAAGCTGAAGCTCCTAATTTAATGACAAAGCTCCACATTTTCTGGTTCTTGGAAGAGGGAGAATGTGTGCATGAAAGGTTGTACTCAGGAGAGTTATACAAGAGATTCATTCATGATAGAGGGAGAGACCTGAATGAAAGCACGTAGGCCAGAGGAAATTTAGAGTGTTAAAATGCATTTTGAAGACATGGTCCAATTCCTGAAGAGAAACTGGGGAATCTTTGGGCAGGAGGGAAAAAAATCATGTGGATTTGGAAGGAAAGTTATTAAGTCACTTTGGGGTTTTGACAATATCCAAGGTTTTTGTACTTGTTATCCACACAAATCCATTCAAGACTTCCAAATAAGAGTGGAACTTAGATATATAATCATGTCGTCTGCAAACTGGGACAATTTGACTTCCTCTTTTCCTAATTGAATACCCTTTATTTCCTTCTCCTGCCTAATTGCCCTGGCCAGAACTTCCAACACTATGTTGAATAGGAGTGGTGAGAGATGGCAGCCCTGTCTTGTACCAGTTTTCAAAGGGAATGCTTCCAGTTTTTGCCCATTCAGTATGATATCGGCTGTGGGTTTGTCATAGATAGCTCTTATTATTTTAAGATACGTCCCATCAATACCTAATTTATTGAGAGTTTTTAGCATGAAGGATTGTTGAATTTTGTCAAAGGCCTTTTCTGCATCTATTGAGATAATCATGTGGTTTCTGTCTTTGGTTCTGTTTATATGCTGGATTACATTTATTGATTTGCATATATTGAAACAGCCTTGCATCCCAGGGATGAAGCCCACTTGATCATGGTGCATAAGCTTTTTGATGTGCTGCTGGATTCGGTTTGCCAGTATTTTATTGAGGATTTTTGCATCAATGTTCATCAAGGATATTGATCTAAAATTCTCTTTTTTGGTTGTGTCTCTGCCCGGTTTTGGTATCAGGATGATGCTGGCCTCATAAAATGAGTTAGGGAGGATTCTCTCTTTTTCTATTGATTGGAATAGTTTCAGAGGGAATGGTACCAGTTCCTCCTTGTACCTCTGGTAGAATTCGGCTGTGAATCCATCTGGTCCTGGACTCTTTTTCGTTGGTAAGCTATTGATTATTGCCACAATTTCAGCTCCTGTTATTGGTCTACTCAGAGATTCAACTTCTTCCTGGTTTAGTCTTGGGAGAGTGTATGTGTCGAGGAATTTATCCATTTCTTCTAGATTTTCTAGTTTATTTGCGTAGAGGTGTTTGTAGTATTCTCTGATGGTAGTTTGTATTTCTGTGGGATCGGTGGTGATATCCCCTTTATCATTTTTTATTGTGTCTATTTGATTCTTCTCTCTTTTTTTCTTTATTAGTCTTGCTAGCGGTCTATCAATTTTGTTGATCCTTTCAAAAAACCAGCTCCTGGATTCGTTAATTTTTTGAAGGGTTTTTTGTGTCTCTATTTCCTTCAGTTCTGCTCTGATTTTAGTTATTTCTTGCCTTCTGCTAGCTTTTGAATGTATTTGCTCTTGCTTTTCTAGTTCTTTTAATTGTGATGTTAGGGTGTCAATTTTGGATCTTTCCTGCTTTCTCTTGTGGGCATTTAGTGCTATAAATTTCCCTCTACACACTGCTTTGAATGTGTCCCAGAGATTCTGGTATGTTGTGTCTTTGTTCTCGTTGGTTTCAAAGAACATTTTTATTTCTGCCTTCATTTCGTTATGTACCCAGTAGTCATTCAGGAGCAGGTTGTTCAGTTTCCATGTAGTTGAGCGGTTTTGAGTGAGATTCTTAATCCTGAGTTCTAGTTTGATTGCACTGTGGTCTGAGAGATAGTTTGTTATAATTTCTGTTCTTGTACATTTGCTGAGGAGAGCTTTACTTCCCAGTATGTGGTCAATTTTGGAATAGGTGTGGTGTGGTGCTGAAAAAAATGTATATTCTGTTGATTTGGGGTGGAGATTTCTGTAGATGTGTATTAGGTCCGCTTGGTGCAGAGCTGAGTTTAATTCCTGGGTATCCTTGTTGACTTTCTGTCTCGTTGATCTGTCTAATGTTGACAGTGGGGTGTTAAAGTCTCCCATTATTAATGTGTGGGAGTCTAAGTCTCTTTGTAGGTCACTCAGGACTTGCTTTATGAATCTGGGTGCTCCTGTATTGGGTGCATATATATTTAGGATAGTTAGCTCTTCTTGTTGAATTGATCCTTTTACCATTAAGTAATGGCCTTCTTTGTCTCTTTTGATCTTTGCTGGTTTAAAGTCTGTTTTATCAGAGACTAGGATTGCAACCCCTGCCTTTTTTTGTTTTCCATTTGCTTGGTAGATCTTCCTCCATCCTTTTATTTTTTTTCGCAAACTACTCATCTGACAAAGGGCTAATATCCAGAATCTACAATGAACTCAAACAAATTTACAAGAAAAAAACAACCCCATCAAAAAGTGGGCAAAGGACATGAACAGACACTTCTCAAAAGAAGACATTTATGCAGCCAAAAAACACATGAAAAAATGCTCACCGTCACTGGCCATCAGAGAAATGCAAATCAAAACCACAATGAGATACCATCTCACACCAGTTAGAATGGCAATCATTAAAAAGTCAGGAAACAACAGGTGCTGGAGAGGATGTGGAGAAATAGGAACACTTTTACACTGTTGGTGGGACTGTAAACTAGTTCAACCATTGTGGAAGTCAGTGTGGCGATTCCTCAGGGATCTAGAACTAGAAATACCATTTGACCCAGCAATCCCATTATGGGGTATATACCCAAAGGACTATAAATCATGCTGCTATAAAGACACATGCACACGTATGTTTATTGTGGCATTATTCACAATAGCAAAGACTTGGAACCAACCCAAATGTCCAACAATGATAGACTGGATTAAGAAAATGTGGCACATATACACCATGGAATACTATGCAGCCATAAAAAATGATGAGTTCATGTCCTTTGTAGGGACATGGATGAAATTGGAAATCATCATTCTCAGTAAACTATAGCAAGAACAAAAAACCAAACACCACATATTCTCACTCATAGGTGGGAATTGAACAATGAGATCACATGGACATAGGAAGGGGAACATCACACTCTGGGGACTGTTGTGGGATGGGGGGAGGGGGGAGGGAAAGCACTGGGAGATATACCTAATGCTAGATGATGAGTTAGTGGGTGCAGCGCACCAGCATGGCACATGTATACATATGTAACTAACCTGCACATTGTGCACATGTACCCTAAAACTTAAAGTATAATAATAATAAATAAATAAAAAAAAGAGTGGAACTTATATTGACACAAAAACCTTTATGTGTAATTTTTTAAATTTCCAGGCCATTCATATTTAGATTTGGAGATATTCTTTGCTGGAATACTAGAAAACTTTTGAGTATTCTTTGCTAGAACCATATGCAGAAAAATGTGGAGTAAGTAATTCTGAGCTTCCTCCCTGCTCGTTCCACCTCCACTGGCTGTTCATCCTCTGGGGCTAATGGAGCAGAAAAGGAGGCTCCTCAGCGTACTTTCCTCTCTGATTGCTGTGGAAACTGCTCTGTCATGCAGTTAAATTGGGCTGTGGAGAGATCTGAGACCATTATGCCCCCACTGTGGTTTTAGTGTGGTAGAGTATCAGGGCAAGGCAGGAATTAAGTTTTATCAGGCAAACCAGAACTGCACAAAGGGAAGATGAATAATCCCCACACTCTTGCTTCATCCCTTCCCTTTCCTTTCTTCATGCTTTACTAAGCCATTTGATGCAATGGAAAAAAACAAGCAGCAAGCAGTGAAAAGATCATCCTAAGCATATAAAGGGAGTCAGAAGGAAGAAAAATCAAATCTTTTCAAAATGTTTCAGTATTGAGCTAGATAATATCATAGAATACAGATTGACACATGTATCATACAATAGCTCTCATTTTACAAATAAAGTAAGATAAAGGACACTTAAAGATGGACATTAAAATTGCCCCCCTGCCAATAAAAAGCAAACTCACAAAAAAGCCTAATCAATTCTTTTCAAATTTTCCCACTTCTCCACTAGGTCAAGAGGTCTCAACCAAATATTTTTGTATATTTGTTAATGTCAAAACTTGATGTATGTGTAAATTTTTCTATAGAGAGAGTTAATAGCTTCATGAGAGTCTCAGAAAACCCAGGACCATTGCCCTAGGCAACAAGAATTTAGTCACTGAATTCTCATATAGATTCTCATGAATTTGCTTCGTGTAACCCCCACCGCAAAATAAGTAAAGCCAAGTGTATTGAATTTCCTTTTAGATTGTTCATTTCATCAGTGTCACTAGTGTTGAACTCCACATTCATTCAACAAATATTTATTGAGTTTCTACTAGATGCCAGCCACAGTTCTAGGCTATAGAAATGCAAATTCCATCATCAAAAGCTCACATTCCTGGAGGAGGTGGCGTGGCAAATAATAAGCACAGTTGGGCTACCCCCTTTGGGTCCCCTACCTTTGTATGGGAGCTCTGTTTTCACTCTATTAAATCTTGCAACTGCACACTCTTCTGGTCCATGTTTGTTATGGCTCAAGGTGAGCTTTCACTGGACATCCACCAGTGCTGTTTGCTGCCGTTGCAGACCTGCCACTGACTTTCACCCCTCCGGCTCCAGCAGGGTGTCCACTGTGCTCCTGATCCAGTGAGATGCCCATTACTGCTCCTGATTGGGCTAAAGGCTCACCATTGTTCGTGCATGGCTAAGTGCCTGGGTTTGTCCTAATCAAGCTGAACACTAGTCGCTGGGTTCCATGGTTTTCTTCTGTGACCCAGGGCTTCTAATAGAGCTATAACACCCACCACATGGCCCAAGATTCCATTCCTTGGAATCCGTGAGGCCAAGAACCCCAGGTCAGAGAACAAGAGGCTTGCCACCATCTTGGAAGCACCCTGCCACCATCTTGGGCTGTCTAGGAGCAAGGATCCCCTGGTAACATTTTGGTGACCACAAAGGGACTTCCAAAGTGGTGAGTAATATTGGACCGCTTTCACTTGCTATTCTGTCCTATAGTTCCTTAGAATTGGAGGAAAATACTGGGCACCTGTTGGCTGGTTAAAAACTATTAGCGTGGCCACCAGACTTAAGACTCAGGTGTGAGGCTGTCTGGGAAAGGGCTTTCTAACAACCCCCAACCCTTCTGGGTGGGGAGCGTTGGTCTGCCTGGAACCAGCTTCCACTTTCGGTTTATCTGGGTAAGCCGAGGGCTGACTAGAGGCAGAAAGCTGTCATCCTGAACTCCTGCTGTTAGCCGGTTGAGATCATGGCACAGCCAGAAGTTTCTACTCAACAATCGCCCATGCGGGTGCCCCTACCTTTCCTTCTGACCCATACCTCCTGGGTCCTGACCATGACTTTCTTGAAAGTGTAGCCCCAAAATTCTCCTTACCTCTGAATCTACTTCCTCTGATCCCTGCCTCCTAGGTACTAATGGTTCAGACTTTCATTTACTCTGCAAGTTGTATCTCCAAAGGGATCTAAGGAAGCTCTACACTGCATCCTTAGGCCCCTAGGCTATGAACTCAGAGAGTCTTGTCCCTGGTGTCCCTCCCAATTTAGGCATACAACTCTTGACATGGGCAGTTATGTGGGACCTGTTCCCCACCACCCTTGCCAGGGCCCCAAGTTTGTAAAGGGCTAGGAGAAAAGAGAAAGAGAGAGAGACAGAGAGCGGAGAGAGAGAGAGACAAAAAGGGAGTCAAAGAAAGAAAGAGAAAGAAGTAGTAAAGAAAAAAGCAGTGTGCCCTATTCCTTTAAAAGCCAGGGTAAATTTAAAACCTGTAATTGATAATTGAAGGTCTTCTCCATGACCCTATAACACTCCAATACTACCTTGTTGTCAGTGTAAACAAGGACGTAGCCTGAAAACTCGGAGACCACTGACAACCTGTAGCCTTCCTATCAAAAATTCTTATCTCAGGAACCCACGGATGGCCCAAATGCATTCAATCTGCAGCAGCAACTGCTTTGCTAACAGAAGAAAGAAGAAAAGTAACTTTTAGAGGAAACCTCATTGTGAGCACACCTCACCAGTTCAGAATTATTCTAAGTCAAAAAAGCAAAAAGGTAGCTTACTAACTCAAAAATCTTAAAAGTATGGGGCTATTCTCTTAGAAAAAAGTGATTTAACATTAACCACTGAAAATTCCCTTAACCTAGCAGATTTCGTAACAGGGGATTTAAATCTTAATGACCATACAAAAGTACGACCAGACCTAGGAAGAACTCCCTTCAGGACAGGACGACAGATGGTTCCTCCCAGGTGATTGAGGGGAAAAAAAAACACAATGGGTATTCAGTAATTGATAGGGAGACTCTTGTGGAAGCAGAGTTAGGAAAATTGCCAAATAATTGGTCTGCTCAAACGTGTGAGCTGTTTGCACTCAGCCAAGCCTTAAAGTACTTACAGAATCAAAAAGACTACCTCAATCCTGACTCAAAAGGTTACCTACACCCTCTCTGAAACGAATTTGTATAAGAACTGTTGTTTATAGGAATGCATCTTGATGAGGCAGCTGGGTTGTTATGAAATAGGAACCCAGCCCAGGTCTAGAACTCACCTCTGAGTGCAAAGGCAATATTGGGCCCGCTGGTAAAGGACCACTAGAATCCAGCAGCCCGGACCCCTTTCTTTGTGGTCAAGAAGGGCAGGAAAACAGGTGCAGGACTGCTACATCACTGAGAGTAACTAATCCAATAAGCAGAGGTCCATGGATGGTTATGCACTCTGGAAAAGAATAAGCATTAAGACCATAGAGGACACTCTAGGACCAATGAATACTGGAAAATGACTAGGGGTGCTGGCAACCCTATGTTATTTTTTCAGATGGAAAACATTTCCCCCAAGGCAAAAACGCCCCTAAGATGTATTCTAGAGAATTCGGCCTAGTCAGAGTGTATGTACCTTTTGTACTGTCAGACTTGAAGCAAATTGAAATAAACCTAGGTAAATTCTCAGATAACCCTGATGGCTATATTGATGTTTTACAAGGGTTAGGACAATCCTTTGATCTAACATGGAGAGATACTTTAATGCTAGATCAGACACTAACCCCAAATGAGAGATGTGCCGCAATAACTGCTGCCCGAGAGTTTGGCAATCTCTGGTATCTCAGTCAGGTCAATGATAGGATGACAACAGAGGAAAGAGACAATTCCCCACAGGTCAGCAGGCAGTTCCCAGTGTAGACCATCATTGGGATGCAGAATCAGAACATGTAGATTGGTGCTGCAGACATTTGCTAACTTACATGCAAGAAGGACTAAGGAAAATAGGAAGAAACCTATGAATTATTCAATGATGACCACTATGACACAGGGAAAGGAAGAAAATCCTACTGCCTTTCTGGAGAGACTAAGGGAGGCATTGCACCTGATTCTATTAAAGGCCAACTAATTTTAAAGGATAAGTTTATCACTCAGTCAGTTGCAGACATTAAAAAACACTTCAAAAGTCCACCTTAGGCCCAGAGCAAAACTTAGAAACCCTACTGAACTTGGCAACCTCAGTTTTTATAATAGAGATCAGGAGGAGCAGGCAGAATGGGACAAACGAGATTTTTAAAAAAAGGGCACCGCTTTAGTCATGACCCTCAGGCAAGCAGATTTTGGAGGCTCTGGAACATGGAAAGGTTGGGCAAATCGAATGCCTAATAGGGCTTGCTTCCAGTGCGGTCTACAAGGACACTTTTAAAAAGATTGTCCAAATAGAAATAAGCCGCCCCCTCGTCCATGCCCCTTATGTCAAGGGAATCACTGGAAGGCCCACAGCCCCAGGGGATGAAGGTCCTCTGAGTCAGAAGCCACTAACCAGATGATCCAGCAGCAGGACTGAGGGTGCCCAGGGCAAGTGCCAGCCCATGCCATCACCCTCACAGAGCCCCGGGTATGATTGACCATTGAGGGCCAGAAGGTTAACTCTCCTGGACACTGGCATGGCCTTCTGAGTCTTACTCTCCTGTCCCAGACAACTGTCTTCCGGATCTGTCACTATCCCAGGGGTCCTAGGGCAGCCAGTCACTAGATACTTCTTCCAGCCACTAAGTTGTGACTGGGGAACTTTACTCTTTTCACATGCCTTTCTAATTATGCCTGAAAGCCCCACTCCTTTGTTAGGGAGAGACATTCTAGCAAAAGCAGGGGCCATTATACACCTGAACACAGGAGAAGGAACACACGTTTTTTGTCCCCTGCTTGAGGAAGGAAGGAATCCTGAAGTCTGGGCAACAGACGGACAATATGGACGAGCAAAGAAAGCCCATCCTGTTCAAGTTAAACTAAAGGATTCCACCTCCTTTCCCTACCAAAGGCAGTACCCCCTTAGACCCAAGGCCCAACAAGGACTCCAAAAGATTGTTAAGGACCTAAAAGCCCAAGGCCTAGTAAAACCATGCAATAGCCCCTGCAATACTCCAATTTTAGGAGTACAGAAACCCAACGGACAGTAGAGGTTAGTGCAAGATCTCAGGATTATCAATGAGGCCGTTGTCCCTCTATACCCAGCTGTACCTAACCCTTATACTCTGCTTTCCCAAATACCAGAGGAAGCAGAGTGGTTTACAGTCCTGGACCTTAAGGATGCCTTTTTCTGCATCCCTGTACATCCTGACTCTCAATTCTTGTTTGCCTTTGAAGATCCTTTGAAACCAACGTCTCAACTCACCTGGACTGTTTTACCCCAAGGGTTCAAGGATAGCCCCCATCTCTTTGGCCAGGCATTGCCCAAGACTTGAGTGCCAGTTCTCATACTGGACACTCTAGTCCTTCGGTACATGGATAATTTACATCTAGCTCCCTGTTCAGAAACCTTGTGCCATCAACCCACCCAAGTGCTTTTAAACTTCCTCACCACTTGTGGCTACAAGGTTTCCAAACGAAAGGCTCAGCTCTGCTTACAGCAGGTTAAATACTTGGGGCTAAAATTATCCAAAGACACTAGGGTCCTCAGTGAGGAACGCATCCAGCCTATACTGGCTTATCCTCATCCCCAAACCCTAAAAGCAACTAAGAGGGTTCCTTGGCATAACAGGCTTCTGCTGAATATGGATTCCCAGGTACAGTGAAATAGCCAGGCCATTATATACACTAATTAAGGAAACTCAGAAAGCCAATACCCATTTAGTAAGATGGACAACTGAAGCCAAAGTGGCTTTCCAGGCCCTAAAGAAGGCCCTAACACAAGCCCCAGTGTTAAGCTTGCCAATGGGGCAAGACTTTTCTTTATATGTCACAGAAAAAACAGGAATAGCTCTAGGAGTCCTTACACAGGTTTGAGGGACCAGCTTGCAACCCGTGGCATACTTGAGTAAGGAAATTGATGTAGTGGCAAAGGGTTGGCCTCATTGTTTACGGGTAGTGGCAGCAGTAGCAGTCTTAGTATCTGAAGCAGTTAAAATAATACAGGGAAGAGATCTTACTGTGTGGACATCTCATGATGTGAACGGCATACTGACTGCTAAAGGAGACTTGTGGCAGTCAGACAACCATTTGCTTAAATATCAGACTCTGTTAATTGAAGGGCCAGTGCTGTGACTGCGCACTTGTGCAACTCTTAACCCAGCCACATTTCTTCCAGACAATGAAGAAAAGATAGAACATAACTGTCAACAGGTGATTGCTCAAACCTACACCGCTCAAAGGGACCTTCTAGAGGTTCCCTTGACTGATCCCGACCTCAGCTTGTATACTGACAGAAGTTCCTTTGTAGAAAAAGGACTTCAAAAAACAGGGTATGCAGTGGTCAGTGATAATGGAATACTTGAAAGTAATCCCCTCACTCCAGGAACTAGCGCTCAGCTGGCAGAACTAATAGCCCTCACTCAGGCACTAGAATTAGGAGAAGGAAAAAGGGTAAATATATATACAGACTCTAAGTATGCTTACCTAGTCCTCCATGCCCACAAAGCAATATGGAGGGAAAGGGAATTTCCTAACTTCTGAGGGAACACCTATCAAACATCAGGAAGCCATTAGGAGATTATTATTGGCTGTACAGAAACCTAAAGAGGTGGCAGTCTTACACTGCTGGGGTCATCGGAAAAGAAAGGAAAGGGAAAGGAAAGGAACGGCCAAATGGATATTGAAGCCAAAAGAGCCACAAGGCAGGACCCTCCATTCAAAATGCTTACAGAAGGACCCCTAGTATGGGGTAATCCCCTCCGAGAATCAAAGCCCCAGTACTTACCAGGAGAAATAGAATGGGGACCTCACAAGGAAATAGTTTCCTCCCCTCAGAATGGCTAGCCACCAAAGAAGGAAAAATACTTTTGCCTGCAGCTAACCAATGGAAATTACTTAAAACCCTTCACCCAACCTTTCACTTAGGCATTGATAGCACCCATCAGATGGCCAAATTATTATTTACTGGACCAGGCCTTTTCAAAACTATCAAGCAGATAGTCAGGGCCGGTGAAGTGTGCCAAAGAAATAATCCCCTACACTGCAGTCCATACATTTCAATCCCTGTATCTTTAACTTCCTTGTTAAGTTTGTCTCTTCCAGAATTGAAGCTGTAAAACTACACATTGTTCTTCAAATGGAGCCCCAGATGCAGTCCCTGACTAAGATCTACTGCAGACCCCTGGACCGCCTACTAGCCCATGCTCCAATGTTGATGACATCAATGGCACCCCTCCCGAGGAAATCTCAACTGCACGACCCCTACTACACCCCAATTCAGCAGGAAACAGTTACAGTGGTTATCAGCCAATCTCCCCAACAGCACTTAGGTTTTCCTGTTGAGAGCGGGGACTGAGAGACAGGACTAGCTGGATTTCCTAGGCCAACTAAGAATCCCTAAGCCTAGCTGGGAAGGTGACCACATCCACCTTTAAACACCAGGCTTGCAACTTAGCTCACACCTGACCAGTCAGGTAGTAAAGAGAGCTCACTAAAATGCTAACTAGGCAAAAACAATAGCCAATCAAATCTATCGCATGAGAGCACAGGGGGAGGGACAATGATCGGGATATAAACCCAGGCATTCGAGCCGGCAACGGCTACCCCCTTTGGGTCCCCTCCTTTTGTGTGGGAGCTGTTTTCAATCTATTAAATCTTGCAACTGCAAAATAATAATAATAATAATAATAATAATAATAATAATAATAAGAAGAAGAAGAAGAAGAAGCACAGTTAAGTATGTGTACAATATAAAGTGTGATAAGTCTTGTGGAGATAATAAGTATGACATATCTGAATTCTTTGAAGCTTTAATGAGAATATGCAGCTCTTCTGATCTTGCATAAAATCTTTTAACAAGAGTAAAGCAAACTCAGTTTGTCCAGCAGATATTTATTAAGCACCTAGTATGGGTTAGGCACTATGGTAGATGCTGGGGAGAGGCAGTGATGAACATGGTGGTCTAAGAATTTTATTGGCTGAGCTTAGAGTGTGTTGCTTCCTCTAGGAATCCCTCTGGCTTGGGTTTGGGTGTCCCCTCTTGGTGATCACACAATAAGATGGGCATACCTTTATTGTGTTTTCCTCTAGTTGCATTTATATCCAGGTTGCCTGTATCTTTCCTACTTAATTGTGAGTTCTTCAAGAGTAAGACCTACATTTCGTTCATCTTTGAATCCCTGGTGCTTGAGGCATAGTAGGAGTTCAAGAGGTGTGTTGCCCTGTACTTGAAGAGACAGTTTATGGAAGGTGTGTACATGCCCTAGGACATTCTCTAATTTCCATCTTAAGCAGTAAGATCCCGACTGACTAACTCTCTTAGGTGACAAGAAAAATCAGTGAATGTCATTGATATGAAATCTGATACGATGAAAGAAGAAATGTGTTCATCAAGACCATGCCCATGCTTTTAAAGGAAAACTGGTCATTGTTTTAACAACCAAAAATGATTCTTAATCTCAGATGTCTCCCTCTTTCCTCAACTGAGCCTATGCAACAGCTTTACCTGCCATGTTCCAGCTCACTCTTGCCTTGAGATTAGCAACAGAGAGCTGGGAAGCAGGGAGAGGAGGACGATGTTATTAAGGTGATGACCCCTGCTTTTGCCTGCTTTACTGTCAAGTTTTAAAAAAAGACACAGATTAGGTTTTAGGCTAAGTTTTACCAAAAAAACAAAAAGAACCAAATTCCAATGTCAGATCTCCAGGGAAATAAAAGGATAAATATTCAAGTTGACCTGAACTTCTCAAGGTCAATGTGTTCTATCTATAAATTGTATTAAGACAATTATATCATGTAAGCATTTCTCTCTGAATAAGAACTAATTCTCTGCCCACACCCAGCAAAATGTTATTTTTTGTTCTAAATTTCTCTCAAAGGCAAATGCTTTCCCACACTCAGAAATGCATTCTTTGTCCTCTGAGTATTAGTTGTATGCCAAGATTCAAAGTTTAAATTCTAAACACTTTTGTTTAGTTTTTTAAGCATACACTATGGCAGAAAATTTTGCTTTTTTAAAGGTTTGACTGACTCAAATAATCACTATTTCTAGGGATTCTTGAGAAAATTACTTTTAAACTAAGAAATAGAAGAAATTTCACCAGAAAATCTCATTTTGATGAGATTATAACAAATATGAGGATATTGAATCAAAGGCCTGCATCCTTCTGGACCATTATTTTGCTACCATAATGTTAATACACTTATTAATATATTATTATTGCCCAGGTTGAGTTGGATTTAAATTAACAGCCCTGCATCAGCCTATGGGGAAGTCTCTAGTAGAATGACACACAGCTGTTTCATTGTCTTTACTCTTTAACATTTACCAACTTTTTAGATGAAAATATAGATGATATATTGTGATATGTATTTCTTATAATTTTCTTCCTAATTATAAAATTAATTAATGCTTAATACAGATGATTTAGGAAACACGGGATGGTGGTGGTGGGGAATCATCCATAGTAGTGTGGCTTTTCTTTTTCATTAGCAAATTGTATTTCTTGAATAATTTACCAAGGCTCTGAAATATTTTTATATTTGTCAGAATGTCCATTTCATAGACCTAGCAACATATTAGCTAAATTTGTGAATGACATGGAGATGAAAGGAATAGCTAGTATGGTAGAGGAAAGAATTAGGATTCAAAACCCTCCATAGGCTGGAAGAATTAGTTGAAACACAAGATAAACTGTAGCAAGAGTAAATGTAGGCCAGGCACAGTGGCTCATGCCTGTAATCCCAGCACTTTGGGAGGCCAAGGGGCAGATCACCTGAGGTCAGGAGTTTGAGACTAGCCTGGGCAACATGGTGAAACCCGTCTCTACTAAAAAATAAAAAAATCAGCTGGGTGTGGTGGCATGTGCCTTTAATCCCAGCCACTTGGCTGGCTGAGGCAGGAGAATTGTTTGAACCCAGGAAGTGGAGGTTCCAGTGAACACAGAGATCATGCCACCTCACTCCACCCTGGGCAACAAAGCAAGACTCCGTCTCAAAAAAAAAAAAAAATGTAAATGTAAAGTCCTGGTATAGAAACAACTGTCCCTGCATAGGAAGAAGGCAATGCATCAAAATAGGAGTTCCTGTGGAAAAGACTGGGTATTTCTAGTTGATGAAAACTTAGCCAGAATTGGGCTTTGATTTAGAATTGGGCTGCCAAAAAAGATAGTGTAAGCTTAGGTATCATCAGTGAAGTACAGAATCCAGAGGGAAGGGAAGAGGTGTTCTTACCATTTCCACATGGTTCAAGCTACACCTGGAGTATTGTTTTCAATTTTAGGACACATTTAAAGACGGCGTTAATAAAACATGAGCCTTCCCAGCTGAAAATTTGTGTTGAAATCATGTTATATAAGAAAGATGAAGCGAAAGAACTAAAGAGAAATATGATAGCTGCCTTCAACAATTGGAAAGAATTTTTCTGACCTGTTCAGAAACCATATCTAGAAACAAGGGGTAGAAGAATTGTCATTCAGATTTCAGCTTAAGTGACACTGCCTCAGCAGTGTCTTGCCTTGAAGTAGCCACCCAGTAATTAGTATATAACTGTTTTAGCCTTCTGTATAATAGGTATCATTATCTATTCACTTAATTTTTTTTCTGTAAACTTAATTCATTAATTTATTGTCTGTTGGTCTGTTTCTTCTCACTAGAACATAATTTTCCTGAAAGTAAGTTCCCCTCTGTCTTGTTCACAGTTATATACAGTACCTTGAACAGTACTACTATAAATATTTATTGAATGAACTAATTTATGGGAAAGCAGATTTTGGCTTAATAGAGAAAGAATTTTCTTTCTGTGGGGAAGGGGCAAGAGCTTTCAACCACTGAGGATGTTTTATGTTAACTAGTTTTATCTTCATACAGTTTGTCATCAGCCACTTTTTGAGCACTTATATGCTAGACATAGGCATGGAAGACACGGCTCAGAGACAGTAAGTAACTTTGCCCTAGCTCATGTCGTTGGAACTGAAAATTGTAATCCATCTTGTCTGTTTCCAAAACCACTGGGCTTTCTACTATACCATAAATAGAATAGGGGTTTATGATGATGAATTTTCCCATCACTGGTGGACTTTAGGCAAAGACTAGATGATCATTCATTGGGATACTAAACTATGCTAACTAATGGATTCTTGAATTGAGTGGGATGGTGGACTAGATCCAATTCTAAGATTCTGTGATTCTGTGATAGAAGCTGTCCATTCATGATAGAAATTCTATGACAGGATTTCTTTATGTTGGAAATAACAAAGAAGAAAAGAAACCTTTTTTGAAATTGTTGCTTGGAACCCAAGAATGTGAACTTACACAATTGCCAAAATGTTATCCCTTAATCCTAGCTGGATGGTGGACTGAAAGTGGGCTCAGAAATATACTTGCATTTCAAATACAATAGCTCCTACAGTCCACAAATAAAAAATGAAAACCAAAACTTTGAAACGATAAAATGGAAAGTTTTCAATGAAGTAAGCAAATTGTACAATAATTTCATAATTGTTCTGGGTGTCTAAGCAAAGCTCACATAATGAAGTCTTTTTTTTTTTTTGAGACAGAGTCTCACTCTGTCGCCCAGGCTGGAGTGCAGTGGTGCAATCTCAGCTCACTGCAAGCTCCACCTTCCAGGTTCAAGCAATTCTCCTGCCTCAGCCTCCCAAGTAGCTGGGACTACAGGCGCCCGCCACCATGCCTGACTAATTTTTTGTATTTTTAGTAGAGACGAGGTTTCACCGTGTTAGCCAGGATGGTCTCAATCTCCTGACCTCGTGATCTCCCATCTCGGCGCCCCAAAGTGCTGGGATTACAGGCGTGAGCCACTTCACTTGGCCACATAATGAACTCTTATAGGAATCAAAGAATAAAAAATAGATGCAGATACTGGCAATGTCCCAAGAGTCATTCTTCAAAGGAATTAGTCTACCTATGTCAGTATTAGTGTTTATAGGATTAGCTGATACAAATCTCTTGAAAATGAAACTGTGTTGTATTCAAGCTATTTATTACATTATACCTTGAATATATTCAAAAACATGGTGGGGGGTTGGGTTGTTTTGCTTTGTTTTGTTTCTGAGACATGGTCTCACTCTGTCACCCAGGTTGGAGTACAGTGGTGCCCTCTTGGCTCACTGCAACCTCCACCTCCTGTGCTGCAGCCATCCTCTCACCTCAGCCTCTGGAGTAGCTGGGACTACAGGTGTGCACCACCACACCCAGCTAATTTTTGTATTTTTTGTAGAGATGGAGTTTCCCCATGTTGCCCAGGCTGGTCCTGAACTCCTGAGCTCAAACAGTCCACCTACCTCTGCCTTCCAAAGCACTGGGATTACAAGCGTGGGCCATGATGTCTGGCCGATTTTTTTTTCATCAAATACTGAATTTTTTTGGTGAGGGGCCAGTGTAAATCAACACAATTCCTTAATTAGAAATGCTCACCTCGGGTATCTGAAAGTCATTACATTTGGACTTGTGAACAAAAAATATTCTGCAAAAAGATTGTTTTATGATATATAGATAAAATAATAAACCATGGCTTCTAGATGATCATAAGGGACTAACTTTGTGAGAGAGCATTTCCAAAATTTTAAGCATGTTCCAACTTCCCAATTTTGCTAATTATTTTTGGTTTAGCTTTTTCCCCCCAGACAATGCCTCACTCTTGTCACCCAAGCTGGAGTGCTGTGGTGATATCAGCTTACTGTAGCCTCAACCTCCTGGGCTCAAGCTATCCTCCCATCCCAGCCTCACAAGTAGCTGGTACTACAGGTGTACCATGCCAGGCTAATTTTTGTTTTTGTTTCGTAGAGCCAGGGTCTCACTATGTTGCCCAGGCTAGTCTCCATCTCCTAGGCTCAAATAGTCCTCCCACCTCTGCCTTCCAAAGTGCTGAGATTACAAGTGCGAGCCACCGTGTCTGGCCTGGTTTAGCTCTTTAATGCTTATAAATAAGAATATTCCTACATAATAGTCTTAAAAGTCTATGATGTTTGTCAGCTATTCATATGAAATTAATATGCTTTAAGATTCACATAAAAATTAAGAGTAAAAGTAACATACTGTATCTGTAGAATATTAAAAATTAGCATGTTTAATCAATCATTACAACATGAAAGTGACTTGTGGTAACCAAAGGAATCATAAAATCACTGAAAGTGAAAAAGTCAAGTGAATTCAGGGCAAGGTAGATGATAACTAAAAACGTATTTACAAAACTGGAGGAAAAGGGTCTTTTCTGGGTGCTCATCCAGCATACAGAAATTGTCTGGCAAATGTCAGTTTTCTTCTTTACTATTTGTTATATATTCAATAGTTGGCAAAAGGAAACACAGTTATGTAGTTTTGTCTTATTTTACACTATAGACATGTTCCTTAGAAGTATGAGTTGAAATTTTGTAAAATAAGTATCTTAAATGGACTATTGGAATTTGCTTTAATGGTCTTTGTTAGTAAATTATAATCTTATGACTTCTTCATTGTGTAAACCTCAACAATTTTAAATCAATTTGCTTAATTTTGCTTCAACAACAACGAAACAAAACAAAACAAAAAAACCTTTCTAGCTATTATGTAATGGGTCCTATCTCCTTGGCATAAGATTCAGAATAAAAAGTCAGTATGTAATACCTCCCTATTATAGGCCAATTATGAAATAAACTACTAAAATCTATTTATTCTTATGTGTCAGCATGGTGGGATCCAGGACCAGGAGTTCCATTATTCTGCCTTTGGTTGAATGCAGCACCCCAAACTCCTTATCAGAGAGTAAGTATAATTCATTCAAAATGATTCTTTCATATAAACATCCTCATCATGTTATAAAAATTTAAGCATCTCTTGGAGAAACTTATCACTATGCAATTCCCAGGAGAAAATTAAAACTTTTGAAAACAACTGAAAATAGATGATGGTGACCAACAGTGGAGAAAAAGACAAGTCAGACATAGGAGAGAATATAGTGTCTGGGAGAAACCAGCCCACAGCTGTATACCCACAGCTAAAAAATGTGGAATTTCTGATGGCTGGAGCTACAGTAGCTTATTTTCAGACTAAGGCCAATTGTAGTATGCCAACATCCTCATATTCTGCTGAAACACATTTGCCAAAATTGTTCTTTCCTTCATTATATATGTTACTTTTCCTTTTCTCTTCTGTATATCCCACATTTTTAAATATATAATTCACTGTCAGAAGAAGATATAATTTCTTTTGAACACATGTAATATATAAAATCATGCCTTTACATCACAAGAATCTTTAGAAGATGTTCTGACTTAGTCTTTATAAAGGTTTTTATTTTAACTCCTCTAAGGAAAAGAATGCATCAATAACATCATGCAATAATAGATTATTATTAAATGTATTGAGAGTAACCCAAATGTTTATGGTTTTACAATTTGGCATTTTTATTTGAGTAAGCATAAAGAAGGTGCTTATTTCCAAGATTAAATAACTTCATGTAGATTACAAAACAGCCAGAGTATCTTGTAACCATGTAACCATGAGGAATATTAACACTTCTGCCCCTGCAACACCCATACCAGCAATTATTTGTCATGTTCTTGACTTTGAACACTCTTCCACAATTCATTTTGTGTCCCCTGAAGGAGACTGAAAACTAAACTAAAATCATTGGTGCCTGTTTTATACTAGGCATTTTACTAGGCACTTTCATATACATTATCTAACTTAATTCTCACTGCCACCATCCAAAGTGAGTACAAGCGTCTCTAATCGCCAGTGATAATTTCTCTTTGGAGAATGATCCAGATTATAGACATTACATTTAATAGCAGCAGTTTTTCTGCAGATCAAATGATGATGAGGTAATTTGAGCCTACATTGTCCAGTGTGGCAGGCACCAGTCACGTGGCTATTTAAATTTCAATCAATAAAAATGAAAAATTCAGTTTCACAGTCTCACTTGCCACATTTCAAGTGCTCAATAGCCACATGTGGCTAGTGAGTAGTTTTACTAGTGAGCAGTTCTTGCCACTTTTACAACCCAGGAATATCTTGTCTCAAGGACCTGAGAGCAATTTCTTTGAAATATAGTTATCAAAGGATATAGTACTCCTATCTCCTAGTTCCTGTGGGATAGTAGGAGCCTAACTTTAGTGGGCATCTGCTCCAAGTTGCAAAACTACCTTCTAACATAAACATATGAGAAGTTTATTTTTACTTTGGATAAAGCCAATTAGCAAACACAGATGGCCTAAGACTTTCCCCTAATGTCCTCCAGTACTGTCCACCAGTTCAACCGAGCCCTTAAAAAACCCTACCCCCTCTGCCTCAGTGGAGTCAAGTTCAGAGTTTGTTCTGGCCTCTCTCCCCTACTGCAATAGCCTTGAATAGAGTAATGTCATCCTGGCCTATTTTACTTTGCCTGGTACAATTGTTTTTTGTTTGTTTGTTTGTTTGTTTTGTTTTGTTTTGTTGTTTGTTTTTTGAGACGGAGTCTCGCTCTGTTGCCCAGGTTGGGCAACAGATCTCGGCTCACTGCAAGATCTGCCTCCCAGGTTCACGCCATTCTCCTACCTCAGCCTCCCGTGTAGCTGGGACTACAGGTGCCCGCCAGCACGCCCGGCTAATTTTTTGTATTTTTAGTAGACACGGGGTTTCACCGTGTTAGTCAGGATGGTCTTGATCTCCTGACCTCGTGATCCGCCCGCCTCGGCCTCCCAAAGTGCTGGGATTACAGGCGTGAGCCACCATGCCCAGCCACCTGGTACAATTTTTGCTTTAACACCAGTTTTCAGAAAATGAAAATAGTAATTCAAAATAGTGTAAGCCGAGTGCAGTGGCACATGCTGGAGTGCAGTAGTCACAGCTACTTGGGAGGATGAGGTGGGAGGATCACTTGAGCCTAGGAGATCAAATGTAACCTGGGTAACAGAGTTAAACCCCATCTCAAAAAAAAAGTGTAAGTCTTAATTCATACTGAAAATAGTTTTAATGTTTTCTTAAGCTGAATGATCTACATAAGTAATCATATACAGGTAATAATGTGGCAAAGTGAAATGATTTGATTACAGAAATAAATCTAATTCCAGGATTTAAGGATGTAGAGTTGCAATTACATAAGCTATACCTGACACCACTTCAGCATCACACATATTTATCACCCGGTTTAGCTGTTCTGCTGTGAATGCATTATGGAAAAGGTAGCCAAGTTTTTTGGTCTAGGAATACTTTCTTCTGGAACATGGCCTTCCTCTAGCTGAATATAGCAGAAGACCCCAGCTAGGTTCACTGATGGGTCTTTCTATAATAGCAATCTATTTCCATTATGATTCTCAGGCCCAGCCAAGGCCACACACATTCCAAATCTATACTCTCAGGTCTTCCTAGAATTTATATTCTCTGCAAATTCAAGGAATTAATCATAGTGTCTTTCAGCTTTTTCTCAGAATTTTCCCAAAGTTAAATCACTGTTAATAAAACATACGTTCTTCACAGAGAGTAAATCCAACAGTTTGTAGAGAGACAGCTCTTCAGGGTGATTTTCTTCTCTTTCTTAGTGGCATCCCGGGGGATTTACTTCCATTATCATCTGAGCACAAAAGAGGATCAAAAATTTTGGCCACCGTTTAGCTCTATTTCCTGGTTTAACTACTTTTTTTTTTTTTTTTAACCAGACTTAAAAGAGATGGTTCTTTGGGGAGAGGGGATGGTACAAGAAGAATCACAAATTTTCATTAAAATCCCTGATAATAATTGGCTGTATTTATACATTTCTGGTGATTTATAATTTTCAGAAAGCTTTCATGTTAATTCTTTTAATCCTCCCAAAAATCCTATGAGGTTGGTGTTCATATATGCCCTATTTTACCAAAAGAAAACAAAACAAAAAACTAGGAAACTTAGAGACACGGAGTAGCAATCCAAGCTTACAGAACAGTTGTTTGCCTCCACTGTCCCCACTTCTCACTGCCATTCTGATTTCCAGTTCCAACCCATGGAAACTTGTGCTTGGGCTCCTACCACTTGACTAAAACTACTCTCAACAAGGTCTCCAGTAACCTCTTTGTGGGACCCTTTCAGTCCTTATCTACCCAGACTATCATCAGCACTTGACTTTGTGGACCACACCCTTGCTTAGTTTCTGGGACACTACACTCATTTATTTTTTTTTTTCTCTTGCTTAATCTGTTTCTCTTTTAAGGACTCCACTTCCTCTATCTCAGAGCTTCCCAACAAACAGGAAACAAAGAGATATTGTTTCACCCATGTGGGACCTGGAAGTACAGAACCTTATAGCTGATTGCTATCATTAGAAGCATTTTTATTTTGTGTTCCTGTGATGGTCATCCAAGAAAAGTGGATCTGAAAGTGTGCCTCCCTCCGTCCCAGCATCATATGGCACTCACTGTTCTATTGAGTAGATCTGGGAGAGGCCAAGTTGGACATCAACTTTGGTAGCCCAAAGAGGAGAGTGCACAGCTCAAGATACAACTGCCTGTGCAGGGGAAGCCAGGTAGGGGTTCTTTCCTATTGGAGCTGCAAGCAGGATAAAATTCTGTCTTCAAATATATTAGTGTTTATTTCTTATGGCACAATGTTTAGAAATAAAGAAATATATAAAATTTGTGCTGACTACAATTTTAGTAGTGTTCTTTCTAGCTATAGTATGACTATCCTAATAATGTGTTTGTTCATCAAGAGAAAATTTGATTGTATTCAAAATCATCATCTTTGCAAGAAATTTACTATTACATTTGTCACTGAAAAAAAGGGATGATAGATTCTTTAGATATAATTCCAACTGTCATAAATTGTTAAGTAGTTATAAAAAATATTCTCACTTTTTAAACTACCTACTCATATGAACATTTCCCACCAATGGTAATGATCACATATAATTAGAAAGAAAGTATACCAATTTCAAACATAAAATCTGATATTAAAAAGTTAGGTTAAATATTATATCAATTCAATATTTAGCACCCCTACTACTTTTTAAAATTTTTCTTATTATAGTTATAGAATATAAAGAAAGTATTAAGAATTGTGTCCCTACCCAAAAAAGATGGGTTAAAATCCTAACTCCCAGTACCTCAAAATAAGACCTCATTTCAAAATAGGTTCTGATATGGTTTGTATGTTTGTCCCATCCAAATCTCATGTTGAAATATGATCCTCAGTGTTAGAGGTGGGGCCTGGTGGGAAGTGTTTGTCTCAAGGGGACAGATCCCTCATGAATGACTTGGTGCCATCCTCGAAATAATGAGTGAGTTCTTGTTCTATACATGCAGGATCTGGTTGTTTAAAAGAATGTGGCACCTCTCCCTCCTCACTCCTTCTCTTGCCATGTGACACTTCCTGCTCCCTTTTGCCTTCCCCAGTCATTGTGAACTTCTTGAGGTCCTCACAAGAAGCAGATGCCCGTGCCACACTTCTTACATAGCTTGCAGAACTGTGAGCTAAATAAACCTCTTTTCTTTACAAATTACCCAGCCTCAGGTATTCCTATATAGCAATGTAAAAACAGCCTAATACAGGGTCATTACAGATGTAATTAGTTAAGATGAAGTCATACTAATGTGGAGTGGACCTCTAATCCAATATGTGTTCTTATAAGAAGATAGCCATGTGAAGACAGAGAGACACACAAGGAGAACACCATGTTAAGATGAAGGCAGATACTGAATTGCTGCAAGTCGAGGAACACCAAAGATTGATGGCAAATCACCAGAAGCAAGGAAGAGGCAAGGAAGGATTGCCATACAGGCTTCAGAAGGAACATGGCTCTGCTGACATCTTGATTTTGGACTTTTAGTCTCCATAAACGTAAGATGATAAATATTTGTTGTTTCAAGCCATCCAGTTTGTGGTACTTTGTTGTAGTAGCCCTAGGAAACTAACACAGAAAGTAAAGAAAAATGTCATGCAGCCTTATATAAATACTCCTAGATGTCTCACAGTTTACCCAGTGTGTCATACAAATGCTATTTTCCATGTCTGCTATGACATGTAAACAGTTGGGAAGCACAGTCCACCACCATTTCTGAAAACACTGGCATTTCCTAGGAGGATTTGTCCTTGATCCTCTTTTCCTCTCATAGTTAACCCATTCTTGCTGGGTAATTTTACCAACTCAGTTTTCACCTGAATGTTAATTATTTCAAATCTGTGTCCCCAAGCCCAGGTGTCTTTAAGCCCAGATGTCTCTCTTGAGTCCCAGGTTCTATACCCAACTATCCATGACACTTGGAGGTCCTACAGTCACTGAGACTGCAAAATCCAATTGGGACAATTAAAAAAACAAAACAAAACTCCAGGTGGCCTAAATTTAGATTATCAAGAGGGGCTTGGAGATGTAGATGTTTGGGTATTGCTTCAGGATATAGCTCTATTATTTTTGTTTGTTTGTTTTAGCCAGAGATCCATCCCTAGGACCTTTCTTGAGTTCATCTCCCATCAAAGTGAAGACAGTGTGAAGAACCATTCCTGGAAAATATCATCATGTTGAGGAATCTCAAATTCTGGCTAAATGTAGTACACAATCTATGAAAATTCATTCACCCTAAGATAGAGCCAAACATGCCACATATAATAGCTACCTAGCTCATGGTGTTAAAGAGAAATTATTCACTGGACATTTGTTGAAAATGACAAGACAGAATTTGTTTGAGCTACTGCAATAGAAGAGAAATACTTCAGTACAGAACTAAACCCAATTTTGCAGAAATAAAAGGTGGGAGGCTTTTTAAACATCTGGGTGTACTAAAGAAAAAGTACTGAAGGACAGGACATTAGTGGGGGTTGGCTCAAAATGATTATTAGTCTGTCTTTGTCTGTCAATTGGAACTTATCAAAGTTAGGCACCTACACTCCCAGGGAGACTGCACAACAGGGCCTTATCTTTCTTGGTGATTACACTTCAAAGGGATGGCTCCCAGGTCCTTGAGAAAGACATTCCTGGAATGTAGAGGATACACCTCAAAGAGAGAAAAGATTTACAATAGCAAGTTTTCTAAAGTAAATGCTCTAAGAAAAGAGAGATCAGGGGCCTATACTCAGGTTTTGGGCTGGAATGAACAGTAAATTCTTTTGGCAGTGTTGAGCTTTCTCAGGCAGGCATTTTAAGGGATCTGGGTTTGTCATCCTGGGAACACAGCCTCGAGCTTACAGAAACTATACTAGTGTTTGCCCATGTCTCTTAGTTGGGAGGGCAGGAGGAGTTGGGAGAAATAGTTTGTGCTTTCAGTCGCTGCTCTTATAGGCCAGGATTGAGGCCTAGTCAAGAAAAGGGCTTAGAGGAGCCTAACCAAAGTTTGGTCAAGAAGAGTCTTTGTCAACGACTGTAGGAATCAATATAAATTTCCTCCCATCACACTAGTGTTCTTAAAGCTGTTAAGTTTTCACTATATTTTAAATATTTTGTGAAAAGCGTGGGTCAGACTAGATGAACTTGAGATGTCTATTAACATCAATGTCCAAGAGGCAGAAATTTAATTCATATTAGTGGGGTGAGAATAGAATGTTTTAGAAAAGCTAATGATGAGCCTTCTGATATCTCTGTCTTTGGTTTGCATCTTTCATTATAAGTAAGCAAGTGGACTCTGTACCCTTCTTAGATATCTTACCTTGAAACATGCTTTTTTCTTGAGGGAAAAACCCAAATCATTGAACAGATATTTATTAAGTACCTACTATAAATTAGGAACTTTTCTAGGCATTGGGGCCACAGCAGTAAACAAGACCAACAGATGTCTGTCTTGAGGAGGCTCACATTCTAATGGTGGGAGACAGACAATAGGTAAATACATAAGACCACTTCAGATAGAAAATTTTATATAAAATTACTATAAAATAATCCAAACAGGGCCGGGTGTAGTGGCTCACACCTGTAATCCCAGCAGTTTGGGAGGCCAAGGCGGGCAGATCACCTGAGGTCAGGAGTTTGAGACCTGCCTGGCCAACATGGTGAAAACCTGTCTCTACTAAAAATACAAAAATTAGCCAGGTGTAATGGCGCACACCTATAATCCCAACTACTCGGGAGGCTGAGGCAGGTGAATTGCTTGAACCCAGGAGGCAGAGGTTACATGAACTGAGATTGTGCCACAGCGTTCCAGCCTGGGCAATAGAGCAAGGCTCCATCTCTAAAATAATAATAATAATAATAATCCAAACAGGATTATTTTATAATAATTGTGATGTGATAGAGTGATGGAGTGGGAGGGATCTGCTTTAGATGCAGAGGTCAGAGAACCTCTCTGAGCAGGCATTTGAATGATCCTATGGGCATAACAAAGATCTGGGGGAAGAGCATTCAGGCCAAGGGAACATGTGCAAATGCCTCGATGTGGAAATAGTTTTGATGAGTTTACAGAACAGAAAGGAACAGCTGAAGCATAATGAATAAGCAGGGAGTGGTCTGAAATGTGGCCAGAGAGGAAAGCCTGGTAATACAGGGCCTTATAGGCAGTTGTGAGGAGTTTGTACTTTATTCTAGCTGCAATGGAAACTCGTGAAGGTTGTTAAGCAGAGGAGTGAGAACATCAGACTTATAGATAAATCTTTTCAAAAATCATTTTGGTTTTCTGTGAAAAAAGATTGATAAGGGGCCAGATTGGAAGTAGGAGAGTAGTTTTGAGGGTATTCAAAAATTCTGGAGGAATTGTGATGATGGCTTGTTCTCAAGTGGTAGTAGTAAAGATGGAGAGATATGAATGAATTCAAGTTATATTTGAAAGCGTAACTGACTTGTGAGTGGATTAAGTAAATGAAAAGGAGAATCAAGCTAGATGTATTGACTTGAGGGAAATACTGGAGGAAAATGGGTTTGGAGAGGTGGAAAAGACTTAAGTGTAAAAGGAAATGCCAATCAGGCACTGCATATATGAATATAGAATTCAGGAATGGTAAAAGCTCAAGATGTCTATTTGGGAGTCATCAACATATGGACACTTCTTAAACACACCAGCTTTAGCGTTTGGGAAACACAAAACAGAAACATTCTAGCCAAATGGGCAGAGGAGGCAAATGTAGTTTGTCTGTGTTATTTATTACATTTTATGGTAGTTATTATTGCACATAGGCATTTTATATGCTATATGTTAAATGTGCCCTTAGGCATACTCGGAAATATCAAGGGGGAAGAGAGTGAGAGAAAGGCCTTGCCATTAAGTTTTATAGTGTTGTAATCCTCAAAATACATATCAGTTTCTCAAGTCAACAGGCTCTACCTGCTCATAAGAACAGTACACTCACTGTGTAGTAAAAAGGCAGAGGGCGGAAGTATCAGTCATTATCTCCTGGTGCATTCCTACCTTTTTGCTCAACAACTGTAATAAATTCAGTGACGCTTAGCTGTCACTCACTTCTGGATACAAGAGGTTGGAGCAGAAGAGCTTTAAACAGAACTGCTTCCATGGCCCATCTGAGGCTATGGCACATTGTGTCATGTATGATTACCGGATAATTGCAGCAAGTCTTTCATGGCACATCCCCAAAGAGTGTCACACTGGCCCTGTAGCAACCAGCAGGCAATCTGACCATAGTGTACTTATGCCTAATCTCTATTTCTCAAGCATCAAATAAATTGTCCTTTTTATGAGATTGTATATTATCCTGCAGCAGGTCAAACAATTCTAGAATTTGGTCAACACTATTCAGATATTAGAGGTGTTCATTTGGAAAAGTATGTTTTTCATTGGCTCTGTGCTTAGCCACAGTGCAACCACACCCCCAGTCTGAGCATTATTAATAATAATGAAGTCTTAACATTATTGTCATTTCATAACTATTACTGGGCACCCAAAGTTTAATAATGAGTTTGTAGAATTACCAAGGAAAATTATACTTCTGAATCTTGGGCTGAGTTTTACACAGCCCAATCATTATGTTAAATGATTATTTCAAGCTTTAATTTTCTATTTTTTTAATGAATGCCATACATTACTGTCTAATAGAAACTATTCAATCAAGCAGTCTTCTAGTCTTGCCTAAATGCTTCCAGTGATCAAGAATTTTTACCTCTCTGACATATTCTGTTCTAAGGTAGTAGAGTAGTTTTAATACTGATGTAGTTCTGGTATATTCAGCAGTGGTTGGCACATAACAGAGCTAAAAATATTAACTCACAAGCTTTGGATTAGGTAGTTATAGCTTCAGATCTCATTTCTACTTCTTTAAGGCTGTGATATTGGAGACATTAATCTTGTAAGCCACACTTTCATCATCTATGAAATGTGGCTGAATATTTACCTTATAGGGCTTTTTGTAAGTACTAAATGTGAAGTGCTTAGAACAACATTTGGCAATACTGGGCATCAATAAATGGTAGTGAGATACAACATTATTGCCACCCTGTGATGAGTTCTCCCTTGTACCTCTCACTCCATGACTCTCACCCATTTGGGCCATTAGAATTGCAGTCTAAAGCTTCCAGTGCTTTAAAAGGGTGACTTCAAGTGACACAAGACTTCAGGTTGTCAAATTCTTCAAGAAGGATCTGGATGAATTAATGACCCAATTCCTCCCTACCCTGGTTCCTCCCATTCTCTGACTACATGAAGATTCTGAAGTAATCCATTGGCCCTAAGAGCCAAAAAATTGGTGCAATTCCAAATAAAAGGGATAAATTACTCTCCTCCTCTGAGCTGAGGAGGAATTAGAGAAGAAAGAATGTGAGACTTTAACTGTTCTCCAGACACTATTCACCTTGGTGCTCCCTACCCCTTACCCAACATGGTGAAACCCCATCTGTAGTAAAAACACAAAAATTAGCCGGGTGTAATGGCACGTGCCCGTAATCCCAGCTACTCGAGAGGCTGAAGCAGGAACTCAGGAGCTGTAGGAGGAACTCAGGAGGAGCCATCATATATCATATATGGTTTGCATACATGCAGATGTACCCGCCCAAGAAGGAAGTGAGAGGTGGAGTCTCACTTGTGCCTCCTTAACTAAGTCCCATACTCTGTTGCTGGGCTGGGGGAAGGAGACCCTTTTTCTTCCCACAAAAGCACCAAGCCATACTGTATATAACCGCATTGACTCAGAGGTGAGGCTTCATCTAATTCGCAGGAAGATAGTGGAGGCATTAGATGGATAAATTTGTGGGCATTGCACTGCGCTGTTTTCCCACAGCCTTGAGAGTCAACAGATTCTCTGAAGCATTTCCCAGGCTGTTATACTCTGGGAAACATGAAGCAGAGACTGTGAAAGGGCAAACTGTTAGGCCAAAGATCTTAGGCAGTTCCAGAGTTTTACACAGCCCAAGGAGCTCTGGGAATTGCCAGATATCTTCTTTGGCTGAGAATAGTCCAGGTACAACCCTGACAGCATGAGGACCTGAGGGATCCTCAGGCTGGGATATAAGGGTTTGGTGTGGAAACCTCAGCGATGACAGTGTGGAAGGCTGACTATCCTTGAGGACTGGATTGGCCTGAAAACTGAAGACCTCAACACCATATAACAAGAGTGGAAAGCCTTAGGAGGGCAAGGATTTTTGCCAACTTTGTTCTGTGATGTATGTCTGACATATAGGCACTCAATAAATACTTGTTTAAAGAATGGAGGAACAAAGGAAGGAATAAGACAGATGAGGACCAAGGATTATGTGCTCCCTTTCCACTGATGTCAAGGTGAATTAGTTAACAACTTCTGCATAATAATATTATTACAAACTTTGCCATTTAAAATAACACACATTTATTAATCTCATAGTTTCTATGGGTAGGGAATGCCAGGTAGGCTTAGCTAAGTACCTCTGCTTAGAGTCTTATAAGACTGCAGCCAGGCCAGGCATAGTGGCTGTGCCTATAGTCCCAGCACTTTGGGAGGCTGAGGTGGGAGGATCACTTGAGGCCAGGAGTTGAAGATCAGCCATGGCAACATAGCAAGACCTCGTCTCTACAAAACAATTTTAAAAATCAGTCATGCATGGTGGTTTGCACATGTAGTCCCAGCTACTCGGGAGGCTAAGGTGGGAAGATCACTTGAGTCCAGGACATTGAGGCTGCAAGTGAGCCGTGATTGTGCCACTGCACTCTAGCCTTGGTGACAGAGCAAGACCTTATCTCAAAAACAAAACAAAAAGACTGCTGAGGCTATGATCTCATCTGAAGCCTGACTTGGGGAGGACCCACTTCCAAGTTCACTCAGGTTGTTGGTAAATTTTATTTCTTTTGCAGCTGTAGAACTTCTCTTTTGTGGTAGTAGCCTCTTTTGCTGGCTGACTGTTGGCTGGAAGCCATCCTCAGCCAGAGGGCTGCCCACTCACCATGTGCAGTTCCCCAACATGGCTGCTTGCTTCCTCAAACCAACAAGAGAGGAAGAAGTCGGCACCACAGTCTTATGTAACATAATCACACACATACAATTGAATACATGGAATCATTAAAATCCCATCACTTTTGCCATAACCTATTGGTTCAAAGCAAGTCATAGGTTCTGCCCACACTCAATGGGAAGCGACCACAGAAGGCATGAATATCAGGAGGCAGGGATTATAGGGGCCACCTTAAGATTCCTTCTGTAACACAGGGCACAGTTATTGTTTTCAGAATCAAACCTGGGAGAATGTGGAGGGGGAGAATCTTGAACTGACCTAGTTTACACCGAATAGCTTTTTTCCTACAATTGGGCACTTGAGATAAAATCTGATAGACTTATAAGAAATAAAATTACATTTTGCAGACCTTAATATGTAATTTTAAAATTTCTACCTAGCCATAGGAACTACTGACTTTATATTAGCAAATGTGCCTCCACTCTAATTTCTATCTCGTGGTCATATTTCTACCTGTTGGTGCCATAGAAATATAATTTATCTTTTACCTGATAACCCTTCAAATATTTTAACAAGGATACACTGTGTCTGAAAATTCCTCTAAGTTAGTATTCTTAGGCTTGTTAATCATGTATCACACAAAAGTTTTCTAGATTTTTCCAAAGTAGTTGCTACTATCTCTACATGCCCAAATATATTTGTCTCTTTTAAAGACAAGTGCCTAAAACTAGGTTTTGTGTTTTATATAAAAAATTTTATCTAGAATTATCTAATTTCTGCTAAATGGGATTATATTTCTCTTGTTGGTATAATGATAAAGAACTTTTAAAACAATGGGAATAACATTCTAAGAAAAACAACATACTATAGCAACAACTCTGAGGATGTAGTAGGAATTTGAGCTTTGTCACCTCTTTTAGACTCTTCATAAATGCTAACAATTATTGTGATTTTTATAAAGATAATAATTATTGTCAGTAAGAAATCATTACTGATAGCATCTACTTATAAAATGTAATTAATTAGTTTAAAAGTAAATATTATGTAATTAGAATGATTGCATACTATCTTATTTATAAAATAAGATAGAAAATGTGGAGAACATTACGGATGTTTTTAAAATGTGAGAAAATGGCAGATGGCATAAACATCAGTAAAATCCAAATGAAATATCAACCTATTCAGAAAATAAAACAATTTTGTAAGGATTTTGTATTTCTCACTTTTCTGTTATGTTACGCCAGCAATGACTTGGTTTCTGGTGATGTCGAAGATGATTGCATGTTAGACAACGTAATTCTAGCATTAAAGGTATTACTTTGTGCATCGACAACTGCCACCATCTTTCCAGATTTCTCAAATTGCATGAGTAGCTTGCAAGCTGACATAATTATGCTGCTCTCATTAGCAATTTAAGTACAGCTGGAAAAAGCTTATTAGGATCTTATACCAGTGGTTCCCAATGAGAATCCTGCAATGTCCTGCAGTAGCTAGGGAGCCACTATGCCCCAGGGATGTTTTGTCACTGCTCTTGAAATGCATTGTCTCTTTCTAAGCATTATACAGCATGGCCTCATGGGTACAGCTGGGGAATAGATCAAGATTTACAAGGTTTATTCCTGCCCCTGGAGCAGATTTCTGGGAAACCAAAAAAGGAACACATAACAGATATGTCTGTATCAGCAAAACTTAGTGGAGTAAAACTTTCCTGTTTAGTAACATGAAACCATTTTATAAGGGTTTAAATTTTGCACTTGCTTATTCTCAATTTTTATCCATTTTGTCTATTTCCCCACCCATATTTTGTTGGCCTCCCTCTATCACCCCCAAAGCTCTTTTTGTTTTGTTTTGAATTCTGGTAACATATACATGAAATTTATCACTTTAACCATTTTTAAGTATATAGTTGAGTAGTGTTAAGTCCATTTACACTGTTGTGTAGCCAATCTCCAGAACTCTTTTCATCTTGGAAAACTGAAACTCCTATACACATTAAACAACTCCCTATCATCCTCATCCCTGCACCGCAGTCCTTTGAAACCTTTATTCTACTTTGTGTCTCTATAAATTCCACTACTCTAAGTACCTCATATAAATGGAATCATGGAATATTTGTCGTTTTATGCCTGGCTTATTTCAGTCAGCATAAAGTCCTCAAGGTTATCCACATTATAGCACATGTCAGAATTTTCTTCCTTTTTAAAAAGCTGACTTGCCACATTTTGTTTATCCATTCACCCATCGGCGGACACTTGGGTTGCTTCCTTCTTTTGGCTATTGTGAATAATATTGCTGTGAACTTGGGTGCACAGTTATCTCTGAGGATTGTTTTCAGTTCTTTTGGGTATATGGACAAAAGCGGAACTGATGGATCATATGGTTATTATGTTTTTAATTTTTTGAAGAACTGCTGTACTGTTTTACATAGCAGCTGCATCATTTTACATTCCCATCAATAATAGGCAAGGATTCCAATTTTTTCACATCCTTGCCAGCACTTATTTTTTGTTTTTACAGTAGTTTTTATGGTCAGAATTGTGTCCTTTCCAAATTTCTATGTTGCAGTCCCAATCCCCAGTGCCTCTGAATGTAACCATATTTGGGGATAGGACCTTCGGGGGGTAATTGAGCTAAAATGAGGCATTTAGGGTGGGCCAGAATCCAATCCGATTGATGACCTTACAAGAAGAGGAGATTAGAATATACAGAGAGAAAGCAAGGATGTGCACACACAAAGAACAGGCCATGCCAGGACACAGCAAGAAGACAGCCATCTGAAAGTGAAGGACAGAGACGTCAGAAGAAACCAAACCTGCCGGCACCTTGATCCTGGACCTCCAGCTTCCAAAACTGTGAGAAAATAAGTTTGTGTTGTTTAAGCCACCCAGTCTGTGGTATTCTGTTATGGTGGCCCTAGAAAACTAATCAGTAGCCATCCTAATGGGTGGGACCTAGTATCTCATTGTGGTTTTGATTGGCATTTTTCTAATGATTAGTGATGTTGAGCATCTTTTCATGTGCTTGTTAGCCATTTGTATGCCTTCTTTGAAGGAATGTCTGTTCAAGTTCTTTACCCAGTTTTGTTTGTTTTTAGAGACAAGGTCTTACTCTGTCACCCAGGCTGGGGTACAGTGACATGATCATTGCTCACTCTAGCCTAGACTAAGTGAGCTGCACATCTCAGCCTCCCAAGTAAGCTAGGACTACAGGCATGTGCCACCACCTCTGGATAATTGTTTTAATTTGTGTAGAGATGGGGTCTCGCTATGTTGCCCAGGCTGTTTGCCCAGTTTTTAATTGGGTTGTTTGATTTTTTTGTTGTTGAGTTATAGGAGTTCTTTATATATTCTGGATGCCAATCCTTTATCAGGTATATGATTTGAAAATATTTTATCCTATTCTGTGGGTTGCCTTTTCACACTGTGGATTGCCTTTTCACACTGTGGATTGTATTGTTTGATACACAGCAGTTTTAAAGTTTGATGTGGTCCAATTTATCTATTTTTACTTTTGTTGCCTGTGTTTTTGATGACATATCTAAAAAAATTACTGCCAAATTCAGTGTCATGCAGCTTTTCCTCTTTTTTTTTTCTAAGAGTTTAACAGTTTTAGCCCTTGTGTTTAGATCTTTGATTGATTTTGAGTTAATTTCTATATGTGGTATAAGGTAAGGGCCCAACTTTATTCTTTTACATGTAGATATCCAATTTTCCAAAGCTATTTTTATAGCCAATCTTCCTATACTCAAAGTTGAGTATGGGAAATCAACATTTGGGACAGGATCTAAACTGAGTTCCTGATTCCCTAAAAGCAGTTTCCAGATTCCCCACCTTAACCCTTTCTATGACAAAGCAGGGGTCCAGAATGCTGGTTCAAAGTATGTCTTTCAGAAAACACAGCTCCTATACAGACAAAAACCTGTGCTAGTCACACAAAGGATACTTCAGGTGGGATGTCTCAACTCCCAGGACTCCCAAAGCTGTCCCAAACATTCTCCATTGTATTAAGGATTGTTGCCTTTTATACATCACTTAAAATTCCACTCAATTTCACTTCTTGCTCTAGCACTTCCTCACAGGTTTTGACTGGCTCTGATGCAGTGGGTTCCTTCAGAAACTCTGGGCACTCATACCTGCACAACCTGGAAGTTCAGGGAGGTCAACACCTGTGGGCCTGCTCTTAACTAATAGGCTATGGGAGCTGACGGATAAATGCTTCCCCCTTTCACTCTCTAGTTAGTCTTCACATGCACTACATAAAGCTTCTCAGATAGTCCAGGCAGAATCAAGTACCAGTCAACTGTAGCTGTGGCCAATGTGATACTATATCCTTGTTTGCTTCCCTTCATTCTCTGTTTGACTCCCCCTGCCCTGCCCTGTTGCTCGATGGTACCCCATTCTCAAATAAACTCCAGCTACACAAACCATTGTCTCAGGTTTTGCTTTCTGGGGAATCCAGGCTAAGACAGACATTATGGAGTTACGAAGTACTTCCTTCCTGATACAGGGCCTACCTACCCACATGAATGCCCTTCTGGTTTGTTTCCTTGGCTGAAACAGGATGGAGGAGATGAGAAAAGATAGTGGAGAATCTAGAGCAGATTGTGTATACACAGTAATAGAATTCCTTTATATCTCATTGTTTTATCACTTCAGGAAATGGACCCATCTCCAGATCTTCCCACCAGCCACTTCCGAATGGCAAAATGGAAAACAAGTTTGACAACAGTGTCTGCAGGAACTCATTTCTCAGTACGTCATTAATTTTGTGCTGCAAGACTTCTCTACATTGTGCATCAATCAGAAAGCTGATCCATAAAGAACCTTCTTGCTGAAGCAGAGTGGGTGGCAGTTTCCTGGTAAGTTAAACAGATGTACTGAGTGACACAGAATTTCACTTAATGGTAGAAATAGAAGAGAAATAAGTGCACGGGGCTCTGGAGAGAATCTCTGAGCTGGGTAGTCAGGAAACACAGTCTCTGGTTACCTCTGTCATCAAGACAATAATAGCTCACAGGCTCTCCCAAACTCCATCTGCCTTTGCCAGCTCACTTAGCAAGCAGGCGCTTTGGGTTTGATTTGAGCTGGGCTTCCAGAAGCTGCAGCTGGATGGTCTGAGGGCATGAGAGATGGTCTTCCATAAAGTTGGACTCTGGATACAAACAAACAGTCTGAAGGTTGCTGTGCAGAGGCAAAGACAGAGTCTGCCACCAGGTCACCCAGGAGAAGGAGATTTAGGCAGAGTCCCCAAGGCAAAGCCAGAACAGATCTCCTGAGAAGCCCATACATAGAGAGTAACTTTTATGGTGTATCCTCAGCCACAACCCTGGATGGGAGATGAACTGGTAAAGACAATAAGACAGTTCAGACATCCTCTCAATTTAATCTCTGGTCCCTTGTTACTCAAAGTGGGATTCATGAAATAACAGTCTCAGCATCACCTACGAGTTGGTTAGACATGCAGAATCTTTAATTGGGCGTGATGGCATGCACCTGTAGCCAGCCCTAGCTACTCAGGGGGCCGAGATGGGAGGATCCCTGGAGCCCAGAGAATCGATGTTACAGTGAGCTATGATTGCACCACTGTATTCCAGCCTGGGCAAGAGAGCGAGGCCCTGCTCTAAAAAATGAAATAAAAGAATGCAGAATCTCAGCTCCATCCCAAACCTGCTGAATCTTGAATCAGATAATGCATTTTTAACAAAATCCCTGATTGTTGCTCATTCCCACTTTACTAAAGTTTGAGAAGTATCGATGGGTCGATTGTGGTAGTATATGTTTTCTGGTTTTTTATGAGCATTTTGGCTCACAGGTTTTCAATAGGGAGAGAAAGGTACAACTGCCCCAGAAACATTAGGAAGTAGGGAGGGGGAGCATTTTTGTCATAATGACTGTGGAGATTACTAACACTTAGTGGGCAGGTGTCAGGGTTGCTAAATATTCTGCAAAGTGTGGGTGAGTCCCCATAGAGCAAAGAATTGTCCCAGACAAATGCCCCTGGTGTTCCTAGTGAGAAACATGTTGACAATTTCTTCATCTGTAAAATAAGCATTTGGGCTACATGGACTCCAGTGTTTCTCTCAGCTCTAAGAATCTTTCATTCTATCCCTGTTTTCACACTGATTTATAATAGAAAGTTATCAGGGCTGTCTTTCCTTCCCTCTAATTCAGGCTGCTGTAACCCTAAGTCATTTTCATTTAGATAATCCAATGGAACAAGTTACAGAGATTAACCTTAATGAATGTAAATTCATTACCACTCCCTGTTAAATATAACTTGCCCTTTCTGGTTAAAAGTCAAAGAGCGCTTTTAGTTAATTAAATGTATTTGTCATTACAATGCTAATAACACAAAGTAGTCTGAAAATACAGTCAACAAGTCCTTTGTTAGTTAGCAATTAAAGGCAATCATTTCCCTGTCAGAGTTTAGCTGGAGTGGCTCTCTTTCCACTCACACCACCTCTGTCCTATTTGGATCTAGCTGAAGATCTTGCTGGAATAGCATGGCAGTAGGGACACTGGAAGAGATGGCAATTCTCCAACAGCTGTTTAACCTTGCCTCAAAAGAGAAAGCAACAGGCAGCAAACACGTGGAGAGTCATAAGCAGGGCTGTTGAGCCTGACTGCACTGAGAACTTTCCGAATGTGTGGGGCTAGCAGAGCAGATGAAGTAAGGCTGGAACTGGTAGACCCATTGGAGAATCAGAGTTAACCATCGGGCTCCTCTTGGGCGGGATGTCCCCATTTGAAAATGAAAACATGAGTTAATTGCTGTTTACTCCCACTGTAGTACCATCAGGAAAAAGGAAAGCCTCTACTGAAAATGTGAACTTCTTAGGTGAAAAGTAGTGTCCACCTGTAAAGTGCTACTAGAATTTACCATTGTGCGATACTTGACACACAGTACAGGTGCAAATGTTAAGAAATTAAGTCACATAGAAAGTACTTTTAATCACCACAGCTAAAGGAAAAAGCAGTATCCTAGAGGAGATTATTTTTCCTTGGAGTATTTGTCCTGGGATTCTGTGTAGCACTGCGTCAGTGCACTAGCCCTATCATCTTCTAGCTTCAAAAATTAATGACGTGACACCTACTATGTACCCACAAAAATTAAAAATGAAAAAAATTAATGGCGTGGATGAAAAGCATAGGCTTTTGATAGTTTGCACATGCTTCCTCTGTTGCTACATGTTGGTGACTGGTTACTGAGCTAAGCAAATAGGAGAGACAATGTTCAGGATGAGTTCTGTCTGGGGCTTATTCTAAGTCAACCAATAGTGTACTAATTATGGCCCCAATATGGTCCTGGTCAGCAGTATAAGAGAAGCCTTTTTTGAGGTGACGAGGAAAGCAGTGGACTGATAAAAGTAGTTACGAATGATAAAAACATGCCTTAGCATTTTACTGTAACATAAAGTGCATAAATGTACATGATTTGTCAGCCTTTGTTAAAGTCTTTTATTTGAATCTTCTGATTTTTCTATGATCACATTTTTGCACAAATGATGTCTGTAATGCACTTGCTATTATATCACTTCAGTTTCTTTTCTATTTTTTTTTTTTTTTTTTGAGATGGAATGTCGCTCTGTCACCTAGGCTGTAGTGCAGTGGCATGCTCATTGCAACCTCTGCCCGCAATTCTCCTGTCTCAGCCTCCTGAGTAACTGGGATGACAGGTGTGTGCCACCATGCCCAGCTATTTTTTTTTTTTTAAAGTAGAGTCAGGGTTCCACCATGTTGGCCAGGCTGGTCTCCAACTCCTGACCTCAAATGATCCACCCTCCTCAGCCTCCCAAAGTGCTGTGATTACTGGCCTGAGTCACTGCTCCCAGCCTCATTTCAGTTTCTTTAAAGTGGAATAAAAACTAAACATATTTATGAAATAATCTTTATGCAGAGTCCTAGATTTGTACTTACTGTTCACTAATCTTTTATAGTTGCCTTGTCAACTATTTTGACAACTATTGAATCTTTCTTTTTGTTGTTGTAGTTTTTGTTTTTTTTTTTTGAGATGGAGTCTCGATCTTGTCACTCAGGCTGGAGTACAATGGCACGGTCTCGGCTCACTGCAACCTCTGCCTCCCTAGTTCAAGCAATTCTCCTGCCTCAACCTCCTGAGTAGCTGGGATTACAGCTGCCCGCCACCACGCCTGGCTATTTTTGTATGTTTAGTAGAGATGGGGTTTGACCATGTTGGCCAGGCTGGTCTCAATCTCCTGACCTCAGGTGATCCGCTTGTCTTGGCCTTCCAAACTGCTGGGATTACAGGCGTGAGCCACTGCGCCCAGCCTAAAACTCTATTGAATCTTTCTAAAGGATTCAATTTAGTTTTCATCAAAACAACTCCTTTTTTTCACATTCTTATTTGTTAGTTTGCATTAAATTAATTTCAGTTATATAATTACAATAATAAGTTCAACTTCCATGAACAAGTGTAGTAATCAACATGACTGACTCAAGCTTAATACTTGTCTTGTGAGAATAGCAGCATGGGGCCTGTTAGTGAGTAGCCTTCTAATCATAAGCATTTGTCAAGTCATAGGTATATATGTCTTTTACAAGGAAAATGGAGATTACCTGTTAACCTGGAAAATCAGCTAAGTGGAGGTATTTAAATAGCTATCTGTTATGGACTGCATGATGTGTCACACAAAATTCATATGTTGAAGTCCTAACTTCCAGTGTGGCTGTTTTTGGAGTGAGGAAGTAATTAGTGTCAAACAAGATCATAAGGGTGGGGCCCTTGTGGGTAGGATTAGCAGCCTTATAAGAAAAGACACCTCCAGCCTGGGCAACAAACCGAGACCCCATCTGTACAAAAAATTAAATTAGCTGGAAGTAGTAGAGCCTAGGAGTTCTAGGCTGCTATGATGCTGTGACCAACGATTGTACCACTGCACTCCAGCCTGGGTGACAGAGTTAGACCCTATCTCTAAAAAGCCAAAAAAAAAAAAAAAAAAAAAAAAAAAAAAGAGAGAGAGAGACACCAGGGAGCTGCTCAATCTCCCTCTGCCAAGTGCCAAGTGAGAACACATCTGGAAGGTAGCCATCCACAAACCAGAAAGAAAGGCCTTACCAGAAACCAACCCTGCCAGGCTTTGATCTGAAACATCTAGCATATGGAACTGTGAGAAAATGGATTTCTGCTGTATAAACCACCAGTTTATGATATTTTTTATGGCAGCCCAAACAGATTAATAATACACTATCAGTTCATAGTTAATATTTAGTACCATGCCGCTGGCCCTGAGGAACAGTTAACAGCAAAGTCCAATTGTGTCAATGCAAACTTATTACTATTTCTGAAAAACTGACTTAAAGTGTGGCACCTAAGCTAATGGATCTTGATAAATAGCACATTTCAATTTTTGGGAGGGCAAATACTGAAATGTCTGGTTTGGTTTTGTTTATGTGGGGTCTCACTCTGTTGCCCAGGCTGGAGTGCAGTGTTGCAATCTCAGCTCACTGCAACCTCTGCCTCCCAGGCTCAAGCCATTCTCCCACCTCAGCCTCTAAGTAGTTAGGATTACAGGCATGAGCCACTATGCCCAGCTAAATTTTTGTGTTTTTTGTAGAGACAGGGTTTCACCATGTTGCCCAGGCTGGTCTTGAACTCATGAACTCAAGTGATCCACCCACCTCCACCTCCCAAAGTGCTCAGATTACAGGTGTGAGCTAAAATGTATTTTTAAGTCTACTTCTAGTAATGAATTATTGAATATAGCTACTTAAATCAGCTTCTGGTCTTACCACTAAAATATAATCACAGATATCTCTTTATAGGTTACAGCTTTCCTCTTGTAGTACTATTAATGAGAGGCTCATGGTACTAATATAGCCATACACTAAAATGAGGAAATACAAAACAGGAACAGGATGAAAATACCTGCTATCTCTTTTCTTTCTTTCTTTCTTTTTTATTATGCTTTAAGTTTTAGGGTACATGTGCACAACGTGCAGGTTTTTTACGTATATATATCTTTTCTATACAACATCCAATTACTTTTTATTAAAAGCCCTTCTGATATAAGTCACAAGGAAAATAAGGAAATACAAGGATTAAAAGGAAAGTCATAAAATGTCATTCTTTTCTATTTATATGCTTTTCTATAATAAAATATTCAATGAATCAATAGATAATGGTCCTGCAAATCAAATGTATTCCTAAAAACCAGCAACAAATGGTTCAAAATATAATTTTTGAAGATATGTATTATAGCAATAATGCATATAAGGTATCCAGAAATAAATCTTTAAGACTTTTATAAAGAAAAATAAAAATTTTGAGAGACATTAAAGAAACAAATGCCCATGAATGGGAAGTCTCAATAACAAAGACATTAGTTCATCCAAAATCCAACAGGCTTTTTTGATAAAAGTTACTGAGTTTATCCTAAAGTTATCCATATAAATGAGCAAAAGGCCAGGAATTGCCAAAATAATTCTGAAGAAGAATAGGGGACTCATTCTTTAAGATATCAGGAATCTTGCATCCAAAAGATATAGTAATTAGAACAATGTGGTTTAAGACAGAGTAACGCTGTCTGAACCTGACCTCTTCTCCTTGAGGAATCTTTTTACCCTTTATTCTGTGAGTAATAAACCTTATTTTATATCTATTGGTGCCTATGTGTCATTCCTTCCAACATCCCTATAAATTCTGGAGTGGGGACTGCTAGTGTTCAGCCAGGGACACCATATGCCCAAATAAAACGATGCTATTCTCAAAACCATAACAATGAAAGATAGGGGAAGAAACATCTTTCAGAAAGTTGCAAACACCATGATGCCATTTATGAAAAGTTTTATAAACATGCAACACAATATTTTATCTTTATTTATAGATATATACACATTAGAGAAAGTATAAAAGCACATGTGAATGAGAAACATCAAATTCAAGACAGTGATTACCTCTGGTGAAAAAGTGAGGGGAACAACAGGATTGGGGCAGAGTACACAGGGGTTTCATATGAGTCAGGAATACTTTCTTTTCTTTCTTTCTTTGAGATAGGGTCTCACTGTGTCACCCAGGCTGGAGTGCAGTGGCAGAAACACAGCTCACTGCAGTCTCGACCTCCTGGGCTCAAGTGATTCTCCCATCTCAACCTCCTGAGCAGCCGGGACCACAGGTGCCACCAATGTTGGCTAATTTTTAATTTTTTCTGTAGAGACAAGATCTCCCTATGTTGCCCAGGCTGGTTTCAAACTCCTGGGCTCAAGCGATCCTCCCACCTCAGCCTCCGAAAGTGCTGGGATTACAGGTGTAAGCCACTGTGTGCCCATCCAGGTGTAAGCTTTCCTATGTTAGGGTCAACTGATTTGGGACCTTAATTGCATGTTCAAAATTTATTCATAGCAACACATAGATTGATGTTTGAATAAGTGGAAGAAAGTGTATGTACACCAGGACCCAGAAATTTGGAAGGCCAAATGGTGCCTACCACAGACTAGGACTAGGGAGGGTATAGAATAGAAGGTCAATGTCAGGGGAATTATTAAGTGGCGTCCACATATGTTTAATGTTAAAGATTGGCTAGTATAACTGGCTCATGATGTTCTGCATGCTTAAAAATTAAGGGAAGAGAACAAAGGTCATGAAAATCTCTATGACCTTGGCAGACTGAAGCTCATTAAGTAATAGTCTAGGTACTGCTAAAGATAGCTACAAGCAGGTCAGAGGAAAACTAGTTTGCTATTGGAACCAGTTATCTGAGTTATCCATGCCATTGTAAGTGATAGGTAAGTACAAATCTTATATAAAGACAAATGTAAACATAACTAAACATAAATATAAATAAGCATTTTAAAAAACCAGAATATTTATAAAGTAGAATAAGGCAGAGACCATTTATATTTGAGAGAACTATATTTTATATCCAGTACACATATAGACCATGTTTCCTTATTTTATATGTCTATACAGCAGCTAGCCTTATTTTGTAATACATGGTAAAAGGAATAAATCATTGTTAATGTTTAATGAGTAATAATGACAGCTGGACATTTAAAACCCTCCTTGGTACGGTTCATCTTATCTTTCCAGAATTATCTATTATTTCTTTCCTACTTTTACTTTGTATACCAACAAAACAGAATGGCTCATTTTTCCTCCAAACCTATTGCTACACCTTTGTTAAGTGTTTACCTCTAATATTCTCCACTTCATCAGTAGCTATTGTTTCTACCTAGCCTTTAGGGCCCAAATTAAATGTCCCCTCCTTTATAAAGAATTTTTTTAAATCTTTCTCAGCTCCCATTGTAAATAGTCTTTCCCACTTGAACTCCCTTAGCATTTTGTTCAAATGTATAGTGCATGCCACTTTCTACCTTATACTATGGTTATCTGTATTTATGACATAGCTCCTCCTACTTGACAAGGTCTTCCTTGAGCAGTAACTCAGACTTTTTTTATTTCAGATTACCTATGGCGCCGGGCAGAATACCCAGCACTAAAAGTGCTTAAAAATTGTGAATCAATCTTTTGAATGACTGTTTCTCTTTGTCTTTATCTTAATGCCAAAAGCAAGGCAAAATAAGTCAATATTATTATGGCTAGGGAAAGACCTTAACTACCTCAAAGAGACCTTAGTTACAATTATATTTCACAGAATTATGTCTCAAAACTCCCCAAAGTTCAGTTTCATCATTGCACTAAGTAAACCCTTGGTTAAGCATAATCTTCACACATGCACAGACTTGCATCATACCTGTGTGACACAAGCCAGGATCGCATCAATTGCCAAGGGAGGTAAGTTCCTCTAGGCAGCCTGACCCAAACCTCTCTTCTGTTACAGCTTTCCAGAGTTCAATCAATTTACCAGAGGGAGAGAAAGGTATTTCCTCAAGAAATCATTTTTTTAAAAAAGGTGACATGAAACTGAGAGAGTATATATTTGTTCTATGATAGAAATGGCTGACATGACATCTTCCTATAGTTTCCATGAGTTTTGTTGTAAGATTTTATGGAAATATATACTGAATTAAATTTAGACATCATTCATATCTGTTTCACAAGAAGTTTTATGAGCATACAATTTTTCTCTTTAAAGACTTGAGTTAAATTCTGGCTTACAAGTTAAAGAGCTTGACAGGACAGATATGTTGTCATTTAACCAATCACTTCAGTGCACTCAGAGATGAATGAAGTAGCAGCCATAAAAAAGAACAAAACCATGTCCTTCGAGGCAACATGGATGCAGCTGGAGGCTATTATCCTAAGTGAATTAACACAGAAACAGAAAATCAAATACTACATGTTTTCACTTATAAGTGGGAGCTAAACATTGGGTACACACGGCCATAAAGATAGAAACCAGAGACACTGGAAACTCCCTAAGGGAGGAGGTAGCAAAGGAGGCAATGGTTGAAGAAACACCTATTGGGTACTATGTCCACTATTTAGTGACAGGTTCAATAGAAGCCTAAACCTCAGCATCATGCAACATATCCATGTAACAAACCTACGTGTGTACCCTCTGAATCTAAAATTTAAAAAAGAAATTAATGAAGTAATAGAATTAAATTAACTATGCTCTTAACTTCATCACATTTTAATTTATAAATTAAAGGCAACATTCTCACGGCATAGTCACATACTACACGTGCAGACACATGTGAAGCGCACATCCAGAAGAAGGCAGTAAAGGAGGAGCACGGAAATAAAAAACACATGAAGAAATAGAAAGTGAGTACTGAGAGGGTAGACCCAAAAGCATATCAGTAATTACTTTAAGTACAAAAGGACTAAACACTCCAACTAAAAGGCAGATAGTTAGACTAAATTTAAAAAATGGAACCAACGTATAAGACACAAAATTTAAGGCTGGGTGCAGGGGCTCCCAGCAGTTTGGGAGACCCAGGTGGGCAGATCACTTGAGGCCAGGAGTTTGAGACCAGCCTGGCCAACATGGCGAAATCCTGTCTCTACTAAAAATACAAAAATTAGTCAGGCATGGTGGCATGTGCCTGTAAATTCCAGCTACTCAGGAGGCTGAGGCATGAGAATAGCTTGAACCTGGGAGGCAGAGGTTGCAGTGAGCTGAGATTGTGTCACTGCACTCCAGCTTGGGCAACAGAGCAAGACTCTGTCTCAAAAAATAAAAAGACAAAAAAATCCCATATGAGGACACAGAACAGTTGAAGGTAAAATGATGAAAACATAAATACCATATACCGTGTAAACACTAATCATAAGAAAGTTGATATGACTACATTAATATCAAAAATAGACTTTCAGGCAAAAAATATTACTAGATATAAAGGGACATTTCCTAATGATAAAAGGGTCAATTCAATAGGAAGTCACAAAAATCCTTAATGTATATTTGCCTTATAACATACCTTCAAAAAGGAAGTAAAAATTGACAAAAATAAAAGGATCAACAGATAAATCCACAATTAGAATTGGAGATTTAAAAATACTTCTTTCTGTAATTGATAGAACAGGCAGACAATATATCAGTAATATTAATAATATAGAAGATATGAACAATACCATTAACCAATCTGACTAATTGAACATTTATAGAGTTTATAGAATATTATACTCAACAACTACAAAAAAGAAAAAAACACATACTATTTATATGCACATAGATCACTCACCAAAATAGACAATATTCTGGGCTATAAAGCTAGTCTCAATACATTTTGAATGACTGAAATCATACAGAATATATTTTCTTATCACAATGGAATTAAATTAGAAATCAAAAGCAAAAAGATATGTTCAGAAATTAAGAAATACATTTCTAAATTATCTATTGGTCAAAGAAGAAATCACAAGAAAAGTTAGAGAGTATTTTGAATTGAAAAACAATACAAATTAATTCTATGAGATACAACCAAAGCAATACTTAGTAGAAAATGTGTATTAAATGCATATATTAGAAAGGATGAAAGTTTTAAAATCAATGATCTAAGCTTCCACTTCAAGGAGCTAGAAGAGAAAAGTACATTCTAAAAAAGTGTGGAAGATCTATAAGCTAAAAGTAATCAAACATTGCTCAAAAAATTAAAGACCTGGCTGGGTGCAGTGGCTCACGCCTGTAATTCCAGCATTTTGGGAGCCTGAGGCAGGTGAATTACTTGAGCCCAGGAATTTGAGACAAGCCTGGGCAACATAGTGAGATCTCTTCTCTAGTAAAAAAAAAAATTAGCTGGGCATGGTGGCACACCTGTAGTCCCAGCTACTCAGGAGGCTTGAGCCCAGGGGAATCGGGGCGACAGTGAGCCAGTGTTTGTGCCACTGCACTCTAGCCTGGGCAACAGAGTGAGACTCAAAACAAAAAAAAAAATTAAAGACCTAAATAAGTGTAGAGATAAACCACCAGCGTGGTGTTTTTGAGATATCATTTCCCCCTAAAATTGATCTATAGATTTAACAGAATCCCAATCAAAATCCCAGCAGGCTTAATTATTTGTATGTAGAAACTGATAATATGAATCTGTAGTTCATATGAAAATGCAAAAGACCTAGACTAGCCAAAACAATCCTAAAGAAAAAAAAAAAAAACCAAAAATCCAACACTAAGCTAGAAGACCTACTTAAACAGATTTAAAACTTGCTATAAAGCTTAGGCAATTAAGACAGTGTGGCATTGGCACAAAGATAGATAAATAGATCAATAGAACTGAAGAAAGGGTCCAGAAATAAGCCCATGGATATTTGGTCACTGGCTTTACAACAAAAACAATAATTTATATCCAAGAAAAAAAAGGATGGTCATATCAATGGATGGTGCTAGAGCAACTGGATATTCGTACGTATAAGAAATAAAATTTGACCCTTATCTCACACCTATGCACTAAGTCAATTCTGGGTAGATCAAATATACACTTGAAAGCTTAAACTACCTTGAGATAGGGAAAGGTTTTTTTTAACAGGACACAAACAGCACTAACCATAACATTTTTTAATTGATAAATTGGTCTTCATCAAAATTTTAAAATCTGCTCATCCAAAGGTACTATTTACGAAGAGAAAGGAACTCCATAGCCTAGAATGAGGGTGTTCAATCTTTTGGCTTCCCTGGGTCACGTTGGAAGAAGAAGAATTTTCTTGGACCACACATAAAATACACTAACACTAATGACAGCTGATAAGCTAAAAAAGGAATTTGCAAAAAAACTCAATGTTTTAAGGAAGTTTATGAATTTGTGTCGGTTTGAATTCAAAGCCATCCTAGACTGTGTGTGGCCCATGGGCTGTGGGTTGGACAAGCCTGGCCTAGAAGAACATACCTGCAATACATATATCTGACACAGCACTTCTATCCAGAATATTATATATTTTACATAACTATGTAAAAGTTTACAAGTTGTATTTTTAGGATTTGTATATATAATTGTTTATAAATTATACCTTAGTAAGTAACTTTTACATATATGTGATATATTTTTTAAAATCTATATATTATAGATTAGGACCTTACAACTCAATAATAAGGCAAGCAATCCAGCCTGGGCAATATGGTGAAACCCCGTCTCTACTACAAATACAAAAATTAGCCAGGCATAGTGATGCATGCCTGTAGTCCCAGCTACTCAGGTGGCTGAGGTGGGAGGACGGCTTGAGCCGAGGCTTAGGTGTTGGGAGAGTTGGGGTGGGCAGAGGTTGCAGTGAGCCGAAATCGCCCCATTGGCAAAAAAAAAAAAAAAAAAAAAGAAGAAGAAAGAAAAAGGAAACAAATCAAATAGAAAAATATTTAACGAGTGATTTTAATGCACAATAATTCAACCAATTTCACAGAATCAACACCGTACCAGAGTGACCAACCATCATGGTTTGCTCAAGACTGAGGTTTTTTTTTTTTGATTAGGGACTTTGAGTGCTAAAATTGGGACAGTCCTTAGCAAACCAAGATGATTAATCATTTATTAAAATAGAAACCCATAAATATTTCAGTACATATATGTAAAAGAACTCTTGTTTTCACACAAATCACCATACCATTATTACAGCCCAAATTAACAATAATTATTTAATATCCATAGGATTATATCCACTGAATAGCATCAACATCCAGTGGCTGTTCAAATTTCTGTGTCATAAATGTTGTATTTTTATAAGTTGTTTGAATCAGAATCTGAATAAGATAAATATATTGCAATTGGTGAATATGTCCTTTCAATCAATAGGTTCCCTTCCATATTTTTATATTTTCCTTGTAATCTATTTTTAAGAAAAATGAGTTGTTTTAAGGAAATTTCTACAGTTTGGATTTTGACAATTGCTTATCTGCAGTTTAGTTTAACATATTCCTCTAGCTCCTATATATTCTACCAATTGATATTTGGATTTTGAGGTTTAATCACATTCAGGTTCAATTATATGACTATCTCATTTATGAAAATACTCACTGTTTTCAATTTTATTTATAATCTCATCTTGAAAAATTTTATTTAGTTCTTTTTTCAGATCTGTTTGGTCTTTTAGAAATGAATCTCTTGACCCTTACACATATTTTCAATACCTTCTTTTATTGCTTTAAACTGTTTAAACAGACTTATTTAAAATATTATGTCTATGGAATCCACCCAAATGCCCATCAATGATAGACTGGATAAAGGAGATGTGGTACATATACACCATGGAATACTATGCAGCCATAAATAGGAATGAGATCATATCCTTTGCAGGGACATGAATGGAGCTGGAAGCCATTATCCTCTGCAAACTAACACAGGAACAGAAAACCAAACACGGCATATTCTCACTTATAGGGGAGAGCTGAACGATGAAGGCACATGGACACAGGGAGGGGAACAACACACACTGGGGCCTTTTCAGGGGGCTGGGGGGCAATGGGAGGGAGAGCATCAGGATAAATAGCTAATGCATGGTGGGCTTAATACCTAGGTGATGGGTTGACAGGTGTGGCAAGCCACCACGGCACACGTTTACTTATGTGACAAACCTGCACGTCCTGTATATGTATCCTGGAAAGTTAAATAAAATTAAATTTAAAAAATAAAATATGTCTAATAATTCCAATATGTGCAGTCTCTGTGTGTCTTATTCTCTTGGATCTTACTCATGTGTCTTGTTTCCTGGGAGCTTATATACCTCAGAAATTTTTCTGAAGGAATTATTTGAGGTCTGTCTTAAAGGCAGTTCAAGATAAGTACAATAAACAGACCTAGAACTCCAATTTCTTGAGGCACAAGCCATTGATCCAGAGGAGTGGCCCCTGGAGCAGAGTAAGGTAGGTGACAGACATCAAAGGTTACTACTACACTCATCAGAAACTAATCACTGGCCGGGCACGGTGCCTCACACCTGTAATCCTGGCACTTTGAGAGGCCAAGGCGGGTGGATTTCTTGAAGTCAGGAGTTCAAGACCAGCCTGGCCAATGTGGTGAAACCCCATCTCGACTAAAAATACAAAAATTAGTCGGGCGTGGTGGCGTATGCATGTAGTCCCAGCTATATGGGAGGCTGAGGCATGAGAATCGCTCGAACCCAGGTAGGAGGAAGTTGCAGTGAGCTGAGATCGCACCACTGCACTCCAGCCTGGGTGACAGAGCGAGACTCTGTCTCAAAAAAAAAAAAAAAGAAAGAAAGAAAAAAAGAAAAGCGAAGCTGATCACTACCTACACTGACTCCCAGGAGAGAAATAGCCCCTGAGACCTCTAATGTCAGTCTCTCTACCACAGTATGTTATGCTTTCCTGTTCTTTTCCCACTATGCCCAAAAGCTCTGACAGAACCTCCTACAGGATGAAAAGGTAAGCAGAGGCCAAGGAATGGCTATCAAGGAGAGAGAGTGATGTGCAAAAGCAATCTTGGAAGATTATTGGATTTGCTTCAAAATGATACTGGGCTGGGAGAAAGTGGGTAGAAAAATAGGTGAAAAAAAACAATTGTTGAAGTTGGCCAGTGGGAACATGGGCATTCATTATATTCTACTGTCTACTTTTGCATATGTTTGAAAGTCATACAGAATAAAATATTTAAAAAATATCTTCAGTAGATGGATTTAACCATAAATGACACAAAATAAACTGGAAGATATTGTGGAGGAAAAATAAACAGAATATAGTAGAGAGAGGGAAATAAAGGAAGTCTAGAGAGTAGAACAGGTATTAAAAGTGGAGCAGAGGACCAAGAATAAAAACAGGGAGAACTGGAAGGAACAAGGTCAGGGAAGGGGACAGCAAAGGTCAGTGGCCCTTGAATGTCCCTAGAAGAGATGGTATATGTTTTTGGTTTTTGCTTGTACAAATACTCAGTATGAACAAATTCAGATTCCTTCCTGAATTATCCCTAAAGAAAGGGAAATATGTGATTTGGGGCGTATATAATTTTGGGTATATATGGTTCCCTGGCAACTACCATTACCTCTAGCAAGTCCTAGGTGGCAGGAAGGCTTGCCCCATCTTAGTGAAGGCAACTACTTGTGAAGTGGATCTGGACAACTCTGACTTCTTTCCCTACTTTCAACTCCTCTGTGTGGTGGACTAATAGCACATAGAAAAACAATTAAATATGCAATATTTTTAGATGTCCCAGGTGAATATCACTTTTCTTTGAAAAGTGAACCAACCATTGCTATCACCATTATGTCACAAATATGCTATGATTTCAGCTGATTTGGGCAAGTCTGTGAAATTTTAATGAAACTTCAAAATATCGATAACACCAGCCTGGGCAACATAACAAGACCATGTCTCTACAAAGAATAATAAAATTAAAAGGAAAAGCTGGGTATGGTGGTGCTCACCTGTAGTCCCAGCCTCTTGAGCAGCTAAGGTGAGAGGATCACTTGAGCCCAGGAGTTAAAGGTTGCAATGAGCTGTAATTGTGCCACTGCACTCCAGCCTGAACAACAAAGCAAGGACTCGTCTCTAAAAGAGAAAATAAATAAAATATCAATAGTAAGAGAAAAATATTTTTCCAGAAAATATGATAGAAAACTGCATAATGCAGGTGTTATATTAAAAGTACACATAAGTTGGCAAGAAAAAACTGGCACTTGTCTGTGATAAGAACATTATTTTAAAAAAATTTTAACCAGGCATGGTGGCACATGCCTGTAGTCCCAGCTACTCAGGAGTCTGAGGCAGGAGGATCACAAGTACCCAGGAGTTTGAGGCTGCTGTGAGCTATGATTATACCACTGCACTCAGCCGGGCAGCAGAGTGAGACCTTGTCTCTTAAAAAAATTTTTTTTATAGACTTTATTTTTAGAGTAGTTTTAGGATTACAAAATAATTGCAGAGAAAGTACACCCCGACACACACATTTACCTGTTATTAACATCCTGCATCAGTGTGATACATTTGCTAAAATTGGTGAACCAAAATTTATATGTTATTATACACTAAAATCCACAGTTTCTATTAGGGCTCACTCTGTGTTGTAGTTTCATGGGTTTCGACAAATGCATAAGGCCATGTAGCTACCGCTATAGTATCATATAGAATAGTTTCATCACCCTAAAAGTGCCTTGTGCTCTATCTACTCATCTTCTCTCTCTTCCCTGAACTCCCAATAACCACTCATCTTTTAAATTGTCTCTATAGTTTTGCCTTTTCCAGAATGTCAGATAGTTGGAATCATATTGTGTATTAGTCTACTCAGGCTGTCACAAGATACCACTGAGTGAGTGGTTAAATAACAGAAATTTATTTGTTCACAGTTCTAGAGGTTAGAAATCCAAGGTCAAGGTGCTATCAGGGTTGGTTTCTTGTGAGACCACACTTCCTGACTGTCTCTGCATGTTCATGTGGCTTCTTCTCTGTGCACATACACAAAGAGAGAGAACTCCAGCGTCTCTTACTCTTCTTATAAGAATACCAGTCCTCTTGACTTAAGGTCCCACCCCAAGACCTCATTTAACCTTAATTACGTCTCTAAAGGCCCTTATCTACAAATACAGTTAGATTGTGGGTTAGGGCTTCAACATGAATTTTGAGAATACATAATTCAATCCATAACACGCTACCCTCTACCCCCCTAAAATTCATGTCCTTTGTATATGCAAAATGCATTCACTCCATCCCACAGCCCCAAAAGTCTTAACTTAACTCATCCTAAATATTATCTGAGTTAGGTATCTTAAGTATGAATCACCTGAAGGCAAAATTCCTCTCCGGTTATGAACCTATAAAACCAGGTAAGTTATGTGCTTACAAAATACAATGGTGGGGCTGGGCGTGGTGGCTCACACCTGTAATACCAGCACTTTGGGAGTCCAAGGCAGGTGGATCCCCTGAGGTCAGGAGTTCAAGACCACCCTGACCAATATGGTGAAACCCTGCCTCTACTAAAAATACAAAAATTAGTGAACGGGGTGGCAGGCACTTGTACTCCTGGCTACTTGGGAGGCTGAGACAGGAGAATTGCTTGAACTCAGGAAGCAGAGGTTGCAGTGAGCTGAGATTGTGCCACTGCACTCCAACCTGGGTGAGAGAGCTAGACTCTGTCTCAAAAACAAAAACCCAGAAACCCCAAAACCAAAATACAACGGTGGGACAGGCAAGGGATACACACTCTCACTCATAAAGGGAGAAATTAGGCCAGGCTTGGTGGCTCACGCCTGTAATCCCAGCACTTTGGGAGACTGAGGCGGGCAGATCACCTGAGGTCAGGAGTTTGAGATCAGCCTGGCCAACATGGCAAAACCCCATCAGTCTCTACTAAAAATACATAAATTAGCCAGTCATGGTGGCATATGCCTGTAATCCCAGCTACTTGGAAGGCTGAGGCAGGAGAATTGCTTTAACCCAGGAGGCAGAGGTTGCAATGAGCAGAGATTGTGCCACTGTATTCCAGCCTGGGCGACATAGTGAGACTCTACCTAAAAAAAAAGACGGGAGAAATTGGAAAGAAGAAGGGGGTGATAGTCCCCAGGCAAGTCCAAAACCTAGCAAGTCAAATTCCATTAGATCTTAAGGCTCAAGAATAATCTTCTTGGCTGGGCGCGGTGGCTCACGCCTATAATACCAGCACTTAGGGAGGCCAAGGTGGGCAAATCACCTGAGGTCAGGAGTTCAAAACCAGCCTGACCAACATGGAGAAACCCCATCTCTAATAAAAATAAAAATAATTAGCTGGGTGTCGTGGCACATGCCTGTAATCCCAGCTACTTGGGAGGCTGAGGCAGGAGAATCACTTGAACCCAGGAGGCAGAGGTTGCGGTGAGCCGAGATCTTGCTATTGTACTCTCCAGCCTGGTCAACAGGAGTGAAACTCCATCTCAAAAAAAAAAAAAGAATAATCCTTTTTGGCCTTAAGGCTCAAAAATAATCCTCTTTGGCCTTTTGTGGCCACTGGGGTGGCAGCAACACCCCCATAGCCCTAGGTAGTGAGCCTTCCACCTTGGCTCTTGGTGGAGGCCCCAGCCACATATCTCTTTGCTATGGTCTTGCCCCTGAGGCACTGGATAGGAGCAGCCTGGCCTGCTGAAACCATGAAGGGGAGCCTCCCCTCTGAAACTGAGGAAGAAACAGCCTTGCTCCCTGGACCTGAGGTGGGAGTGGCAAAACTGATGATCTCTGAATTGCCTTCAGAGTCATTTTTCTTTTTCTCTGAAGGATAAAGCATTTTTACAGTCAAATAGCTCTATTATCTACTCCTGTAGAATCCCAGACATCCAAAAGCCTTCCTTTATTCCATCGTGTTCCTGTTTTTTCTGGTGCAAACTGGCAGTGTCTCTGTGGGTATAATCCCCTCTCTATTGTGGTGCTGCTGAGATGGCTGATTAACTCCATGAGTAATCTCCTTATGGACCGATAGTCCCACCACACCCTTGGTATTCTCTCCAGAACATGCTTCTCATTTTTTGGAAATATGGATAGGCTAAGAATTTTCCAAATCATCAATTTCTAGTTCCTTTTTGCTTAACAGTTCTTTCAGTGTATTTCACCTCTTGCATTTTACTATAAGCAGTAAGGAGAAGCCAGCTTGCACCTGCAAGATCTTGCCTAAAAATCTCCTCAGCTAAATTTCCAATTTCATTGCTCGTAAGTTCTACCTTCCACAAAACACTAACCACGATTCAATCAAGTTCCCTGCCACTTTATTACAAAGTTTGTCTTTCTTCTAGTTTCCAACAGCCTGTTCCTTGTTTCAGTCTTGATACCTCACCAGAAGCACCTTTAACACCTATATTCCTACCAAAGGTCCCTTCAAGGCAAACTAGGCTCTCTCTAACATGCTTCTCAAAATTCTTGCAGCCTCTACCCATTACCCAGTTCCAAAGACACACATTTTTAGGTATTTGTTACAGCAGCATCTTACTTCTTAGTACTAAAATCTGTATTCATCTGCTTGGGCTGCCATACTAAAATCTGTATTCATCTGCTTGGGCTGCCATAACAAAATACTACATGCTGGGTGGCTTAAACAAAGAAATTTATTTTCTCACAGATCTGGAGGCTAGAAATCCAAGATATAGGCTCCATCAGGGTTGGTTTCTGGTGAGGCCTCTCTTCCTGGCTTGTACACGGCTGCCTTCTTGCTGTGTCCTCACATGGCCTCTTCTTTGCAGAGAGAGTGGGAGAGAGAGGAGGGAGAGGGAGAGGAAGGAAAATGGGAGAAGAGAAAACAGGGGAGAGGGGGAGCTCTCCTGTCTCTTTGTCTTTTTTTTTTTTTGAGATAGGGTCTTGCCCTGTCACCCAGGCTGAGTGCAGTGTTGTGATCACAGCTCATTGAGTCACAATCTCCTGAGCTCAAGCAATCTTCCTACCTCAACTTCCTGAGTACCTGGGGGCTACAGGCACATGACAACATGCCTGGCTAATTTTTTAAAAATTTATCTTTTGTAGAGATGGGGTCTCACTATGTTGCCCAGGCTAGTCTTGAACTGCTAGGCTCAAGGGATCCTCCTGCCTCGTCCTCCCAAAGTGCTGGGATTACAGGCATGAGCCACTGCCCCTGGCCCCTTTGTCTTCTTGAAAGGACAACAGTTTCATTGGACCACACTGTGACCTAATCTAACTTTACCTCGTAAAAGTCCTGTCTCCAAATACAGTCACATTGTGAGTTAAGGTTTCAACATATAAATTTGGGAAGACACAATTCAGTCTATAACATACTATGTGTAGCCTTTCAAACTGGTTTCTTTCATGAAGAAAAATGCACTTAAGATTTCTTCATGTCTTGTCATGGCTTGACAGCTCATTTCTTTCTTTTTTTTTCGAGATGAAGTCTTGCTCTGTCGCCCAGGCTGGAGTGCAGTGGCACAATCTTGGCTCACTGCAACCTCAGCCTCCTGGGTTCAAGCGATTTTCCTGCCTCAGCTTCCTGAGTAGCTGGAACTACAGGTACACACTACCATGCCTGGCTAATTTCTGTATTTTTAGTAGAGACAGCTTTTCACCATGTTAGCCAGCCTGGTCTTGAATGCCTGACCTCAGGTGATCCACCTGCCTCAGCCTCTCAAAGTGATGGGATTACAGACATAAAGCCACTGCGCCCAGCTGCTCATTTCTTTTTATCACTGAATAATGTGCCATTGTATAGGTATATATGTTTGTTTATCCATTCATCAATTTGAGGATATCTGGATTGCTTTCAATTTTTACCAATTATGAATAAAGTAGCTATAAACATTCCTGTGCAGGTTTTTGTGTGGATGTACATTTTCAACTCTTTTGGGTAAATACATGGGAGCACAATTACTAGATTATATGGAGCCTATGTTTATCCTTGCAGGAAATTACTAAACTATTTCCCAAAGTGTCTGTACCATTTTGTATTGCTACCATCAATGAATGAGAGTTTCCATTGCTCTACATCCTCACCAGCAATTGACGTTATCAGTGTTCTGAATTTTAGCCATTCTGATAGGTGTGTGGTATCTCAATGTTGTTTTAATTGGCAATTTTCTAATAACATATGATGTGGGACTTTTTTCATATACTAATTTTCCATCCGTATATATTCTTTGGTAAGGTGCAGATTCATACACTTTGCCTATGTTTTATTAGTTGTTTTCTTATTATCGAGTGTTGAGTTCTTTGTATACTTTGAATACCAGTTCTTATCAGATATGTGTTTTGCATATGTATTCTCCCAGTTTGTGATTTGTCTTTTTATTCTCTTAACAACATCTTTCACAGAGCAGTTTAATTTTTTTTTTAATTTTCTGAGACAGGGTCTCACTCTGTTACCTAGGCTGGAGTGCAGTAGCATAATCATGGCTCACTTTAACCCTGAGTTCCTGGGCTCAAGCAATCCTTGAGTAGCTAGGACTATAGGCATCCACCACCATGCCTGGCTATTTTTTTTTCTAGTTTTTATAGAGATGGGGTCTCACTATGTTGCCCCAGCTGATCTCAAACTCCTGGCCTCAAGCAATCCTTCTGCCTCAGCCTACCAAAGTAGTGAGCCACCATGCCTGGCCAGGATTTTACATTTTAATGGAGTCCAATTTACCAATTTTTTCTTCTGTGGATCATGCTTTTGATGCTCTATCTAAAATTCATCACCAAATCCAGGACACCTTGATTTTTTCCTATGTTATCTTCTAGAGGTTTTATAGTTTTGCCTATATTTAGGCCTATAATCCATTTTGAGCTCATTTTTGTGCATGGTGAAAGATCTGTGTAAATTTATTTTTTTGCATATGGATACCCAGTTGTTTCAGCACCACCAGTTGAAAAGACTGTCCTTTATCCACTGAATATTTTTTGTTCCCTTGTTAAAGATCAGCTGACTATATTTGTATGGGTTTATTTCTGGGCTCTCTATTCTGTTCTATTGTTTCATTTGTCTATTCTTTCACCAATACCATACCATCTTGATCACCGTGGCTTTATTGTTGTTTTGAGATGGAGTCTCGTTCTGTCACCCAGGCTGGAGTGTAGTGGCACAATCTCAACTCACTGCAACCTCTGCCTCCCAGATTCAAGTGATTCTCCTGCCTCAGCCTCCTGAGTACCTGGGACCACAGGCATGCACCACCATACCTGGCTAATTATTTTGTATTTTTAATAGAGATGAGGTTTTACCATGTTGGCCTGGCTAGTCTTGAACTCCTGACCTCAAGTGACCCATCCACCTCAGCCTCCCAAAGTGCTGGGATTACAGGCATGAGCCGCTTTATTCTTCTTTAATATTGTGTTGGCTATTCTGGGTATTTTTGCCTTTCCACATAATCTTTTAAATTTGTTAATATTCACAAAACCGTTTTCTGGGGTTGTTATTGGGAATGTATGGAATCCATAAATTAGGTAGGGAAGAACTGACATCTTAACAATATTAAGTCTTCCTATCCATGAAGATGAAATCTCTCCATTTATTTAGATAGTCTTTAATTTCCTTCACCAGCATTTTATAGTTTTCCTCATATAGATCTTATAGAAATTTTGTTAGATTCATGCCTGAGCAATTTCTTTTTTCCATTCTTGTGTTTTTGGTGCTATTGTATATGTTGCTGTCTTTTAAACTGCAAATTTCAATTGCTGAGCAGGGTATGTGCCTGTAGTCCCAGCTTTCTGGGAGGCTGAGCTGAGGTGAGAAAATGGCTTGAGTGTGGGAGTTCAAAGTCCAGCCTGGGCAACATAGCAAGACCCATCTCTAAAAAAAGAAAATTCCAATTGCTTATTGACAGCATGGTAGGAAAGTAATTGACTTTTGCGCGTTGACTTTTTATCCTGAAACCTTGCTGTAATTGCTTATTTGTTCCAGGAGTTTTGTTATTATTTGGTATTTTTTACATAGACTTTCATGCCATCTTTGAACAAAAATGGTTTTATTTCCTCTTTCCCAGTTGATATACTTTTTCACTTCTTGTCTTGTCTTACTGCAAGTCCTATAGCTAGGACTTCCCATATGAAGTTGAATAGAGAAGAGAGATAAGAGGGTAAATATTTGTCTTGTTCCCAATTTTAGGAGGAAAGAGTCTAGTTTCTCACCGTTAAGTATGATCTTAGCTATAGGTATTCTTTATCAAGTTAATGAAGTTCCTCTCTATTCCTAGTTTGCTTAGAGTTTTTATCATGAATGGCTGTGGGATTTTGTAAATGCTTTTTCTACATCTATTGATGTGATCAATATGATTTTTCTTTTTTAGCCTGTTGATGTGATTAATAATGTTGATTTTTTTCTTCTGCAATATTTATCTTAGAAACATTAGTTGATTTTTGAACGTTGAACGAGCCTATATACCAGGAATTAGTCCTGCTTGGTTGTGGTGAAGTATATGTCTGCAACTTACTTTGAAATTTTTTTTTTTTTTTGAAACAGAGTCTGACTCTGTCGCCCAGGCTGGAGTGCAGTGGTGCAATCTTGGCTCACTGCAACCTCCGCCTCCTGGGTTCAGGTACTTCTCTGCCTCAGCCTCCCGAGTAGCTGGGATTACAGGTGCCCGCCACAACACCTGGCTAATTTTTTTTGTATTTTTAGTAGAGACGGGGATTTCACCATCTTGGCCAGGCTGGTCTTGAACTCCCGACCTCATGATCCACCCACATCAGCCTCCCAAAGTGCTGGGATTACAGGCATGAGCCACTGTGCCTGGCCTGAAGGGTATTTTCAAAATAACATGGATAAAAGAATGTATGTTTAAGAGATTTTGTAATAAAATGTTGGAAAAATTATAAATCTATATGGGTAAGGACTGTAAAGCCAGAGACAAATATAAAAACAAAAATGATTCGATATGTAGTCATTTTGTTATTGTGAGTACTTTTTTCTTTCCTCAATTTACAGCACTTTGAGTATTTCTAAAAGCTTTTTTAAAAAAAACAGCGAGGCGGTTCCAAGATGGCCAAATAGGAACAGCTCCAGTCTACAGCTCCCAATGTGAGCGACTCAGAAGACGGGTGATTTCTGTATTTCCAACTGAGGTACCAGGTTCATCTCACTGGGGTTCGTCGGACAGTGGGGGCAGGACAGTGGGTGCAGCCCACCGAGCATGAGCTGAAGCAGGGCAAGGCATCGCCTCACCCAGGAGATGCAAGGGGTCAGGGAATTTCCTTTTCTAGCCAAGGGAAGGGGTGACAGATGGCACCTGGAAAATTGGGTCACTCCCACCCTAATACTGCACTTTTCCAACGGTCTTAGCAAACAGCACACAAGGAGATTATATCCAACGCCTGGCTCAGAGGGTCCCACGCCCACGAAACCTTGCTCATTGCTAGCATAGCAGTCTGAGATCGAACTGCAAGGCAGCAGTGGGGCTGGGGGAGGGGTGCCCACCATTGCTGAGGCTTGAGTAGGTAAACGAAGTGGCCGGGAAGCTCGAACTTGGTGGAGCCCACTGCAGCTCAAGGAGGCCTGCCTGCCTCTGTAGACTCCACCTCTGGGGACAGGGCATAGCCAAAACAAAAGGCAGCAGAAACCTCTGCAGGCTTAAATGTCCCCGTCTGACAGCTTTGAAGAGAGTAGCGGTTCTCCCAGCACGTAGTTTGAGATCTGAGAATAGACAGACTGCCTCCTCAAGTGGGTCCCTGACCCCCGAGTAGCCTAACTGGGAGGCACCCCCCAGTAGTGGCAGATTGACACCTCACATGGCCAGGTAACCCTCTGAGACAAAGCTTCCAGAGGAATGATCAGGCAGCAACATTTGCTGTTCAGCAATATTCGCTGTTCTGCAGCCTCCACTGCTGATAGCCAGGCAAACAGGGTCTGGAGTGGACCTCCAGCAAACTCCAACAGACCTGCAGCTGAGGATCCTGACTGTTAGAAGGAAAACTAACAAACACAAAGGACATCCACACTAAAACCCCATCTGTACGTCACCATCATCAAAGACCAAAGGTAGATAAAACCACAAAGATGGGGAAAAAACAGAGCAGAAAAGCTGAAAATTCTAAAAATCAGAGCATCTCTCCCCCTCCAAAGGAATGCAGCTCCTCACCAGCAAGGGAACAAAGCTGGATGGAGAAGGACTTTGACAAGTTGAGAGAAGAAGGCTTCAGACGATCAAACATCTCCGAGGTAAAGGAGGAAGTTTGAACCCATCGCAAAGAAGCTAAAAACCTTGAAAAAAGATTAGACGAATGGCTAACTAGAATAACCAGTGTAGAGAAGTCCTTAAATGACCTGATGGAGCTGAAAACCACGGCACAAGAACTACGTGATGCATGCACAAGCTTCAGTAGCCAATTCGATCAACTGGAAGAAAGGGTATCAGTGATTGAAGGTCAAATCAATGAAATGAAGTCAGAAGAGAAGTTTAGAGAAAAAAGAATAGAAAGAAATGAACAAAGCCTCCAAGAAATATGGGACTGTGTGAAAAGACCAAATCTGCATCTGATTGGTGTACCTGAAAGTGACGGGGAGAATGGAACCAAGTTGGAAAACACTCTTCAGTAGATTATCCAGGAGAACTTCACCAACCTAGCAAGGCTGGCCAACATTCAAATTCAGGAAATACAGAGAAGACCACAAAGATACTCCTTGAGAAGAGCAACTCCAAGACACATAATTGTCAGATTCACCAAAGTTGAAATGAAGGAAAAAATGTTAAGGGCAGACAGAGAGAAAGGTTGGGTTACCCACAAAGGGAAGCCCATCAGACTAACAGATGATCTCTTGGCAGAAACTCTACAAGCCAGAAGAGTGGGGACAAATATTCAACATTCTTAAAGAAAAGAATTTTCAACCCAGAATTTCACATCCAGCCAAACTAAGATTCATAAGTGAAGGAGAAATAAAATCCTTTACAGACAAGCAAATGCTGAGAGATTTGTCACCACCAGGCCTCCCCTACAAGAGCTCCTGAAGGGCTCTGAACATGGAAAGGAACAACAGCTACCAGCCACTGCAAAAACATGCCAAATTGTAAAGACCATCGAGGCTAGGAAGAAACTGCATTAACTAATGAGCAAAATGACCAGCTAACATCATAATGACAGGATCAAATTCACACATAACAATATTAATCTTAAATGTAAATGGGCTAAATGCTCCAATTAAAAGACACAGACTGGTAAATTGGATAAACAGTCAAGACCCATCAGTGTGCTGTATTCAGGAGACCCATCTCACATGCAGAGAGACACATAGGCTCAAAATAAAGGGATGCAGCAAGATCTACCAAGCAAATGGAAAAGAAAAAAGGCAGGGGTTGCAATCCTAGTCTCGGATGAAACAGACTTTAAACCAACAAAGATCGAAAGAGACAAAGAAGGCCATTACATAATGGTAAAAGGATCAATTCAACAAGAAGAGCTAACTATCCTAAATATATATGCACCCAATACAGGAGCACCCAGATTCATAAAACAAGTCCTTAGAGATCTACAAAGAGACTTAGACTCCCACACAATAAGAATGGAAGACTTTAACACCCCACTGTCAACATTAGACAGATCAACAAGACAGAAAGTTAACAAGGATATTCAGGAATTGAATTCAGCTCTGCACCAAGCAGACCTAATAGACATCTACAGAACTCTCCACCCCAAATCAACAGAATATACATTCCTCTCAGCACCACATCGCACTTATTCCAAAATTGACCACACATTTGGAAGTAAAGCACTCGTCAGCAAATGTAAAAGAACAGAAATTATAACAAACTGTCTCTCAGACCACAGTGCAATCAAACTAGAACTCAGGATTAAGAATCTCACTCAAAACTGCTCAACTACATGGAAACTGAACAACCTGCTCCTGAATGACTACTGGGTACAGAACGAAATGAAGGCAGAAATAAAGATGTTCTTTGAAACCAACGAGAACAAAGACACAACATACCAAAATCTCTGGGACATATTTAAAACAGTGTGTAGAGGGAAATTTATAGCACTAAATACCCACAAGAGAAAGCAGGAAAGATCTAAAATTGACACTCTAACATCACAATTAAAAGAACTAGAGAAGCAAGAGCAAACACATTCAAAAGCTAGCAGAAGGCAAGAAATAACTAAGATCAGAGAAGAACTGAAGGAGATAGAGATATAAAAAACCCTTCAAAAAATCAATGAATCCAGGAGCTGGTTTTTTGAAAAGACCAACAAAATTGATAGACCACTAGCAAGACTAATAAAGAAGAAAAGAGAGAAGAATCAAATAGATGCAATAAAAAATGATAAAGGGGATATCACCACCGATCCCACAGAAATACAAACTACCATCAGAGAATACTATAAACACCACTACACAAATAAACTAGAAAATCTAGAAGAAATGGATAAATTCCTGGACACATACACCTTCCCAAGACTAAATCAGGAAGAAGTTGAATCCCTGAATAGACAAACAACAGTCTCTGAAATTGAGGCAATAATTAATAGCCTACCAACCAAAAAAAGTCCAGGACCAGACGGATTCACGGCCGAATTATACAAGAGGTACAACGAAGAGCTGGTACCATTCCTTCTGAAACTATTCCAATCAATAGAAAAAGAGGGAATCCTCCCTAACTCATTTTATGAGGCCAGCATCATCCTGATACTGAAGCCTGGCAGAGACACAACAAACAAAGAGAATTTTAGATAACTATCCCATTGATGCAAAAATCCTCAATAAAATACTGGCAAACCGAATCCAGCAGCACATCAAAAAGCTTATCCACCATGATCAAGTGGGCTTCATCCCTGGGATGCAAGGCTGGTTCAACATATGCAAATCAATAAACATAATCCAGCATATACACAGAACCAAAGACAAAAACCACATGATTATCTCAATAGATGCAGAAAAGGCCTTTGACAAAATTCAACAGCCCTTCATGCTAAAATCTCTAAATAAATTAGGTATTGATGGGACGTATCTCAAAATAATAAGATCTATTTATGACAAACCCACAGCCAATATCACACTGAATGGGCAAAAACTGGAAGCATTCCCTTTGAAAACTGGCAAAGGACAGGGAGGCCCTCTCTCACCACTCCTATTCAACATACTGTTGGAAATTCGGGCTAGGGTAATCAGGCAGCAGAAAGAAACAAGGGTATTCAGTTAGGAAAAGTGGAAGTCAAATTGTCCCTGTTTGCAGATGACATGATTGTATATTTAGAAAACCCCATCATCTCAGCCCAAAATCTCCTTAAGCTGATAAGCAACTTCAGCAAACTCTCAGGATACAAAATCAATGTGCAAAAAAATCACATGCATTCTTATACACCAAAAACAGACAAATAGAGTGCCAAATCATGAGTGAACTAGCATTCACAATTGCTTCAAAGAGAATAAAATACCTAGGAATCCAACTTACAAGGGATGTGAAGGACCTCTTCAAGGAGAACTACAAACCACTGCTCAATGAAATAAAAGAGGATACAAACAAATGGAAGAACATTCCATGCTCATGGATAGGAAGAATCAATATCGTGAAAATGGCCATACTGCCCAAGGTAATTTATAGATTCAATGCCATATCCATCAAGCTACCAATGACTTTCTTCACAGAATTGGAAAAAACTACTTTAAAGTTCCTATGGAACCAAAAAAAGAGCCTGCATTGCCAAGACAACCCTAAGCCAAAAGAACGAAGCTGGAGGCATCACGCTACCTGACTTCAAACTATACTACAAGGCTACAGTAACCAAAACAGCATGGTACTGGTACCAAAACAGAGATATAGACCAATGGAACAGAACAGAGCCCTCAGAAATAATACCACACATCTACTACTATCTGATCTTTGACAAACCTGACAAAAACAAGAAATGGGGAAAGGATTCCTTATTTAATAAATGGTGCTGGGAAAACTGGCTAGCCATATGCAGAAAGCTGAAACTGGATCCCTTCCTTACACCTTATACAAAAATTAATTCAAGATGGATTAAAGACTTAAATGTTAGACCTAAAATCATAAAAATCCTAGAAGAAAACCTAGGGAATACCATTCAGGACATAAGCATGGGCAAGGACTTCATGTCTAAAACACCAAAAGCAATGGCAACAAAAGCCAGAATTGACAAATGGGATCTAATTAAACTAAAGAGCTTCTGCACAGCAAAAGAAACTACCATCAGAGTGAACAGGCAACCTACAGAATGGGAGAAAATTTTTGCAATCTACTCGTCTGACAAAGGGCTAATATCCAGAATCTACAAAGAACTCAAATTTACAAGAAAAAAACAACCCCATCAAAAAATGGGCAAAGGATATGAACAGACACTTCTCAAAAGAAGACATTTATGCAGCCAACAGACACATGAAAAAATGCTCATCATCACTGGCCTCAGAGAAATGCAAATCAAAACCACAATGAGATACCACCTCATACCAGTTAGAATGGCGATCATTAAAAAGTCAGGAAACAACAGGTGCTGGAGAGGATGTGGAGAAATAGGAACACTTTTACACTGTTGGTGGGACTGTAAATTAGTTCAACCATTGTGGAAGACAGTGTGGTGATTCCTCAAGGATCTAGAACTAGAAATACCATTTGACCCAGCCATTTATATCCAATTACTGGGTATATACCCAAAGGATTGTAAATCATGCTGCTATAAAGGCACACGCACATGTATGTTTATTGCGGCACTATTCACAATAGCAAAGACTTGGAACCAACCCCAATGTCCATCAATGATAGACTGGATTAAGAAAATGTGGCACATATATACCATGGAATACTATGCAGCGATAAAAAAGGATGAGTTTATGTCCTTTGTAGGGACATGGATGAAGCTAGAAACCATCATTCTCAACAAACTATCGCAAGGAGAAAAAACCAAACACTGCAAGTTCTCACTCATAGGTGGGAATTGAACAATGAGAACACTTGGACACAGGAAGGGGAACATCACACACCAGGGCTTGTTGTGGGGTGGGGGGACGGGGGAGGGAAAGCATTAGGAGATATACCTAATGTAAATGACGAGGTAATGGGTGCAGTACACTAACATGGCACATGTATACTTATGTAACAAACCTCCACATTGTACACATGTACCCTCGAAATTAAAGTATAATAAAAATAAATAAATAAATAAAATAAATCAGCAAGGCCAAGCACAGTGGATCATGTCTGAATTCCAGCACTTTGGGAGGCCGAGGTAGGGAGATTATTTGAGACCAGGGTTTGATACTAACCTGAGCCACATAGTGAGACCTCATCTCTACACAAACTAAAAAGTTAGCCAGGCACAATGGTGCCTGCTTGTGGTTCCAGCTACTTGGGAGGCTGAGGTCGGAGGATTTTTTGAATCCAGGAAGTCAAGATTGCAGTGAGCCATGATTGCACCACTGCTCTACAGTTGGGGTGACAGAGCAAGATGCTATCTTAAAAAAAAAAAGAGTGGTAAATCCCACTGAATTTTTTAAAAGCGCCTATAATTCTCTATGAATATGTTTCTATTTTAAAACTCACTTTCTGGTTAAGAGGCTAATGCTCAAAATTCCACCCAATATAACTGTTTTTCTCTAACATCAGAAATTCTCCTTCTCTGAACCCTATTGCTTTTTCTTTCTTATTTACTTAAAAAAAAAAACCTAGTTAAATACATAATTAATTCAATTTTCCCCCTAATGTTCTAATTTTTTATGAACATACTTGGCATTATAGGGAGAAGTGGAAGGCAAGTAAAAAAAAATCTGCCACTCACCCTGTCTGGTCATCACCATGTGAATTTGGCAAATGATTCCTCCTCTGATCTTGAAGTTCTGTAAACATAAGCTATAGGTTTCTGCATTTGCATCATTCTTTTACTGCAACTCCAGAAAACATTTTTTGTAAATGTTTGAGAAAAGAGGATTACATTTCTCAGAACAGATGTTTTTAATAAGAAAATTTCATAAATATCTACATCCAGAAATATCAAAGGTAATGTTTATTGTTGCATTTTTCTCAGTTTCAATTATTTTCAACATCATTTAAGAATAATTTGACTTTTCAAATGAGTAACTTTAATTATTTACTATGCTCAAGTTATTGTGCTACTGTGGGAAATGTAAAAATGAAATAAAGAAGGTCTTGTTGCTATAGTTTGGCTGTGTCCCCACCCAAATCTCATCTTGAATTGTAGTTTCCATAATTCCCATGTGTTGTAGGAGAGACTAGGTGGAGATAATTGAATCATAGGGGTGGTTACCCCCATCCTGTTCTTGTGGTAGTGAACAAGTCTCATGAGACCTGATGTTTTTATAAGGGGTTTCCCCTTTCCTTGGTTTTTATTCTCTCTCTTGCCTGCTGCCATGTAAGATGTGCCTTTCACCTTCTGCCATGATTGTGAGGCCTCCCCAGCCACGTGGAACGGTGAGTCCACTAAACCTCTTTTTCTTTATAAATTACCCAGTGTCTTTATCAGGTATGTCTTTATCAGCAGCATGAAAACGGACTAATACACCTGTCCTCACCGTGCAGAATTCCCAACTTTTCAAACATCACCTATGATGGCTATAAGAGCAACACCAGCAGAGGAAGGAGTGAGGTTACTTGAACTGACTTTGTGGAGAACATTTGAGCTTAGATGCAAAGCAGCTTCAGGGGAAAGGTTTCTTAGTGAGGACTCTGCAGAGTAAATGAACCAATAGGATGTAGATACAGTATAGAGAAATTTATTTTTAGGAATTGACTTATGCAATTGTGGAGGCTGGCAAGTCCAAAATCGGCAGGCTAGGCGAGCAGGCTGGAGACTCAGGGAAGAGAAGCAGCTTAAGTCCAAAGGCAGTCTGCTGGCAGAATTTCTGTTACTTACAGAAGGTCAGCCTTTTTTCTATTAAGTTATCCAACTGATTTGATGAGGCCCACCCACATCAGGAAGGGTTACCTGCTTTACTCAAAGTCTGCTGATTTAAATGTTAATTCCATATAAAAAATACCTTCACAGGAATATCTAGAATAATGTTTGACCAAATAGCTGGGTACTATTGCCTAGCCAAGTTGACACATAAAATTAACCATCGCAGTGGGATAAGCATGTTCTCAGGCTTAGGGAAGAATTGAAGCTTTGTAATAGGGATACTTTGCAATGGGGATAATTCATGAAGAAAAGTCAGAGGGAAAGGAGAGGGGGATAATCAAGGTCACACAGAGAGGGGTTCGGCTTAGAAAGAAGGATAGTAAAGGATGGCTTGGGTGCCAGAATAATTGTGAGAAGAAGGCAAAAATGCTTAAACTATTCACATCAGATAGCTTTGATGTCTCTGGGAAAATAGCGTATTTGTTGGAGGGAAGGGCTGGGAGCTGGTGGCAGCTATAAGCACATGTTGGGGACAAGGATGGTGTTGGAGAATATGGAAAAGTATTGGGAAGGAATAGCACTCAGGCACTCAGAATAAAATTTGTTTTAAGAAATGTTGAGTCTAAGTTGGCTTTCTCACCTTCTTCTCTCTTTTTTTTTTTTTTCCAGCGTGATTTCTAAAAGAAGTACAGCTGTGGAATTACACCAACTGGAATTTGAATCCCAGGAACCCACTCACTCACCAGTATGTGGCCTTGGGAAAATTACCTAAACTCTTATAGACTCTGTTATGAAGAGTTATTAAAATGACCCGTGTAAAAGTGTCTGGGACAGTGAGTGGTACTCAACCAGAGGCGATTTTACCTCTCAAGGGATAGTTGGTGGTGTCTGGAGACATTTTTTATTGTAAACAGCTGGGCAGTGAGGCATGGTGCAAAGATGAACTATTGGTAACTAGTGTGTAGAGGCAAGGGATGCTGCCAAACATCCTACACTGCACAGGACAGCTACTTACAATAAAAAATTATGCAGAATTGGCATTATCCAAAATGTCAATGCCTCAAGCATTATACACAGTAAATGTTGATTACTGTCTACTAATCGTGGTAAACCAAATTGAATAGAATTTTTCCTGTAAGTGGCCACATCTGAAGGTTTGTTTTCTACAGTGTTCAAAATGCTCTGCCTTTTGAAGAAGGTTAAAGTGTAATTTAGAGACACACACAAAAAGCAAACTCTATTCAGAAACTCTTACACAAATAAAATATTCCATTCAATTCAAGAAATACCCAAAGTCCAGCTCTCTGATACTTGTTTTGAAAAGCTTTGGGCTAGGACAGACTAGAGTTTTAATGTTCTGTGCTCCATGAGCCAGTCTTTGAGGGAAAATTTCAAGTGATTTGGATTTACGTTTGTAAATGCATTTATACATCTTCCCAGTATCGGTGATATATTTAGAAATAAATCAAATGATTCTGTTTTATCTAGTCCTATGTGGAATTTCTTGGCTAAGAATAAAATACTCTAGGCAATTTCAGTGCCAACATAGTACAGCTTTATCGGAAATGTCTTAGTATCTCTTTCTCGGGAGTGCAGACACTAAACAAATATGCAAATATAAGGTGATTTTAGTTCCGTTGAAGTGATTTGACCATATTTGTGTCAAAAGTTCAAGTAGTTTCCATTATATTTGTGGGGCAGGGAGGGAGCAGTGACTCTGTAAATACATTAGCTAGTTAGCTAGCTCTTAGTAATGCTATCACATCAAAACCCTGCATTTATTTAATCCTTTCCTTTATATTTTGGGCAAAACTTGCTACACAAACCAACAAATAAAAACAAAAAAACTTACAGAAATAAGGGCTTTTATTTGTCAAATTAAATGTGGCTAGGAGGTTTGAATTTGAATTCGATGGTTAAGTTTTAAACTATGAAGTGAGATCAGCTAAAATCGGATGAGGAAAAAGCTGTGTGAGCCCTGCTGCTTGCTCACTGGGCAGCAGACCAGAATTAATTCCCAGGCCTCAAGTAACTGACCAAAGTTGAGACAAAAGGGGAAGGGACCATTATCCCTGGAACTGAAACAAGAAGTTTCAGTGGATGTTAGGGAGGGACTGTAGGCCATGGCTGAAATCATCAATCACGTCACCCTTGTGACACCACGAGCAGGGGTAGAGAGTGATTTTGAAATGTAGCTGCCATTTATTGAGAGCCTACTATGGGCTCTCATAATAAGAGCTATAATACTTTAGATATTCTTCTATTTGATCCTAACAGCACCTTTCAGGATTGAGATTATCATTCCAATTTTTCAAATAAGGAAAATCAGGCTGAGGGAGATTAAGCCAATTGCCTGAATTTACCCAGCTGGTAAATAGCCGAAGCAGGATTTAGACCTAATGTGAGAGGAATGTTGAAATGGCTGAAAAAAATATACCTTGATTTGTGTTTGTCTATGTTAAAATAAATTTATTGTGGTTTTTAAAAAATTAATAAGCTTAATTTTTTCTTTTTGAGACAGCATCTTGCTCTGGGCTGGATTGCAGTGGTATGATCCTAGCTCTCTGCAGCCTCAAACTCCCCAGCTCTAGCAATCTTCCTCCCTCAGTCTCCTGAGTAGCTGGGACTACAGCCACATGCCACCATGCTCAGCTAATGTTTTATTATTTGTAGAGACAAGGGTTCATTTTGTTGCTCAAGCTGTTGCCTCGAACTCCTAGGCTCAAGTGATCCTTCCACCTCAGCCTCCCAAAGTGCTGGGATTACAGGTGTGAGCCACTGCGCCTGACCCTAAACTTAATTTTTAAAAGCCTCTTTAGGTTCACATATTGTAGGAGTTTTATGCCAATTTTATAAACAATCTATAATAAGAAAATAAAATAAGTTGGAGTCCCTCAAGCTCCGTATGACAATCTCATGCGTGTTTTTTATGGTTATATACACATAATGCAATTTGATAAAACGGTCATATACATTCTTTGAAAGCTCAAGATGACTTTTTTTAATACAGATTTTTTGCTTTCTCCTTAGTTCTTTCCTCCTCCGCTTACCCCCACATTCTAAAATACAGTATATTTTCCATACCTTCTCCTTTATTCATATAATCATAATCACACATATGCATTTATGTATACATATCTACATATAGATACATATGTAAGTTCTTTGGTTGTTGCTTTTCTATGAATGGGGCCATCTTATATATGTTCCTCAGTGCATTTCACTTAACTACACTAAGGAAATGCCTACAATGCAGCTGGTTTGGTCCTGATTTATTCTTGATAATAGCAACATAATATCCCAGAGTACGGATATACCATAGTGTATTCAACTATTTTCCTTTTATGAGCATTCACTTTATTTCTTCTTTTCTGCTATTACACAAAAATGATTGCAATAAGTATCCCTGTACATAGCCTTGATTTATTTTGAGCCCTGAAATCCTCCCTTTCCCTCACTCCTTATGTTCAGTCACCAGCTCACTCAATTTGAATCCTGTGACATCTTTGGAATCTGCTCTCTCCCCATCTCCACCTCCATGGCTACTGCCTGGTTTGAAGCTTCATAATATCTAGCTTGAACTACTGTAACAGTGTCTTAGCTGTTCTTTCCACTCTAAGTTTAAAAAATTTCTCTCTCTCTCCCAACAATTCCTTCTGCTTCCAGGATTCCCTTTTTGATATGCAAATGATCCTTATATTTTCTGGTAGCCCCCACACATGTAGTTTGTGCAGTTGGCTAGGAGTAAAAGAAACAATCATGCATTGGAGATGGCAAATGGAAACCAATACTGACAGCATATGGAGGCAACAACGAGTGGTGACACCTGCCGACCTCAAGCGGGCCTGTTCCATCTAAACTGTTAGCTCCTACTTAGCTTCAGCTGACTACTGCCATGAGGGAATGTGGACCAGACTTGCCCGATGGTCTAATTTCTCTCTCTCACACACACAGAAACCTAGAAATCAAATTTTTAATGAAAATCTTCAAATTTTCTGGCCACACCAAAACATCTGCAATCTGAAATGTTTGTCCTTCAGGATAAAATGTGACTCAGCCTGTGAGTTATTCCCATCTCTCATTGTTCTCCACATCTATCATCTCTTCATTGATGATCCTGTCCTGTTTATTCATCCTCTAGGAGGTTACCTAAATGTGATGAAGTGTATTTGATTTAATGGATACTTCGTCTCTGGATCTAGTGAGAGTCTTGGGGCATTATAAGAAAGAGAAGGAGCTGGGCGCAGTGGCTCACACCTGTAATCCCAGCACTTTGGGAGGCCGAGGCAGGCAGATCACTTGAGGTCAGGAGTTCGAGACCAGCCTAGCCAATATGGTGAAACCCCATCTCTACTAAAAATACAAAAATAAGCTGGGCATGGTGGCATACACCTGTAGTCCCAGCTACTCGGGAGGCTGAGGCAGGGCGGGAGAATCGCTTGAGCCTGGGAGGCAGAGGTTGCAGTGAGCCAAGACTACACCACTGCACTCCAGCCTGGGTGATAGAGCAAGATTCCATGTCAAAAAAGAAAAAAAAAAAGGGAAGGGAGAGTATAACAGAGAGAAGCTGACATTAGAGGTACTGTGGTCTCTTGCCTTTCCTCGGAGTCACGTGGAAGCACAAAAACCAGTCATATGTCACGTACTAGACTCTGCTCCTGGGGCCAATTCCTGGCTCTCCTTATTGAGCACTTATGTGCCCGGTCACAGCTAAGGGTGTCCACATACATTCTTACATTTGCCCTTCATAACCACTCTTCCAGACAACTTTTATCATGCTAACTTTTCAAATGAGGGAATAGGGACTCCCAGAGGTTAAGTGGCTTGGCCCAAATCACATGGCTAATAAGCGGCAGTGTTCAGGTTTAAACCTTAGTTTCCTAATCCCAGATATATTTCCATTGAGTACACTGTTCTTATCCATAGTGGGTTCAGTTCCATATTCAGAGGCCATGTAGAAGGAGGAGGAATAGCCTTCATTCTTCTTGACTGGGTATGTGATTAAATAGGTAGTTTGCCCAGGATATTTTGACTTTGATAAAGCTCTTTATTGAAGGCTTATTCATGTCATCTAGTAATTTAATCATCATTTCCAGAGCCAAGAAAACATGTAATAATAAAAAATAAAACAAAAAGCTATCATAAATTTTCAAACTTGGAATATGAATGACTCTGATCCATTAGCCTTAATTTACAGGCCTATGAATTAAACTTTACAAGAGTCTCTCTCCTCTGGCAATGTCTCATGAAATCCTGTCTCTGGGAGACTTTGTGGTTGGGGCCCAGTGCTTTAGTCCTGGCTGCATTTCCCGGAGTTCGTGTCCTCTTCAGATTTTTAATTTATACTTATTTATGATGCTTCTAGGTTAAGTCTCTGGTTTCTGTAAGAACTCTGGTTTCCTCTCATAATTCACTCTATTGTGTCTAAACTACAGATGAGAGTGGTAGAATGTCTTGATTCTGGTCCATTTGATTTTCTCAGTTAACATTTGTTAAACATCTAAGTTGCAGGTACTGTACTTAGTGCTGGATATATAAAAGTTTTGCTGTCCTTGAGGCTGTCCTATTTGGGAGGCAGACATGGAAAAAAATAATTCCGAAACAGTGTGGCAAGTACCCAGGACCAGTGCTGGCGCAAAGGCAGTAGAGAGATCAACACTGCCTATCAGAAAGAACATGACCCAATGGAGGAGGGGCTGCACTGAGGGACCCAACTTTCAGATTTTTGGGGGAACACATCATTGCATTTCCTTGGGCCACCCAGAAAGATAGAGAAAGCCAATGGTTTTGCAGGTTTGTGGAGCACCAGCAACTGTTCCTCAAATTAGCAGATCATAGGTGGCTTCTATCACAGTATATCTACTTTGAGGACAAATGCTACCTTATCTTTTTTTCTTATTACATCTGCTTAATTTTCTCAGTCTGCCTTAACTAAGGGACCCCTAGGTTTTTAAACAGGCACAACCATACAACCTAATAAATAATAAAGAGGGTTTTGATAAAACCTTGGGATTAAAAGTTAACAGGAAGATTACAGCCAAAGCAATTCAGGTCCCTTTACAAGGTTGAGTCATCAGTTAGACCTTCACCATGGACCATGAAACATCTCCTCTTCCTGTCTTTCCACAGCTAAAACTTTCCAAGTACATTTCCATGATAAGTAAGATTTAGTCTTGGATAGAGATTTATTCTATTCTGGTCTCAGCCTCTTGGGAAAGCAAGTCCAGAAAAAAAAGCTAAGTAGTATAGCCTTAATCATAGCCAGGCCTGACAGTGGTCATGGCTTCTCTTCTAGAGAGGCCACTGCACCCCTCGTGACCTGAAATGTGACAGAAGATGTGTTCTGGGCCTCTTGGTTCCATTTCTGGAGAAGCATACAAATGCCTCCATTAAGCTGGGGACCTCACAAAGGACAGATAGTTATCAGTTTTGTTGGTGCATTAACCAAGAATTTGGGTTGTATTAAAAGTAATTTGATAAAGTCTTTGGTCACAATAGTCACAATAATTGAAGATAAAGTCTAGGACCTTGGGGAGACATGGCTGGAAACTTTGTTATGAGTTTATTTTTTTTAACTGATAACATTTCCTATAATGCATTATTTCCTAAAATGGTAAGAGTTATATTATCCAAAGTTTGCATTCCCATGTGGAAAGCTGGTTGAGAAGCATTGGAAAATTATAGGACCATCATTACAAGTCCAGAATGAGGAATTTGATGGGTTGACAATCTAGTTTGGTATGGTTTCTGAACTGCTCATACTTTGCTATAGAATACCTGAGGGGCTGGACTAGGCCAGGAGAGGAAATCCTGCTTAAGAGAAGCCAGAATTCTGGCCAGTCACGGCGGCTCACTTCTGTAATCACAGCACTTTGAGAGGCTGAGGCAGGAGGATCACTTGAGGCCAGGACATCAAGACCAGCCTAGGCACCATAGCAAGACCCTGCTTCCACAAAAGAAATTATTTAAAAAGCTGGGTGAGATGGCATGTGCCTGTGTACCTGGGAGGTGGAGGTGGGAGGATTGCTTGAGCCCAGAATTTGAAGCTGCAGTCAGCTATGATCCTGCCACTGCACTCCAGCCTGGGTGACAGAGTGATAATTTAAAAACCCTGTCTCTAAAAATTTAATGAATTAAAATTTTTTAAAAATAAGAAGCCAGAAACCTAGAACTAGAGAAATAGTAAATACGAAGCATCAGGACCAGATGAAGTAAAGCGATAAATTTTGAAAACAGTCAAATTAATGATAAGACAACCTGGAATAGATCCAGAAATAGGGTACAAAAGGGCTTGGGGTCAAAGGCTCAAGAAGGGGGGCATGAAAATGAAAGAGCCCTGGAAGTTTGCTTTCTGTGATGCTAGTGGAGAATGCTGAATAAAGTGAAGGAAGCAGACCTGGGTCCACAGTGAATCCTTCTGGATTTATACAGTGTTAGAATCCCAAAAATGTTTGAGAGCTGCAGGCCTTGGAACTCCTCCAGCTCAACCATCTCAATTTACAGATGAAAAAGCGGAGGCCCAGGGCACACAGCTATTTAGTGTCAGGCGGAATTCCCATTCTGAGTTCTGGACTTTCTCTGTGACTTCTCCACACTCCATCTGACTAGCAAACTTTTTAGTTCCACGTCTAATGCAGCAGCTACTATATGCCAGGCCCTGTGGTAGATGGTGGTGATTCAAAGATGCATATGACTATTATGATCTAATTGGTGACAGAGAGCTTCAGAACTAATTCTAACTGGTAAAAATTACCAATAGATTTTAATATATGGGTAAATGCTTATGTTAACAATGCTAAATGAGAAAACAGCAATGAAATTGTATATATAGTTGGCCCTTGGACACATATTTGAACTGCACAGGTCCACTTATACACAGATTTTTTTTTTCACCCAAAAGCGGATAGAAAACAGTATTTTCAGGCAGAAATGCTTAAACAGAGGGCAGACTTTTCCTATACGCGGGTTCCCCAGGGCCCACAGCTGGACTTGGACTTGAATATGGGATGATTTTAGTATGGGGGGGCGGAGGGGAAGAGGGCCTGGAACTAGTCCGTTGAGTATAACGAGGGACAATGCTAAGTATGTTATAATCTCATTAAAAGTACACAGAACTTGAGATACGCAATAACCTACTAACGAACCAAGTGTTACAAGACATGCTAAGACCTTGTGTTGTAAGTACTTGTGCACTTACTCGATCTCCCTGCTTTAGGGCCAGGACCGAGTTTTTTTGTTTTTGTTTTTGTTTTTGTTTATGTATTCTCTCGTTGTATCAGTTCATCTTGCCCCAGACCTGTCACCCACTAGAATTTGTTGTTAAACAAATGAAGCTTCCTTTCTCATGTGGCCCCCACCCCTCTCCTAAAGGAGAATAAAAGGTCGAGAGAACGGATGAGGTTAGAATGCTGGTGGGACTGAGATGGGAAAGGACCTTAAAGGTTACTCGCCCAAAGAGGAAAACCAGCCTTTTCCCTGCAGACGGAAACTGACGCGCTCCCCCTGGAGGCAGCGCAGGATGCTCCCGGGGGTCCAGGCGTCCCAGCCTGAGGTCCCCATCCTCGTGTGCAGCCTGGGCGCCTGGTACAAGTCGGGGTAACCCTGAGGCTTGTGCATCCAGAGAAGCTAGGTCCCCGGTGGAGACTAGCTTGGGATAAGGTTGGGGAGACGCCCTCCGTTCTTCTAGATGCCTGGGGTCTCAACAGCAAGCAGTGAGGAATGAGACTCTTAACTGAACAACTCCTGAGACTGTTAAAGGAGTGCATACTATTACAGGGACAGGCATCCCCTGTGAACCTACTCATGAATTTTTCCTAATGCTTAATTCAGCTTGGGGGCAGAAATGCTGGGGTGAGACACGGCCAGGTCCGCCCCGTTCCTCCAGGGAACTCCCCTCTCCGCCCTCCCTCTCCGTCTCCTCTTGCCCACCTCCTCCTCCTCCCCTCCCCCCACTCCATCCCACCGCGCCCGCCCCTCGTCATCGCCCCCTTTCCCCTCCCATCTCCCGGCCGTGGTGCGGCGCAGCTCTCTCCCCCTCCGCAGTCTCAGTGGCGAGCTCTGGGTGCTGTGGCCCGGCCTTGGCGGGGCGGCCTCCGGCTCAGGCTGGCTGAGAGGCTCCCAGCTGCAGCGTCCCCGCCCGCCTCCTCGGGAGCTCTGATCTCAGCTGACAGTGCCCTCGGGGACCAAACAAGCCTGGCAGGTAAAGATGAAGCTCCCCAAACCCAACAACCTTAGAACTTAGAAATTTCCCTGAGAAAGGCAGGACCTACCCGAGGAGAGCTTCTTTGAAGGACTTTGAAGAAAGGGATCAAACTTGACACTTTCTTTCAGTCCTCAAAGAAACTAACCACCCTTCCCATAGGCAATTCTGTGTGCCGGCCTCTGCACAGTTTAATATTAACGACAACAATGTTTGCATTGGAATATAAATGGAATTCTTTCTGCTTAAGCAGTACCAGAGGGGACCCTCTTTATTTTTATGATTGTTAACAGATGCCATTGAGAAAGGTATGAAACGCATTCCTGAAAAGTCTCTTTGGCGGGGTTACTATGAAAGCTAGCCTCTCCCCTCTACCCTTTTATCAACTTGGCTGCGGAGGTCAGCAAAAGGAGCATAGGAAAACGTTTAGAAAATGAGGCGGCGAAATGAAGTAGAAAAGCTTTTGACTTGCTTTGAAATACTCTAGCTGAAAAAAAAAAGTGTGTGGGGTGGTGATGGTGGATGAAACATTGGCAAAATATTGACAATAGTTGAAGCTGGTGATGTGCACATGGGGGTTGTACTTTTCTCTCAACTTAATACTTTTCTCTGTGCTTTTGTGTAGTCTTGAAATTTTCTATAATAAAAGGTTTTTTAAAAAGTTGTAGAAACACTCCCGCTTGATTGCTCTGACATTTTTACACTGTCCTTGATTTGAAAAGAAGCTGCTTGCTGTGTCTAGGGGGCTTTCACCCCTTATTAACCCTTCTGACTTCTGAAATTCATTCTTATTTTATCCGAAGTACATTTGTCTCCACAGAGGATTATAAAAGTCATATTTTGCTGGCTGGAGAATTATACTTAGAATCTGGTTTATAATTTAGAAGAGAGAATGTTAAAATCCCTGCCAAATAAGACATGTAGGCTTGAAGGTAGAGGCCAAGTATCATATGGAATTTTATTTTTATTAGGAAATATTAGAGGAGTTCCTTTAGTGAGGGAAGTGGTAGATGTGGATACTGTACCCCATTTTTCTTCCAGATAGCTGGGAAAACTGCATGCTTTTAAGAAGCTTTTTCACGTTTTAAAATGTGAGACTGTTTAGCATATACTTGGCATACAGTATGTGTTCATTAGATGTTAAAATAAGCAATTGCTAGTGTGAGTTAATTTTCTCCATTGGGTAAATGATTTTCCTCTGCCCAATGCTCAAATATCAAACAAGCATATTGCATTTTAACAGTAGGATCAGACTCAGAATTTGGGAGGATAGAGCTACTTTACCTTAGCACTGAGGTAACTTTGCAGATGAGAAATCTGAGATGGAGAGGTTAGGAAACAGTAAAGTTAAGTTAGTAGTATGCAAGCTATTATTTTATAACTAAAAAACGTTAAGCTTCGTATAGGTAAAACTGATGTGGGTTAGCTAAAAACATTGTGACCATAGATGCTTTAAAACCTGAAAAGTAGCATACCTATTTATAGATATTCTTTGCTCTCAAAGGCCAACTTGAAAAATACAGATAAGTCTAGAGCTATATGCTGTGCACTTCATAAGGCAGCATATGAAAGAGTCCTCTTGGGGTTCCTTTAATGTCATTCACCCAAAATTTGATTTATCCATAGGATTGCACAAATTGAGATGTACAGGTCATGGAAAAATAGCCCCCAAACAAAGGGAGGTTTTGTTTTTTATTGTGATGAGAAACAGAAGTTGTGGGTTACTGTAAAATAATCAACTGTGTAACTTTACCATCTTCCTTTCCCTCAAGTACTGCCAAACTTTTTAAGCAGACATTTTTTTGGTCTCCATTTATGAAACTAAACTTGAAAATAGTGCTATGGTATGATATTTTGAATAGAAATTGGCCCACTGTCAATGAACTTTCTTGCCATTTATTCTCAGCCTAGAATCAGTGGAGAGCTTATCCTTTAGTAATGGATTATAAAGTATTTGATAAACGTGAAATATTTGGCAGGTTCAAGATTTTCCTTAGCATTGAAATAAATTGTGGCACATTTGGGGGACTAGTTAACAGTGCTGTAGGTCATGCTGGAAGTGTGCTGGCACTACAACTGTTTTTGAAAAACTATCTGCCAGAAAATTGTCTGACTGTAGACAGCATTATCAGCCCTCAGTTCATCAGGATGGGCTCTGTGGCCTGTAGGTAGGTGGGTTTTCTAAATATAATAAATTTCATATGTCTCCCTATGTCACAGCCATTTAGTATATTATTAGCCAGTTAAAAGTTTTGCCCCTGCTGAATCTTACATGCTTTTAAAATAAAATCTATTTCACAGCTGAGTAAGTGTAAACATTTTAAATACCTGCGTTAGATTTGCCATCACCAGGCTAATTTTGCCATCTAGTGGTAGCAACATGGATAACAGGCAAGTTCTTCCCTGGATGACTAGGAATTGAACCTTCCTGAGAAGCATTGATGAGTAAATTACTTGTGTTTTCTCATTTGTGGTTTACTCTAGAACTTTAAAGCTGGAAGAAATCTTAGAAATGTTCTAGTCCAACTCAACAGTTAAGGACTATCAGAGAGATTCTTTAAAATAAAGGCTTCGAAATGCATGGCGGAGTTAGCAGGTGGTATGCATTTGTTGAATAGACAAATTTATCTATCCTGTTCTAATTCTTGTTTTTCCTCTAGCAATATTGCATCCTACCACTATGAAGTTTTATCGTGATCTTCTGTTTTTAGTTTTAAAATTGCATTTCTGTATATTATTTCTTAAAATAACACATTTTCATTTATATTTTAAGTCCCAGAAGGAAACATTCTTTTCTACTGTTTTTGTTTGTTTGCTTTGAGACAGGGTTGCCCTGTCTCATTCTAGTTGTCCAGGCTGGAGTGTAGTGACACAATCACAGCTCACTGCAGCGTCCACCTCCCAGCTTAGGTGATCCTCCCAACTCAGCCCAGAGTAGCTGGGACCACAGGCATGCGCCACCACACTTGTAGAGACAGGGTCTCCCTATGTTGCCCAGGCTACTCTCAAACTCCTGGACTCAAGTGATCCTCCCATCCCAGCCTCCCAAAGTGCTAGGATTACAGGTGTGAGGCACCGCGCCCGGCCCTTTTCTACTTTTTAATCACTCCCTACTACTACTACTTCTCTTTTCTTTTTTTTGACGGAGTCTCGCTCTGTTGCCCAGGCTGGAGTGCAATGGCGTGATCTCACCTCACTGCAACCTCTGCCTCCCGGTTCAGGGGATTCTCCTGCCTCAGCCTCCCCAGTAGCTGGGATTACAGGTACACAACAGCATGCCTGGCTAATTTTTGTATTTTTAGCAGAGACGGGGTTTCACCACGTTGGCCAGGCTGGTCTGGAACTCCTCACCTCAAGTGATCCGCCCACCTAGGCCTCCCAAACTGCTGGGATTACAGGTGTGAGCCACAGCCTCCGCCACTCCCTACTACTACTTTCTTTCTAAACAGTCAGGCAGACTGTTGTAAAAACTCGATTCTCACCTTTGTAAGTGTAGCAGTTTCCTACTGCTGCTGTAACAAATTACCGAAAACTCAGTGGTTTAAAACAACACAAATTTATTATCTTATGCATCTGGAGATCAGAAATCTAAAGTTTTGGCTGGGCACGGTGGCTCACGCCTGTAATCCCAGCACTTTGGGAGGCCGAGATGGGCGGATCACGAGGTCAGGAGATCGAGACCATCCTGGCCAACACGGTGACACCCCATCTCTACTAAAAATACAAAAAAAATTAGCCGGGCATGGTGGCGGGCGCCTGTAGTCCCAGCTACTGGGGAGGCTGAGGCTGAAGAATGGCGTGAACCTGGGAGGCGGAGCTTGCAGTGAGCCGAGATCACGCCATTGCACTCTAGCCTGGGCGACTGAGAGAGACTGCGTCTCAAAAAAAAAAAAAAAAAAAAGAAATCTGAAGTTGTATTGTGATCTTCTGTTTTTAGTTTTAAATTATATTTCTTCATATTTTTCTTAAAACAACACATTTTCATTTATGTTCCTCCTTCTGGAAGTTCTAGGAAATAATTTTCCTTACCTTTTTCAGCATCTAGAGGCCACTCATATTCCTCAGCTCATGATCCTGCATTGCTCTGGCCTCCGCTTACATCTATCAGCTCTTCCCACTCTTAACCCGTCTGCCTCCTTCTTATATGAGCCCCTATGATTGCATTGGACCCACCTGGATAACCCAGAATAACCACTTCACCTTAAAATCCTTAATGTAATCGTATTTGTAAAGTCTCTTTTCTTGTGTGTGGGAAATATTCACAGGTCCTGGGGATGAGGATATTTGGCATACCACAATGAGGCAGTTAGAGATGTATGAAATACCTTGTAAATATCTACCTGAGTGTTGGCTCCCCCTGTTTGATATGAAAAACATTGGCTTTAATCTTTGTGGAGTGCTTACTGTGCTCTGGGCATTGTGCTTATCATATTAGTTTCTCACAAAAATATTCTCAAATATTATCTCTATCTAATAAATGTGGGAAATAATGTCTAGAGAGATTAGGTAACCTTCACAAGATCACAGTGTAACAAGTGGCAAGTGTACTTAAGGTTGATTTGGCTTCAAAGCCCACTGCCCCCATAATCATTGAAACACCCTAGTTCTTACTCCCCTTTTTTATTACGTTACAGACACTGTTATTTTCTCATACACTCTCTAAATTAAATGTTACCTCCATGTAGTGCTGCTGTCAGGGAGCGCCTCAGTGGATCAGGAATTAGTTTTCATAAGATACCCCCTCTCCTCAGCATCTGTTCCCCCAAATAAAACTGACTATGAAAGTTTTTACAATTGTCATCCAAAACATCACCGCTTTCTTTAGTGCTTGCTTTATTCCTGTTTATGTCACTTGTAATTCTCCCCCTCTCCTGCTGTGGCCTTTTGCCTAAGCCATTTCTCTCTGCAGTTATTCAGAATCATCTGGCCAGGCCCCAGTGTCTCCCTGTTGTGTGTCAATCCTGAGTAGGTGGAGGATGAAAGTAGAGGAGGAAATGAGGGCATGTCTTCACATTTAGGTATGCATGTAAACAGAGCCAGTGGTGTTAGGAAGCACAGGTGGTTGGGATTGCAGATGGCTAAATAGAGGACAGCCAAGTTTTAAAAGGTGGTCATGCAATCATTGGTGTGTACTAACATACACACTAAAGTAGAGGGTGGTGTTGGCCCTATGGGGTCATTGATATGACTGAGTAATTCCTGACCCACAGCAGCCTCCCAGGAACTGTTTGATGGATCAATGCAAAGTTGTGTCCCATGGCAACATGCTATGTACATAAATATGGACAAGTACCTCACTAGACATTACAAGGAACCAGGTGAAAAGAAAGGCATAAGTAATTGTGAATCTGTCACCTAGTGAGGGAAAGCAATTCAATGCAGGTCCTTCAATGGTAAGTCAGCATCTTTGCTTTCTCATAGACAGGAAAAATAATTGATTTGAAATATTAATATAGTGGGCAGCCATCTAATCTTTCATTAGTTTGTCTGCTCTATCTAAGCTAGACTATAAACTTCTAGGGTAAAAAACAAAACACAAAAGAGAAACTGAGCCTTAAGGTATAATGTCATTTCATCATAGGATTCTATATACTCTAGATAGACTCACTCAAAAAGTTGTTTTTTTTTCATTGTAGATCACTCCCTTAGAGTAATTATGTTGACATAGACTCTGTTTCTTTTTAGGCTGAGGGTCTGATGCAGTTCCAAAATTCCCAGTGTAGATCCAGGCTATAAATAAGACACAGAAAATGCAATTTAAGTGTTTTGTGGCTGCATAGTGTTTAATCACACTTAAGTTTAATAGCAATGAGAAAAATATATTACAGAGCCATGGATATTCATAGAAATGAGTAATTAGGAAAGCATTCATTTGGGAAGTCTCTAAAGTGAAGCTGTCCTTGAACGAAAAACAAAACAAAGAAAAAGCGAATTTTAGAGTGAGTTGGAAACTATCTTGAAATAAAAATATTTGACTGTAAAACTGACTTTTTAGAAAACTACAAGATCTCTAATTTTGGCTTATATAACAACCTGTTTTGAAGTGATACAAATTCACCAATTAAGGTAGGATAATAATTATAAAATAACATGTGTTAACTACTTACTATCCTCTGGGCTCAGTAGTAATTCTTTGCGTGTATCATCTCATTTAATCTCCATAACAATGTTATGAAGTCGAAATTACTATAATATTATCCCCACTTTGCAGATGAGGAAAGTGAAACTTGGAGAGTTAATGAACTGCCCACATGCACATGCCTCATAAGTGGTGAAAAGGGAATTGAACCCAAGCCTTCCCACTCCTTGGTCTGCACTCATAACCACTATGCTGGTACAGATACACAAATATTCTCAACGCTGTCAGCAATCACATTTCTAAGAAACTATAAACAAATAACAAAAGGGTAATAGTAAGTGATCTCGTAGTCAAGTGTGGTCACTTCTATTAATAGATTGGGTACAAATGTGTAATTACATCTCTTCCATCAGTAAGAGTTCATCTACATACACAGATATTCTTACTTCTTCCTTAATTCCCTTCTACTCAATCTGTCTTCAGGATCCAGCCCATAATCAGCTGTGTGTATGCTGACTCACAGTGGTGGGCAGCAATCACTGCAACTTTGCTTTCATTAACCAAAATTGGAATTTGAAGCCCCAAATGCAAGCCATCTGGAAATGGACAGTGAAGGTCACAGTTATATTGGAAGACAGGAAAAATGAGGGGGATGGGGAAGCCAAGGGATGTTAGACTTTCAAAATATTATAGCTGCCCCTTCAACTGGGACTGTGTCTTTTTAGATCAATGAGTTAGTCCTTTTTGGATAATGGGCATATGTAGATGTCTCCACTGAACAAACTGTGGATTGCTCTATCAGTAAGAGCTATCATTTATGCCACATTGACATTTTACCACAAGACAAACTTAGATTTTCCAAAAGAAAGTGTCTTTAAACATTTGCCCAATTTTAAATTACAGGCCAAATTAGGCTAACTAAATCCATGTCCTCTTATTACTGTGATTCTGAGGTCATATTACAAAGCTCTGCCCTTCCCATACCCAAGGGTAGACGTGGGCATGGTTTTTATTCCTGTGGTACACTGCACAGAGCTCCCTCAAAGGGCACCAGGCAGGGCTGGTGAACCAATGCCATTGAATGATCTGTAGTATGAGATATTGGAGGCATTACATATAAACCTTATGAACTTCACTTTTGCCATTGAATGATCTGTAGTATGAGATATTGGAGGCATTACATATAAACCTTATGAATTTCACTTTTTTGAGACATATGATGCACATAGGATCACTATGTGATCCTAGTTCACACCACTGCACTCCAGCTTGGTGACAGAGCCAGACTGACTCTCAAAAAATAATTAAAAATAAAAATAAAAGTTAGTTATGTTTGTTTTTTATTAATTGGCTGAGTTATTTGATATTGTCAGTTGCTAACATAGTAAAAGCATAAAGTCAGAATAAATTAATTTTGTACACAGAGATGAAGCAGATGTCATTTAAAACCCGGGTAAGCCATCATCCTTGGAAAGACCACCTTCTGGGGTATGGCTCATGTTGCTACACCAGAGCCTTGGCTACTGTAGTGGTTCTTAACCTTTATTGAGTGTCAAAGTCATCTGGAGGGCCGGTTAAACCTAGCTGGGAGTCACTCTCCACCACCCTTTCAGGAGAGTTTCTAACAGTAGGTCTGGGGCAGGCCCTGAGAATTAGCATTTTTAACAAGTTTCCAGGTAATGCTGAAGTTACTAGTGTAGGGACTGTCCTTTGAGAACCCCTGGTCTGGTGTTTCCTTTTGGCGAGCAACCAAGATATGGGCTCTCAACCACCGTTCGTAACTGCTGTGAGAATGTGAACGTGAACACAGAGAAGGAAAACCATGCCTATATCATTGGTATTGTCATTTGATAAGTCAAATCATTGCTTTGTACCAAGCCAGGTTTCAAATAGCATTGAAAATTTCCAAAGTATTGTCCAAGGCCTTTGACTAGAACAATAGCTTTATAAACCAGTGTCATCTACATAGCCAGAAATAAAATTATACTTAAATACAATTCAACTCTGATGAGGCTTTCTTAAAAGTCTGGCTACAGAATTATGGCACAGGATAAACGTAACTGGGGAAAAAATATCACAGTAACACTATTTAGACATCCTTTATTTTGCCCAGGAATGCCTTTCACAAGTGTATTGCTCCTCAGATCATTAGTACCAAGCATTAAGATATACCAAATGAGATACTTTGTGTCTCTTGACGTGGATATTTGGCTGACTTTCAAGCTTTGATGTAATCATATATTAAGTACACAGTGGACAGCTGTTGTCATAAAGAGCTAAATGAAAAAGCAATTAAGAAAAAAGTTTCCCACACCAAAACAACTCCCTTGATTGAAATTTTGCTGAGAATCAAGTAGATTTAAAAATATACATAATGATATATATCATTTTTATCTATTTTGGTTTGTTGATAAGCTAAGTAGCAGCAAATAACTCTTTGATTTTCACTTTTTTTTTCAGCCAAGGACATAAATTTTCATCCTGGGAACTACAATTTCAAGCGCTCAGTAGAGTTACTGAGTTGTGAGCCTTTTTCATTCTAATTAAATAAACTTGATGAAATACTATTGAGAAAAATTGCATAGAAGACAAAATAAAATACTAAGTGGCTCTACTCTACAAAATCCTTGATGATATAATTACTGTTTTGCAGCGGTGACTATTAGAAAATATTGTGACGTAAATGCAGATTTCCTCCCCTCCCCTCCCCTCCCTTCTCCTTCCCTTCCCTCACCTCCCCCCCTCCTCTCCTCTTCGACAGGGTCTCACTTTGTTGCCCAGGCTGGAGTTCAGTGCCATGATCATGGTTTACTGCAGCCTTGACCTCCTGGGTTCAAGCGATCCTGCTGAGTAGCTGGGACTACAGGTGTGTGCCACCATGCCTGACTAATTTTTTAAAAGTTTTTTTTGTAGAGATGAGGTCTCAGTATGTTGCCCAATCTGGTCTTGAATTCCTGTATTCAAGCAATCCTCCGATCTTAGCCTCCCAAAGTGCTGGGATTACAGGTGTGAGCTACCACACCCGGCCTGCTTAATATTTCCAAATGTATAATGGTTCAAATTAATTATGTTATGTTTTCATTAATATATCACATTTAAACAATAAATAGGTTAATGTAGCATACATTTTTCATCAAAAGAATGTTTTAGTTTGTTAATAAAATTATTGTATTTGTATATGGCAACATAAATTCTGTTGTATCAAGGGATACCGATATTGAACTTTGCATCAGGGTTGACTTTTCCCTTTTGTGCCAGTGCACACATCCTGTGGGTGTACCCTGTGGTACAATGGCTGTGGGCCATTGCTAATGTGCTTTCTTTTCCATGCAAAAAAGAAATAAATAAAATAAAGCTTATCAGAAAGCATTGAGGATGAATGTATTGTAGGGATAAGCGAATGCTGCATTGCCTCTGCTTTATACAAAGTACAAATCATTTGCTTAAGTCTTGATATTTTAACTATTAGTTAAAAATGACTTGGAGCATAGTTGGCAAATACTAGCGACACAGAGGTTCAAAATTGCTGCTCCAGCATGCTCCTACTATACCCACCTCCAAGCAAAGATGGCTGATACATATCAGTTCCACTAAATAGATACATGTACATGCCAGTGAGCCTCAAGAAAAGAAAAAGAGGGCAAGAAGATGTGAATAGTAGGAGAGGTATTATATAATTTATTATGTACTGGCACCTTTAACAATATTTAAATAACACAAGAACACTGGTCTTAGATGGTGAGACCTACGGTGAAAAGGGACTATATCTAACCATTCTCATGTCCCCCCCAAACAGCCTGTACTTCATAAATTCTTACAAATAATTTTAATATGCAGTAAAGTCCCACCATAAGGCATTTTGTATGGAGCTTTGCTTAGAGGGTGGTTTCAAGCACAACTTTGTTTTTTAAAAATACATGGTACATTTTTCTTACTTTAGCATAAAATGGCCTGTGCTATATATTTTCTTTTTATGACCAGGCATTCTATACAAATCAAAACAGATCAATAGAAGATTAATTAGCAATTTATTTATTGCTAATACTCTTACTGCTTTAAAACATTATCCAAGAATTTGCATTGCACCTTCACATCAGTTTGGGCTGCGAATCCTGGTTCATGGACATTCACTGTATCCAATGAGCAGTTTTTTGAGCTCTGTGCTAGGCAGTTACAGTCTAGAGATGGAGAAGTTATGATCCCTATTTTTAAGTAGCTAAGTGTGGGAAAAGACTGCAGCACATTTGCTTTTATCTTTATTTCTAAATCATCTGGATAAAAAGTTGTAGGATATCTAAGGAGGAGAGTGTGGCTTAGCCGACAGAGGATTCCAACCTACTACCGTATTCTACTCTCTCAGGCACGAGGCTATTAGGGGAGATAGAGGTGGAGATGACAGGTTGGGGTGGGAGCGAGGTGGATTAGGGCTGGTGGAGGGAAGTTTGGGTGGAAAACAACTTACTGATTTTGGAAGTCTGTGTGAGCCCACTTACCAGTGTTTATCTAATCTCAATAAAATCTAGGTAAGGTGAAAATAAGGACACCTCTTTGTGGTGAAGGTACATTTAGGATCCAAGGGCTGAATGAAATGGATAAGTAAGATTTAAAAAGGAAACATTATAAACCTCTCTCTTTTTCTATTTTTAAGGACAAAATTAGAAGATCAAAATGGAAAATATGCTGCTTTGGTTGATATTTTTCACCCCTGGGTGGACCCTCATTGATGGATCTGAAATGGAATGGGATTTTATGTGGCACTTGAGAAAGGTACCCCGGATTGTCAGTGAAAGGACTTTCCATCTCACCAGCCCCGCATTTGAGGCAGATGCTAAGATGATGGTAAATACAGTGTGTGGCATCGAATGCCAGAAAGAACTCCCAACTCCCAGCCTTTCTGAATTGGAGGATTATCTTTCCTATGAGACTGTCTTTGAGAATGGCACCCGAACCTTAACCAGGGTGAAAGTTCAAGATTTGGTTCTTGAGCCGACTCAAAATATCACCACAAAGGGAGTATCTGTTAGGAGAAAGAGACAGGTGTATGGCACCGACAGCAGGTTCAGCATCTTGGACAAAAGGTTCTTAACCAATTTCCCTTTCAGCACAGCTGTGAAGCTTTCCACGGGCTGTAGTGGCATTCTCATTTCCCCTCAGCATGTTCTAACTGCTGCCCACTGTGTTCATGATGGAAAGGACTATGTCAAAGGGAGTAAAAAGCTAAGGGTAGGGTTGTTGAAGATGAGGAATAAAAGTGGAGGCAAGAAACGTCGAGGTTCTAAGAGGAGCAGGAGAGAAGCTAGTGGTGGTGACCAAAGAGAGGGTACCAGAGAGCATCTGCGGGAGAGAGCGAAGGGTGGGAGAAGAAGAAAAAAATCTGGCCGGGGTCAGAGGATTGCCGAAGGGAGGCCTTCCTTTCAGTGGACCCGGGTCAAGAATACCCACATTCCGAAGGGCTGGGCACGAGGAGGCATGGGGGACGCTACCTTGGACTATGACTATGCTCTTCTGGAGCTGAAGCGTGCTCACAAAAAGAAATACATGGAACTTGGAATCAGCCCAACGATCAAGAAAATGCCTGGTGGAATGATCCACTTCTCAGGATTTGATAACGATAGGGCTGATCAGTTGGTCTATCGGTTTTGCAGTGTGTCCGACGAATCCAATGATCTCCTTTACCAATACTGCGATGCTGAGTCGGGCTCCACCGGTTCGGGGGTCTATCTGCGTCTGAAAGATCCAGACAAAAAGAATTGGAAGCGCAAAATCATTGCGGTCTACTCAGGGCACCAGTGGGTGGATGTCCACGGGGTTCAGAAGGACTACAACGTTGCTGTTCGCATCACTCCCCTAAAATACGCCCAGATTTGCCTCTGGATTCACGGGAACGATGCCAATTGTGCTTACGGCTAACAGAGACCTGAAACAGGGCGGTGTATCATCTAAATCACAGAGAAAACCAGCTCTGCTTACCGTAGTGAGATCACTTCATAGGTTATGCCTGGACTTGAACTCTGTCAATAGCATTTCAACATTTTTCAAAATCAGGAGATTTTCGTCCATTTAAAAAATGTATAGGTGCAGATATTGAAACTAGGTGGGCACTTCAATGCCAAGTATATACTCTTCTTTACATGGTGATGAGTTTCATTTGTAGAAAAATTTTGTTGCCTTCTTAAAAATTAGACACACTTTAAACCTTCAAACAGGTATTATAAATAACATGTGACTCCTTAATGGACTTATTCTCAGGGTCCTACTCTAAGAAGAATCTAATAGGATGCTGGTTGTGTATTAAATGTGAAATTGCATAGATAAAGGTAGATGGTAAAGCAATTAGTATCAGAATAGAGACAGAAAGTTACAACACAGTTTGTACTACTCTGAGATGGATCCATTCAGCTCATGCCCTCAATGTTTATATTGTGTTATCTGTTGGGTCTGGGACATTTAGTTTAGTTTTTTTGAAGAATTACAAATCAGAAGAAAAAGCAAGCATTATAAACAAAACTAATAACTGTTTTACTGCTTTAAGAAATAACAATTACAATGTGTATTATTTAAAAATGGGAGAAATAGTTTGTTCTATGAAATAAACCTAGTTTAGAAATAGGGAAGCTGAGACATTTTAAGATCTCAAGTTTTTATTTAACTAATACTCAAAATATGGACTTTTCATGTATGCATAGGGAAGACACTTCACAAATTATGAATGATCATGTGTTGAAAGCCACATTATTTTATGCTATACATTCTATGTATGAGGTGCTACATTTTTAGGACAAAGAATTCTGTAATCTTTTTCAAGAAAGAGTCTTTTTCTCCTTGACAAAATCCAGCTTTTGTATGAGGACTATAGGGTGAATTCTCTGATTAGTAATTTTAGATATGTCCTTTCCTAAAAATGAATAAAATTTATGAATATGACTTAAAAGAAGGGTCTGGTTATTTTCCTTAGGAACCAAGGCTGCAACACTCATTCTGGCCATCATGTAGTGTAAGCAGAGTCCAGTGACTGCCCTGGGGCAAAACACAGAGTAGGCACTCAATGTGTATTTATTGAATAAATAACTACTTGCTAAAAGGCTGTAAAAAGAGAATAGTTCAGGGCATTATGTTTAAAGAATTTTAGTGATCTATAATCAAGTACACTGTAAAATTCAGCAATTGCAGGCCTTATTTCTGGTTTGGTCTGTTCTTTCTGGTAGTTTCTAAGGCCATATTCTCTTCTCTCTTGACACACTTAAGTCATTGATTCTGCCAGGGTTCAAATTTATCTTATTATTTTTTAATAATGGGGAGTTATACTGTGGACTAGTATGCCAAGAAGTAATTGATTAGATTATGATAAATGATTTTGTGAATGGTGTTGAAAACAGCAGAAATTCAGTACAAGTGCAGACTTTTTTTTTTTTTTTTTTTTGAGATGTCTGGCTCTCTCACCCAGGGTGGAGTGCAGTGGCGTGATCTCAGCTCACTGAAATCTCTGTCTCCTGGGTTCAAGCAATTCTCCTGTCTCAGCCTCCAGAGAAGCTGGGACTACAGGTACGTGCCACCACGCCTGGCTAATTTTTGTATTTTTAGTAGAAACGGGGTTTCACCATATTGGTCAGGCTGGTCTCGAACTCCTGACCTCGTTTGATCCACCTGCCTCGGCCTCGCAAAGTGCTGGGATTACAGGCGTGAGCCGCCGCACCTGGCCGTGCAGATTCTTTTATAATGTAAACCTCTTAAAAATAATTCCATAAAAATTAAAACATAAATTAGCTATAACTCTTACTGTATCTGTATATATGCTTTTGTATTTTTTATTTAATTGAAGTAGAGATAGGGTCTTGCTACATTGACCAGGCTGGTCTCAAACTCCTGGCCTCAAATGATCCTCCCGCTTTGGCATTAAAGTGTTGAGATTACAAATTTGAGCCACCATGCCCAGCCATATGTGTTTTGTATACAGGATTTTAGCAAGTATTAACTATCATTTTATTTTTTTTAATGATTTGATTTAATTCCAAGCACATTTCACTAAGTAGTATTTTATTATTGTTTCCAGTGGTATAGGGCTATTGACTCAAACATTTTGCTCAATTTTTTGGGGGGAAAACATCTATGTGATCACAGAAACAAAAATGTTCCAAGGTCAATTTTGCATACTTACACACTTGCAAACACACAGACACTTACACAGAATCTTCGTCTTTGAGTCTTTGAATATAACTCCTAGCATTTGAGTAAGTTTAGAATACCTTTGGGTGCTGAATAAAATAGTTTGGTACTTAAGGTTAAATTCTGAGTATATATTCATTATATATATAATTCTTAAAATCATTGTCCAATATACTTTTCAAAAATATAAAATTGAGCTTGTTTAATTTGCAGAGACTTTTTCTCTTTTTCTTTTTAGAAACAGTCTTGCTCTGTCACCCAGGTTGGAGTGCAGTGGCACAATTACAGCTCACTGTAGCCTTGAACTCCTGAGCTCAATAGATCCTCCCACCTCAACCTTACAAGTAGCTGGGATAACAGGCATGCATGCATTAGCATGCCTGGCTAGAGGTTTTTTGTTTTGTTTTGTTTTGTTTTGTTTTAATTCTGTCATGCACTTTTCTTTTCCAAGTGAATCCTGAATCTTACATGACCTATTTAGGAACGCTAAAATGTATTGCATTAACCAGAAAGTTTTGCTTCATATACTTTTTCTCTTATGTTTATCAGATTTGAAATTGAGAACTAGATTGAACTCACTTAGCTAAACAAACATACTTACATGCATACATGTTTACTGTGTGCAAAGGACTGTACTGACTTATTGTCTGGAATCTTACCAATGGTGGATTTCAAATAACCATTTTCAAAACAACTGAAATTTAAAATTGTGGCATTCCCTCTTTATCTAAATAACATATTTTATTTTATTTTTTTCTTGTTCAAACGAAATGCATGTGGGTAGAAGCAACTTAACAATTTTTTCCTTTTTGATATGCTTCTTAATTAATCCATTGTTTATTTTGAAAAAGATTTAGATAATGTTTGATTGTCTTAGTCCATTTAGGCTGCTATAACAAAATATCTTAGACTGGGAACTCTTAAATGATAGAAATTTATTGTTCACAGTTCTGAAGGCTGGATAGTCCAAGAAGGAGGCATCAGTAGATTTAGTGTCTGATGAAGGTCCATTCCTCATAGATGGCACCTTCTTGTTGTGTCCTCATGTAGTGGATGGGCACCCAAGCTTATGCAAGCCCCTTTTATAAGAGAATTAATCCCAGTTATGAGGCAGGAGCCCTCACAACCTAATCACCTCCCACATGCTCTGCCTCTTAATACTGTCACCTTTGGGGTTAGGTTTCAACATACAAACTTTGGAGGGGTGTGAACATTCAGACAATAGCAATAACCAAGATCAGAGTTCTGGACACATTCTTACCCCTTCTTACTTGTAGATAGAATAATTCTTTTAAATTCTTATTTCATAGAAAGAATCTCAGGATAAGAAGAGACTATAAAAGATCATCAGTTTAACCCTATACTTTAAGTTTTAATCCCCTTCCATCACATTCTCTGCAAATGGTTGTCCAGTGATAAGAAAAATTTTCACCCCTTATTGTTTAGTTATTAAAATAAATTCAGAAATATAACTTACCATAAGTTATTCAGTTTGCTACATAGTGTAAAAATTATATTATGTATGTCTTGCATTTTATTCCAATGTTGACCATTTTAATTACTCATAAGTTTTTGTCCTTGTGTTAGTAACTCAGGTATTTATTCGCATCAAACATAAACTGTGATTATTAATTAAGAATATTGGGATAAGGCAATTTGACCAAGCACTGGATAGTACAAGAATGTGGCTCTATAGCTATAAATAACCTAGAATTAGCATCATTATTCTTTAGGGTGGTTTCCCAATAACAGATACTTTTTTGGCTACTGATTTTTAAAAGTACCTGCCAGGCTTTAAAAGTACTTCAATAAAACTACTTTTACTAAAAATGATCAGCAAAAACATCTTTACTTAATTAACAGAAGAGCCTTTTTAATAAACTGATTTTTGCAACTAGGTCATTGCTCTTTCTTCAATGGCCAAATCATTAGGTTCAGAGATATTTAGGAGATTTGGTCTAATCAGTGATGAAATCATGTCCTCGTCAAATAGCATCGACCTATAGGCAGATTCACAAGTTTTAATTTTTATTAAAATAAAATTTCAATAAAATCTTGCTCTGTTGCCCAGGCTAGAGCACAGTGGAGTGATCGTGGCTCCCTGAAGCCTTCCTCCTGGGCTCAAAAGATCCTCCTGCCTCAGCCTCCCAAGTAGCTGGGACTACAGACATGTGCCATCATGCCAGGCTAATTTTTAAAGTTTTTTTTTGTAGAGATGTGGTCTTACTTTGTTGCCCAAGTTGGTCTCTAACTCCTGGGCTCAAGTGATCCTTCTGCTTCGGTCTCCCAAAGTGCTGGGATGACAGGTGAGAATCACTGTGCCCGCCCACATGTTTTTATTGATTCACTATTCAACTAAGCGGAAAAACCATCCTCAGATGGTTTTCTTTTCTACTTATAAAATCTAGGGAGGGAAATTCCTTGCTTCTTCCTCTCTGTATTTAAAAGCTGATGTTTTGATCCAGTTAGCTAACTGTCTAGAACATGGTGGGCAAAATGACTTCTGATCCCAATATGGGCTAGTTTGCTTACCCACAGGTAAGGTGGTGGTGTTGCCATAACAAAACCCCACACACTGGGTGGCTGAAACAAAAGACATTTAATTCTCACAACGCTGGAGGCTAGGAAGTCCAAAGTCAAGGTAGGTTTCATTTTGAGACCTCTTCTCTTGTCTTGAATTGGCTGCCGTCTCATTGTATGCTCCTGTGACCTCTTCTTTGTGCACAAGCAGGATGACAGAGAAAGGGAGAGCAGACTCTCTCTGTTTTTTCATCTTATAAAGACACTAATCCCATCATGAGGGCCCCATCCTTATTACCTCATTTAACCTCAATTACCTCCCAAAGGCCCCATTTCCAAATACCATCACAACTGGGGGTTAGAGATTCAGCATGTGACATTTTTAGGGGTGGGTGTGGGACACAGACACACAGTTCATAACACGTATGTAAACCTACAAGTTGCACTAAACTTCTAAACCTACAAGTTGCACCTTGGGCCAGACCCAGGGAATTCACAAGCATGTGTCACTAGAGAAACTAGGCAAAGGGGTATGAACGGCAGCTCAGGACAGCCAATCTCTTTTTCCTAACTTTCATCATCATTATTTCAAGTACTCGTACCTGGCACAGAGGCAACGATGGATACATGCTTAAACTTATCACCAAGTATTCATTGAGGCTTACTCTTTCAGGGCATTACTTACTCTATGCTATATGCTGAAGCTCCAAAATGCTATAGGTATTGTCTTAATTGTGTATCATATTAAAAATATAGCGAAATATTTAAATAATGGGAATATTTTCTTGTAATGAGAATTTTAGTATTGGAATACACTATAGCGTGCGACTTAAGGAATTAGATATTTGACACATTCTCTGTTGACTCATGTATGTTTACGATAGAAACTGCCTTCAAACAGACAAGTGCCAAGCTTCTGTAGCTACACCTTATCCTCTCCTCTGCCATGTAAATATTTAATCAGACAACCTCTGCCTCAAAACCTGTCACCAAAATCTTTTTGCCTTAGTAGTATTTAAAAATTTCCAGTAACACCTTAACATCCATTCACTTTTCTCAAGCACAGAGGACAAGTTGCCCACTTACTTAGAATATCTACTTTGATCCACATTGCAATCAATCATAGGATCCATTATTGCCTCCCTGTGTGATTTTACCAACTGGGTTTACAGTTTACCAAACTGAGACTGCATGATCATATTTCACTTTGTATTTGTAAATGTTTACTAATATTCAACTAATATGAACTTGTGTTTATGTTATTGAAATCCTCTGTGCATGCTCATATTATACTTAAGTGTGTGTACACTTTCACACGCAGTATAGATAAGAGGAATACTTTGAACACTGTTCACACAACCGAACACAGATGAGTTTGGAAAGATCCTCTGGGCTTTTGCTCAGCCTAATTAACACTCATTTTCCTTACTTTTCTATATTATATTTTGCATTTAATTTCATTAGTAATTTGTAATATACCACACAATATCTCACTTATCTAGAACTTCCTTTTCTGATGACTTCAAGTATCTAAAATGTAACAAAAAAATTAAGTTAAACAGTGTCTTCTGAATAACCGACATAGATGCCACAAAATTACTTTTACTCTAGAAATAATCTTAACAAGTTGGGTTATCTGATTTCTGGAACTATAATGAGAAGGCTGCTACTGAGGCAAGTCCAACAGTCTCAAGAAGTGATAGCTGACAGAGAAGGAGGATGTAGAAAAAACATTAAACTATAAAAAAACCCAGGTATATAGGTACTATAAAATTTTAGTAGTTTGGAGCTACTGAGTTTGGGCAAGTAGCTTTGTGAGCCGTATTAGCCTGTGAAATCATAGCAATATATGTTATGTTTATAATGATGACTGAGCAATCAATATAAAATCATGATCAGTATGAGTTTTGAAAGGCATTACATGATAGAAAAGTTTTCATGAAAATGGCTTGACATTTTATTAAAGTCTTGTTTAAAATAAGAGAAACATCAGTGGTCAATGGAATTGACTTGTTTTTAGGCTCAAATGAAATTCTAGCCTCAAAAATTGAGGAAAAAATGTTACCGCAATATTTTGGTCATTCTTCAGGGTAAAAATATCTGAGTATTTTGAAGACTAATGTGTGTTATTGAAAGTTTGAAAGTTGTCGAATAGCTGCACCCAATTTATGCATACATACAGTGCTGTGAGATAGGCACAGTAAGTCTGGTATAATGAAAAAAGTTCAGGATGCAAAATAAAATACCTTAGTTGTCTAATCATAGTGGACTGCCCTGTAGAGAGCAAATGTTGACCAAATATAATGTGCTGATCATTGTAATTGGTATTGTTAATTGCAAAAGTTACCTAAGACAATCAATAGTTGCATATAATAAATTAGTTGCATTCTGTTTTACTTTATGTTTGTGAAAGACAAACTGGAATTTCCTAAGAGGAGAGATCAGCAATCATGTGGTCCTGTAGAACTAAGGTGATTGTGTGTGCTGGTGCAAATTTTGTTCTCTGAAACTAGACATCCTCCCTTCCCCAATATTATGTTACTCCTAAACTTCAGCTTACCAGAGTTTGTGGTATAGCTCACAACACAACATATTTCTAAGAACAGTCCATTATGGAGCCTACCTCTTCTCAGCTAGCTAAGCAATCCGGGGATCTTCAGAGCAATCTAATACCCAGAGTACTAGGGGCTTCTGGAAGGTAAGGAAGAGAGACCTCTTTCTGATACCTGTGTGTTTCCTTGACCAGCCCTTCCTCTCCTATTAATTGATAGGAGTCAAAACTCTGCAATTTTTGCTTTACTTAGAATTTAAACTACTGCTACTAACCTAGACTCCAGATCACAAAACAATATAAATTTCAGGAAATAGAAGAAAATAATTTACTAGTATACCCTAGAGAGAGATCTAGGAGGACATAGGACTTTTTTTCTCCTTAAGCCTACTTTAAATGGATGAGTTGTTAGAAAAATTTGCAGCTAACAATCTTAGAAGACAGAACTTTTAAATTAAAAAATTTTTTCCTTGTACCTCTGGTAGAATTTGGTTGTGAATCTGTCTGGTCCTGGACTTTTTTCGTTGGTAGGCTATTAATTATTGCCTCAATTTCAGAGCCTGTTATTGGTCTATTCAGGGATTCAACTTCTTCCTGGTTTAGTCTTGGGAGGGTGTATGTGTCCAGGAATTTGTCCATTTCTTCTAGATTTTCTAGTTTATTCGCGTAGAGGTGTTTATAGTATTCTCCAATGGTAGTTTGTATTTCTGCGAGATCGGTGGTGATATCTCCTTTATCATTTTTTATTGCGTCTATTTGATTCTTCTCTCTTTTCTCCTTTATTACTCTTGCTAGCAGTCTATCAATTTTGTTGACCATTTCAAAAAACCAGCTACTGGATTCATTGATTTTTTGAATGGTTTTTTGTGTCTCTGTCTCCTTCAGTTCTGCTCTGATCTTAGTTATTTCTTGCCTTCTGCTAGCTTTTGAATGTGTTTGATCTTGCTTCTCTAGTTATTTCAATTGTGATGTTAGGGTGTCAATTCTAGATCTTTCCTGCTTTCTCTTGTGGGCATTTAGTGCTATAAATTTCCCTCTACACACTGCTTTAAATGTGTCCCAGAGATTCTGGTATGTTGTGTCTTTGTTCTCATTGGTTTCAAAGAACATCTTTATTTTTACAAGGAGGAGATGGTACCATTCCTTCTGAAACTATTCCAATCAATAGAAAAAGAGAGAATCCTCCCTAACTCATTTTATGAGGCCAGCATCATAAAGGCTGGCAGAGACACACACAAAAAAGAGAATTTTAGACCAATATCCTTGATGAACATTGATGCAAAAATCCTCAATAAAATACTGGCAAACCGAATCCAGCAGCACATCAAAAAGCTTATGCACCATGATCAAGTGGGCTTCATCCCTGGGATGCAAGGCTGGTTCAACATATGCAAATCAATAAACATAATCCAGCATATAAACAGAACCAAAGACAAAAATCACATGATTATCTCAATAGATGCAGAAAAGGCCTTTGACAAAATTCAACAACCCTTCATGCTAAAAACTCTCAATAAACTAGATATTGATGGAACATATCTCAACATAATAAGAGCTATTTATGACAATCCCACAGCTAATATTGTACTGAATGGGCAAAAACTGGAAGCATTCCCTTTGAAAACTGGCACAAGACAGTGATGTCCTCTCTCACCACTCCTATTTAACATAGTGTTGGAAGTTCTGGCCAGGGCAATCAGGCAGGAGAAAGAAATAAAGGTATTCAATTAGGAAAAGAGGAAGTCAAATTGTCCCTGTTTGCAGATGACATGATTGTATATCTAGAAAACCCCATCGTCTCAGCCCAAAATCTCCTTAAGCTGATAGGCAACTTCAGCATAGTCTCAGGATATCAAATCAATGTGCAAAAATCACAAGCATTGTTATACATCAATAACAGACAAACAGAGAGCCAAATCATGAGTGAACTCCCATTCACAATTGCTTCAAAGAGAATAAAATACCTAGGAATCCAACTTACAAGGGATGTGAAGGACCTCTTCAAGGAGAACTACAAACCACTGCTCAATGAAATAAAAGAGGACACAAACAAATGGAAGAACATTCCATGCTCATGGATAAGAAGAATCAATATTGTAAAAATGGCCATACTGCCCAAGGTAATTTATGGTTTCAATGCTATCCTCATCAAGCTACCAATGACTTTCTTCACAGAATTGGAAAAAACTACTTTAAAGTTCCTATGGAACCAAAAAAGAGCCCGCATTGCCAAGTCAATCCTAAGCCAAAAGAACAAAGCTGGAAGTATCATGCTACCTGACTTCAAACTATACTACAAGGCTACCGTAACCAAAACAGCATGGTACTGGTACCAAAACAGAGATATAGACCAATGGAACAAAACAGAGCCCTCAGAAATAATACCACACATCTACAACCATCTGATCTTTGGCAAACCTAACGAAAACAAGAAATGGGGAAAGGAATCCCTATTTAATAAATGGTGCTGGGTAAACTGGCTAGCCATATGCAGAAAGCTGAAACTGGACCCCTTCTTTACACCTTATACAAAAATTAATTCAAGATGGATTAAAGACTTAAATGTTAGACCTAAAACCATAAAAACCCTAGAAGAAAACCTAGGGAATACCATTCAGGACATAGGCATGGGCAAGGACTTCATGTCTAAAACACCAAAAGCAATGGCAACAAAAGCCAAAATTGACTAATGGAATCTAATTAAACTAAAGAGTTTCTGCACAGCAAAAGAAATTACCATCAGAGTGAACAGGCAACCTACAGAATGGGAGAAAATTTTTGCAATCTACTCGTCTGACAAAGGGCTAATATCCAGAATCTACAAAGAACTCAAACAAATTTACAAGAAAAAAACAAACAACCCTACCAAAAAGTGGGCTAAGTATATGAACAGACACTTCTCAAAAGAAGACATTTATGCAACCAAAAGACACATGAAAAAATGCTCACCATTACTGGCCATCAGAGAAATGCAAAGCAAAACCACAGTGAGATACCATCTCACACCAGTTAGAATGGCAATCATTAAAAAGTCAGGATAACGACAGGTGCTGGAGAGGCTGTGGAGAAATAGGAACACTTTTACACCGTTGGTGGGACTGTAAACTAGTTCAACCATTGTGGAAGACAGTGTGACGATTCCTCAAGGATCTAGAACTAGAAATATGATTTGACCCAGCCATCCCATTACTGGGTATATATACCCAAAGGATTATAAATCATGCTGCTATAAAGACACATGCACACATATATTTATGGCAGCACTATTCACAACAGCAAAGACTTGGAACCAACCCAAATGTCCAACAATGATAGACTGGATTAAGAAAATGTGGCACATATACACAATGGAATACTATGCAGCCATAAAAAGGATGAGTTCGTGTACTTTGTAGGGACATGGATGAAGCTAGAAACCATCATTCTCAGCAAACTATCGCAGGGACAAAAAACCAAACACCGCATGTTCTCACTCATAGGTGGGAATTGAACAATGAGAACACATGGACACAGGAAGGGGAACATCACACACCGGGGCCTGTCGTGGGGTGGGGGGAGGGGGGGAGGTATAGCATTAGGAAATATATGTAATGTAAATGATGAGTTAATGGGTGCAGCACACCAACATGGCATATGTGTATATATGTAACAAACCCGCACGATGTGCACATGTACCCTAGAACTTAAAGTATAATAATAAAAAAAAGAACTTAAAAAAAAGTAAAAAAAATTTTTTTCCTCTGCAATACCTGCAAAAATGCAGTTTCTTCTACTTTTTTGTTTTAAAAATCAGGACTGACTTAATGCCAACGATCTGCTGCCAAACAAAAGTACCACTTTATCAAGCAATTACCTAAAAATAAAACTGTTATTTTTGAGACAGAACTGAGTTTAGTACTCTGCCACTGTACTTGGACCATTTACTTTTAGAGGCATTCTTCATGGTCTGGGGAAATAAGTGACACTGTACCCAACAAATGTGCAGTTGTGTCACTTTATGTAGACTGGTACGTGACTGATGTGGCTCCATGAACAGATGTCCTGGAGCCACATCATGGCTATGTGTGGGCAGTCATTGGCTCACATACAGTAGCATCTCTCTCATGCACATACCCCCAAATTAAAGTTTGGTTTTTGGTGGAAACTAGTATATCATAATGCCACTGTGTTTAGGAGACAGTATTTAAAAATTGCTGCTATATGAGGTTGGCGCCTCCTAGTGGCCAGGAATGGTAAGAAACAAAGCTTCCAAGCTAGACTTGGACCAGCTTTTGGAAGGACTTCGAATGGTATGCTAGAGTACTTGGACTTTAACCTTTAGATTACTAGGAATTGATGCAGGTTTTACGTCAGGTAAATGTGAACAAATGGGAATTTTGAGAAGGAAACCTTCTGGAAGCACTATTTAGGCTGTACTGGGGTGGTTTGAGTGGGGATTAGACGCAAAAGAGCCCAATACAGAGACTGCTGGAGCAGCCGTGGTAAGGAAAAGGCAGAGAGAAAGGCAAGAGAGGACACCTTGTGAGATATTTAGAGAGCTGAATGTTTACTATACTTAGTGGCCTTTGAATACAGGAGAGAAGAGTTGAGGGTGTTCTGTTCCCTGAACTTCTGGTTTGGGAGACTGGGTAGATGGTGAGAACACTGACCAAGACAGAAAGATTAGGCTTGGGGAAAAAGATAATGAGTTCATTCTTAGACATGTATGTTAAAAAGTGTTGTAGGATACTTATCAATAACATTGACAATACCCTTAATAATGACAAGAAAGTTAAATAAAAAACGTGGTTCTATAGTGAACTAACCTATTAATTAACAACATAACCAGTAAGTCATATAACTATATTTTGTTCTGAACTCAAATAGCATCTACACCTTTTTTCTCTTTCCTTTCTTCTTTTTCTTTCTTTCCTTCCTTTTCTTTCTTTTTCCTTCCTTCCTCCCTTCTTCCTTCTTTCTTTTTCTTTCTTTCTCTTTCTTCTTTTTCTTTCGTTCGTTCTTTTTCTTTCTTTTCTTTCTGATTTTTGACTTTCCGACTTTCTAACTTTCCTTTCTCCTTCATTCCTTCCTCTTTTTCTTTTTTTCCCTTTTCTTCTTTCTTTCTAACTTTCTAACTTTGCTCTTTCTCCTTCCTTCCTTCTCTTTTTCTTTCTTCTTTCTTTTCTTTCCTTCTTTCTTTTTCTTTCTCTTTTGTTTCTCTCTTTCCTTCTTCCTTTCTTTCCTTTCTCTCTTTTCTCTCTCCTTCCTCCCTCCCTCCTTTCCTTTCTTTTCTTTCTCTTTTTTCTTTCTTTTCTTCTTTGTTTTCTTTCTCTCTCTCCTTCCTTCCCCTCCCTCCCTCTCTTCTTTTCTCTTTCTTTTCCTTCCTTCCTTCTCTTTCTCTTTCTTTGGTTCTTTCTCTCTCTCCTTCCTTCCCCTCTCTCCCTCCCTCCCTCCCTTTTCTTTTTCTCTCTGCTTCTTTCTCTTTCTTTTCTTTCTCTCCTTCCTTCCCCTCCCTCCCTTTCTCTCTTTCTTTTCTTTTCTTCTTTCTTTCTTTCTTTTTCCTTCCTTCCTTCCTTCCTTCCTTCCTTCCTTCCTTCCTTCCCTTTCTCTCTTTCATTTCTTTCTCCTTCCTTCCTTCCTTTCCTTGTTCTTTCTTTCTGAAAGAGTCCCTACTGTCACCCAGGCTGGAGTGCAGTGATAAAACTATGGCTCACTGCAACCTCAATCTGCCAGGCTCAAGCAATGCTCCCACCTCAGCCTCCCGAGTAGCTGGTACCACAGACGCATGCCACTATGCCTGGATAATTTTTGCATTTTCTTTAGAGACAGGGTTTTGCCAAGTTGCCCAGGATGGTGCTGAACTCCTGGGCTCAAGTGATTTGCCTGTCTTGGCCTCCCAAAGTGCTGGGATTACATGTAGGCATGAGCTGCCACACCTAGCTACCTTTCTTTTTCTGGTCTAAACAAAATGTTCCTTTTAATTTATCTCTAAATCTTAATTTTTTTTCCCTAAGAGACAGGTTTTCTAAAAATCTGGTCCTAAATTTACATCTGAAATATTACATGCATGGTCACAACTGCATTTCCTGTTTTTCAATACAGTGCCAAAATCCACGTGATCCAAAATACGGATGATTTAAAAAATAACTCCGACTTTCCTTGGGACACATTTATAAGACTTTTCAGACCATTGTGGGTTCTGGTTTACAGATACCGCTACAAATTATAAAAGTAGTTAACTTACCCCAAAGATGTTTCATACACTGAAAAAGAAAGATGAACCACAAGGATGTTGGGTGTCTGGAGATGAATTTAGTATCAAAGGGTGGTTTAACACCAGAGAAAATGATCACTAAGAGGTGACTGTCTCCCTTTATCTTTATTGCAAGGGGACCGCTCCAGGCCCTGCCGCTTTGTGGGGCTACTGTTTGCAGGCCTGGGTGCTGTTCTAGGCTACAGTCTCTTGTAGTCATAGGCTTTTGCTAAAAATTTTCACCCTCCTCCAGCCCTGATGGTTGCAACCTGCACCACACTACTGTGTTCACTCTCAATATTCTTATGTTCAATATCATCTTCCATCTCAGTCTAATCCATTACTAAATATTTTTTCTTTAAAAAAGTCATCGTCAATTCACAAAGTATGTTTGTTAATATTTTTGATCTCCAAGTAGAAACACTTTAAATTTTATCATTGGCCAAAAGCATCCATCAGCATCTTTATGTTCTTAGAAAGTGTCACTGGATATTGGAAACTGCGTAAGGAGTCTCCAAGAAATGGAGTTTAATCTCTGCGATGGATGCTTCTCATGCCATGCCAGCCCATTTCCCAGCTGGAGCACCCATCCTCCAGTGTGGTCAGGGGACTCCTAAGGATGCCAGAGAACCTTTCAGAACGTCCATGTCAAAACTGTCTTCACAGTAATACTAAGACACTCACTTTCCCACAAGTGTGCTCACAACAGAATTTTCCAATAACTACCTGACATGGGCTATTGTAACATGTTGAATGCAGAAGCAGATATGAGAATGCAGCTGTCTTCTGTTAAGTCTAAAATTAAAGAGATTTGCAAAAATGGCAAAACGGGACCACTTTTTTAAGTTTCTAAGATTTCACCTATATGTGAAATCTAAAAAAGTCACACTCATAGAAGCAAAGAGTAGTATTTTTCATAAAATATTTTATTTAATATATAGTGGTTTTAATATTTATATTTTTACTTTTACTACATTATTTTGAGACAGAGTCTCACTTTGTTGCCCAGGCTGGAGTGCAGTCACATGATTCGGCTCACTGCAACCTCTGCCTGCCAGGTTCAAGTGATTCTCCTGCCCCAGCCCCAAGTAGCTGACATTATAGCATGATAAACATGCCGCCATGCCAGGCTAATTTTTGTATTTTTAGTAGAGATGGGATTTCACCATGTTGCCCAGGTTGGTCTTGGACTCCTGACCTCAAGTGATCTGCCCACCTCAGTCTCCCAAAGTGCTGGGATTGAATACAGGCATGAGCCACTGCGTTCGGCCACTTTTACTACATTACTTTTAATAGCAAAACCAGCAATTACTTTTGCACCAATCTAATACATAAATAAAAATTAAACAAATGTAAAAGAATTTCAGTTTTATTTTCTAACACAGTAAATATTGACAGACATAACCCACCTACATAAAAGCTTTTGGAGGAGCCTCAATAGATTTTAAGAGTGTAAAGGGGTCCTGACACTAAACAGTTTGAAAACTCTGCTCTGTGAATCAATTATAGAAAACTTTTATGTTTCAAAATTGAATGTGTATGCGATGAGTGGAAATTAATTCACAGAATTAAATTAACGTGAGAGTTTAGCTAAGGTTAACCACTATATCACTAAATCACAAAACATCACTCCCTCATATGTCTCATTACAGATGACATCTGGATGATGTATCCAGAGATGAAATCTGCTGTCAACCAGGCTATGAGAAACAAATTTCCTTAAAACGCAAGGTGCAGCAGACTAACATGGCACATGTATACATATGTAACAAACCTGCACGTTGTGCACATGTACCCTAAAACTTAAAGTATAATTAAAAAAAGAAATATCCTAAGAAAACAACACATATCATCTTATGGGTTAGTTTGTATGTAGACAAGACTATTATCTGTTTTGTCCAAAGTTATGACAATGTCTTGTAGCTTGTCTTCTCATCAAGAGCTCAATTTTATTATTATGTGATTATTTGATCTGTAAGAATTTGTGCCTAGGAAAAATTCAAATTGATTTATAAACTTAAAGACATATATTAATATGTTTTAAAATAATTTCTTTATCTTTTAACATAAACCAACAAATTTATTTCCCCTCAAAAAATAAAAATAAAACTAAATGATTTTTCTAACCAGAAAAAAAAAACCCAAGAGGATTAACAAAAAACAAAATATTTTAAATAGAACAAACAAGACATTTTGCTTCAAAAATATAGGTCAATGTGACTCTTCAACTAATATACGCACTTATTTTGATTTCCAACAAGTGCTTCTACACAAACCACATGTAATCACTGCTGCAAGACCATGCCTTTTTCCATCAACAAAATTGTGGGCATCTTTTGTTAAAGATGTCTATTTAAGGGTCAGAAAGAAGCCTTTGCACAAATTTATCTTTCGGTGCATCGAGTTCTCATTTCTTTGTACATGTCCCCACCTTTCCCCTTCTTCTGAACCTCAGTACTCCTTCCAAAGTCTCGAGTCTATCCTTTTTTAAAAAAGTGCAGTAAATAACATAAAAGAGAACAAAGGAGAGACAATTTTTTTTTTGAGATGGAGTCTTGCTCTGTCACCGAGGCTGGAGAAGGGAGACAAATACTGAGAGAACCACCTTTACAATCATTACAACATACATGAAATGATTCAAATCTTCAAGATGGGGTGTCAATTAGTGTAAGCTCTTCTATTATACTATACACAGCTATCAAAACTCTAATAAAGGAGAACTACCAAATGATCTAGTTGTCTTGCTTCTGGATATATATGCAAAGGATTTGAAATCAGTGTTGAAGAGATATCAGTACTCCTATGTTCACTGGAGCACTATTCACAATAGCCAAGACATGGAATCAAACTAACTGTCCATCAGTGAATAAACAGACACAGAAAATATGGTGTGTATGTATACACAGTGGAATACTATTTAGTCTTAAAAAGAAGGATATTCTGTCATTTGAGACAACATGGTTGAACCTGGAAGACAATATGTTAACTGAAATACACTAGGCACAGAAATAAAAATTCTGAATCATCTCACCTATATGTGAAATCTAAAAAGGTCAAACTCATAGAAGCAGAGAGTAGAATGGTGACTACCGGGCCTGGGTGGGGCGGGAGGTGAGGATGGGGAGATGTTGGTCAAAGGGTACAAAGTTTCAATTACAGGGGAAAAATAAGTCTTTTTTAAAAATATACTTTTATTATACTTTAAGTTCTAGGGTACATGTGCACAACGTGCAGGTTTGTTACATATGTATACATGTGCCATGTTGGTGTGCTGCACCCATTAACTCGTCATTTACATTAGGTGTATCTCCTAATGCTATCCCTCCCCACTCCCCCCAGCCCACAACAGGCCCCGGTGTTGATGTTCCCCTTCTTGTGTCCAAGTGTTCTTATTGTTCAATTCCCACCTATGAGTGAGAACATGCGGTGTTTGGTTTTTTTACCCTGCGATAGTTTGCTAAGAATGATGGTTTCCAGCTTCATCCATGTCCCTACAAAGGACATGAACTCATCATTTTTTATCACTGCATAGTATTCCATGGTGTATATGTGCCACATTTTCTTAATCCAGTCTATCATTGTTGGACATTTGGGTTGGTTCCAAGTCTTTGCTATTGTGAATAGTGCCACAATAAACATACGTGTGCATGTGTCTTTATAGCAGCATGATTTATAATCCTTTGGGTATATACCCAGTAATGGGATGGCTGGGTCAAATGGTATTTCTAGTTCTAGATCCCTGAGGAATCACCACACTGACTTCCACAATGGTTGAACTAGTTTACAGTCCCACCAACAGTGTAAAAGTGTTCCTCCTATTTCTCCACATCCTCTCCAGCACCTGTTGTTTCCTGACTTTTTAATGATTGCCATTCTAATTGGTGTGAGATGGTATCTCATTGCGGTTTTGATTTGCATTTCTCTGATGGCCAGTGATGATGAGCTTTTTTTGTGTGTCTTTTGGCTGCATAAATGTCTTCTTTTGAGAAGCGTCTGTTCATATCCTTCGCCCACTTGATGATGGGGTTGTTTTTTTCTTGTAAATTTGTTTGAGTTCTTTGTAGATTCTGGATATTAGCCCTTTGTCATATGAGTAGATTGCAAAAATTTTCTCCCATTCTGTAGGTTGCCTGTTCACTCTGATGGTAGTTTCCTTTGCTGTGCAGAAGCTCTTTAGTTTAATAAGATCGCATTGGTCAATTTTGGCTTTTGTTGCCATTGCTTTTGGTGTTTTAGACATGAAGTCCTTGCCCATGCCTATGTCCTGAATGGTATTGCCTAGATTTTGTTCTAGGGTTTTTATGGTTTTAGGTCTAACATTTAAGTCTTTAATCCATCTTGAATTAATTTTTGTATAAGGTGTAAGGAAGGGATCCAGTTTCAGCTTTCTACATATGGCTAGCCAGTTTTCCTAGCACCATTTGTTAAACAAGGATTCCTTTCCCCATTTCTTGTTTTTGTCAGGTTTGTCAAAGATCAGATGGTTGTAGATGTGTGGTATTATTTCTGAGGGTTCTGTTCTGTTCATTTGTCTGTGATTCTGTTTTGGTACCAGTACCATGCTGTTTTGGTTACCATTGCCTTGTAGTATAGTTTGAAGTCAGGTAGCAGGATGCCTCCAGCTTTGCTCTTTTGTCTTAGGATTGACTTGGCAATGCGAGCTCTTTTTTGGTTCCATATGAACTTTAGTTTTTTCCAATTCTGTGAAGAAAGTCATTGGTAGCTTGATGGGGATGGCATTGAATCTATAAATTACCTTGGGCAGTATGGCCATTTTGTCCATATTGATTCTTCCTACCCGTGAGCATGGAATGTTCTTCCATTTGTTTGTATCCTTTTATTTCATTGAGCAGTGGTTTGTAGTTCTCCTTGAAGAGGTCCTTCATATCCCTTGTAAGTTGGATTCGTAGGTATTTTATTCTCTTTGAAGCAATTGTGAATGGGAGTTCACTCATGATTTGGCTCTCTGTTTGTCTGTTATTGATGTATAACAATGCTTGTGATTTTTGCACATTGATTTGATATCCTGAGACTATGCTGAAGTTGCCTATCAGCTTAAGGAGATTTTGGGCTGAGACGATGGGGTTTTCTAGATATACAATCATGTCATCTGCAAACAGGGACAATTTGACTTCCTCTTTTCCTAATTGAATACCTTTATTTCTTTCTCCTGCCTGATTGCCCTGGCCAGAACTTCCAACACTATGTTGAATAAGAGTGGTGAGAGAGGGCATCCCTGTCTTTGCCAGTTTTCAAAAGGAATGCTTCCAATTTTTGCCCATTCAGTATGATACTGGCTGTGGGTTTGTCATAAATAGCTCTTATTATTTTGAGATACGTCCCATCAATACCTAATTGATTGAGAGTTTTTAGCATGAATGCTGTTGAATTTTGTCAAAGGCCTTTGCTGCATCTATTGAGATAATCATGTGGTTTTTGTCTTTGGTTCCGTTTATATGCTGGATTATGTTTATTGATTTGCATATGTTGAACCAGCCTTGATCCCAGGGATGAAGCCCGCTTGATCATGGTGGATAAGCTTTTTGATGTGCTGCTGGATTTGGTTTGCCAGTATTTTATTGAGGATTTTTGCATTGATGTTCATCAGGGATAGTTGTCTAAAATTCTCTTTTTTTGTTGTGTCTCTGCCAGGCTTTGATATGAGGATGATGCTGGCCTCATAAAATGAGTTAGGGAGGATTCCCTCTTTTTCTAGTGATTGGAATAGTTTCAGAAGGAATAGTAACAGCTCCTCCTTGTACCTCTGGTAGAATTCGGCTGTGAATCCGTCTGCTCCTGGACTTCTTTTGGTTATTAAGCTACTAATTATTGCCTCAACTTCAGAGCCTGTTATTGGTCTATTCAGAGATTCAACTTCTTCCTGGTTTAGTCCTGGAAGGGTGTATGTGTCCAGAAATTTGTCTATTTCTTCTAGATTTTCTAGTTTATTTGTGTAGAGGTGTTTATAGTATTCTCTGATGGTAGTTTGTATTCCTGTGGGATTGGTGGTGATATCCCCTTTATCATTTTTTATTGTGTCTGTTTGATTCTTCTCTCTTTTCTTCTTTATTAGTCTTGCTAGCGGTCTATCAATTTTGTTGATTTTTTCAAAAAACCAGGTCTTGGATTCATTGATATTTTGAAGAGTTTTTGTGTCTCTATCTCCTTCAGTTCTGCTCTGATCTTAGTTGCCTTCTGCTAGCTTTTGAATTTCTTTGCTCTTGCTTCTCTAGTTCTTTTAATTTTGATGTCAGGGTGTTAATTTTAGATCTTTCCTGCTTTCTCTTGTGGGCATTTAGTGCTATAAATTTCCCTCTACACACTGCTTTAAATGTGTCCCAGAGATTCTGGTGAATGCACAAGCTTCAGTAGCTGATTCGATCAGCTGGAAGAAAGGGAATCAGTCATTGAAGATCAAATGAATGAAATGAAGGGAGAAGAGAAGTTTAGAGAAAAAAGAATAAAAAGAAACGAACAAAGCCTCCAAGACATAGGGGACTAGGTGAAAAGACCAAATCTACATCTGATTGGTGTACCTGAAAGTGACGGGGAGAATGGATCCAGGTTGGAAAATACTCTGCAGGATATTATCCAGGAGAATTTCCCCAACCTAGCAAGGGAGGACAACATTCAAATTCAAGAAATACAGAGAATGCCACAAAGATACTCCTCGAGAAGAGCAACTCCAAGACACATAATTGTCAGATTCACCAAAGTTGAAATGAAGGAAAAAATGTTAAGGGCAGCCAGAGAGAAAGGTCGGGTTACCCACAAAGGGAAGCCCATCAGAATAACAGTGGATCTCTTGGCAGAAACTCTACAAGCCAGAATAGAGTAGGGGCCAATATTCGACATTCTTAAAGATAAGAATTTTCAATCCAGAATTTCATATCCAGCCAAACTAAGCTTCATAAGTGAAGGAGAAATAAAATCCTTTACAGACAAGCAAATGCTGAGAGATTTTGTCACCACCAGGCCTGCCCTACAAGAGCTCCTGAAGGAAGCACTAAACATGGAAAGGAACAACCACTTGTTCCTTTGTGCAGTACCAGCCACTGCAAAAACATGCCAAATTGTAAAGACCATCGAGGCTAGGAAGAAACTGCATCAACTAATGAGCAAAATAACCAGCTAACATCAAAATGACAGGATCAAATTCACACATAACAATATTAACCTTAAATGTAAATGGGCTAAATGTTCCAATTAAAAGACACAGACTGGCAAATTGGATAAAGAGTCAAGACCCATCAGTGTGCTGTATTCAGGAGACCCATCTCATGTAGAGACACACATAGGCTCAAAATAAAGGGATGGGGCAAGACCTACCAAGCAAATGGAAAACAAAAAAAGGCAGGGGTTGTAATCCTAGTCTCAGATAAAACAGACTTTAAACCAACAAAGATCAAGAAAGAAAAAGAAGGCCATTACATAATGGTAAAGGGATCAATTAAACAAGAAGAGCTAACTATCCTAAATATATATGCACCCAATACAGGAGCACCCAGATTCATAAAGCAAGTCCTTAGAGATCTACAAAGAGACTTAGACTCCCACACAATAATAATGGGAGACTTTAACACCCCACTGTCAACATCAGACAGATCCATGAGACAGAAGCTTAACAAGGATATCCAGGACTTGAACTCAGCTCTGCACCAAGTGGACCTAACAGACATCTACAGAACTCTCCACCCCAAATCAACAGAATATACATTCTTCTCAGCACCACACCACACCTATTCCAAAATTGACCACATAGTTGGAAGTAAAGCACTCCTCAGGAAATGTAAAAGAACAGAAATTATAACAAACTGTCTCTCAGACCACAGTGCAATCAAACTAGAACTCAGGATTAAGAAACTCACTCAAAACTGCTCAACTACATGGAAACTGAACAACCTGCTCCTGAATGACTGCTGGGTACAGAATGAAATGAAGGCAGAAATAAAGATGTTCTTTGAAACCAACGAAAAATAAGTTTTTGAGGTCAATTGCACAGCATGGTAACTATAGTTAATAACAATTTATTGCAAAATTCTACGTTGCTGTGTTTCTTTGTTTTTAATTAACTTTTTAAATAGACAATAATTGTAGATATCAGGTTGGCTGGCAAGATGGCCGAATAAGAACATTTCCCGTCTGCAGCTCCCAGCAAGATAGACGTGGAAGGTGTGTGATTTCTGCATTTCCAACTGAGGTACCCAGTTCATCTCACTGGGACTGGTTGGACAGTGGGTGCAGCCCACAGAAGGCGAACTGAAGCAGGGTGGGGTGTTGCCTCACCAGGGAAGCTCTAGGGGTCAGGGGATTTCCCTTTCCTAGCCAAGAGAAGCCGTGAGAGACTGTACTGGGAGAAACAGTACCCTCCAGCCCAGATACTGCGCTTTTCCAATGGTCTTTGCAACCAGCAGACCAGGAGATTCCCTCAGGTGCCTAGCTCAGCAGGTCCCACCTGCATGGAGCCCAGCAAGCTCAGATCCACTGGCTTGAAATTCTTGCTGCTAGCACAGCAGTCTGAGGTTGACCTGAGACACTGGAGCTTGGTAGGGGAAGTGGAGTCTGACATTGCTGAGGCTTGAGTAGGTGGTTTTACCCTCATAGTGTAAACAAAGCTGCCGGGAAGTTCGAACTGGGCGGAGCCCACCACAGCTCAGCAAGACCGACTCCCTCTCTAGTTTCCTCCTCTCTGGGCAGGGCATCTCTGAAAAAAAAGGCAGCAGCCCCAGTCAGGGACTTATATATAAAACCCCCATCTCCCTGGGAAAGAGCACCTGGGGGAAGGGGCGGCTGTGGGCATGACTTCAGCAGACTTAAACATCCCTGCCTGACAGCTCTGAAGAGAGCAGCGGTTCTCCCAGCACAGTGTTTGAGCTCTGATAAGAGACAGACTGCCTCTTCAAGTGGGTCCCTGACCCCCGTGCCTCCTGACTGGGAGACACCTCCCAGTAGGGGCTAACAGACAACTCATACAGGAGAGCTCTGGCTGGCATCTGGTGGGTGCCCCTCTGGGATGAAGCTTCCAGAGGAAGGAACAGACAACAATCTTTGCTGTTCTGCAGCTTCCACTGGTGATACCCAGGCAAACAGTGTCTGGAGTGGACCTCCAGCAAACTCCAGCAGGCCTGCAGAAGAGAGGCCTGTTAGAAGGAAAACTAACAAACAGAAAGGAATAGCATCAACATCAACAAAAAGGACATCCACTCAGAGACCTCATCTGAAGGTCATCAACATCAAAGACCAAAGGTAGATAAATCCATGAAGATGGGGAGAAACTAGGGCAAAAAGGCTGAAAATTCCAAAAACCAGAATGCCTCTTCTCCTCCAAAGCATCACAACTCCTCGCCAGCAAGGGAACAAAACTGGATGGAGAATGAGTTTGACAAACTGACAGAAGTAGGCTTCAGAAGGTGGATAATAACAAACTCCTCCGAGCTAAAGGAGCATGTTCTAACCCAATGCAAGGAAGCTAAGAACGCTGAAAAAAGGTTAGATGAATGGCTAACTAGAATAACCAGTTTAGAGAAGAACATAAATGATCTGATGGAGCTGAAAAACACAGCACAAGAACTTTGTGAAGGATAAACAAGTATCAATAGCCAAATTGATCAAGCAGAAGAAAGGATATCAGAGATTGAAAACCAGTTCAATGAAATAAAGCAAGAAGACAAGATTAGAGAAGAAAGAGTGAAAAGAAACGAGCAAAGCCTCCAAGAAATATGGGACTATGTGAAAAGACCAAATCTACATTTGATTGGTGTACTTGAAAGTGATGGGGAGAATGGGACCCAGTTGGAAACCACTCTTCAGGATATTATCCAGGAGAACTTCCCCAATCTAGCAAGGCAGGCCAACATTCAAATTCAGGAAATACAGAGAACACCACAAAGATACTCCTCGAGAAGAGCAACCCTAAGACACATAATTGTGAGATTCACCAAGGTTGAAATGAAGGAAAAAAGGTTAAGGGCAGCCAGAGAGAAAGGTTGGGTTACCCACAAAGGGAAGCCCATCAGACTAACAGTAGATTTCTCTGCAGAAATCCTGCAAGCCAGAAGAGAGTGGGGGCCAATATTCAACATTCTTAAAGAAAATAATTTTCAATCTAGAATTTCATATCCAGCCAAACTAAGCTTCGTAAGTAAAGGAGAAATAAAATCCTTTACAGACAAGCAAATGCTGAGAGATTTTGTCACCACCAGGCCTGCCTTACGAGAGATCCTGAAGGAAGCACTAAACATGGAAAGGAAAAACCAGTACCAGCCACTGCAAAAAAAATACCAAATTATAAAGACCATCGATGCTATGAAGAAACTGCATCAACTAACCAGGTAGCATCATAATGACAGGATCGAATTCACACATAACAATATTAACCTTAAATGTAAATGGGCTAAATGCCCCAATTAAAAGACATAAGCGTGGCAAATTGGATAGAGTCAAGACCCATCAGTGTGCTATATTCAGGAGACCCATCTCACGTGCAAAGACACACATAGGCTCAAAATAAAGGGATGGAGGAAGATTTACCAAGCCAATGGAAAGAAAAAAAAAAAAAAAGCAGGGGTTGCAATCCTAGTCTCTAGGATTTTAACCAGACTTTGTTTAAACAGACTTTAAACCAACAAAGATCAAAAGAGACAAAGAAGGCCATTACATAATGGTAAAGGGATCAATTCAACAAGAAGAGCTAACTATCCTAAATATATATGCAACCAATACAGGAGCACTCAGATTCATAAAGCAAGTTCTTAGAGACGTACAAAGAGACTTAGACTCCCACACAATAATGGTGGGAGACTTTAATACCCCACTGTCAATATGAGACAGATCGACAAGACAGGAAATTAACAAGGATATCCAGGAACTGAACTCAGCTCTGCACCAAGCAGACCTAATAGACATCTACAGAACTCTCCACCCCAAAACAACAGAATATACATTCTTCTCAGCATCACATAGCACTTATTCTAAAATTGCACACATAATTGGAGCTAAAACACTCCTCAGCAAATGCAAAAGAATGGAAATCGTAACAAACTGTCTCTCAGAACACAGTGCAGTCAAATTAGAACTCAGGATTCAGAAACTCACCAAAACCACACAACTACATGGAAACTGAACAACCTGCTCCTGAATGACTACTGGGTAAATAATAAAATTAAGGCAGAAATAAAGATGTTCTCTGAAACCAACGAGAACAAAGACACAATGTACCAGAATCTCTGGGACGCATTTAAAGCAGTGTGTAGAGGGAAATTTATAGCACTAAGTGCCCACAAGAGAAAGCAGGAGAGATCTAAAATCGACACCCTAACATCACAATTAAAAGAACTAGAGAAGCAAGAGCAAACAAATTCAAAAGCTAGCAGAAGACAAGAAATAACTAAGATCAGAGCAGAACTGAAGGAGATAGAGACACGAAAAACCATTCAAAAATCAATGAATATAGGAGCTTGTTTTTTGAAAGGATCAACAAAATTGATAGGCTGCTAGCCAGTCTAACAAAGAATTAAAAGAGAGAAGAATCCAATAGGCACAATAAAAAATGATAAAGGTGATATCACCACCAATTTCACAGAAATACAAACTACCATCATAGAGTATTATAAACATCTCTATGCAAATAAACTAGAAAATCTAGAAGAAATGGATAAATTCCTAGACAAATACACCCTCCCAAGACTAAACCAGGAAGAGGTCAAATCCCTGAATAGACCAATAACAAGTTCTAAAATTGAGGCAGTAATTAATAGCCTATCAAGCCAAAAAAAGCCCAGGACCAGATGGATTCAAAGCCAAATACTACAGAGGTACAAAGAGGAGCTGGTACCATTCCTTTGGAAACTATTCCAAACAACAGAAGAAGAGGGAATTCTCTCTAACTTATTTTATGAGGCCAGCATCATCCTGATACCAAAACCTGGCAGAGACACAACAAAAAAAGAAAATTTTAGGCCAATATCCCTGATGAACATTGATGCAAAAATCCTCAATAAAATACTGGCAAACCGAATCCAGCAGCACATCAAAAAGCTTATCCACCATGATCAAGTGGGCTTCATCCCTGAGATGCAAGGCTGGTTCAACATACGCAAATCAATAAACATAATTCATCACATAAACAGAACTAATGACAAAAAATCACATGATTATCTCAATAGATGCAGAAAAGGCCTTTGACAAAATTCAACAGCCCTTCATGCTAAAAACTCTCAGTAAAGTAGGCATTGATGGAATGGATCTCAAAATAATAAGAGCTATTTATGACAAACCCACAGCCAATATCATACTGAATGGGCAAAAACTGGAAGCATTCCCTTTGAAAACCGGCACAAGACAAGGACGCCCTCTCTCACCGCTCCTATTCAACATAGTATTGAAAGTTCTGGTCAGGGCAATCAGGCAAGAGAAAGAAATAACGGATATTCAGTTAGGAAAAGAGGAAGTGAAATTGTCTCTGTTTGCAGATGACATGACTGTATATTTAGAAAACTCCATCGTCTCAGCCCAAATCTCCTTAAGCTGATAAGCAACTTCAGCAAACTCTCAGGATACAAAATCAATGTGCAAAAATCACAAGCATTCCTATACACTAATAACAGAGAGCCATATCATGAGCAAACTCCCATTCACAATTGCTACAAAGAAAACAAAATACCTAGGAATACAACTTACAAGGGATGTGAAGAATCTCTTCAAGGAGAACTACAAACCACTGCTCAAGGAAATAAGAGAGGACAGAAACAAATGGAAAAACATTCCATACTCATGGATACAAAGAATCAGTATCATGAACATGGCCATACTGCCCAAAGTAATTTATAGATTCAATGCTATCCCCATCAAGCTACCATGGACTTTCTTCACAGAATTCAGAAAAAACTGCTTTAAATTTCATATGGAACCAAAAAGGAGACCGCATAGCCAAGACAATCCTAAGCAAAAAGAACAAAGATGGAGGCATCACACTGTCTGACTTCAAACTATACTACAAGGCTATAGTAACCAAAACAGCATGGTACTGGTAACAAAACAGATATATAGACCCATGGAACAGAACAGAGGCTTCAGAAATAACACCACACATCTACAACTATCTGATCTTTGACAAACCTGAGAAAAACAAGCAATGGGGAAAGGATTCCTCATTTAATAAATGGTGTTGAGAAAACTGGCTAGCCATATGCAGAAAGCTGAAACTGGATCTCTTCCTTAAACCTTATACAAAAATTAACTCAAGATGGATTAAATACTTAAACGTAAGACCTAAAACCCTAAAAACCCTAGAAGAAAACCTAGGCAATACCATTCAGGATATAGGCATGGGCAAAGACTTTATGACTAAAACATCAAAAGCAATGGCAACAAAAGCCAAAATAGACAAATGGGATCTAATTAAAGAGCTTCTGCACAGCAAAAGAAACTATCAGCAGAGTGAACAGACAACCTAGGGAATGGGAGAAAATTTTTGCTATCTGACAAAGGGCTAATATCCAGAATCTACAAAGAACTTAAATTTACAAGAAAAAAACAAACAACCCCATCAAAAAGTGGGGGAAGGATGTGAACAGACACTTCTCAAAAGAAAACATTTATGCAGTCAACAAACATATGAAAAAATGCTCAATGTCACAGGTCATTAGAGAAATGTGAATCAAAACCACAATGAGATACCGTCTCCCACCAGTTAGAATGGCAATCATTAAAAAGTCAGGAAGCAACAGGTGCTGGAGAGGATGTGGAGAAATAAGAACGGTTTTACACGGTTGGTGGGACTGTAAACTAGTTCAACCATTGTGGAAGTCAGTGTGGCAATTCCTCAAGGATCCAGAACTAGAAATACCATTTGACCGAGCCATCCCATTACTGGGTATATACCCAAAGGATTATAAATCATGCTGCTATAAAGACACAGGCACACGTATGTTTATTGTGGCACTATTCACAATAGCAAAGACTTGGAACCAACCCAAATGTCCAACAATGATAGACTGGATTAAGAAAATATGGCACATATACACTGTGGAATACTATGCAGCCATAAAAATGGATGAGTTCATGTCCTTTGTAGGGACATGGATGAAGCTGGAAACCATCATTCTCAGCAAGCTATCGCAAGGACAAAAAACCAAACACCGTATGTTCTCACTCATAGGTGGGAATCGAACAATGAGAACACTTGGACACAGGAAGGGGAACATCACAGACCGGGGCCTGTTGTGGGGTGGGGGGGAGGGGGCAGGAATAGCATTAGGAGATATACCTAATGTAAATGACGAGTTAATGGGTGCAGCACACCAACATGGCACATGTATACATATGTAACAACAAACCTGCACGTTGTGCACATGTACCCTAGAACTTAAAGTACAATTAAAAAAATAAATAAAAGAAAGTTCACCATAAAAATACATATACATTTTGAAATATGGAATTTCAACTCATTTGGCAGCAGTTACAGAGACCCAAGTTTAATGAAGGCTTGTTAAAGTTGCTCTTTTTCCTTGTTTTTAATTTTTTATAAAATAATCAAAACTCTATTGGCATGAACAGCATTTTAAAATCTTCAGTATTTTGTCTGCTGTGTGTGTCATTTGAAACAGACCTTTTTCCCAAACATAATCAAAGAGAGAAACGTTATGTTTGCATTTCTTTGTTCAAGGTGTTTATTGCATCTCAGAGGGCGTACATGCACTGGGTTTTTAAACTGAAATACAAAGAAAGCCATTTTGAAATTGGTTTTAGGTAATTTTTCCCCATTACAGTGTATGTTATCCCCACAGTAAATTCAGATACAACCACTTTTAAATGGTACCATACATCTATTAAATAATTTGAAAAATAGGCAAACACCTTTCCAACCCAATATGCTTTTATGAAGAGCTGCCAAGCTACTAGCAACACTGATCAACAGTGACCTCATTTATGCATCAAAATCTTAAGCCAAGCCATCAGCACAGACAGTATGACAACAAATTAAAACTTAAAGAATACAGTATGTACAGTAAAAGATACAATTCTCTGAATTAGTTTAAATCCTAATCACAATGTTACAACAAAACCTACTTTGAGCTCAGTTGAAGGATGGAAGAACACTAGTCTACAAAACACACAAAGAAACACTAAATTAACAGATGTACTAAAAACCCACAGTAAAGTAAAGATATTTGCAGTAATCTTTAAATTACAGATATACCTTGGGGTGCCTTCAGAATCACTTGAATAGCACCTCTCTAACCGCATTTTCATGAACATGACACAAACAGACCCTTTACTTTTCAGTGCATTTAATCAAGAATGAATAAATAGGTCAATTTAGATGCAAAACCTGTCAAATATAATTAAAATATATATATTTTAATATAGCAGTGATAAATAGGGGATTCTTCCCATACGATTTTTCGTTCTTGATAAGGTAGCTTCAAAGAGAAGTATTTATTATGGACGTTAACCTTTATATTTTTTAAAATAAAATTTCTTAACATATACAGTGCCACAAAAATAAACATTTCTCACAACAGTTGAAGTTCCTGTGATTGGAAAAATGTACTCCACACTGAAAAAGTTTTGTATATTTATGAGTGTTTTCCTTATTATCTGGTATTATCACACTACGCTTGTAACAGAGATACAGAAGAAAAGATAATTTATGGGAAGAGTTTGGGGTTTGTTCAAAAGTTATATGTACATTGAAACCTTCAAAAACACAGACGTCTTTCCAAATAGCTCGCCACACAACAGCTGCATCATCTGTCCTCAGGTGAAGTCCAAAAAAGCACTAACGGCATCAGTAACATCCATTCATTGTTTACATCGTACAATACACAAATAATCCAAATACACTACAATTTCAAGAGTAGGGATAACAGCTAAGGTAGTACATATTCCTAATGTTCACTTTCACGGCTGTGTTACACATTTTGGAAGAGAAGTTATGAGTAAGTATTGGGTTTGGTACTGGTGGCTCCCTTTGAAACTCAGCATCAATCTTATTTGAAGTCTCCAAACTCATTTATTTTCCTATTCAGTCACAAATATTGCAGCTGTAAAGAAAACAAAAACTAGAATTAGAAAACAAGATTATTACATAGTCCTCAAACATTTTACCTCCCTTGCAATTTTACTTCATAGTTTCTGAAAACAACTTTTACATAAAAAGGTCTCTGCATGGACAAATTCAAATTTACATACTTTTCATAGCTCTTTAAAACAAGCTTAAAATTTTTAAAGTTTAGCCAGAAATTAAAAAAAAACTTTTGATGTATAGTTTCATTTTAGATAATAATTATATCAACAAAAATTTGAATTTAGATACATATTAGAAATTTTAGTAGCAGGACATTCGGTATAGCATTCAGTATCTAAGAGCAGCCAACCTTTAAAAAGGGCAGCTAAAGAAAAAGGGGGCATGGCAATGACCTTACATTATTTTTTCATGTATTCAGTTATGGTGTTCAATGAGTCACTTTCTAAACAGCTGAACCAGTGACAGAATAGAAGAGAACAGAGAGATCCCTGGCGACCCGATGCCTTTCCTCAGCCACTTCCCACTCATCTCCCTGGCTAATTCATGCATCATTCATTTCTGCTGGAAACATTTGTGGGGTCTTAAGGCTTAGCCGCATAGATAACTCTTCATAAAATAGTAATTCTCTCTGTGTCTCTGTCTTTGTCTGTCTCTGTCTCTCTTTCTCTTTGTCTGTCTCTGTCTCTCTCAGGCAAGGACTGTCTCAAGCATATCTGTTTCCTGTACTTATCAAAGTTCCTGGCATATGATTAGGGCAACATTTACTAAGTAAGAGGTGAATACAGGCTGCTCTATGCAGTTTCCTTGGTCACTCCTGAAACTATTAAGTGTTCATTGTCTCACTTATGTCTACATTAGCCAATCCAAAGTGGAATAGAAAAGTTGGGCATAAGGAGAGTTTACTTGACTGAGATGTTAATACCTTAGAATAATGCATCATTAATCTTGTATAAGAAAAAAAAAACAAATCAAGAATCCACAAAAATCTTAGTAGACATTAGGGAAGGGTTTTAAGAAATATATGTAGCACAGCAGGTGCATACTGAAAACAACATTGGACAAGAGTCCAAAAACACTGAGCCTCTTACAATTCTTCCCTGTGGGACCCTGGGCAAATTCCTTAATGCCCAAGGATCAGTTCTTTTAGCTGTGAAATGGAGACAAAAAATATCTGGATAGTTTATCTCACATGACTGTTCTATTGAGAAGTGGATGTGAAAAGTACCGTGTAAATTATGTTCATCCATTCAGCAAGGATTTGTTGAGAACCTACCCACTGTGTTAGGTGCTGGGGTCAACAGTAAACATTTTTCCTTCATTCGTTTCCTTCCATAACTTCAGCATGAGTCATTTCATAAATTATATGAAATTTGTGAAATTTAAAACTAGAACATTAGAAATTTAAAACTCTGCTTGAATGCAGAAATGTAAAGGGTAATAATCTAAGCTTTATGAGGCAAAAGAAGGATAAACAAAATAAAAATACAATTATGCAGTCAAATATATTCTTAGATGATTTCTAAATGCAATAGTATAAATGTTAGCTTTCTATAAATTCAAGTCATCATGTAATAAAGTGGTAATTTTCTAATTTACCAAGTAGCTTGGGCACCTTTTTGCTTTATTAAAGCTAATCGTTGTGCTTTCCAGGATAAGGACAATTTGGAGGTTACTTTCCCTCCTAGTTACATAAATTAAGATTTAAAAAACTCTTAAAGAGAGCTTTTAATATCAAATTTAAAAGTATAAACACTCAAATTATTACTATTATACACAGCTATTCAAAACGCAGAAATAATGAGTACCTCTGAAATAGCTAAGCATTGTATAGCTCATTATTACAAGCCTACAGGAAAAGCTCAATATTAGATACCTTAAATTGTTTACAAGAAATCCTTGATGTTAAGATCCGCTAATGGGTCCTTTGCTGGAGGTTTCTTGGGACTCTGACTGGCAGGTGTAGGGCTTGGAGAAAGCTAATGGGAAAAAGCCAGCCCCAAAGAGCAGGAATAGAAAGCAGAGAGAGAATGAGACATGGGGGGAAGAGGGGGCAGGGGGAGAGAGGGAGAGGGGGAGAGAGAGAGAGAGAGAGAGAGAGAGAGAGAGAGAGAGAGAGAGAGAGAGAGAAAAGCATTAGGCAGAACACATATCAAAGAAAACAAACCTGCAGAAGATTAGATGGTTAAAGGCTTATGAAATCTACTTGTTCTACATAGTCACAGAGTTGTGTTTAATTCTGGACTGGTAAAATATACTTCAACTGATATTTGGCTTTCTTGAACTTCTCTGACATCAGATTTAGCCAAAGTAAAATTTGGGGACTCCAGTAGAACAATATGGGTATGACTTAGGGAAGATGTGAAACACTAGTAACATAAAGATATTATGAACAAACAGTAAAACAAACAAACAACCGTTTTCTCTATACAAAAGCATTTTTACTTTCAGTCATTAGTACCTCTAAACTAATAAATCTATTTAAATGGCTTTTCCTGTAGTGAGAGTGAATTTGAAGGAAAAATAGGAAACGGTTTGCAGAAAGCTATTTAAGAAATTACTTACACTTATTAGCTAAATATACTAGAATTTCATATACATTATTTTAAGTGAAAATCAGTCAAGTTTGAGGGCACTGTTTGTTTCACATGACCAAATAGTTTCCTGGTAGTGAATGCCACTAAAATTCTAATGCAATCTATTCAGCTCTCAGAGAAGGCCAAAACTAATTATTAAATACTATAGGAAAGAATCATATTGGACTTGTTGCAAAAGTAACAAATAATTAACTTGCCTTGTTTCTGTTTAACCAGAATCTAAATTATTTTTTCATTGTGTCACAGATATAACTTCTGGGAGCTGACTTTTACAGGATACAAGGTCTTGAAAAATCTCATGTAGTTTATAGAGTAATAGTTGACATCTAGGCTTTGAGTCTAATTAATCTCCTATGCTTGTAGTAACATGCTGGGACTGTGGGGCAGTGTTGTATATTTTTATTAGTTCAGTGAACAGAGTTCCAGAAGTATGGATTTTGAGATTTGGTCCTATGTCCAGAAACTACTGACTAATTATATTATCTATCTGTCAAATTTCCATGTTTAAAACTGGGATATGGGCTGGGTGTGATGGCTCACATCTGTAAAATCCCAGCACTTTGGGAGGCCGAGGCAGGAGGATCACTTGAGGCCAGGAGTTCGAGGCCACCCTGGGCAACAAGGCAAGGCCTCATCTCTACAAAAAATAATAAAAAAAAAAATAGCTGGGCACAGTGGCTTGCATCTGTGGTCCCAGCTACTCGAGAGGCTGAGGTGAGAGGATCCCTGTTGCCTAGGAGTTCAAGGCTGCAGTGAGCTATGACTGCACCACTGCACTTCAGCCTGGGCAACAGAGTGAGAACCTATCTCAAATAAACAAATAAGCAAACAAAAAAATAACAACAAAAAACCTGGGATCTGTTTCATAGAGAGAGATATATATATAAATAAAGTAAGGCTTGAACTTCCTTAAATCAATTCAAAGATTGGTCCATAATTGATAATTAGGTGAGATGACAATATCATGATACCAGCCAATGAAAGAATGCTGCGATAGTCCAGGCATCAGTAATAAAAAAACTACTTTGTTTTCTGAAGCTACAAACTCACATTTATTTTATTATCTAGTATAATTATGCTTCTTCTCTGATATAGGAAATATAATCTAAAAATTACATAAATATGGTGTATCATTACCTGGCTTATTATGAATTCAATTACTGATTGAAACAATGTATTCCCATCATACTATCTATTTTTCATTTTCATTCTTCTAATTAAGTAAATAAATTGTTGCTAACTTTGGTATTACACAATAAAAACAACTGCCTTAAGTAATAAAATTATATTTATTTATTTCTGAAGCTTTCAGTATATCAAACACAATAAGGTTAAAAGAAATCTCAGTAACATTGTTCCAAGTGCATAATAACAGAAATATTTCTTTTTTTTCAAAAAGATGATAGTCATGGAACTATTCAAACATCAAGGAAATATTTATGATAAATGAGATCCCTTAGAATTTAAGTATATCTAAGTTATACCTAACCTCAACCATTATACCCAAAACCTTCCTGACTGTCCCCAAAAACAACACTACACAGGGTTCACCAGTCTTCACATAGACTAGAAAATTTCTCCTGAAGCCAGTTATGGCCAGTAATGGCCATGAAGGCTAGGGTTTCTCACATTCTAAATTTCTGTCTTTCAACATCCACCATTCTTTCTCTTGGTCCCTGTTGCTTTTGAGGGGCAAAGTGAAGAAGCTGAAAGGAAATTTTGGGAACAGGTCAATGGATTTAGAGATGCATCAAGGAAGCAAAAGGGATTAAAGTATACTCAGAAAGTTCACAGCAGCAGGTATTCCATGGATAAGACAGTATAAATACTGATTTGATAAGTTAAAAATATTATAGGACTGAAAACATTTACTCATATCATTAAAATATATTTGAGCTATTTGCTCTAGTTTGTAAAGCATGCTGCTACCAAAGTAGTAATTTGGTGTCCTGCCCATCCAAGTCAATTTCTCATGATGAAAACTTCTTTGGTTCTACATGTAACATCACCTTGGCCAGACAATTTAAAAGAGGAATCAGGAAAGCATGATTCATCACTAAGACTAGCACCACTAGCAGCAAAACGGTTCAACAAAGTGTAACATATTTTGGCATTTTTGAAGGGTAAGTAGCACAGTGTGTAGTAAGGAATTTAGCTTTACCTAAACTGAGGTTTTTTCCTTTGCCCAGAAAGGGAACCTCTAAATCCTTATAATTTCTCAAATGATAGGCATGTCTTTGTTATTCAAGGTGGGCTCTGGGAACAACACCTGACAGTTTATGCTAACAAGGTGACTCAGAGTGGAGGCAGAAAGCCCAACCATGAGATTTTAGGGCTGGGTCTTTGGGCCACATGAAACCAGCCTGATCTTCAGGGAGGAACAGGGGTTGAAGATTGAGTTCCACAAAATGGGTAACAATTCAACCAACCAATCCTACATAATGAAGCATCAATAAATGCTGGATGCTGAAGCTCAGGTGAGCTTGCGATACTGCATGTGTACTGTCACATGATGATGTCCACAGGAGAACCCACCTCTGAGGACAAAGAAGCTTCATGTTTAGAACTTTCCCAGATGATGTTTATGCATCTCTTCCTATAACTGGATCTAATTTGTATCCTTTTACTACAATAAAACTCTTATAAGTTTAGTACTTTCCTGAGTTCTGTGAATCATTCTAGGAAACTATCTAACCTGGCCATGGAAAAACCTCGAATTTGTAGCCAGCTAGTCTGAAGTGGGGGTGGTCCTGGGGACTCACAAATATGTGTCTTGCGTCTGGAGTGAGGAGATTCTAAAAGGGAGTATTCTCACAGACTTTGCAGTTTGGCAAACTTATTGCAGTTAGTGTCACGAGTCTTGGGTGGACATGGCAGTCTGGAGGACTGTGCTGCCAACCTTTCTGGCTAACGCTGGGAACACATACTAAAACTACAGACCAGAAGCATTCATTTCTCTGGGACACATGCCTTGGATGCCCTGAATATCTGGATGTTCTCAGGAACCAATATGAATTAAGTAGGAAGAGAATGGAGGGATCTTTAGACAGTGAGTTATTTCCATCACTTTTTCCCCCCCAAATCTCACTTTTGCAGATCTGTCTTCCAAGCTCCCTTTACTTCTGAAGCAACAGGTATGAGGATTACATTAGGTAAAAACACTTTTTAAACAGTTTGCTACACCAATGTTTTACACTTATTAGTTAATGTCACTGATTTGTGGACATTGAAGAAACTGACCTGCGTGCCAGGTACAGCGGCAGCTCCAAAGGGGGGCCTCATCATGGGCTGTGCAAACATGACCGGCTGCTGAGGCATCATGGGCATGCCTGTCCCAGCAGGAGGCTGAGGAGGAAGAATGGAGAGTGGTTCAGAGCATGAGTGGAACTCACTAGGGCACTATCCTGACATTTATTGCTTTTATGTACTTCTGACAATATTTGAGGAATCCAGGACTATGAGGAAGCATAATTTGTAATTTTAATTAGGGATAATGTGAGGCTGTACTGTGAGGGAGAGAGTCGCTAAGGTGGGTGGGTAGCATAAGCCTGGTTGGCCACATGGTATCCCCATCCCAACCAAGCTTTGTTGTTGTTTATTCATCTTCTGTAAGCATAATTCTTGGAAAGAGAAAAATTTGTTTCTTTATGAAAGATGGTCCTAAAATTGGCTGGTAAAATTGGTGAGTAAAAAGTCCTAGTATAATAATGAAGGGTTGATTTTGATGATTGGGCTAATACTATATTTTGTAAATTTTATAGCAAAAATGATATAACAATGTACTATAGAAATTAATTTGATGGTAGAACATAAGTATTTTATAACTCATTTTATCACTTCATGTGTAGACTACCTAAGGTTTAAAGCAGATGACAACTTTTTAAGTTTTACTTACTGTGTTTTGGGAAAAATTATATTCTGTAGGAATACTTAGTAATTTGGGATTTGGCAAATTATTTAGAAATGTTGATTACAATTTTTAGCACACGTCATCACTCACCATTCCAAATCCTGCTCCAGGTTGTCCAACCGATGGGGCCCCGGCAACAGGAGGAACTGAACTGGTTGGAGGTACAGCTCCTTGCTACACAGATAGACAGACATACACATATAAATAACACAAAAACACACAAACACATGCACGACAATAAACAAACAAAAAGAACAATATAATTTGGTATTTATTTATTTATTTTAAAGATGGGGTCTCACTGCATTGCCCAGGCTGGAGTACGATGGCATGATCACAGCTCACTGCAGCCTCGAACTCCTGGACTCAAGCAATTCTCCCACTTCAGCCTACTGAATAGCTGGGACCATGGGCACATGCTGCCATGGCTGACCAATTTTTAAAAATTTTTTTGTAGAGATGGGTCATGCTATGCTGTGTAGGCTGGTCTCAAGCTCCTGGCCTCAAGCAGTCCTCCTGCCTTGGCCTCCCAAAATGCTGGGATTACAGGCATGAGCCACTGTACCAAGCCGAACATAATTTGGTTTTAAAATGACAGAATTTTAAAGTGAATGCATGCCAAATATGTATGAGTGGATATGTAAAGAAAATCTCAAATTTCAGTTTTAAATTTAAAAAGGAAAATGGTTCTAGCACCACATCAATGATATAAACAAGACTACTGACTTGATGTTCTCTGTTATAGAGTCATTTGGACTTGCTGGCTTGCAGATTGCTCATAACATTGGGCTTCCTCTGTATCTTTTTAGACCCATCCTCCCTGGAAATGAGTCAAACTTCCCTAAGCTTGTCTTTTCCTATCATTATATCCTCTAATGGTATTGGGTTAGACATTTGAGGATTGTTCTAATCTTTCTATATGGCTCTAATTTGTATTAAGCAAGGTTTTTAGGTGGATGTGGTGGCTCATGCCTGTAATCCCAGCATATTAGGAGGCTGAGGCAGGAGAATCACTTGAGGCCAGGAGTTTAGGACCAGCAACATAGCGGTATGGGCAACATAGCAAGAACCCATCTCCACAAAATATTTTTTAGAAGTTAGCTGGGCCTAATTTTTGGTGGTGTGTGCCTGTAGTCTTAGCTACTCGGGAGGCTGAGGTGGGAGGACAGCCTCAGTCCAGAGCTTGAGAATGCAGTGAGTTGTAATAGCACCACTGTACTTCAGCCTGTGGACAAAGTGAGACCCTGTCTCTAAAAAAACATCAATAACAACAACAAAAGCTTCCATCAAAGAAAAACCCAGAACTAGATATCTTCATTGGTGAATTCTACCAAATGTATAAAGAATTAATACCAATTCTTCTCAAGCTTTTTAAAATAAAGAAAAGGTAACACTTTCTAATCATTCTTTGATGCTGGTATTACCCTGACACCAAAGGCAAACAAAGAAATCACAAACAAAAGAAAACTACAGCGCGATATTCCTTATGACTGTTGATGAAAAAATTCTCAACAAAATACTAGCATACTGGATCCAGCAGCATATTAAAAGATTATACACCATGACCAGGTTTTACCCAGGAATGCAAGGTTGGCTTAATATATGAAAATTAACCAATGCAATACACCATATTAATAGAATAAAAGAAAAAAATTACATGATTATAGTTAACTCTTATAATTTATGTTATCTCAGCATCTATTTTGGATACACCTTTAATTTTCTCATATCAGAAGCAGGGCTTAGTCACTCTTGATACAATTTCTAGTTCTCTGCCTCCTCCCAGTTCCTTAAGGTGGTCATCTAGATATCTGCTTCATACCATCACCTTCCCTATGGGATAGCTAGATACAACCTACTTGATTTACCCTACTGTCCCCCACACTCTGCAGAGCTAACTGTGCATATACGCCACAACAACCAACTCTCAGTCACAGCATCATTCCATGGAACTTCTGCCTGCTTGCTGTAAACCTACCAATTAAATTCCTGTGGGAAACCTGCTTAGGTGATATCCTGGACCCCAATAAAGGCCTTGGCCCACAGATCCCTCACTCTCACTCTCTTTTGCTCCTACCCACTGGTTGAACACATGTGTCCTGGATGGCTCCCCACTTCCCTTTGGCATGCTGCCCTCTTCTCCCTGGGATCTGTAACTTTTATTACTTACAGATTCTGTAATTTCATGTGTTTTATTGTATGCCTCCTCTGTGTCTCACTTGACTGACACCTAACTTCTTTGCAGGTCAAGTTCTCTTAGAGAGTGGCTATCTTGGTAGAAATAAACAACACAAGTTAGACAAGAGCCACAAGGGCATTTGCCAGTATAAACAAGCTTCCTGTGAACGAGACATCTTAGACATGAGGCTTCCCACCACAATAAAGAAGTATCCCATGAAAAACACACTGTAAACAGCAACCCGCTTTTGAGGCCTGTCAGGGCAGGGTTAGAGTTTGCAGCCACTTTCCTAAGAGAGACCTCAAAAATGAATAAGGGAAAATCACAACAATGATCATCTCAATAGATGCAGAAAAGCTGTTTGACGAAGTCCAACAGCTTTTCATGACAAAAAATACTCAACGAACTAGAAAAGCAGGGAAATTCCTCAACCCAATAAAGGGTATCTACAAAAGCCCACAGCTAACATCATACTTAGTGACTGAAAAAAAATGACTGAAAACTTTCTACCTAAAAACAAGACAAGGAGGTTATGAAAGTTCTAAGTCAGGGCAGTTAGCAGGAAAAAGCAAGAAATGGCATCCAGGTGGGAAAGAAAGAATGAAACTATCTCTATTCATCGATGGCACAATCTTTCTTTTATACAGAAATCCCTAAAGAATCCATATACAACAAAACTGTCAAAGCTAATAAACATGTTCTTCAAAGTTGCAGGATACAAGACCAATATACAAAACTCAGTGCAGTGTTCCTGGGGAACTAGCAATGAATAATCGAAAAATTTAATTATGAAAACAGTTCCATTTATAATAGCATCAACAATAAAATATTAAAAAATAAATTTAACAGAAGTATGAGACTTGAACACTGCAACTATAGAACATTGTTGAAAGAAATTAAAGAAGAACTAAATAAATGGAAAGACACCCTTTGTTCATGGGTTGGAAGACTTAACATTAAGATGGCAATAATCTGCAAATTGCTACACAGATTCAATGAAATCCCTATCAAAATTTCAACCACTTTTTTTTGGAGAAATGGATAATCTGAACCTAAAATTTATATAAAAATGCAAGAGAACCAGGATAGCCAAAACAGTTTTGAAAAAGAACAAATTTGGGGGAATCACACTTCCTGGTTTCAAAACTTAATAGAAAGGTACATTAATCAAAACAGTGTGGTACTAGCATAAAGACAGACATATAGATCAACACAAGCAAATAAAGAGTCTGGAAATAAACCCATACCTCTATGGTTAATTTTTTTTTCTCTTTCTTAAATTATCCAGCCCAATATGTCAGACGGTCAATTAATTTTTGACAAGGTTATCAAAACCAATTAATCAAGAAAGAATAGGCTCTTCCTTTCTTTCTTTCTCTTTTCTTTTTTTTTTTATATATATATATACAGGATCTTGCTCTGTCACTGAGGCTGGAGTGCAGTGGCATGATCATGGCTCACTGCGGCCTCTAGTTCCCTGGCTCAAGTGATTCTCTACTTCCCTGGATCAAGCAATCCTCTAATTTCAGCCTCCTCAGTAGGTGGAACCACAGGTGCATGCCACTGCACCCGGCTAATTTTATTTTATTTTTTGTAGAGATAGAGTCTCATTATGTTGCCCAGGCTAGTCTCAGACTCCTGAGCTCAAGTAATCCATACATCTTAGCTTTCCAAAGTACTGGGATTAGAGGCATGAGCTGTTGTACCCAGCCAGAATAGTCCTTTAAACAAATGATTCTGAGACAACTGAACCTCCACATGCAAAACGATAAATTTGGACCCCTATCATATTAAAAAACGAGCTCAAAATAGGTCAAAAATTTAATGTAAGAGGTAAAACTATAAAACTCCTGGAAAGAAACAGGTAAAAAATTTCAAGACCTATGATTAAGGCAATAGTTTTTAAAAATATGACACCAAAAGCACAAGTAATAAAAGAAAAAATAGATAAATTGGAGTTTATCAAAATTAAGAACTTTTGTGCATCAAAGGACACTATCAAGAAAATGAAGAGCTAACTCACAGAATGAGATAAAAATATTGGCAAATCATTTATCTGATAAGCATCTAGTATCCCGAATATTTAAAGATCTCTTTCAACTCCATAATAAAAAGACAACCCAATTATAAAATGGGCTAAGGATGTTATAGGGTAGCAGAATATGCCACCCCAAAATATGACACTTTGGCATAATAATTACTTTGAGCTGAAGGCAACTGAAAAGAAGCCTTTTCAGGCTTCAGTACATCACTCTCACTATTTGGAACATAAATTTACAGAGATATTTCTCCTCCCCTCTCTATCAGGGACAAAAGTTCATCACCAGAGATAACTTGAGACCCTAATCAGCCTGAGAGGGCATCAGAACAAAATGCAAAACAAACTTGACTAATTAGCCTTGAACTGCCATTAGTTTCCCATATATTTGCCACCTTAGAGAGTCAAAGTCCTTTTCCTTTGTCTTGTGACTTCTCTAAAAATATATTGTTCCTTTGCTAAGATGCCATCTAAGCCCATGTTCTAATCAAGCCTCTGAGTTACTCACCCTGAGTGCTCCCATGTGTAAGCATGATGCATGTGCTAATAACTTCTGTTTGTTTTATTATTTTTAATTTGTCTTTGATCAGTCCAATGTTCACAGCCCCAGCCAGAGAGTGTAGGAGGGTAGTAGGAAAAAAGAATTTTTCCTCCCCTACAACATAAATAGACCTTTCTCTAAAGAAGATATACAAATGATCAATACACACATGAAAAGATGTTAAACACTGTTAGTCATTAGGGAAATGCATATCAATGCCACAATGAAATACCACTTCATGCTCATTAGAATGATATAATAAATAATGAAATGAAAAATAACAATTGTTGGGAGGATATAGAGAACTTGAAACCCTATGTATTGCTGGTGGCAATGTAAAATAATGTAGCTGCTATGGAAACGCTTGGCAGTTCCTCAAAAGTTAAACATCGACTTACACATGACCCAGAGTTCTATTCCTAGGTATATTCCAAATAGAACTGAGGATATACGCTCATATGGAAACTCATATATGATAATAAAAATCTATTATGTGTAATAGAAACAACATAAGTGTTCATCAACTGATGAATGGATAAACAAAATGTGGTATATCCATAAAATGAAATATATTCAGCCATAAAAATGGAGTACTGATACATGCTTCGACATGGATAAACCTAGAAAATGTTATGCTAAGTAAAAGAAGCCAGGCATAAAAGGCTCTAAGGGTAAGGGGAAATTGAAAGGGACTGTTTCTTTTAGGGGTGATGGAAATATTCTGAAATTAGATAATGGTGATGGTTTCACAATGCTGTAAATATACTAAGAATCATTGAATTGTATACTTTAAGTTGTTAAAATAGTGAATTTAAATGTTATGTGAATTTTATCTCAATAAAAATTTTTTCAAAAGAAAGAAAATACCTATAAAATTATATTTCATATTAATGCTTTACCCATCATTTCAACAGGGTAGGTGGTAGGCTATTTACCAGACCTGAATTGCATCATTAGGACTTCAGGCTATGAAAGAGAAAAGGGCTTTATTAGCTTTAAAAGCAAAATGAACCTGCAGAAATTCCTGATCAAATAAATGGTCAAATAGTTTGAAGAAATTGTCTGAGTTAGTCATTTTGCTGAAATGGTAGATTAACTCTTACATTCAGTGGTGATAAGTTTTTAATTGGGATGCCACTTGACTGGTGCAGCTCTAGCACCTTGAGTTCTCATGTAAGCAAAATGAAGCCCAACATAAATAATAAAATGAAACTAGAGACTTTACCAATCAGAAATTGCCAACGAACAGATTCTAACTGGAGACTTTATCAAGCAGAGATCAACAACTAACCTCTAATTATGGTCCTTCTATTCTGATCAACAAAATATATTTTGTTGTACTTCTTTATCAGCCAATAAAAGTTCATGGTCCACACTGCTGTGCTGGAGCTCTCTGAACCTCTTCTGTTTCCGAGAGGTACCTGATTCATGGATCATTCTTCACTTAAATAAACTCTGTTAAACTTGCATAATCATAGCTCACCGTAGGCTCAAACACTTGGGCTCAAGCAATCCTCCTGCCTCAGCCTCTCATATAGCTCTTACTACAGGCATGTGCCACCACACCCAGCTAACTTTTTAATTTTTCTAGAGATGGGGCCTCACTATGCTGCCCAGGCTAGCCTCAAATTCCTGGCCTCAAGTGATCCCCCCGCCTCAGTTTCTGGGAGTATATGGGTGAGTTATCGCATCCAGCTCAACTTTGTTAAATTTATTTTGTCTAAAGCTTTTCTTTTAACAGTGATCTTCCTGCAAAATGCACATATTTCTGAATTGCAAATGTCTTCCCACTTGTTCGATAAAAACTTAACAGGTCTTAATTCAAGATGGATTAAAGACTTAAATGTTAGACCGAAAACCATAAAAACCCTAGAACACCTAGGCAATACCATTCAGGACATAGGCATGGGCAAGGACTTCATGTCTAAAACACCAAAAGCAATGGCAACAAAAGCCAAAATTGACAAATGGGATCAATGAAACGAAAGAGCTTCTGCACAGCAAAAGAAACTACCATGAGAGTGAACAGGCAACCTACAGAATGGGAGAAAATTTTTGCGATCTACTCATCTGACAAAGGGCTAATATCCAGAATCCTCAAAGAACTCAAACAAATTTACAAGAAAAAAACAAACAACCCCATCAAAAAGTGGGTGAAGGATATGAATAGACACTTCTCAAAAGAAGACATGCAGCCAAAAGACACATGAAAAAAAGCTCATCATCACTGGCCATCAGAGAAATGCAAATCAAAACCACAATGAGATACCATCTCACACCAATTAGGATGGCGATCATTAAAAAGTCAGGAAACAACAGGTGCTAGAGGATGTGAAGAAATAGGAACACTTTTACACTGTTGGTGGGACTGTAAACTAGTTCAACCATTGTGGAAGTCAGTGTTGTGATTCCTCAGGGATCTAGAACTAGAAATACCATTTGACCCAGCCATCCCATTACTGGCTATATACCCAAAGGATTATAAATCATGCTGCTATAAAGACACATGCACACGTATGTTTATTGTGGCACTATTCACAATAGCAAAGACTTGGAACCAACCAAAATGTCCAACAATGATAGACTGGATTAAGAAAATGTGGCACATATACACCATGGACTACTATGCAGCCATAAAAAAGGATGAGTTCACGTCTTTTGTAGGGACATGGATGAAGCTGGAAACCATCATTCTCAGCAAACTGTCACAAGGACAAAAAACCAAACACCGCATGTTCTCACTCATAGGTGGGAATTGAACAATGAGAACACTTGGACACAGGAAGGGGAACATCACACACTGGGGCCTGTTGTGGGATGGGGGGAGTGGGGAGGGATAGCATTAGGAGATATACCTAATGTAAATGATGAGTTAATGGGTGCAGCACACCAACATGGCACATGTATACATATGTAAGAAACCTGCACGTTGTGCACATTAAAGTATAATAATAATAATAATAATAATAATAATAATAACTTAATAGGTCTGCTGTGCACTGTAAAACAGGAATAAGTAACCCAGGAAGCACAGGGCTCCTGATGGCCATGATGACAGAGCCCTGCCAGCAGACGTAGTTCAATATTCAAGTCCTGCTAAGGTTTTTAGATCTAACTTGGGTTCTGTGATCTGAAAAGTGTTATAGCTACACCTCTAAGAAGCAATTAAGGGAAATTTGGAATAAGTGGGGAAAAGTAATCTTACTGCTTATCTATCAATAAAAACTTTAAAAAGGCAGCAAAAGGATTCCCCTTCCCAAATCTGCATCCTTCATCTCCTTCTCAATAGCAAAGACCTGTAGATTACAAGGAAAATTTGGAAACACTGCTTTGCTGCTTCTGAAGCACTTGTTTCTGGTGTCTCTAGCTTCTTTTCCTTGAGTATTCCTAGAAAGAGACTATAAAGGAATAGAAGGTTGGAAGAGATCAACTGGGGAGGCAGGGTGTAAAGGTATGTTGGAGAAAGCTGAAATAGTTCCCTCAGAATAATTTCTTAAGTAAAAGCAAAGCCACAGCTTTGTTAGGAAAGAACAGCTTTGTAAAAAATAAAATGGAGTATCTATATAAAAGAATATAGATAAAACTAAGAATTAATAAAGATAAAATAACTATGCATAAGAGAGCCTGTATATTGTGGTGTAAAATGCTAAGTAAAATAAAAGAAATAAAACTTTATGTAACTCTTTATTGTAACAAATAGTTTCTATTGTTCTAATTTCTCTTTCCGTAGCTGCTGTGGATACTTTATGCTAAAACTTTCCATATTTCACTTTCTGGGGTTTAATTACCAATAATTAAAATTTTTCTGCTTCATAAACAAAAATAAAGAGTTTTGGGGTTAAAAAAATGAGACAATCTCAGTCTGTGAAAGTGCCTACCAATCAGTCAGCAGCTTTGTTATCCTAAAGATGCAAAACAGTTGTTAATTAAGTACTTGATGAATTCTTAACTTTGCACAGTTAAGTCTTGATCTCAGGGTGGGTAATGGCCAAGGAAGTTCTTCAACTTAATATTACTTTTAAAGTGCTTTTCCCTTGTTCCCTTCTGGGTTAGTGGCCTCATTATTTGGCAAACTGCCTCACACAGAAACCTGGATGATATGGTTTGGCTGTCTTCCTACCCAAGTCTCATCTTGAATTCCCATGTGTTGTGGGAGGGCCTGGTGGGAGGTAATTGAATCATGGGGGCAGGTCTTTCCCATGCTGTTCCTGTGGTAGTGAATAAGTCTCATGAGATCTGATGGTTTTATAAGGGGGAGTTTCCCCAAACAAGCGCTCTCTTTGCCTGCTGTCATCCATGTAAGATGTGACTTGCTCCTCCTTATCTTCCACCATGATTGTGAGGCCTCCCCAGCCATGTGGAACTGTAAGTTCATGAAACCTTTTTTTTTGTAAATTGCCCAGTCTCGGGTATGTCTTGATCAGCAGTGTGAAAACAAACTAATATGGTAAAAATGGTATCAGTAGAGTGGAGCGCTGCAGAAAAGCCACCCAAAAATGAGGCATCAACTTTGGAACTGGGTAACAGGCAGAGGTTGGGACAGTTTGGAGGGCTCAGAAGAAGATGGGAAAATGTGGGCTGCGGTGGTCTCAGGTGGAGATGAAGAACTTGTTGGGAATTGGAGTGAAGGTGATTCTTGTTATGTTTTAGCAGAAAGACTGGTAGCATTTTGCCCCTGCCCCAGAGATTTGTGGAACTTTGAACTTGAGAATGATGATTTAAGGTATCTGGTGGAATAAATTTCTAAGCTGCTAAACATTCAAGAGGTGACATGGGTGCTGTTAAAGCCAATCAGTTTTAAAACAGAAACAGAGCATAAAAGTTTGGAAAATTTGCAGCCTGACAATGTGACAGAAAAGAAAATCCCATTTTCTGAGGAGAAATTCAAGCCAGCTGCATAAATTTGCATAAGTAACAAAGAGCCGAATGTTTATCACCAACACAATGGGGAAAATGTCTCCAGGACACGTCAGAGAACTTTGTAGCAGCCCCTCTCATCACAGACCTGGAGGTTTACGGGGTGGCGGGGGGGGAAGTGGTTTCATGGGCTGGGCCCAGGGTCCCTGTGCTGTGTGCAGTCTAGGGACCTGGTGCCCAGTGTCCCGGCTGCTCCAGCTGTGACTCAAAGGGGCCAAGGGACAGCTTGGGCTGTTGCTTCAGAGGGTGGTAGTCCCAAACCTTGGCAGCTTACATGTGGTGTTGAGCCACAGAAGCTAAGAATTGAGGTTTGGGAACCTCCACATAGATTTCAGAAGATGTATGGAAACACCTGGATGCTCAGGCAGAAGTTTGCTGCAGGGGCAGGGCTCTCATGGAGAACCTCTGTTAGGGCAGTGCAGAGGGAAATGTGGGATGGGGGCCCCCACACAGAGTCCCTACTGGGGCACCACCAAGTGGAGCTATGAGAAGAAGGCCACTGTCCTCCAGACCCCAGAGTGGTAGCTCCACTGACAGCTTACACCATGGTCCTGGAAAAGCCACAGACACTCAACACCAGCCTGTGAAAGCACCCAGGAGGAGGGCTATACCCTGCAAAGCTACAGGGATGGAGCTGCCCGAGGACCATGGGCGCCCACCTCTTTTTTTTTTTTTCAGGTGGAGTCTCGCTCTGTCACAAGGCTGGAGTGCAGTGGCACAATCTCGGCTCACTGCAACCTGCGCCTCCCAGGTTCAAGCAATTCTCCTGCCTTAGCCTCCCAAGAAGCTGGGACTACAGGCATGTGCCACCATGAGCAGCTAATTTTTGTATTTTTAGTAGAGATGGGGTTTCACCATGTTGGCCAGGATGGTCTCGATCTTTTGACCTTGTGATCTGCCTGCCTCGGCCTCCCAAAATGCTGGGATTACAGGTGTTAGCCACCATGCCTGGCCCGGGAGCCCACCTCTTGCATCATGTGTGACCTGGATATAAGACTTGGCGTCAAAGGAGATCATTTTGGAGCTTTAAAATTTGACTCTCCCACTGGATTTTGGACTTGCATGGGGCCTACAGCCCCTTTGTTTTGGCCAATTTCTCCCATTTGGAATGGCGGTATTTACCCAAAGCCTGTACCCCCATTGTATCTAGGAAGTAACTAACTTGCTTTTGATTTTACAGGCTCATAGGTGAAAGAGACTTGCCTTGTCTCAGATGAGACTCTGGACTGTGGATTTTTGAGTTAATGTTAAAATGAGTTAAGACTTTGGTGGACTGTTGGGAAGGCATGACTGGTTTTGAAATGTGAAGATATGAGATTTGGGAGGGGCCGGGAGCAGAATGATATGGTTTGGCTGTGTCACCACCCAAATCTTATCTTGAATTCCCATGTGTTGTGGGAAGGATGCAATGGGAGGTAACTGAATCATAGGGGCAGGTCTTTCCTGTGCTGTTCTGGTGATAGTGAGTAAGTCTCATGAGATCTGATGGTTTAATAAGGGGGAGTTTCCCTGCACAAGCTCTTCCTTTGCCTGCTGCTATCCATGTAAGATATGACTTGCTCCTCCTTGTCTTCCGCCATGATTGTGAGGCCTCCCCAGCCATGAGTCCATTAAACCTCTTTTTCTTGTAAATTGCCCAGTCTCGGGTATGTCTTTATCAGCAGTGTGAAAACGGAATAATACACTGGGCAACCACTGTCTTAGTTGCCTCATCCATAAAAATCCCCACTTGTGTGGATTCTAACTGAAAATTTGTCTTCTTCTCTTCCTTTCTACCCTAACTCAGGCTCTAAACGTTTTTTCCTTTTGTTTTTTTTGAGACAGGGACTCACTGTCGCCCACGGCTGGAGTGTAGTAGCACAATCTCGGCTCACTGCAACCTCCTCCTCCTGGGTTCAAGTGATTCTCCCACCTCAGCCTCCTGAGTAGCTGAGAATACAGGCACATGCCACCATGGCTTGCAAAGTTTTGCATTTTTTTTTGGTAGAGATGGGGTTTCACCATGTTGGCTATGGCTGGTCTTGAACTCCTGACCTCAAGTGATCCGCCTGCCTTGGCCTCACAAAGTGCTGGGATTACAGGCATGAGCCACCGTGCCCAGCCAACTTTTTTTTTCCTTTTTTTAACCTACAGCCTGTCTGCCAGATACTAATGTTCTCACCACCTTGCCTTCCAATACCCCTAACTCACTTTAGACTGTGCTACTACCAGTGATTGTTCTGAAACTAACTTGTTAAAAAACAAAAGTTTTATCCTGGTGATAAGGGCAACATCACGAAAGTATAAATTCCTTAGAACAACAAATAAGGCCTTTCTAATTCTGCACAGAAGGGAATAGGAAAATTAATTCCTTTACTTTGATAATGATAATATAGATTACATTGTGAGATTTAATGTCATTATGTAGTATTAACAGACTCACCAAATCAGTTCTAAAAAAGCTTTTTTCTTCCTTTGGGAATTTTATTCAGATTTATTTACTCTCTCTCCTCCTTCCCACAGCAAAATAGAGGCTATCAAATGTTTCATACCTAAGAATGGAGGGCAGCTCCCTGGGCTGGAGTGCTACTTGCACAAGAGAGTTTTTCTAAGAAAGTAGTGGGAAAGTGGGACTAAAGACTTGTAGCAAACAAGTTGTGGGTAATTCCAAATGTGGGCTGAGGGGCCTTAGATTTTTGTATTGATAGGTAAAGAGAGCCACACCAATAACAGACAAACAGAGAGCCAAATCATGAGTGAATTCCCATTCACAATTGCTTCAAAGAGAATAAAATACCTAGGAATCCAACTTACAAGGGATGTGAAGGACCTCTTCAAGGAGAACTACAAACCACTGCTCAACGAAATGAAAGAGGACACAAACAAATGGAAGAACATTCCATGCTCATGGATAGGAATAATCAATATCGTGAAAATGGTCATACTGCCCAAGGTAATTTATAGATTCAATGCCATCCCCATCAAGCTACCAATGACTTTCTTCACAGAATTGGAAAAAACTACTTTAAAGTTCATATGGAACCAAAAAAGAGCCTGCATTGCCAAGACAATCCTAAGCCAAAAGAACAAAGCTGGAGGCATCACACTACCTAACTTCAAACTATACTACAAGGCTACAGTAACCAAAACAGCATGGTACTGGTACCAAAACAGAGATATAGACCAATGGAACAGAACAGAGCCCTCAGAACTAATGCCACATATCTACAACTATCTGATCTTTGACAAACCTGACAAAAACAAGAAATGGGGAAAGGAATCCTTATTTAATAAATGATGCTGGGAAAACTGGCTAGCCATATGCAGAAAGCTGAAACTGGATCCCTTCCTTACACCTTATACAAAAATTAATTCAAGATGGATTAAAGACTTAAATGTTAGACCTAAAACCATAAAAATCCTAGAAGAAAACCTAGGCAATACCATTCAGGACATAGGCATGGGCAAGGACTTCATGTCTAAAACACCAAAAGCAATGGCAACAGAAGCCAAAATTGACCAATGGGATCTAATTAAACTAAAGAGCTTCTGCACAGCAAAAGAAACTACCATCAGAGTGAACAGGCAACCTACAGAATGGGAGAAAATTTTTAATTAGAATTTATATTAATTTACTTCTTGCATGTTTGTTTGGCTGGCGGTGATGAATGATGATTAAGAATTATTTCAGGTAACAAGGAAAGGATAACATCAAGAAAGCCTTAGAGATGGGTTTGATTTAGATAGGTGGAGGTGGTAAGCAAAGGTGGAAAACTGCCAGTAAGTTTGGGAAACAGTGATTAGCTTAGTTTTGCTAAACACAGAGTGCATATAGAAAAATTATACAGTTTGCTACTCTGAAAACACGTTCTTTTTGTGTCAGCAAATTTCACAAAGCAATAGTTAGTCTTTATTTCCAGTCATGTGTTCTTTCCCAGAGTGAATGGCAGTATTAATATATTAATAGAAATTTAAAATACAGACATGAAATCTATTTAAACCTTATAGAAAAGATGGTGTGAGTAGTTTCAATTTTTAAAATGGTGAGCAAAAGTAATAGGATTTTAAAATGAACTTACACAATAAAAAACTGCCCAATCTTTCTGGTAGGAAAAAAAGTTATTACTTACTAAGACAATCAGAAAATTTGGGCAAGAAATATGATAAGATAGATAAAATGATCAATGACATTAAGTGCTTTTGATAAATCATTTTCATAATTTTACAAATATGGAAGTATAAATATTAATTAAAATATTTAAAATTTTTAAAAGGTCATAATCATTATTAAATATAAAGTCATTGGAATCTGCATTTTGGTAACTTCTGCATCTTGCTTAGTTTTTTCATCTTGCTTATTTACTCTCTCTCCCACTTCCCGCAGCAAAACAGAGGCTATCAAATGTTTTCATACCTAAGAATGGAGGGCAGCCCCCTGGGCTGGAGTGCTACTTGCTTATATTTCTTCAATGCAGAGGAATAAGTACACCGTCGGCAGCAAAGTTAGCAAAATGCACGCTACTTTACACACTTGGAAACTGGCAAACTGCCTGCGCTGCCCTGGGCTCTGATTGCTACATACCAAAGGTGCACTTGGTGGAACGCCTGCTGACCAGGTTGCTGGAGCTACTTTAGGCTGCCAGTTGGCTCCACCAGTCAACTTTTTCTCTCCAGCATTCCACTGAAGATCTCCCCTAAAATTAACCATGCAAAACAAGCAAACAAACAAAAAATCACAAATCAGAAAAAAATGGTGTGTGGCTCCTTAGATTATTTTATTTGGGTTTAAAAGCAGTTTATTTAGTCAAGTGGTATAGTAATAAGAACAGCAGTTAAAACTTACAGAGGAATCTTGCCATGCTGTAACTAAGAAAGCTTAAAAGCATTTGAAAAAAAATCATTTAGAGTTTGGACCTCAATAAGTATAGGAATTTCCTATCCTCTATAAAGAAAAGTATGTCAGAAAAATCCAACTGGATTCATTTGTTATTAAAAATGCAAATAAATATATCATATATACTGTACACTTCGATTTTGTTGAATTTAAGATGCACTGATGATGGCACTTTCTGGATCTTAGAGGGTTCAGCAGAATGTTTCACACAACTGTATCATGACTGCAACCTGCCTTACAGTGATCGTAAGACACCATCCACTGAAAGATATGTCTCAATTTCAACGACAAAATATACATCTAAAAAAGAATATATTGTTTACCATTTTTACTATCTTTCCTTACAATTAATACTCCATGAAAGACTTTTTAAAATTCATGTTAGCTAGAACTATGGTAATGAATCTAGAATGTAATGCTATTAAAATATTCAAGCCACAATTCCCAAATATTTCTAGATATAACTTAGTGACAATCTCGGAGATTGAAATAGATTATTCCTTTTCATTGCAAAGCAACAGTTTGGAGCTTCCAGTAGAATAACAACAAAAATCTGGGATGAAATAAACACCAATTGTGAAATTATCTGAAATTATCTAGCATGAGAATGAATAATTACTCCAATGAGTAAAATGGTTGATAGTCTCAAATGAATACAAATATACCATCAAAAGGAAATCACATAATTTCCAAACACTTACTTTTTTGTTGTGGTACCAGAAATTCCAAGATCTATAAATGGATAAAAGAAAAAAGAATGTAAATCTCTACACTCAGTTTATATGATATGACATTTAAAAGATCAAATAATCAGAAGTCTATAAAAAAGTCCTTATTTTGCCTAGGAATGACTGCATTCAGTTATACAGAAAAGAAACTATATTAGGAAATATTTTCATAAATTAAAGATTTTCTTTTACTTCATGTTAGACTTAAGGATCCATTTTAATGTCAACTGGTGTCCAGAAAAGAGCAAACATAGCAGGTTTGATGCTGCTATTTTAGAAAGGCTGCTATCTGGGAACTTGGTTAGTAAATTGTTCTCTATACTAGGATAAAACTTGCCCTAAATGATAAAAGTGGATCACTGTGCCTACACTACTATTTGTACACATGATATGGTTTATGTTGAATATCCACTTTCATTCTGCAAGTCTGAAATTTTGGCACATGCCAAGCAGAAATGCCTACATGATCACTGCCCAATAAATACTCTGGGTGTGGAGTCTCTAAAGGTCTTCTTTAGGCATAAACACCTCACACATGCTGCTGCATTTTTGTTGCTGGGTGAAGAGTGTGTTCTTCTCCTCAAGGGAGAGACATAGCTTAAGGAAGTCTGCATGTGGACTCTTCTAGACTCTGCTTGTCTTTTCCCCTTATCATCAGCCATATATCCTTCCTCTGCTTCCGTAATAAATCTCAGCTGTGAGTACAACGATGTGCTGAGTCCCATGTGTCCTTCTAGTGGCTCTGTGAATCCCTTGACATAGTCGGCTTAATCAATCTGCTCTAATATCAATTCATTTATTACTTCAGAAAATATTTTGTGAGCATCTACATATGCCAGGCACTGTTTTAGGCACCCGGAACATATTAGTAAAGAAAACAGTCAGAGAGTCCTATCCTGGAGGAACTTGCATTCCGATGGTGTCAGACAGATGACAAAACAATTAAAAAGTAAATTATACAGGCTGCTAGAAGGCGATAAGGAAAGCTTATGGAAAAATGAAAAGGAAGGGCAAAGTAAGTGGGGTTGAAGGGGTAGGATAAACATGGGGCCAGAGAATATTATACAGGGTGCTTGGGGAAGGATTCATAGAAGTGAGACTTGGGCAAAGCTGAGCAGAGTCTGGGTGAGAGCTTTCTAGGCAGAGGGAACAGCCAGGACAACAGCCCTAATCAGGTGCATAATCAATGTATTAGAGGATGAAGTTAATATTTATTTCTTACCAAATCTTGGCATTACAAAACAGAATAAGGTATATATTAACTGAACACCAAATATAAAAATGATTACCCATAATTTTAGTTTTTTTAAAAGACAAAATTTATTTTAAAATTTATTTTTCAATTAGACTATAAAACTAAATATATGTATATTAAATGATTAAAAAGCTAAACCAAGTATTTATGCCTGTTCATGTGAAAAAGCAAAAGAAAGCAGAAGTGTACCTTACATATGTATACATGAATCCCTTGTCAAATTTCATGGCAGACGGGAATGAGTTACCTGAGGGCCTGGGCCTCTGTTGCAAGCTAGGTGTCCTGGGAAGAAGGCTCTGGGATGGAGATTAGCATGCAGGAGATTTATTTTGAAAGGGAAGAGAGGAAACTGTGATTGGGCAAGACTGCAATGCAGTCTCAATAGAAGCGTCAGCTAACACTGAAAAATGTTTTATAAAAACATTTTTCTTGAGATATAATTCACATACCATAAAATTCACTCTTTTAAAGTACGTAATTCAATGGTTTTAGTTTATTCACAGTGCTAACATAGAACTTTTTTGTCACCACAAAAAGAAACCCTGTACCAACTGGCAGTCACTCCTCTTCCTCTCCACTTCCCTCAGCCCCTTGAAGCCCCAATCTACTTCCTGTCTGTATGCATTTGTCTATTCTGGACATTTCATATAAATGGAATCATATATGAAAACACATAGTCTTTTGCGACCGACTTCTTTCACTTGGCATGTTTTCACAGTAAATCCAGTTGTAGCATGTATCAGTACTTCATTTCTTTTTATTGCCAAAGAATATTTCATTATGTAGATATATCATTTTTTTTTATCCATTCATCAAGTGATGAACATTAGGGTGGTCTACTTTTTGGTTATTATGAATAACAATACTATAAACATTCATGTACAAGTTTTTGTGTGCATACACATTTTCATTTCCACTCCATACACCTAGGAGTGGAAATGCTGAGTCATACGATAATCTATGTTTAACATTTTGAGTAACTATCAGACTTCTTTCTATAGCAGCTAAACCATGTTACATTTTTACCAGCAATGTCTGTGGGTTTCAAGTTTTCCATATCCTCATCAATACTGGTTATATGTCTTTTTAGTTATCTCCATCCTATTGGGTATAAAGTGATATCTTATTTGGTTTTGATTTGCATTTCACTGATGAATAATGGTGAGCATCTTTTCATGTGCATATTGGCCATCTGTATATATTCTTTGGAGAATATAGGGTGCTTGGGTCAAAAGGTCTATTCAAATAAATTATTTGCCATTTTAAAAATTGCATTATTTGTGTTTTCATTATTGAATTGTTAGAGTTCTTTATTCTGAGTACAAGTCTCTTATCTGATAAATGATTTGCAAATATTTTCTCCCATTCTATGGTTTGTCCTTTCACTTTCTTAATGGTATTGTCTACTGCACAAAAGTATTACATTTTGATATATTTCTATTTATCTATTTTTTCTTTTGTTTCTTGTACTTCTGGTGTCATATCTAAGAAACCAAACATAACCTAATCTCAGGTCATAAAGATTTACTCCTATGTTTTCTTCTAAAAGTTGCGTAGATTTAGCTCTTACATTTGGTTGTACGACTTACTTTGAATTAATTTTTTTTTGTTTAAGTAAAGGGTAAAATTTCATTCTTTTTCATGAAGTTATTTAGTCTTTCCCCAATTTTTTTCTCCTGAAAAGAATGTCTTTTCCCTCACTGAATGGTCTTGGTATCCTTGTCAAAAATCATTTGACTATATACGTGGGTTTATTTCTGGGATCTTTATTCTATACCTTTGGTCTCTATGTCTATCCTTATTCCAGTACCATTTGTCCTGATTATTGTAGCTTTGTAGAAGTTTTGAAATTGGAAACACGATTGCTTCAAATTTTTTCTTTTTCAAGATTGTTTGGGTATTGCTCTAGCGGGTTAGCTTCTTTCAGCTGGGATCATTCTCAAAGGTGGTTGACAGCTGAGGGCTGTGTGTTGGTGGCACTCTCAGCAGCTGGAGGCATAAGTCCTTTATTTCTGAAAGGGGATACATTATAGTATGCAGAGAAAGCAGTCACTTTGTGAGATGAAATTTTAGTATAGGAGGAAATATTCAAATAACCTCTCCCCGGGTGTCATAAAAGTATTTTCATGGTTGCTCAAATCACAGGGAAGGAATGGAAAACAAAATGTATGTCCACAGGCAAATTCACAGGTAAAGAAGTCTGTATCGTGATTTGCTAAACTTTTGATACTACCTTGAATAATATTACGTATCTACAGTGGTAAACCCATTCACATGAATACAAAATTCAGAATTAAGAGCAAAGGTCGATCTTTGTAATAGCTGCCCTCCTCCCTAGGACTCTCTCCTTTACCCACTCAGCTCTAGCCACTCATCTCCTGGATGTCCCTTGAATCTGCCAGGCAAACTTCTGCCTCAAAGCCTTTGCACTATTTCATTTTCCTGCAGATGTCCTTCTTTAGATCATCACGTAGTTTACCCCTTTCCCTTCAAAATCTTTGCTCAAATTTTACCTTCTTGTTGAGGCTTACTCTAACTCCTACCCTGTAGCACTCCCAGCTCTCCTTTGTCTGTTCTGTTTTTTCTCCATGGAACTTATGATCTATCACACTATAGAATTTATTTATTTTAAAGTTTGTGTCTGCCCTTCCTAAGTGCCATAAGTACAGACATTTTTATCTGTTTTGCTCACTGGTTTATCTCTAGAGCCTGGAAGAATGCTTGGTATTCAATAAATATTTGTTGAACAAATGACTGAAACTCAGTTGGATACTCAATTTATAAAGATACTATACTTCATGTAAGTTACCCTATGTTCTTATTTCCAAATGAAATGGAAAGTTAAGTGCTTTTTACACATAATACACTTGGTTTCATACTTGTATATGCTCCCTGATTATACCTTTAATAATTTAGACTAAAATGACATGGGTATTGCTCGTGAGCCAATGGCATAGGAACTGTTTGCCTTCCAAGGACCTGCACTGGGTAAAGCACTAAGTATTTCTATTCCCTCCCTGCCATACTCACCCATAAGAGAGTCCAGAAACAAAACATATGAGATGAGAGAGAGAGAGAGAGAGAAACAAAAAACAATTCACATATGCTTCAGTTAAAGAAAAAAAAAAAAAACTAGATTACTCACTGCCTACTAAGCTGGCAAGAGATGAATCAAGATCACTTCCAAGGGCTTTGCTGGCTGCCATTGCAGGACTGGGTGGTACCATTGAGACAGGTGCAGGCTGCCCAGCTGGTGCCATGGTTGGCATCAAAAGATCACCTAGACCATCAAACACTGGAAATCAAATAGACTAGGTTCAGAATAATTGAAAACAAAAAAAGATCATATGCGAAATTAAAGTAAAACTCTCTTTTGATACTATGGAAACAAGTGAATATAAAATCTTATAAAAGAAGGCAAGTAATTCACACTTTTCATGACTGTAACACCAAGAAGAACATGTCGACATATGTCTACTCATAAAGTATGAAAATACTAATGAACATGAACAAGGATGGAAAAAAATCTGTATAATGTACAGGAATGAACTGGGCTTCAATTCAGCTGCATGACTCACTGGCTACATGACTTTAAGAAAGTTACTCTCTGAGCTTTTTAGTTTTCTCATCTGTAAATGGGGAGAGTATGACCAATACATGGCTTTGTTGTAAACATTAAATTAGGTGATACATGTCATGGGTTTATTATAATGCTTGCTTTATACAGGCATTCAATATTGCCATTGTTGCTCTTATTCAAGAAAATAGTGAAAAGACTTCTAATGTGCTTTATGGTGAAATCTAAATAATTTACTCTGAAAACCTAAAATGTTTACCTTAAAAATAATTCTTAAATGAGAAAATAATGCATCTCTTGGTTTCCTACGAAATTAGGAAACAAAATAACATCTGATATAACAGTCAGCATCTAGTAATAGGTACCTGAAAAAGTTGATCACATTTCAAAAGTAATAATTTTGATTTTTTTCTCACTCATTAGAGCAATCATTTCTGGTTGTAACTCTAAGGGCATAAGTAAATTAAATACTATTTTAAGTATTAGGGATCAAATGCATCATTGATGGCTCCTGATCACCAAATAAGTTACTAATTGTTCAGTTCCTAGAATACAGAAAGTCCATTCAAAATGCAGACACATAGCATTTGCATAAGATGTTGCTAATATGTTATCTATGTCAAAAACTTTGTAGTTGTAAAATTTTATCAAAAAACTATGCATATCTACCATAACAACTACTATACAATAATTTTAAAGTGAAAAATGACAGCATTCAACTAGGCACTGGCAATAGAAGCAACCAAATTGTCAGGCAGAGGATTTATTTAGGGTGTTTCTGAAACACATTTAATTGCCAAAAACTCACCAAGTGAAAATTTGTAGTAAGGACCCAGCATGGGAAGAGTAGAATGGAAGAGAATACAAACAAAATGACAGCAGTGATGAAAGGTTAAAGGCAGGCAAAGAATACTATTTGTGTCTCAACTTCATAAAACTGAGGGCCATGCAGGCTTCAGAGGATGTAAGCAACAGCAGTGGGAGTGTTCACATATTCAAACACTGTACAAAGATTTAGTACAAAGTATCTGTTTTTCTTTAACCATCTCTAAACCATGTGCATGTAAGCTCATGCAAATAGATGGTGTGCAGGTTAAGTTAGATTTCTGCTAAAAATAAACAGAAACAGAGAAAGGATTGCAGGTTATTCTTATGGATACCAATGTGTACTATAAATTTTAATTTAAGTTACTAAATGAGAGATTTATTAACGTTTTATAAACCAAATTATCACTCAATATTTGCTTGTTGTAAATTTCCTGATAGCATACTAACCTTAGGTAGTACTTTTTTTTATTACCAGGACACATGAAAAGAATGTTTGAAAGTCACTGCCTCACCTGATGGATCAAAGGAGCTGCTGCTGGAAGTTGAAGGCGTTGTCCCAAAAGCTGCCTCAAAATTGGGCTGTAGCAGGTTATTCTGAGCTGGAGTCACTGGAGATGGGGAAGGCGCCATGAAAGAACCCCCAAATCCTGAAAAAAAGTTCCAAAAAAACAAGCAGAAATAACATAAAGGTGGGTAAAGGCCATAAAAACTGAATTTAAAAAGTTATAGAAAACTGAAAAGGAATTAATTGCATGTTGATTAGCAGTCAGTGAAACAGAGAAGCTCATTTCTGAAAAGTTGTTCAAGCATAATATTTTGAAATCTGACATGCATTAATGAGAGATTTAATTTAATTAGAAATAAGATAACACACAAGTATAACCTTATTAAGAGAAACTATGGCAAGCAAATCTATTATTACAATGGAGTATATAAACAAATAAGGTATCACTAGGTTTACAATTCAGACAGTCTCATTACATTGAAATTTTATGTTTCTTCAAATCATAATATCCGGTTTCTAGAAAATGTTTACTGCAAATTATAATAAAATGCAAAACAAATCATAAAAATACATATCAAATCTTTAACATCTATCATACATGTTCTAGCCCCACTGCTGTTACCACCAGTGCAGGCCCCCGCAACCCTGCTCTCTGGATTCATGAACAGTCACGGAGTGGGATGGCATCCTGTCTCTAGTCTAGATCTCCTCCAATCTAGTCTTCACAGTGCAGCCAGAATGATCTTTCCAAGTGGAAAATGTTGACAAAGTTACTTCTCCAAAATCTTCTATCAGCTTCCCATCATTTTTCAGTTCATATAATTTGAATTCCTTCGTGTAGTGATCAGGTCCTTCTGTCTCTACTCACTGGCCCCTGCAGCAAAGCAGGCTGCAGCTGTGATCCGCCACTCGCAGTGTCAGATGCCTGCTCTGGGAGGACTTCCTTGCCCTCACACTGCTACCCACTACCAGCTGCACCCCACCCACATCCCCATATACATGCCGAGTATCCTCAGCACCTGGTACATGGCCCCCTGCTACTCTCATTACATGTATCTATCCCCACTGCCCCGACTCCAACCCCAGATGGCTTTTTGAGGCCAGGAACTGTGTCTTCTTTTCATGTTTTTTCCACTAATATCCTGCACAGTGCCTAAAACACTGAATTAATGTTTATTAAATGAAGGACACTTTTGAATATAAAAGGTGAGGACAAATCAAAGACTACTGTAAAGTAATCCAACCTCAGATTAAGTATTTATCCTTTGACGGCTGGAAGCAAAACATTTCTCTCAATCAACAGACAGAAACAGAAGCAGAGATCACTCTGCATTGCTACTGAACAAAAATATACAGCCTCTGAAGGAAGTGATTTCTTAACAAGACACTGGATGATATTCTATTATAAAAGAATTTATTACTACCAGAAGTCATTCCTACATAAAGTTTAAGTATATATTCCTTTCAAATCCAGCCACATTGTCTCTTCTTCACAAACTGCTTGCAAAAACAATGTTTCAAAAAACATCCTTAAGTTTACGTTCCATAGAATCGATTTATAATTTTGAAAGTGATTTCCACTAAAATTATCTACTATTTTCTAAAGCAGGTGGCAATGCTGTTTGAGTTATGTTATTCCTAGAAATTGACAGTGATGTGGGTTTAGGCTTTCCTCATATGTGTATGAAAAAATTTTAATTTGGAAAAAAGTTTTTTATTAGATGATCTTTACAGTTCATGATGGCTACTTTAAGTGATTTTAGTATTTGAATGGCATAAGTATCATATAACTTTCTTTACTGAAGAAGACGTTCTCTAAATCAGTAAGAGCTTATCCCAGCCAAGGTAGGTTAAAAGTAATTATTTTTGTGAATGTGACCATTTTGATTTTAGGAAGATTGGTGGCTGTATTAATGTTGATTTTTAAAAAACATTACCCCGTACCTCAAGTTGGAATTTGTCTGGTAAATTTAGGCAACTGTTCTATGTTGTGATTCTCTTTCTATAGGTGAATGTGGAGAAAACTTGACTCTTGACTTCTTAAAACTTGGCCATGGAAAGGACAATTTATTTTAGAATCACAGCATATTAGTGATGGAAAGGGCCTCAGGATCATCTGATTCCTTCCTGTCATCTCATGGCTAGAAGAAATGACTCAAAGAGAAGTTAACACACTGGTAAGATTCAGTAAAAAGAGGAAAAAGAGTGCATTTACCTAGGACACTCTGCTTAGTGCTATTTCTACTTTATGCTAAGATCACATCTATAGGTGAATAAATAAAGCTGTTCACTGAAAAAAAAAAATAGTGCCTTCTCTAAGAAAATTAAAGGTAAGCCAACATTGGCCCAGGGCTCACCAAGTGCCAGGCACTGTTCTAGGTTTCCTTTTTTAGGGTGAACCCTATGAACGACACGAATGGCTGATATTTGACTGTTTTGATCCTAGAAAATCAGCAGTTTTAAATGGTTCAATCTAAAACACACATTAGCTTATCTAATCCTTATAACAACCCCATGAGGTTCAAAGATGAGAAAGCTGAGGTCAGAGATGTTAGATAATTTGTCTAAGGTCATATGAAAGCAAATGGCAGATCCAGGATTCCAAACAGGAATTCTCCAGAGTCTGGATTCTTTGCCACTGTACCACACAGCCTCTTTCTCACATCCAGAAAAAATGCTGTAGTGGTAACCTTCCCATACATTTATAAAATTGTCGAGATCTGGCAGGATGACTTTTTCCCATTATACTCGGTTCTTATGAAGTAAGTGCCCTCACAAGCCTAGAATAATTAAACAGCTATTAAGTGATATAAAAGGACCAACTGATTATCTCAAAAAAATAATTGCTATAATGAAGAACTAAACAGGAACATTACAGTCATTCATGAGGCATTTGAGGAATTCCTCCTGGTAACTAACTGAAAAGTTTTAGGGCCCTGGAATAGAGTTAATAGGAAAACCTAAACAACTAATCTTTCTATGTGGTTCTAATTTACATTAAGAAAGACGTTTAGCTGGGTATGGTGGTTCATGCCAGTAATCTCAGCATTTGGGGAGGCTGTGGCAGAAGGATCACTTGAAGCCAGGAGTTTGAGACCAGCTTGGTCAATATAGCGAGACCTCATTTTTATATATCTATCTATATATATCAATATATATAAATTAGCCAGGGGGCATGATGGCATGTGCCTGCAGTCCCAGCTGCTCAGGAGGCTGAAGTGGGAGGATTGCTTTAGCTCATCAGTTCAAGGCTGCAGTGAGCTATGTTCACACCAATGCCCTCCAGCCTATGCAACAGAGGGTGACCTTGTTGCTTAAAAAAAAAAAAAAAAGAAAGGTGCTCTATGGAATGGAATTGGAAACAGAGTAAGGCTTTTGTGCATCCTGTAATCATATTTGAACTGTCCTACACTATAACTGAAGAGCCAACTGTTTTCAGGTACTCAACCATCTGTTGATACACTGCTTTTTAATCACAGATGATTAGTCTTATGAATGTGTTATTCTAAAGGGGAGTAGCCCACACTCTTAATGAAGTTCTATTGATTCAGATATATCAAGTCTGACTGTCATAGTCTACATAGTCTATCTAACACATCATATTGTTTCAGTTGCAGGAGTACAATTTTTTTTTCTTTCTTTTTTTTTTTTTTTTGAGATGGAGTCTCGCTCTGTCACCAGGCTGGAGTGCAATGGCGCCATCTTGGCTCACTGCAATCTCTGCCTCCTGGGTTCAAGCCATTCTCCTGCCTCAGCCTCCCAAGTAGCTGGGATTACAGCGTGTGTCACTACACCCAGCTAATTTTTGTATTTTTAGTAGAGATGGGGTTTCACCATGTTGGCCAGGATGGTCTCGATCTCCTGACCTTGTGATCTGCCCGCCTCGGCCTCACAAAGTGCTGGGATTATATAGGCATGAGCCACCGTGCCCGGCCACAAGAGTGCAATTTTAAAACTACTGCTAAAGACACTTCCACACAGGATGATAGAATTGATCCTCTGTAGACTTTTACCTTTTATAGGAAATTGTTACTTTTTAATGCCACACTGGGCATGTTTGTATTTTAAATTCAGTTCAAGGACTTCTGTGGCTCATTTTAAGCAATTAATGTGGTTAAGAGAACAAATGCAAAACTACAAAGGGCCTCATAGGCTGGACCATATAGTCCCTTGTCTTTGCAATTAAAGATAGGATGTGAAATTCTCTTATACTAGTACAGATTTATAGTGCAGTCACCCTAAAATTGTGTCTATGATGGAAAAACATGGTTGTCCTGCTCGATGCCAACCTCAGATGTTAGGCATATTCCTCAACACACCTAACTTCCTTAACAGTCCATTTTTACCTTTGTCATCCAGTAGTCTGCCTCTAGCTTTCAAACATCTGTATTTTCAGTTGGTATATTTTGAGCAGAGTTTGACAGCTTTACTCTTCACTGTATGAAATATTTACTTTTATTATTTAAAAACTTAACTTTCAAGTTTTCATTCAGATGTTACCTGAGATATGGATAATATCTGTATCCTACCAGTAATCTCAATGGCTTGGAAAGAATTACTCATTGTTGTTATGGATTCTCCCCTCTGCTTCCCCCCACCCCCATTATTCCTTCCTTTCTTCATTATTTTGATAATGATTTTTCTAGTCTGGCCTCTTTGGAAGTTGTCCTCTCCAGAATTTTTTATCATTTCACTATACTGCATGCACCAAACACCTTAAAATTTTTACTCAAGGGGTAGAAGACGACTAAGGCAATATTTCAAGTGCTGTTTAATTCTGGAATTGGTATTATCTGACAGTTCTAAAACTGAATTTGAATAAAGAAGAATAGTTTTTATGATAGATAGGTTCATTTTCAAGACTATCTAGTTAGTCTTTGTTTTCAAGTTTCAAAATGATACCAATTTTTAACAAAGCTTTCGCCTCAATTTTAAAATGGTTCTTAATGTTTAGTTTAAAATCTCTAAAATCATTTTAAAATTTAATTATATCATATATTTATTGCCTTATCTTTATGATTCACATGTAAATGTATTCACTCAAAAAAATCTAATCTTAGGCATGGGGTAAGAGTCCTTAGTCCAGTGACCAAGGTTCCCTTTGAACAGTCTAAACCTCCCATGACAGTGTCTGCATATTATTTTTCTTTTTCATTCTTTCTCAAAACAGTTTTATTACTAAAGGCAATCACAGGATTCTAGAGAATCTTTTTCTCTCTTCTCTCTCTTTGATTCTGATCATATTTGTGGGCTTGCTATGTATGACTAGGCTCATTTATTTATTTTTTTTTAAAAATCTTCTTAGTTTCAATAGACTGTGGACTTAGCTGATCCCTCCCCCAAATAAACACAGACACAACTATAATACAAATGCTAAGCTTCACTGCAAATTACTACACACAGTGCCCCAAATATTTGTCCTACTTAATATGCATTAAATAAAAATGTACGAGAATTGTGAAAACTCAGAAACAGCCAATTGTCAGCTAGGTTACAAATATAAATGTGACTGTGGTTTTATATTGCGTTTATTAGCAGAATTTTTTTCATTTTTTATTTTTTTGTTTTTGGCTAGGAAAGTTGCTCCTAGTTCACAGGATAGAATTATATTAATATTCCATGATGTTCTTTAGTGAGAATATGACTTCCTTATGCTTTGATACTTGAACAAGCGTGAGAAATATTTTTCTATAAGAAAACAGGGAAGTATGAAAAATTAGCCCCCAAAATTAAGCCCTATGGAAATTAAAAGTTAAAATTTCTTATGCTAGCTTATTTTTGTTTTTTGTTTTCAGTAGAGATTAGGGTTTCACCATGTTGGCCAGGCTGGCTCAAACTCCTGACTTCAAGTGATCCTGCCCATCTGGGCCTCCCAAAGTGGTGGGATTATGATTGTGGGACACTGCATCCAACCCCTTATATCAGGATATAAGGTGAAATAATATTTCACATTGTGCCAAATAAATCAGGCACTGACATATGTATACATTAAATTACAAGAACTGTTTTGAAAGCAAATGAGACATTAAACTCATCTATACTGATTTACATTGAATATTAATTTATTTAAATAGAAAAGAGAGAAATAAGAAAGTGTACACAATATATAACTTTGCCTATCACTGAAAGAGTCACAAGAAGATGCAGTAGAAGAAATGGAAAGTGTGTAGTAAATGAGACCTATGTAGATGACATTGGGTACTTTCATTGATGATTTTCTCCTCTTTTCTACCCCATTTTAATAAGATTTCAGAATAGACAACACAATTGAATAATTTTATTTTTTGTAAAGTGAACTAACATACTTTTTTTGTAGACTTCCCCTGCTGGACCTGTCCATATACCAAGCTGTGCAGCTGTGGCACAGGTATGTGCAGTTACACCTGGCAGCAGGTGACAAACCCCTTCAGGCTTGTTCTAGATGTGTTTTTAGATTCTTATTGCATCCCCCAGGGTCAAATCTCTTGGCTCTGTTACTGACTTCTAACTTGGAATTGGATGGGAACACTCCCTTTTCCCACAGGAAAAGGCCTTTCAGCTCCAGTTTCTAGTGTTCTGGGCTCTTTGAGAAACACAATATCTCAGGTTCTAGCCTTGGAGGACACAGAGAGGCCACAATGGAGGAGGATCCTGGAGTAGACAATGTGGCTGTGTAGCACTGGAGGTGGTCAACAGTGGCTGACCGCTCTGCCAGGCTACTGTCTGGTAGGCTTCAAATTCCCATTTGAGATCTGTGGCAGGGGATGGGATACCCAGGAGAGAAAGAAAGAATTCATAGGCTTCTGTGAAAGGCCAGAATATTTGATTTTATGGGCCGTTTTAATCTTAATTATAACTTCAAAGCAAAATGTTTGTAATCACTAATCTCATTTTAAAGTTAACAAGGTCATGATCCCTCAAATAGCCATTAAAACTATGCTATTTCTGTGGCATGTTAAAATCTTATTGCTGAACCCCCAAAATGTGTATGAAGTTTATTGGTTTAGTAAGAGTTTGAAAGTTTCTGTAGCCAATTGGAAGCTGATATAAGAATATCTAGGCCTGGATAAAAGCCAGGCAAACTAGCAGTTTATTTCTCCAAGTAACCAGCTGTGGTTTGTGTTAAGTGTACTGCCTCTTATCATCTCTGCAACTTCCAAATATTCCATGATGTTCTTTAGTGAGAATATGATTTCCTTATGTTTTGATACTTGAACAAGGGTGAGAAATATTTTTCTATAACAAAACAGGGAAGTATGAAAAATTAGCCCCCAAAATTAAGCCCTACGGAAATTAAAAGTAAGTTAAAATTTCTTATGCTAGCTTCTCAGCATAAGTTCTCAGCAATATCATGGTGGGGCCCTGGTTCTTCAGTGCTGAGGAAAATACCTAGTGGTAGTCACTGGTATGAGTGGTTTCAGCATGCAAGACTGTTATGTTTGATCATAGTAGTCAGGAAAGGATGGGAAAGACACTAGAGAACTATTGCCCCTGGGAAAGACTGTTAAATAGCCAGTCTGAATTACTGATGGAAGGAAAGGTTAACAGCTGGGCTACGACTACCTGCTTTAGCTTCCTGAGGAAAGATTTGACCTCAACTCAAACTCCCTACAACTCTGAAGGCTGATGAGGGTCTTTTAGCATCTGCCATTACTCACCACTAATCCAAGAATAAATGTTCCTCAGCTTGCTGTACCTGGTGCCAGGATTGTTTATTGTATAACTTGTAATTTTATGGGCTATATCCACACTAAAAAAGGGAACTATTCATATGCTTTATCAAGGTCTACATGGCTAGCACTAGCACGGTATTTAAGATGCAAGACTTCAGACATGCATGGCAGCTTCCCAGTGGTGATGTGACCCATGCTCTCGTCAGCCCCTTGTCAACCTTAGGACCAAAATTCAACCCTTGTGGTGACTGTGGAGGGGCCTCAGAAGCTGCATCTGAGTGACTGAGTCCTCTGTGAAACTACTGTTGTGCTTCCTGTTATGTACCTGTCTAAGTAAAATCAGAGTAAGGTAAGCCAACAATGTCTTGTGAGTTTGACTAATAATCTGAACTTAAACTTACTACTGTGGTCTTGCAACTGGTCTTTCATAATGCTTTGCTTATGAAAATAATAATTTCTAGGTCAAGGCTATCACTAAGCACACACTTTGTCTTGCTCCCAAGGAAGACCAATACTTGGCTTTTACTATTTTTGAGTCCTTGAACTGTTTCCTTTTATTCTATATATACTACTTGGGCCACAAGCAGTAATCCAAGGCAAACTGTACCAATCTATTTCACACTATGACCCTGTTGAGCTGAGATCACCCCATGAGTTTTCACATAGAAAAATGATCAGCTTGTTAAAAAAAAAAACAAAAAACAAAAACAGTGGTCTATGTAATAGCAGTTTTGACCCAATGGTAGGAGTCTGTAACAGTTTCTCTTGGAGTGATTCATATATTACGAAATCTATTTTCAAACATCATGGTACATTTCCCCACAACTTCCTTTAAAAAAAGATGGGCATAGACATTACAAGACAAAAATTGTTACATAAGCACATTACCCTTTAAATAATTTAAAGGAAACATGTTGGCTGAAAATAAGGCAGATTTGGAGCATACAAGAAGCCACAAAGGTGGCTTGTATACAGCTGCAACTTTAAGACCCTGAGAAATAATCAAACTTCTATCGTACAATGACTGAATTTTCAATTTCATGTCTTTTAAAATTATTTTTTAAAAACAATTTCAATTTTGTTTTAGATTTGGGGGGGCAAGTACAGATTTGTTACATGGGTGTACTATGAGATGCTGAAGTTTGGGGTATGATTGATCCTGTCACCCAAGTAATAAGCATAGTACCCAACAGTCAGTTTTTCAATACTTGTCCCCTCCCTCAATTTTATGTCTTGAAAGAAAAAGAAAACATGCACCCTGCAATTTATGTAATTTTTATAATTGTTACTTATAAAAATATATCCAAATTTAACTTCTACAAAATACCATTTTAATTTAATTACCAGCTAGTAGGTCTGCCGATGCTGATGAACTAGAAGCAGCCTGAGATGCAGGTTGGGGTTCAGAAGCACTACTTCCAAATGCATCTATCCGTTATCCATTGTGCAGCGGAAAAGTAAGAAAGTGTAAAAAGTAAGTACAGTAAGTAATTTAAGTATTATGTAGAGAAATGCAGAGACATGACAGTGTACAGTGAGCTTGTCTTTTGTGGGTGTGTGAAATGATCACATGAATTGAATTATGCTCTGACCGGTTTATTCTCTCAAAAAGAGTTCTAAAATATTAACAAGTAATACCTCTTTGTAAGATTAAGGGAATTCTTTTTTTTTTCTAAGAATAAAATTTTTGGACTAAACCTTGTCATCTGTCAAAACAGAAGCAAGGTTTTAAACTTTTTACCTAAAGGTAATAAAACAGAATTTTTCCATTTAGAATTCTATTAAATGTTTAAAAAATTAATAAACTTAATTCAAGGAGCAGCAATATGATTTGTACCTACATGTCAAGGTTTAGTGTTTATCTGACACAAGTCTTGAGCCCCTAAATGTCAGACACTGCAACATCTTTGTATTCCTCATGTACGCATCATGGAATGTCCATGATGCTTCAATGTACAGGAGGTACTCAATGTGGGTTAAGCTTTCTAAGGATAGTATTTAAGCTCAAGAGCTAATTCAGTACATCTTCCTGCCCTCAGATAACACATAAAGGAAGAGGGAAATATATTTAAATCAGCAACACATTTTCCAATCCTTCTAACTCTTTGTAAGGATAGCAAAACATTATAAATAAACCTACAGAATAATGTACAACATCTAGACTTATGCTTTCAGTTTTAACTGGCTTGTTTTCATTTCTAAATTATCTATTAATAGGTCATGTTTATTTGGCTTTTAAGAACTTAGAGATGTTGATTTAGCCAACAGATCAGGATCACCAAGGAAGAACAGTTGAAGGAAATTCCAGTCAGGTAATTCTACATTAGGATGAAGAACAAAAAGTTGAAAACACCAAGTGAAAAATTATGTGTTTTGTTAGGTCATGCACTGAAAGTTATGATGAAATGATGAGGATGAAGATGATGATGACGAAGAAATGAAAATGATCTTAAAAACTTAAGTTTACATTTAAGAGACAGAATTTTATATAGCCTAAAGAAAAAATGATGAAATATAATAAAATAGATTTAAAAATTATTCTGAAGAAAAAAAGATTCCTTAAGTGTTGATGGAGGAGAAATACGCACCCCCAAAAAGGTCTATGACACCTGAAGAATCCACCTTTGCTGGCGAGGCAGTGGTTGCAGGAGATGGTGCTGCAAATGCATCCACTGCAGTGAAGCACAGACAGGAAAAAGTGCATGTCACCCAAGGGAAAAGAAAACCATGAGCCTTGACAAATGGCATCTTGGGATTTCATGGTTCACTCCAGGCAGAAAGACTGTAGACAATCTTAACAGTTAAGGAAAAGCAAACGGGTTTTAAAATACACGCTCTCCAGAACAAAATAAAATTGACTCCTTGAGGTCAGAGGTTTCAGTGTGAAAAAAATTTTCACTAGCCTTAAATTTGAAATATTAACCCTCAACGGTTGATGATGGTCCCAAGAGTGAGTTTTTCTTTTGAAGTACATTTTAAATTTAAAAGAACTCAAGAAAAACCCACATGTTATATCCTTCTCTCTATGCATTACTTCCACAAGACATCTCTGAAGTCCTGACCTTGGCAAAGCACTCACCAGATAAGAGGTCAGCAGTGAGAGAACTCTCAGGCACAGGAGAGGCCCCTTGTGGTGGAGAGGAGAAAGCATCTTCCAAAAGTGAAACAAACCAAAACCAAGCAGAGGTAAGTAGTAGAAAGCTGAAATCAAAGTCAAAAATCTAACAAATGCATTATCACAGGTGAGTACAAAGAGCTTAATCAGGAAAACATCTAAGAAACTAAAGTGAAAAAAAAGGGTTGCTTTGGTTTTACCTGTACTAAACAGGTCTATGCTAGGAGCAGCATCTGGCTTAGGCGCTGCAGCAACTTCAGGAGTGGACTCAAATAAATCTAAGACCAAGAACACACATGCCTTTACTCAACTTGAACAATAAGCCTGACACAGCATCACTTCCCAGTCCTTAATTAGCACTTTGAAGAACTCTGAATTAAGCAGCAAATGGTTTCTAGAGAACCATTTAATTACACAGTCTTCATGCAGTACATCTCAAGGATCAGAATTCAATCCACTAGACGGAAAGAGGTCGACAACAATAACAAAAAATTACCACCAAAGATATCTAGAGCAGGAGGAGCAGTGGTGGCGGTGGCAGCGGAGGTGGTGGTAGTGGTGGTGGCAGCGGCGGTGGCAGCAGTAGTGGCAGCAGCAGCAGCTGCAACGGCAGGAGCAGGAGAAGGAGCAGTTGCGGGAACTGGAGGGGCTGTGCTAGCTGTAGGGGTAACTACAGGAACACTGGTCTCAGGTGGCTTCATTGCAAAGAGGTCCAGCTCAGGTGCAGCCTCTGCACTACCTTCAGACGGGGCAAAGGGGTCTTTTGGAAAGGAAAGTGGAGACACACACAGCATCAGTAAGGAAAGAGACAAGAGACAGCATCATAACTATGGCAAGAGACACCTTATACAGATATTTACACACTAGCTAGGTGTGAGGCTCCTTGGATTTAACTACTATCCTACTGGCAGGGGTTAGTGATTAGGATGTTTTTCTAAAGAAAAAGGAAAACTTAGTAGGTACCACAAGTTAGCAAACTAAAGCATTTTGCAAAGTGCCGTAAGATTAACCTACAGTCTAGGATCAGAGATTGCTATCCTTCAAATCTTCACTTTATTTGGTCAATCTGGTAGCTTTGAAAATTCATTAAAACATGCCAATATATTTGAACTCAATGTTACAAAAGAGTACAATATAGCATTAGAAAAAAAAACATTAAGACAGCATACTTGCACTGACAAAAATTGTCAATCTTAAGAAATTGTCAATTTTGATAAGTATGTACTTCATTGTCTTAATGTTTTAAATGCTGGCATTATTTATTTAGTTATGATGAATGATACTTTACACTCAGAAGAAAGTAAAATTAGAAAAACATATGGCCTCTTCTAACTACGGGGGTTTTACATTAGGACAGAAGAATAACAGACTGGCTAATGACTTTAAACCCACCATTTCCTGAACATGCATCAAGTGCTGCTGCTACAGGGGTTGGGGTAGCTGGTGCGGCGGCCCCTTCGGATGCTGCAGGGGCCTCCCCAGGAGAAGCTGCAAAGGCATCTTGGGTGCGGTTTTTAAAACAGCAGAAATTAAAAGAATAAAAAGAGAAGAAAATACAGTAAAAGAACCAAGTTAAATTGTGAAGAAGGCTCCCTTATACAACATGAATTTTTAAAAATGCATTTTTATGGCCCATGCGCTGTCGGTGGTCACAAAACAATTATTCTTTGCACACCTTCATGTTAGTTAACATGCAAGTGATACAATGTTGATACTGCTGAGGCCTAATAGGATCCAAAAGGTAATGAGATTCTCATTGTATAAGGGCTCTGAGAAGCATGTTTTATGTATCATTAGAAATTAATGGATGTAAAAATTAAAACAAAAAATATTTTTATTATGTAATTTAAGACATTAAACTTTCATGTCCAGGTAACACTGATTCACTGTTATTAAAATGTCCCTGTCTCATAGTTTCTAGCAAACATAATATCTTCTTTAATGCCAATAAAATTAAATATACAATGGCAATGTAAATAATTCTAGTTTTAAGATTTTTTATAATCTAGTACAGGCAAAATTACAGTGTTAACATGAAAGGTTTACTAAGCATTCCTAAGTGTTAAGTCTTCACTATCCCTGAAAAGCATTTTCAAACATAACCAATAATTTTACTAAGGTTTACTAAGCATTCCTAAGTGTTAAGTTTACTAAGGTTTACTAAGTATGAGAGTATGAAACACTCTTACTAAGTTTACTAAGCATTCCTAAGTGTTAAGTCTTCACTATCCTTGAAAAGCATTTTCAAACATAACCAATAAGTTATTTTAAAGACATAAAGAGATAAAAATAGGGTATGATACCATAATGCAATTATATTTTTCTAGTTATTTGGAAAATAATCTATTTTCAACAGGTTAAAACAATATTTTCACATTTTAAGACTATAAGTGTATTATTATTTATAGAATATCATTAACATACGAGCAGCCACAGTTTATAAATGCCCATTTTACAAATGGCTGATGTGTACAGATGCTTCCCAGTGTGTTTCTACCAACAATGTTAGTTAAGGTAAGAAGTCTTTGAGCTTGCATAGAGATGCTATAGTTTCAAAAGTACAGAAGGAATCAAGCCATGATAAACATGACAGGCTTAGGAGAAGAAAACCCTGGAGAGTGGAGACCAGCACCCACCTAGAACCTGTCACTTACCTGCTAGACTTTCCATCCCCAAATACTGTCTTCCGCAATATCTACTCATGTTTCCTGGAACACTGTTCCTTCAGTCATGAAAATAACATGTCATATATACTTGGGAAGGGCTACACAGTACATGCTCTTCCTTGGTGATTTACTTAGTATATTAGGCTCTAGGACATGCTACTGTCAAGATACTTGTTTCTCAGTTTGACCTGGCATGTCCCAAACTGAGTATGAAACACTCTTTAGTAATGCAGAGTTCTAGTTTTATGTGGAATAACAAACATTAAACTAGATACTTACTTGGGTTAAAAGGCCCTTTACCAAATCACAAATATCCCTTAGAAGGGACAACAGGACATCAGTTATTCATATCTTATGGATTAATCTGATCTGATTGTTCCTCTTTGTTATACTGAGGAAATATATGTTCAATTTATTTATTATTAGAGACAGAGTCTTGCTCTGTTGCCCAGGCTGGAGTGCAGTGGCAATATCATAGCTCACTATAGCTTTGAACTACTGGTCTCAAGTGAGCCTCTGGCCTCAGCCTCCTCACGGACTGGGATTACAGGCCTACAGCACTATGCCCAGCCAGGAATATAGGTTTTGAGTGTCAGGTCAGCTGAGAGGCCAAATAAATAAAACTAAAGAATGAAGAATACATCAAGGGATAGAGTAGGCCTACTTTCTAAATGCCATGTTAAAGATACTATACTTCAGGACTTAGAGCAACACACCCTCTACAAGCAGGGCAGAAGAATGTAAGAGAAGTATGAAAAGATGTTGGGAGGGCTGTAAATATTTTGCCATGAGTCAGGTCAGTTGTTTTATTTTTTTTTGGTTCCTATAAAATTTGGAACTGAGGCCAATAATATTGCAAAGAGTAGAAACACATAGCAGTCATATATATTGCCATTATTAAATTTATCTGTAACAATCTTGTGATTTAGGTTCTACTGTCTCCAGTCTGTAGATAACACAACCAAAGCTTAAAGCGTGTGTGTTCTCATCACAAACAATAAGTGAGGTAATGCATCTATGTTGATTAGCTCAATTAGCCATTCCACAATGTATACACACTTCAAAACATCATGTTGTACATTATATATATATGTATATACTTTTTCAATTAAAGATTTTTTTTTTAAAAAGTCTGATGACTAAAGTTACACAGCAAGAAAATGGCAGAGTTAGGATTTGGCTCAGAGCTGTCTGAGCTTTATGTGTTTAGCCACTGTACTGCATTTTTTATGAAATATGCCTCATTCTATTATATTACTCCCTTCTTTATAATTGAATAAACATCAGTTACATTAGTGCCAGGGATCAAATAGATATTTATGGGCTGACCCCTTTAGGTTATCACTTATGTGTAAGGAGATAAAGCCCATATTGTTATAGCTACATCCTTAGAAGAGGGTTTTAAAAAATCCCCTTGTCAGCAAGATATCTCCTTTTAATTCTTCTCTTGTTACTTGAAACTAAATATTATCAACTTAACTCATCTACACCTGTCAGAAATTTTCTTAAAGGTAGGAGCTGCAGCTGCTCCCACCCCCAGCTGTTTGAATCTTCCTAGCCCCGAAGGAGACATGAATGAGTGTCCAGATGGTACCAGGCCCAATCACTGTCTGACTGCAGCCACAAAAGAGACCTTGAGTGAGAACTGCCCAGCTGAGCTCAGTCAGCCACCAGAACTGTGAGAGATAAAATTTGAATTTGTTAAAAAATAAACAAAACTTTTTTAAATATCTAGTTTTTTTCATTATAAATGGCAGCATTATCTTTCCAGTATTGCAAACTAAAGTTATTTCCAGTTCAGCTCTCCTTTTCATGTTACCCATTTGCAGTTAATTTCTACATTCTGTCAGTTTTTCAACCAGCTCTATTTCCTAGAAATGCGTGCTCCTGCTGTTCTTCAATTATGGACTCAGTCTAGGCCTTAATCCATAAACTGAGCTGACTGCTGCAGACTAGTCTTTTTTCCCCTTCCAGCACTCTAAGACAGAATTTTCCTCTCAAACTTTTTATCATATGACTACCTCTCTCAAATCTAAGAGCTGTTGTTTCCCTCAGCCTGACCTATTCTCTCTCCCCATCTACTTTGGCCACATAAGCCATCTTAAATCACACACTCAGCACAAAGGTTCCAATTGTTCTCAACAGCCCAAATGTCACATTCTGGTTCCTCTTTGTCTCCAAAGGTCCCAGGTTATAAGGCTCTAACATGAAATCTAGTTGAAAGTGTTTAATTATTGGTTTTAAGGAAGGTTGGTTAACTTAGTTTTTTGACCAACATGTACCCAATGTGATCAGGCTTGTGAGGTAAGTTCTTTGGTTTTCCAGTCACTTTGGTTTAATGTTTGCAGACTACTAACCTTATGAAGGTTTGCTCACAAATTGACACATTTGATTGAAAGGGTATCCTTGTTGGTGTGCAGAGGAATTAGCATCAATTTAGCATTCTAGTATTTAGAAAAACCCTGTGTTGTTCAAATCAATGTGCTATTGTCAGTAAAATTTGCATCAGTATAAAAATAGGTTATTTTTAAGGATTTTGCCTTTTATTTTTGTCAATATTTATAAATTTTACTAAATTTTAAAGGCGTAACACTGCCCTTGCAATCCTGTTCTGCATGATCATAAAAAGAAGATCTCATTTCTTAAAAGTTCACTTTAAAAAATGAAGCATTTAATAAATGTAGCTGACAAAAATTTTTTAATGACTTACATGAACTACCTACATTGAAAGGACTAAAACATTACTTGTGTATCAATAAGAATATTTCTGTTAAAAATCACAAAAATTTACTATTTTTAAAATGTGTAATTTAAATATAGTACTAAAATACATTAACAGTTTTAATATTTGATAGGGATGAAATTAAATAGCCATCCTTCTGAAATTAAAATCCATTAAGCTTTATTTCTAAAGAAATCTACTTAGTTGCTGTACATATTGCATAGGACCTCAAAAAGGCATGTTTTAAAGTTGTAAAGTTATGCTGTGTTAAACAAAACATAACTGGTTTTCTGATTATTCTAGAGTTCTACCACTTACCCATTGTAGAGAGACAAAATATTTAAAAAATGGCCACACAAAATGGCCAAAGAGATTTTAGCTTAGGTTTTTATTAAAAATTAAATCTCTGAATAATTTCTTAAAAACCAATGAAGGCATGAAAGAAATTACAGAAAATCACTGAAAATCACAAAACAGATAATGACATATATAGACTCCTGAACATAAAGGATGGAAATTGTATAGCTATCAGAAGCCAGGAGACAATTTATAGAACTAAACAGATCAATAAAATAATTATGATGTGATTTTCAGATGTAATTGTCATTGTACACTCATTTCTCAGCCAGATGACTGGAAAGGATATTGATAAAATCACAAGAACAGTCTCATTCTTTGACATTAAGTTGCATGATTCTCTGCAGTACTCATCCTTTAAGCTTATATTTAAAGCTACAAAGAATGCCATCATGAAAATTTTCTAAACATACAGATTTTTCCACTTGATGAATATAGTCAAAACAGAAATAAATGACAAACAAAAACAGCATAATGGCATGAAGAATATTTCAAAGAAATATCTTAGTCTTTATTATTCTAGAGGGCTATGCAGGAAGTAAGATAGAGTTGATTGATTTCTTTGAGGTAATCAACTCCTTATAAGTGGACTGGAAACAAAAAATCTAAACAGCTAAGGCGTAGAAATGTTTCAGCACAAAATTATTATGCATCCTGTCCATATTTTCCTTACTTTTTTTCTGTTAACACAAGCCTATGAGAAACTACCCATAGCTACATCAATAACAGAGGGTGGGGGAAGGATAGATTTTAAATTAAAACATTTACTAAGTGTATTACCTATTATTATTATGGAACTTTCAAGCTAGAAGGACTTTAGAGATCTTCTAGACCAAGTTTCCAATTGTATAGATGGGAGAACTGAGGCCAAAGGAGGTCAAGAGGCTTACCTTTAGTCAGGCCTAAACAACTTTGACAAACTCTATTTACCACCTGATTTAGATTTGTGGAAGGAAGAGGAAGTTGATTTTATAAATGTAAGCTAAAATTTAAATTTTTGGTTTCAAAGGATATAGGGGCATAAATGAAAACCTAACCCTCTATAGTGGGTGGCTCTTTTTAATTTAATTTTATTTTTGAGACAGGGCCTTGCTCTTCACCTAGGCTAAAGTGCAGTGGCGTGATCAGGCTCACTGTAACCTCCACTTCCTGGGCTCAAGCAATCCTCCTGCCTCAGCCTCCCAAGTAGCTTGGACTACAGGTGCTTGCCACCACAACTGGCTAGCTTTTAATTATTTTGCAGAGACAAGGTCTCACTATATTGCCCAGGCTGGTCTCAAACTCCTGAGCTCAAGCAATTCTCCATCTTGGCCTCCCAAAGTACTAGTATTACAGATGTGAGCCACTGCGCCAGACCATGGGTGACTCTTTATTCAAGGGTCTGCAATCCTTTTTCTCCTACTCTTTTACAAACAGGTTTCTCCTGTTCCATAGGAATGGACAGCAAGGCAGCAGAAAATGTCTTTTGTGCAGCAGTGGCAACAAAGCTGTGTCTAGTGGAGTGCTCCTTGTCTTGGATGATGTTGGCCAACCTTAGAGACTGGAGCATGGCATGTAGCAGAGTGGTAGGTGACAGTGTGTTAAATGTATGTTCCCAGGGGTACATATTGATTACACCAAAGCCTGCCAAATCTCTCTTGCTTTCACCATTTTCTTCCTCCAATTTCTTTACCATATTCTCAAAATGCCCTAGGAAAGATGTTATATGGTAATGAAGATACACAAAACTATAATGACTATAACATCACTTGACGTATGTGTTTGATATGAGAACTTCTTTAGGTGTGGACATTGGTACCACACAGATGGGGATACATATATGAATAAACTGGCTTCACATGGCTCATCAGGTCCAGGCATATTATAGTGGGTCAGAATTTACATTTCCATGGAAAGCATATTTTTAGACAATCATTTCAAAGACTGACTTAAATCTGTTTTCAATCAGCCTTTCAAGTGCTGCTTCAGATGTTTTCTCAGAGTTCCAAAACCAAAGATGATCCAAGTTTTTATTTGGACAGAACAAACTTAAAGCTGTAAAAACAGGCACATCCCTTAACTCTCTTCAAAGGCTTCCAAACCTGAATTACTCTTAGATTATTTTTTGCCCTAAACATTAAGAAACAACTTAGGCCTGTGTTGCTCCTCCTACATTCCCCAAATATTCTCTGGGCTAGTTCTAATCTGGCCGAAAAGCTAAATAAACCTAAAGGTGACAGAGAGCTCTGGTACCACTTTTATACAGACACTGGAGAGCAGGAACCTAAAGGCAGGAGTTCTGAAGGTAGCAACATGAATTCTAATGTTAAAAAACGTGAAAATCAAATGGGCCTGATGCATTGCAATCTCTGCTATAAAATTACTAAAATTAAGTGAAGAGAAAGTTGATGAATTTAGTGAAGATAAATATACATGAATAAACATTGAAAAAGTACTTAAACACTCTGACATGCTGTTACATAACGGAAAAAATTTTAAAGACCTTAACTCCCAAGTAATTTTAGCAATCCTGAAAAAATGAAAGTAGCAGCGAGACTAACTAACCTCCAAAGAGATCCACTTCAGCAGTGACAGCAGTAACAGTTGTAGTAGTGGAGGCAGAAGCTGAGGCAGTTGCAATTTCAGCAGTTGTAGTAGGAGGGGTAGGTTCTGGTGCAAATGGATCTGAAATCTGTGCTTCAGAGGGAACAGAGGAAAGTGCAGCCAAAGAATCTATATTTCACCAGAGACAGAGAGCAAACGGAGAGAAGAAAAGCAAAGGACAAAAGATATACCAGACTCCAAATGATCAAAATAAGGACAGTTGTTACATACAGAAGTCTGTCAAAATGGAAGTTTAAAAACAAAGCTTTACTCACCCTCTCCCAAAAGGTCTACCGATGTCCATTACATGGCAGCATAAGAATAAATAAGAGCTAAAGTTGAAACATGCAACCATACCAATGTCCAAGCCAGATAAGGCACTAACTAAAAAAACCTTAGCTTTATGTGTCTTCTACACCATTTGCAATTAAAAAATAAATGTACTACCTATTATCATGGAACTTTTAAGCTAGAAGGGACCTAGAGATCCTCTAGACCAAGTTTCACCTTTAGACATGTACTTCAGATTTTATTAACAAGCAAATGGGTCACAAAACTACTTGTGCTGTAGCTAACCTTATACATGAAGATATCAGAGTCATATGATCACATAATATTGATTAGCTTTCAAATACATGTTGGTAGATAATTTTAATTCTAATAAATTCTGGCAGTAATCCCATGTTTCTCAAAAAAAGTAGAAATTTCACTTTAAGCATGTATAAAAAGAAACTGTTTTCCCATGTCTAAAATATACAGACACACAACACACACTTATTTGTGCTTCTGCAACATGAATTTACTATGAAGAAAATAAAAAACACTCTATTAGGGAGCCAAAGATGAGGATTTAAAAAATCCTCTGTATTCTTTCAGCCGATTGGGTTCATCACCAGCCTGTAGAAATGCCAAATCTTACATGCACAATTTAAATTAAATTTACTAAAATAAATTTGCTAAAATTTGGTTGCTTTACACCAACAGGAAAAAAAATGCTATCATTACAATGTGTCCCCTGAAATAAAAATGTGTGTTGGTACCTATAACCCCCAAGAAAAATTTAGAGACATTTGAAGTGGCTATGGTCCTTGGAAATGAGACCATCCAATTAGGCTTACAGAGTTTTACAGTTTATAATTTACTGCCTAGTTATACAGAATTCAAATATGCTTCAATAATAGAAGTGGCTTGATCTTATCAAACAAGATTGAGAAAACAATTTTATTTTTTTGCTTAGTCAAATAAACAAACACATATCTGTTACAATTTAGCATCACCTTCAACCATGACTGGGTATCCACCGGGCAAATTGTAGAAGTTTATTTCAATTTCTTAAAGTCTTATAATTTTTACTATTTTGCTTAGAAATTAGAGAATTTCTTTATTAGCATTTCCCCCCAAAGCTGACTTTTCTATTGCTATGAAATGTTGCAGTTGTAGATGTTTTGTTGCGGCAAAAGTGCTGTCTAATCATCAAAAGGTGAACATCAGGCCCTATAAGGTGCCTTTGTACTAATTATAAAAACGTACTCCCTGGGGCAAGGAGAAGGACAGCATTAGGACAAATGCATAATGCATGCGGGGCTTAAAACCTAGATAACTGGTTGATAGGTGCAGCAAACCACCATGGCACATGTATACCTATGTAACAAACATTCTGCATGTGTATCCCAGAACTTAAAGTTAAAAAAGAAAGAAATAAGAAAGTTTACATGGTTTTCACATATTTATCATTTTAAACAGGTTAAAGATAGTACCTTTCTTGGGTAAGTGTAGTGATGACCAGCATAGTACTTGTCACAGGAGCACTCAATCAATATTAGCTTTCATTGTAACTTGAGAGCTATCTTAGTTTTTATTGTAAAATTAATCTTATGTGTTTATCAAAAAAACTTTAACCTTATAGTCATTTAAAATAACTGAAAAAAGCATAAAAATATGCTTTTAAAATCAAACTACTATGGAAACTGCTTTACCCCAAATTTTGGCCCATTAGCTTACCTATTGGGACAACTGATGTTTAGCCATGTGAACAAGCCCCATTTTGTCAGAAATATAATTTGGATCCAACTGCCTTTTTGTGATTTTTTTTTCTTTATTTTTGAGAAAGGATCTCACTATGTTGCTCAGGCTGGACTCTTAACTACTGGGCTTAAGTGAGATTCTCATCTCAGCCTCCTCAGAAGCTACATGCATGAGCCACTGCACTCAGTTTTTTTAATCCAACTGTCTTTGGTAAATCAGTGAGTTCGTTTTACTGTCTTATGGCTAAAATTTGAAAATAAAATAAAAGCTATATTCTAAAATAAAAGCTATAATATCTTAAAAAGAAGAAAAAAAAAAGGTACTCCCTGTAGTGAGACAGATTAGAAAAAGTAAAGCATCTCTTTCTCAAGGATAATGAGAAAGGCTCACAGCGTGACTATAGAGTTCTGGCTGGATTTCAGCCCCCTTGCCCTGCCTTTGAGCAATGCATGATCTACATTGTCTGTATAGTACAGCCCTGGCTAAAACCATACTGCTCTGCTTTGTCTTTTTATGTCCAATGGTATGTTAATGTTTCAATCATCAATAGTTACATATTTCTAACTTTAAAGGCTAAAATGTATTCTAATAAAATTGGTTATTACAATCAATTCCTTACAATATTATGTGTCTTAGCAAAAAGTATTTAGAGATGAAAATGAATAAAAATGTTATATTGCAATTCAACAAAATTTCACCTTTTATTTTTTCCTTTTATTTGGCATTCTTTTAGTGCCAAAATTTTTTAAAAAAAGATAAAATTTATCTTCAGTTTCATGCCAGGGAATATGGAAAAGGGACTAGTTTACAGTTTCACTGTTTATTCATTAAAGTTCTAACAAAGACAATATGGTAATGAAAATAAATTATTAGCAAATTAAAATAATCAGTGATGAAGCTCAGAATAAAAACATGAGTAAAAAAGAATGCCCTTATAAAATCTCTTTAGCAATATTTTCCTTTACCAATAGAAATTTAATAAAGTTAAATAAAGCTGAGAGAACAATTTTATTTTAAAAATTGATAGCTGTAGCCTTAGGAGTTGAACATTTCAATATAGGATAAGGTTTACATATTTAAAATGGAAACGTGCCAACATTTTAAATGTTCTTATTTATAGTTAGCAACATTATTTCAGAACTGGTTATCTTTCTCTTATTTTTGTTACCAAAATAACTTGGAAATGAGATCAAGAGATTACAGATAGGACTTTTGATGTTATACTGACACACTGTTTAACAAGACCACCAAAGGACATTCAATTATTTAGAGAAATATAACTTCATTTGACTTAGTTATTATTGTGCACTAAAGGCTCTGATTCTCCAATGTTATGTTGTTACAGATCTTGTCTGCTAGTGATGCAAATAATCTCTGTATGGGAGAAAAGATAACCTCAAGGCTATGATTTTTATTACCCTATAGGTCATTAACAGCTTTCTATCTAACCTAGCCATCTTATTCTAACATTCCTTTTAAAATACCTATAAATACTCAGTTCCTCAAAATGTTCTTTGAGACAGCTTTATCATCTTGCTGGTTTCCTCATTAGTGAGTTACTAAGTCTTTTATTTCTGTTGCTCCTATAGTTGTACAAGGCATGTCTTAAACTTTTTGAAAATTTTATTCTGATAGTTTGGTACAGGAAGGCATGGTATTTAAAACCAACTCTTTGCAGCTTTGAGCATTATGAAGCAATTACTTTAATTTTTATATTAATATTAAATGTTTTAAATCAAATATTTATAAAAGGCTGATTTTTTTCCTGAGATCCATAAATAAAGTGGGAATCAAGTGCTTAGATGTGATTCCTCTCAGTCAATCAGTTTAAAGTATGGATTTTTCTGGTACAAATAAGAATCTGTAAAAAGATTTCAACTGTATGAAGTCAAATACAATGTGAATAAAATCAATTCAGGCCTAAAAGAATCCAGGAACGAGGCTACACCTGACCAAACCAAATTGGAAATGTTACCTTTGAGTAACCATAAATTAAGGGGAATACTCAATCCTCAAGGCCTGAGTCTCTAGAGAACAATTACTAAAAATAATCAGAATTTTAGAGTAGTAATAAAAAAGAACAACAAAAAACCCACAAAACTTCCTTGTTCCAACTGTTAAAATAAAAACTATATGACTATTTGAACATTCTCACTGTATTACAGGCACTTTCTCTGTCTCTCTCTCTCAATATATATTTCAATCAATAAATGCCATTCTTAACATTTTCCCTCCAAGTTTCTAATACCATTTTAGATAATCAAAAGGTAAATGTTAACAATTATAGCCTAAGTAAAAACAATGAAATAAAATGAATAGAGAAATGGCAAGGTTGTCTGGTTTTACTCACCTCCCCATGCAGTGGCTCCTCCAGCAGGTGGTGGTGGTGCTGGTGCTGCGGCTGCTGCTGCCCCTCCAGAGGAAAAGTCTGGCTGGAGGTCCAGGAGATCACTAGATGGTTTAGAAGTGCTGAAAGGAAAATAAAACATTAAAATCAGATTTTGAAATTTTATAACATAAAGGTGTTTTTGAATAAAGACATGCAGAAATCATCAAAGATTTTAGGTATTTTAAATCCAATAAAAGAATAATACTTTGGAAAGTATAGAGCTATAGCATATACCAAGAGTTGGCAAACTACTTTTGTCAAGGGCAAGATGGTAAGTATTTTAGACTTTGAGGGCCAGTTGGTCTCTATCATTACTTGACTCTGCTAATGTAGAATGAAATTAAGACATAGACAATACACAAACAAATCAACATGTCTTTGTTCAAATAAAACTTTATTTACAAAAACAGAGAGTGGGCTGGAGTTGATCTATGTGCAGCATTCTACAGGGAAATCAAAATCATAACCTTGAGGTTATCTTTTCTCTATTTCCTAAAATCTTTTGTATAGAAAAAAAATTCATGTCTTGAGAAGAATTTATTTATAAACCAAAGAACACTAAAGGGAATTATTAACCACTAATTTATCTTTTTCCTACGTTAGACTATAATATATCAAGTTTGCCTGTAAGAGGACTTACCTAAAACGACTACTGCATTTTTTATTTTTACTCAGTTGAGGCTGTGCTTTTCAAAGCTTCTCTGTCTGTAGAATCTCCAAGGAGCAGCCTTACTATTCAAAGTATAGGCCTCAAACTAGCAGCATCCTGGGATGTTTTTATAAATGCAAAATCTCAGGCATACCCTGTATCTACCACCTCAGAATCTTCATTTTAATAAGATGCCAAAGCAATTCACATGTACCTTCAGATTTGAGGAGCACTGGCTTAAAAGTTACCAGGCCAGGTGCCAAGCCATCAGGGTCCCAGGTTCCCCACCTGCCTTCATAAACAGCAGTTTCATCTTTATCTTTTTTTACATATTAGATTTCCAAGTAATATTCTTTTGAAGAAAGGATTCTGCTGCTTTTTAAAAAAAGTTTCAAAACCACTGAAACCATTGCTAGTTTTGATGTCCATTTCATAAATACAACTGGACTAAATACCAGGAAAGGAATACATATTTATTATTAATATCTTAAAGCTTTTGTAAGAAGCAATTTAATTAGAACAGTAATAGAAAGGAGTTGGTTATGCCAAATTTGCTATTATAAAATGCAGAACTAAGCAAGTAGAGAGTAAAGCACACAGTTAACATGGGTACAATACTTGGATTTCTTGCTCAGTTCAAAGTTCAAGTCTCCAAACATAGGGCATTCATAATCAGAGTCAAAGATACTACAAAATGATATTAGAATCCTCTTAAGGCAAATGAACTAAGGAATTGACCTAAATTTATTATTTGAGGACACACCTATGAGCTGGGGATTGATTTTAGGAGGCTAGAGATTTCAAAGAACGCACAGTCATCCCCAGATTTCTCACTACTGTTCTGATCTGTAGGTTCTATAAAAACTGATTAGGAATACCCCAAAGGCCTCCTCCTACCACCAGAGTGTGAGTTCCTCATACGCACTAGCTAATTGGTCAAACAATTCCAAGTTGGGTTGTGTGTGTGTGTGTGTGTGTGTGTGTGTGTGTGTGTTTTAAAGCATTTTAAAATACCTTTTGAATCTCCCACAAGAAGAAACTAATTTTAGAAAACACTTTCCATATCAGCCAATTTCAGAATAAATTGTGTGTATCATTCTTCCATTTCCTTTCTCAGTTTGTGACAACAAGGTGATTTCTATAGCTTAGGTCTTTCTAATGATTTAAGAGGCACAGGAGTAAAACAATGTACTTTGTGTAGTAAAAACTTCAACATTACTAGGATTAGATTTCCTTTGGTGAAATCATTTGGGTACAGCACATAAAAATAAAACCAAACTCTAATAAAATATTAATAAACAGTTAACTGCATATTTATTTACCAACCTGACTGGGACAGCCGCAGATGCAGTTGCAAATAAATCAACCGGTGGGGATGTGTCAATAGTTTTAGCTGGTGTAGAATTAGGAGACGTAACAGTTGTGGCTGGAGAAGACTGAAAGTGAAGATGCACAACACACTTGAGTCAAATATGAATCTACAGGACACAGGGCAGCAGGACTTTTCTTTGTATAACCATGACATGCCCAGCAATTTTTTTTTTGTAATTCTTTGTGGAGGAAAAAAAAACTCAATAAAATTTGAAATCAAGGATTGTAATAAATAATCAATATTGGCTAAAACATGTTACAAATTTTAAATGTAATTTATATAAAATGATAAAATATTTGGCTTAACATTGCAATGACTTCCATTCATTAATTAAAATAAAAGCTAAATGTATTTCCTGAACATAAAATTATTAGGAAAGATCTTACTAGCTGCAAAAAATTTCAAAAATTATCAATTGTAATAATTGCTAAAAAAACCAATGTCATTATTTTTTCTTGTCATCCTAAAAAGATTTCATGTGAGGTCCTCTCAGATGACCTTCAAATCCAGAAATCTAACTTGCAAAATAGTTCACAGTTGGAAGAGAACGATTCACAAGCAAGATTCAAGTCACTGATGTTTTGAAGATATCATGACTATAGCCCATCACTAAGATGACATAGATAAAACTAAAAAGGTAAAAATAAAATCTAGTATTTATTTTTCAAGAAGAGGTATTAATAGTCAATTAATATATTACAAGATTTTTATTTAGTTACTGTAACTAAACAATTTTGTCTGGTATATTTAATTCTCCATTCATTCACAAGAGAAAGATTAATGGAACATTTCAAAACAATGTATTGATACTTAGTTCTGTTAGTGGAGATGAGACATAACAGCAGGAAGATTCATGAAGACCAAGACCAAGCCAGGGCTATCAGATACTCCCCTAACTGGGCATCTGACTTCAAAGAGACCAAACATAAAGGAAGTTTTAAAAAGAATAATTTGAGGAAAAAAAAAACTGAGGAGATCAGAAATTTACAGAAATTTACAGACTTAAATATTATGTTTGTCCAAGAATATACTAATCCAAAAGTCAAAATTCAATAGTTATGCAAGTGCCAAGCATTTAGCACTTCAAGAAAGGTGGACACATGAGCAGTGTGGATGTTGTTAATCAGAAAATATCAACTCAGAACTCTCTCTTCAACAAAAATTCAAATCTTCCAAATGGAATACAAAACATGATCAATGGAAGAGAAAGGACTAGTTAAAGCTAATTGTATGTCATCCATTGGGAACACTGAGAAATCCTCTAAGAAAAGGTTTTTAAAAGCCAATGCATGTAAATAAGTTTAGAAAAAATGATATTGATGAAACACTGAGAACTTATTGACAGCAATAAATATTATCAACATAAATGCAAAAAATGAAACTCTACAGAAGCCCATTAAAAAATGCCTTGTAACAACAAGCTCTGAGGAGATGTAAGAGCTAGGAAAACAGAACCCAAATAATCTGTTATTACAAAAAGAAAAAGTCAGTAAAATTCAATTTGGCCGAAAAAGAAAAAAAAAAATTCAATTTGGCCAAAATGTAGAAACAGACCAACCCAAAGGATGCCACAATTTTACGACACTCTACTCAGCAGTCATATATTGGAGTTTTTCACATAGACATAATGGTTTTAAACCTGGCCTTATATCAGAATAAATGGAGCTTTTCACTTGTTTGTTTTATCTGACTGATTGTTCAAGGTCCCTGAGGGGATCTTAGGCAGCCAGCCAACCCATCACTGGCATAGTACATGGTGTCTGGAAATCACCAGTGCAGCCATAATGATATCCTTGAATATCTGTAATGACAGCAATTATATAATGGAAATTTGTCAAAGAGGAAAAAACACATCTATTACATTTTTGTCTGAAGAATACAATGGTAAATGTGAACTACAGACCTATAGAAGTAAATACTCTTGTCACTAATAACCCTAATCCTGTCCTTTCACATGGTAAAAAAGAGACAAGGAGGTAAACGAGTTATTAAAGTTATTATAGTCAACTGTCTAAAAGGCATATTTGTGGAAAGACACCCAATTACAATGGATTTCTCTACCTTTGAAACATGCACAATATCACATTACCTACCTCATACGACTCTGATTTAGAATATGTAAAAATGTTTTACAACTATTAAAACATTCTACTGATAACATTTGTTTTCTGTTGCAATATAAATACGTGAAAATCTCTCCAACTTTAAAAATATTTAGTCCAAACAAAGGACTAAATTACATATACTATACTACATTGGACTTAGAAACAAATACAAAGGAGGATACATAAAAACATAACTTACCTTTCCTCAAACAATTTAAATTAGAATTACCATATGACCCAGCAATTCCACTTCTGGGTATATACCCCCAAAGAATCAAAACCAGGGACTTAAATAGATATTTGTACACCCATGTTCACAGAAGCATTATTCATAAACCCAAATGATACAAGCAACCAAATATCTACTGATGGATGAATGCATGAATAAAGTGTGGTATATACATATAATGGAATATAATTCGGCCTTCAAAAGGGAGGAAATTCAGGCACATGGTACAACATGGCTGAACCTTGAAGATATGCTAAGTGAAATAAACCAGTCACTAAAAGACAGATTCTATATGCGCTCACATATATGAGGTTCCTAGGGTAATCAAATTCATAGAGACAGAAAGTAGAATGGTGGTTGCCAGGGGATCGGGGAGAGAGGGAGGTGGGGAGTTATTGTTTAATGGTATAGTTACAGTTTTGAAAGATAAAAAAAAAAGTTCCGGAAATGGATAGAGAGGATGGTTGTACAACAATGTTAAGGTATATAATGCCACTGAACTGTACACTTTATGATGGTAAAATGGTAAAAAACAAAAAACAAAAACCCCCAAACAAAAAACCAAACTTACCTTACTTAATGGAGAGGGAGCACCAGATCTAAAAGGCAACATAAAAAAAAATTAAAACTGAATATATATATATATATATATATATATATATATATATAAATATATATGTGAATATATTTGTAGAAGCATTTAAGTTGGATTTCACTTGGTCAAGCACTAACTTGTTTTATATACAGACTTTTAAAATAATGGACAGGCTATTTTTAAAAAACTTTTAATCTTTTACTTAATAATGACACCCCCTTCCACTGTTTTCCATCTACTTAATTTCCAGTACTAGAAATACTTAAATTCAACATTATTTTCCATATCTCTCGCAACTCAAATTCTTTGAGTCAAACATTATTGCCTATGTCCATAAAAAACAAACTGTCTAAATGGGAATTTAAAACCATTTTCAGAAGGCTTGGAAAAAACCATGCTTTGCAGAATTATGACAAACCCCAACACCCAGTGGTTTAAATCACTTAGGTTAAAGTACACTGTGAAGATCCCTACAGGCCCTGTGCTGAAATATGTCTCGGCTTCCATATTCATACTCTTGAAGTCTGTTTTCCCCCCCCATGGCTGTAATAAAAACTCTAGCAAGAATATTCTAGGAAAAATATTCCCATCATCCTGTTATAATTAGTGGGAGCTAGGAAAAAAACAGCAACTTCGATGCTTTTTTCTAAGAAAATGAGGGAAAATTAGGAAGGCGTGAATTTTAAGTTATATTACTGGTAGCATTGACTATTGCAGATCACTTCTAGGAAAGTGCTTCAGAAATAACTGCCAGAACAGCTCACATTTTACTAACTTCAGTTAGTGAAAAATGAATAACAAAACAAGATGAAGACTAAATACATTTCAATAAGCAGCCTATATTCACCGCCTTACTGCATGGCAGGGATGACTTTTTACTCATCTACAGAGAAAATATCACACACATAGCAGCAGCAAAACAAAATTACAGCAGAAATTTAGTAAGTAGAATTTTGTACAATATTATGAATTTTTGTCTTATTGGATATAGCAAATTTAACAGTATTATATGCCAAGTTAATATCTTTCTTTTTTTTTTTTGAGACGGAGTCTCACTCTGTCACCCAGGCTGGAGTGCAGTGGCGCAATCTCAGCTCACTGCAAGCTCCGCCTCCCGGGTTCACGCCATTCTCCTGCCTCAGTCTCCCAAGTAGCTGGGACTACAGGCGCCTGCCACCACGCCCGGCTAATTTTTTTTTTTTTTTTTTTTTTTTTTTTTTTGGATTTTTAGTAGAGACGGGGTTTCACTGTCTTAGCCAGGATGGTCTCGATCTCCTGACCTCATGATCCGCCTGCCTCGGCCTCCCAAAGTGCTGGAATTACAGGCATGAGCCACCGCGCCAGGCCCAAGTTAATATCTTTTAAGTTCAACTTCATTTGCAAATACATGCCTGCCATTTCCTGTTTGAATTTAATTTCTACTTAAAATGAATATAAACAACAGGTAGCAAGGGCACAGAGATTTCTGCTATATAACAAGCATAAGGGTAACAACTTGGTTACATGTAGTTTGGCTAAATGTTATCTTAAGAGTAATATAGTCTATGAGGGAAAGGATATACCTTTATCTATACTGTCCGTGTCAAAGGGTCTACTGAAATATCTACAGTAAATTCCTTAAGAACCTAAAAATCTAGTACAGCATACGGTGGGAAATGTCCTAGTGAGTTTTGGCTAATAATTTCTCCACTTCCACTATTTTTTCCCTTTACGTATGGAAAAGGAAGGGAGTTAAATCTAAATAAAAATTCAAGAAAATAGTAGCATGAATTCTACAAAGAAAACATAGAAGCCTTTGGTATGGTCACTTTCTAAGAATGAATTAATTTAAATTAATTTGTTTCTCTCTCAAGCAATTTTCATAAACCAATTCTTAGTGGTATTGATACAATTATAAATACTAATAAAGAAAAGAGAAGAGGCCAGGTGCGGTGGCTCACGCCTGTAATCCCAGCACTTTGGGAGGTAAAGGCAGGCAGATCACTTGAGGTCAGGAGTTCGACACCAGCCTGGCCAATATGGCGAAACCCTGTCTCTACTAAAAATACAAAAAAATAAAAAATAAAAATTAGCTGGGTGTGGTGGCACGCGCCTGTAATCCCAGCTACTCAGGAGGCTGAGGCAGGAGAATCGCTTGAACCTGGTGGGTGGAGGTTGCAGCGAGCCGAGATCGCACCACCGCACTCCCTCCAGTCTAGGAGACAGAGCGAGACTCAGTCTCAAAAAAAAAAAAAAAAAATATCAACAGCTTTAGAAATACATTTCCAAACTAATACCTAAAATATTATAACTTCTTCTATAACATCTTCTACCCCACAGCAAGAATGAAGATATAATAAAAATGATAGAATTGTTCTACCTGCTATAAAAAAGAGTATCATACTTAAGTATGAAAAATCATAATTGGTACAAGAATCATTTTGCCAAGCTTCCACATAAACAATATTAGTAAATGATACTTGCAGTTATCCCATGAATTATGCAAACAAACAAAACCCTCCTACTGTCTCTGTTGAGATATCCCACTTACCACATTACATCTTAGTTGCCTGTTTAATTCTCTATCTTCTTCACTAGATACTAAGTTTTTTGAAAGGAAGGAACTCATCCCATTGTTTTATATCCCTAGCACTTTACATATCATCTGACATTTTCTGTATTATTTGAATTTTTATATTAGAATATGTTCAGGTATTCATTCTATAATCAATAAATTAACCAGACGTCTTTAAAAAGTTATTTTCTGTGAAACAAAACTGTCAGGATGCGTGACCTCTGTTTTCTAACCAGAGTTGGCTTCTGCCATGATTTAATTAAAAGGTTGAGAACCAGAGGTGCTCCAATGGGGCCATAGCTTTCAAAAGCACCATTAATCACTGATTAAACTCTGAAGGTTCCCAGGCTCGGAGAGGTTAATAACTTTCCCATGTCTCATCATGCTTTAACGGTGGATTCCAGACTCTAGTCCAAGTCTATATGCCCCTCAGAGCCTATGCTCAGTCCACATTCCAACCCCCAAAACACAGATAAACTTGGCACATTTGCTTCTCTCTTACACAACATATAAATTGCTCTTCTTATGTGTTTCTCACTTGATTTTCCACCCTAATGTTAGTCATTGCCCTTTAGGAAAGAAGATACTACATCATTTACATATAGACAATATTTGTTAAAAAGACCAATACTTCTATTAATAATTTCACCTAGAAAAATCTAGTAGATAATGAACCATGTTGGAAAAACAAGGCATTAAGGTAATTTTAGAAGAAAATGAATGACCCATATAAGTAATCTACTCTAAATTCTGTAAAATTACTACAAACTCATGGGTTTCACTATGAACACAGCAAATGTCCATATTTCTTTCCAAGATGTTAACAGGAAGCTGTCAAATAGAATATTTTGTTAAGTTTTATATGAGTCATAACAATAATCCCTACATAATTTTGAGTATAAGTGCTAGCCAGAAAAAAATACAGATGTGAAAGATCTATCTACATCCTTCAAATAACTTGAATTACAAAAGATTTATCTTAAATTTCCTGTAACCTCAACACTTAGTAAACCCACATAAATAATAAAATAAATTTCTCTCTTTTGTCCTGTGGAATTATAGAAACAGACAATATATAAAGGTATATCACAGAGTATTGCATAAAATTACAGAAATAAACAGCAGTGGACACAAGGTACTAAATATAAAGGGCATACATATTCTTCATAGCAGACATTTGCAAATGCTTCAATTTATGTATATACTTGGTTTGGAGGTTAGAATAGTTTTATACTGTGACCAGAAGACAAATAAAACAATTTTAAGTAATTAATTTTCTTTATAAATTTGTCTTTTCGCATTTATGCTATAAGCCATGGGGAAGTCTTTTGTTTACTAAACAAATAAAAAATATTTCATTTCTAAAATCTGAGGAATATATTAATATAAATACATATATACATCTAAGAGAGACTGTTAGTCTATATCCAAGAAGACCGAAAGAAAGTAAAACCATTTATGCTAGTCAACTTGGGAGACAAAAATAAAGCATAATGAAAAAACACAGATGTGTAAAAGGGACAGAAATCAGTTTTAAATCTTCTAAATACCAAATGTGGAATCTTAAGAGTGTTTTTTGCATTTTTAGTAATTACCAAATGCAAAAAACTCACTCCATACAGTACTCACCCTTCACTTAAGTTCCAAGGTAAGCACAAACATACAAAGAAGAGAATAGTTAACTATTATAGTTCATTTATTTTAAAAAATAGGGAATAAGCAAAAGACAAGTTCAAATGTGGTTTTAGCCAATTCAGAAGAGAAATATGACAAGCATAAAATGATTTTAAAGGAAAAAGAAAAATTATTCTAAGAAAAAAGTAATTTGAAATGGAGGACTATTGAATTTTAAATTTCACTTCTCTAGAAATGTAACTAAATGTCCATAGCTATTTTTTTTTCCAAAAATAGCTTGTGGTGACCACAAGGGGGCGAATTTAGATTTGAAGTCAGGGCTAATGAGACCCATTCTAGCTACCCAAGGAGGCTTCTCTGTGACTGCAGCACTGATAGATTTAACAAAAAACAAGGGAAGGGTGTGGCCCTATATGGGGTTTGGGGGACCCTGAGTGGAAGAGTGCAGAGAAGCTGACTTACAGTGTGCATCCAGCACTGCACAAGACAGAGATTTTAACTTTAGCGGATGTACATATTTCCTTAGCTAAAGAGGTCCTTCTGTCACAGGAACAGAAACATTTCTCAGCTTCCTGTCTCCATTTGCTTAAATCCTAGGCAACTCATTTGGCTTCCCAGATACCCTAATAGAGGGTGGGCCTAGAAATAACTGAACTAGGGCATCTCTTATTGTGATCTAATGTACTCTCATGTCAAGTCTGATCATCCCCGGCCACGCTGAGATTGGAGGCAGAGCCTGGACTGTGGAAACAACCTTGAAAGAGCCCCTGAGAGCTCCTACTATCCATCATTCCAAATAGCTCTGCCATAATTGTCTGTAATACTCTTATACTGTTGCTTATCACTGCAAATTTAAAACACGCAATAATTTCTACACTAACTTGAAAAAATATTATAGAAATAACACAGCTAATGAAATAACCAGAAAAAAAAAGTAACATCAAGACACAAGCCTAGATTCTGGGAGAATGTCCAGAGGCAACAAAGTCAGAAAATAGTTGCATTTTGATAGCTCTGTCATAGGTAAAATCTGTGATCAGCCTACAGCCCTGAAATGATCATTTTACGGGTTGTCTCTACTAACTCCTGCTGTCAACCAAAATGGAATAAACAGAAAGCTGGTATCATCAACAGAGACAGATTCCAAGCTCTCCCTGTAGAGGACATACATTAAGTGTTTAAATGGACATAATGAAGTATAAAATAGTCCCTAACCTTTAGATTCAGAAAATCTACTTAAATCATACATGTAAAAAAAGAAATAGCCACAATACTGAGCAGTTCAAGATAAAGAAAGGCTTCATGAGAAGGTAGGACTAGAGATGGCCTTCCCAGGATGCATAAGATTTACAAAGCAGGACAAGGAGGATGGGCATCCTAAGACTTGCAGAATTATAGTCTGAAAAAGGCACAAAGATTGGAAAACACCAGGCCTTGTGAATAGACAAGTTTCAGACCTGCTGGAGAGATGGAAAAAGAAAAAAAAAGGAACCTGGACATTTCGTGCATGTAGTGAGGAAAAATAGTCAAAAATATAAGTACTCAAACACAGAGGTATGAAAATCTAGTAAAACTGTACTTATCATTGCTTGATTGCTATTCTCTATATAAAAGGATCTATGAATAAAATGTCAGTAGTATGCCATGCCTAATAGTTCAAGTAGGGAGATACTGGAGTCCAAAAAACTATACTTGAGGGCTTTTCTTTTTTCACAGTGGGGTTGATAACGATAATAGAGTGCTCAAGGCTGCTTGTGAAATTGTGCTTGTTTTCACTCATGTCCAATGATAACAGCTTTGATTTTTAAACAGGAGTAACTATTTTTCCATATATTGTGAATTCCTTCTAAAGGCAAATGTTCAAATCATTAGGTTCAGTTAATGTAGGTACAATCTACTAATTTGCTGCATTAGCCTGCAGAGAGATTGTCTATACCCACTGTCATAAGTTAATAGGAAGAGTAGGGGTTCTGAGGGAGCCCAGAAAATTATAACAAAGCATACCCTAAAACTAGAGCAATATAAGTTGTACCATGATAAATCTCATTCTTAGAAGAACGACTGTAGTATTTTTCATCTTATTTAGAATATACAACTAATGCGTACTTGTTTCCAGGTTTCTTTCCTTCTAATGTATTTAGATGCTGTTCAAGCGTCTCCATAAGACTGCTGGGAGCCTACAATAAGAAAGTAAAAATAAATGTCTGCATTGTTTACTTTCAATGTAAACACACTGTAATGTCACTGTAACTGTATGGTGGAAGTCTGTGGATGGACCCCGATATATATGTGAGATAATTTAATTGCAGGTTCTTTTAGTATTTAAATATTTAAATTCCATAGACTTTCAGACAGACCCATCTTAAATAGACTTAACTCCACTGCATAACAAATAGCATTACAGTGTGGTTTCAGTGTAGAGATTACATTGGATAGACTTTTACTAATACATTACTTATATGCAGTAAACTCAAATCAAGTTCACCACCTCCTTCTCATAAGACCATAGTAAAAATGAATAAGTGTTTGTATTCAAGTCAAAAATATGAGTGCCCAAATACAAATTTACAGAAATTTGAAAATACAGTAAAATCTCACTTATCTATGTTTGTCTGAAATATTAGGAAAAACCATTTAAATATATTTTAAAAAGGTGGTGAGTGAGAGTTGTGGGGAAAAGAATATAATTCTAATAATCAATAACAATTAAGATTTTATTATTGACCTATTTATATATAAAAATATATTTATATGTATAATAAAGTAACTTTTAGCAAATATAATATCAGAGCACTGTGTATTGGCAAATTTAATAAGTTTCAACTCTTATTAAGAAATACTTGAATGTTTCCTTTTATAAATAATATTTTAGGCAATATAAAGTGATGACATTTCACTGTATACTTAAGGAGAAATAATAGGTTCACGCAAATTTTTCACCCAATCTATTCCTTAAGCATTAGAGATTTCATTTCATCTTTCTCAAATAGTTGTAATACAAATTAGACCTTAACAGCAGCATAGGCATTCAAAGAATAGCATTTCTTAAATGAAATATATAACTACCCTTATAGGTATATTTAATTCTGACAATTCTTCTTTAAATTAATGTGAAATTAATTTTGAAGGACATTGAAGTAACTATGGTAACTGATAAAGGAACTCACAGAATTCACAGACATTCATATAACTGTATCTTTTACACTGTACCTTTAATGACAGAATGAAATTCTTACTAAAAATCTTTAATTTTGAAAATTCAGGACATTTATTTAATATTCATTTTTCATTTCACTAATAGACTCTTAAAACTGTCTTAACATTCATGTGATTATTATATTTGTAATTATGTGATTATTATAAGTGTAAATTACCAAGTGAACTAAAACATGTAAATTTAGATATATAAAAATTACTAAGTGAACCAAAATATTAATTTGATCAAAATGATGAAGGTAAGATAGAAAGGAACAGCCCTGTCGGCATTATTTTAAAAGCTTTGAACTATAGAGTTAAAAAAAAAAGATTATCGGCATCTAATAAGTTTAGAAAATTACAAAAATTAGGATTTTAAAATACAACTCAGATGAAAATGGACTTAATAAATTCTAATAAAACACAACTAAGACAATATTTCTAAGTTTAAAAAATGAATTTTAAGAGATACAGAAAATTTTGTTATAGATACCAGATTATAAACTATAAAGAAATGCTCATTGAATAAAGAATGTACATAGTAACATTAAAAATAAAAAAATAAATGGCTTCAAAATTTTTAGATGAATTCACATCTGATAACTTCAAAATTGTCATACTAATTGCCAGTGATGATGATAATGATGATGACGATGATGGAATTTAGGAGGTCTGGGCATATAAACTTTTCATATTTATATTTTTTCATTGGGATCGCAGTAAGGAAAAAAAATAAGCCATAGAACTTCTTTCCAGTTAGAAAACTTAAGATACTTTGAATGTTAATGTAATGTAAAGAAAGGGTGATTTTTTTGGCTAAACCTAAGTTTAAAACATGGTCTAAGAAAAATGCTATTTTTAGTCACAAAATAGCAACAAATACGGGATAACCAAAAATAGGTAATATTTTCTCCTATTAAGTTTCTTAGTTACCTAAAACAAAACAAAACAAAACAAAAAAACAAAACAAAAAACCCAGGAAGAGAGGTCCCCATTTTATTCGTTTTGTAAAGTTTCTTTCTAAGTGAGAAAATTGAAAAAATAAGTAGAAGTCACAAAAAAAAAATCACAATAGCTGAAAGAGAAATTTGATCAAGGAATACAAGACTATCAAACTGACTTTTGTCTTAAAGGGAAATAAAGTTTGGAGCATTCCATCCTAGAAGTTTGAAAGTGCTTCATCATTTATATTTCTTATAAAAACATGTAAAATCAAACAGAAATAAATTCCTCAAATGTCTTTGGAGGAAAAAAAGTACTTTGATAGTAATATCCAGGCGTGCAGGAATGTCTACCTTTTCTCAACTGCATCTATGGCAGTGAGGACATCCGGGCATGCAGTAGACAATAAATGAAAACCACCTCTTAAATTTCCAAGGAGCAAAAACTTTGAGAATGCCTCTGCTGTTGTAAAAGGAATTTAATATAACAAAATATAATGAGCAGGCTCTTTAGTTGCTTGTTTTTAAAAATGTCAAAGTCAATAGACCAATCAGATGGGAACACCAATCCAAAGAACAAGAGTCAGCCTGTGAAAGCTGATAACAGCAACATATGGTTACCGATTCATCAGTTGTATGGTCTTTAAAAGGAGACCCTTCTTTACCAGTAGTTTTCGTATCAACCAGAATTCCTGACATCAAAAACATAAGATTTTTTTCATAAATGAAGATATTTACATTTGGAATGTACACATGCCACAAACAGGAAATAATATTAAAAAATTCTTTTCTCGGAACAAATTCATAGCTGATTGTGAGCCCAGGCTCCAAAAGAAAGCATCCATCTACGATTTAGATGCTATAGCTTATAAAGCATCATTAAAACCAAATTTAAAAAAAGCAATCATAAGATCATTCAAATTCTTATCATTAGATCTAAGAAACAATTTGAAAGTGCTGAGGAGAAATATTTCAGTTCTGATATATTCAGTTCTTACCCAAAACAGTTATTTTTGAATGTCCTTAAAAATTTCATTGATATTGGTGAATAATTTAAATGTAATAATTATGATATTATGTGTACAAGTTAAAAAGGGTTACAGATGATTGCATTCATGTTTAATGTACAGTCTCTAACCTAAAAGATATCCATTAAATTCATAAAGATATCTATGAAATTCCTCCATTCCATTTTGCTGAAAGAGGAATTCTAATCATTTTTTAAGTTATGAGCATTCTATTCCTACTCCCAGTAGGAAGCCCTTCTGATCTCCATCTCTTCTTTAACACTCTCTTCTGACAGGTATTTTTGTTCATTACCTGGCTAGATTGAATGGCCATGGTGGCCGCAGACAAGCCTGGTAGAAAGCAGAATCTAATCTTAGAAGAGTAGAACCGAATCCATATAACCTGGTACTTCGGACCCATCTGCAGATTAATCCTGGTTTTAAAGATGAAACAGCTCTCTAAAGGACTAACCCCAGAACAATTCACATGCTAGCCCAGACCTGATCATAACTGTCAGAGGTCTAAATCCTCAGGTCAATTAGAGACTTCCATTAGACCTGCCGAGGGGCTCTACACAGGAATGAAGAAGGGTGTTTAGCTCTATGTCACTCACAACCCCAAAAGAAACCACAGTATTAAGAAATTTCAGAAGCATATCATATTCTTGTATTGAACTAGAGGAATTTTTCTATGAACAGGTTTTTTTTTTTTCTGTTTGTTTTTGAGTCTGAGTCTCGCTCTGTCGCCCAGGCTGGAGTACAGTGGCGCGATCTCGGCTCACTGTAAGCTCCACCTCCCGGGTTCACGCCATTCTCCTGCCTCAGCCTCCCAAGTAGCCGGGACTACAGGCACCCACCACCGCGCCCGGCTAATTTTTTGTATTTTTTTTTAGTTGAGACGGGGTTTCACCGTGGTCTCGATCTCCTGAACTCATGATTCGCCTGCCTCAGCCTCCCAAAGTGCTGGGATTACAGGCGTGAGCCACCGCGCCCAGCCTGAACAGGTAATTTAAAAATAAATATTTTTCCCCATTTAAAAAATCTTTTAGGGTTGGGGATACTTGGCGCAGGTTTGTCATATAGGTAAATTGCATGTCACAGGGGTACCACCTTCTACCCTCCAGTAGGCCTCGGTGTTTGTTGTTCACTTCTGTGTGTCATATATACTCAATGTTTAGCTCCCACTTATAAGTGAGAACATGCAGTATTTGGTTTTCTGTTTCTGCATCAGTTTACTTGGGATATTGGCCTCAAGCTCCATCCATGTCTCTGCAAAGTACATGATCTTTTCTTTTTAATGGTTGTATAGTATCCCATGGTGTATATGTATCACATAAAAATAAATGTTAATATTGAAATTTATGTGGCGCTTAAGGTCATAACAAAAGAAGAGAATAGAGTGCTAATAGATTCTAATGAATTTCTACCATAGAATAGCTTTCTAACAGACCCAGGGCAAGATTTTACTTTCTTTGAGGGAGGAGTCTCTGTTCCCTAAATTATGAAAACACACATCTTAAATCATTCAGTAAAATATAATGTTTCTGGGCTTCTTGAGGGGGAGATTATAAATATTATAATGACTATAATAGTATCATTAAAAATTTAATCCAAGTATATGATTTCAATGATGTACTTTCAATGACATGCTCTCATTGTCTAATGTTAAAAGCAAAAACAGATTTAAGTAGTCATTTGAATATTTCCTTGTTTCCTTTCAGACTGCCCAAACTAAGTATGATAGATGAGGACCTATATTCTTAACTGAGAGCCTACTTTCTCTTTTATTCTACAGTAAGGGTGTCCATAGATGTGAAATAAAGATGATTTGCCACTTCTAGAAGCTATTCATTAGCTTCTAAATATCAGAGCTAAATATTTTAATGTCTTAAAAGTTAACATGTATTACTTATGTGGATTATTTTTTAAAATGTACTATAAATTTTACTAAAAATGATTAGTTTAAATGAAAACACACTTATTTTCTTTGCTTTTAATTATAGTGTTACAAAGATAAATCTATATCTAATAAAGAGATTTTTAGTGGCACTTTATGCACACTTAATTTTTTGGCCATATCCAAAATGATACCAATATCTTATTCAGGTATGTGCCTCGTCAAAAAACACTGTTTTCTCATAGTAGCAGAAATATTTTATACCAATATTCTGTCTATGAAAAAGAACTGCTTCTCAACTTTTCACTAAAAAATACAATGCCATCATGTTCTGGATTGCTCTGTGAATTTTATTCATAAAGAATTCTTGATATTTAATTGGCATTTTAATAATACAAATAACATTTCTTTGAGTTTCCCTAATTTTTAATAAAAACTTAAGGATTAATATTATTTTAAAGATGGAAACATTTCAAGGCATAATAAGGACAGCAAATTACTAAATGCACTTTGATATTATTAACAAGTAGGTATCTTTCATTATGACAATTTTTTCTATTATAATGACTATATTTACAAGGACAGAAAGTTCATATATTCATTACTGGTAAATAAGATAGCAGCTCTGTGTTTTCTCCTATCATCTCTACAATAACATCATTGCTAGTTAAATAACATGTTTGGGATATAACTGTACCATAACAGAGTGCTTAAGTAAAAACAGTTCCTGCCAATTATGAGAAAGGTTATACTATACCCATGAATGACCTTGAATCTATATATTAGGATCCATACACAGTACCCTCTTCACAGATAAAATGATTGATACAGAAGCCCCTCTATTGTTGTCATTTACTAGATGGGCTCCAGAAAAATTGCTCATCTACCACTACTATTTTATTAGCTTATTTTATACATGGACATTTCTCCATTTCATAGGGGAGACAAGTAGTTCAACTGTGACATCAGAGTTTTCCCTATTCATGGGTCTCCTTCATATCTGGGACATGTTGGAAACTAGGAAGACAAGCAGGAGGAAAAGTTCTAATATTCTGATTATCAGGCCTAGAAATAGTGACTTTTCATAGCCAAAGCATTTCTATTAACATTATTCAAGGTTTCCTTTTGATCAAGTTTAAAATGAAAAGATGAGTTCATTTACTAAATTCAGTTGCGTTTAAAGAAGAAACTATATCATAAGAACAAGAAAATCTTCCTATTACCTCCAGAAATATATTCAATGGCTAGAAACAATAAATAAGGTAGAATAATTTCCAAGAAAGTTGGTTGGCCTAAGTTCAAAATGCATGAAATGCTTACAAGACTATGCCCATTTGTGGCAATATATGTTGTAATAATCTCATGCATACTGAATCTTCCACTGGGAGAGTTGCTTACCTGTGTGAGGTCAGGAATGTCACCTTTATCAATACCAACTTGCTGTGGATTTAAAAAATTAGAAATTAGTAGAACTTTTAAAATTAATTTTTTTCATTTAATGGAAGATCACCTACACAATTAGTTTAAACAGCTCAATATTGGTGTAAATGAATTATTTTATGTATCACTCTCACTTGGAACATATGCTTTTTATGCAGTTTTTCACTCAATATAATAGAGCAGTAATTTCATTAATATAGTTAGACATAACAAATGTATAGAATTCTACTAGAATCCAAAAACAAATGACAACAAATTGAAGCATAAAATGTAATGGTATCCTTAGTTAACAGAAGCTCAAAATGTAAAACACTGCTTAGACTAAATTTAGTAGTTAATTATGCCCAGCTTCTGGATAGGGAATGCTCATTTAGTTCTAAAACTCATTCAGGGTATAATTTCCACTCTTTCTCCCACAGACCTAACTTTGTTAGTTTCTTATGTATCCTTTCAGAGTTTCTTTATGTATATTCAAGGAAATATGAAATTATACAAATATATACTTATTTCCCCATTACAACACAAATAATAACATATTATATATAATGAACTTATGTTTCACTAAAAAATATATCTTAGACATATATCCATATCAACACACAGAATATCCTCATTTAATAAACAGCTGCATAGAACTTCCTTGTCCTATATTTAATTAGTAACTTATTAATGGACACTAAAGTTGCTTTTGATCTCTTGCCATTGCAAACAGTGCTGCACACACCATTTTGCATGTGTAATGTATATATCTGTATGATATACTTGTAGAAGTGGAATTACCAGATAAAAGTATATGCATATTGTTAATTTTGTTAGCATGGGGATAGGGGCAGAGAAAGAGAGAAGGGAGGAAAAGCAAATATGAAAAAATATTAATAAAGGTAAATCAATGAAGAGACCATATTTATTCATTATACATAAATTCTTTTGTAGGTTTGAAAATTATTCAAAGTGAAAAGTTGGGGAAAAACACAAATCACAAGTTCAATCGTATCATTTTTATATAAATAATGAAATTGAGGTTCAAAGAAACAAAGTGGGTTAAGCCAAAGTGTATCTCCTTGAGAAATGAAGAGCTTTGATTATACTGATGGAAATGTAGAAGTAAACACATGAAGCAAAAGTGCTGGGCTGCTACAAAGACAATAAAGCAAACTGGAGATCAGAAAATCCATTTGTGTGTCAAATGCTGAACTACCTTCTTTCCTCTTTCTTCTCTGTGTCTAGAGCAGGGTTTCTCAGTCTTGGCACTATTGGCATTTGGGGAAGATAATTCTTGTTGGGGGGTGTCTTGTGCACTGTAGGATGTTTAGCAGCATCCCTGGCCTCTACCCACAGGATGCTAGTAGACACCCTCTCCAGTGTGATAACAAAAAAACATCTCTAAATGCTATCCTTTGAGGAGGGGAGGGAAGCAAAGTCACTTGCTGTTGAGACCACTGACGTAGAGCACTTGCCTTAATCTCTCTGGATCAAATAATGTTTGAATCCAGAATTCCAGACTTTACTTTTTCTGCAACTACCAAATATTATTATTTCTTTTTAAAAATTTTCCATTTTTATTTCAGATTCAGGGGTACAAGTGCAGATTTGTTACAAGGGTACATTGTATGATGCTGAGGTTTGGGCTTCTACTAATGCTGTTACCCAGATAGTGAACACAGTACCTAACAGGAAGGTTTTCAGACCTTGACTTCCTCCCTTTGTACCTGCTTTTGGAGGCCCCAGTGTCTACTGTTCTCATCTGCATGTGTGTACCCAAGATTTAGCTCTCACTAATAAGTGAGAACATGTGGTATTTGGTTTTCTGTTTCTGCATTAGTTCACTTACGATAATGGCCCCCAGCTACATTCATGTTGCTGCTAAGGGCATGATTTCATTCTTTTTTATGGCTGCATAGTATTCCATGGTGCATATGTACCACATTTTCTTTAACTGGTCCACCACTGATGGGCACCTAGGTTGATTCCATGTCTTTGCTATTTGAATAGTGCTGCAATGAACATATGAGTGCCTGTGTCTTTTTGGTAGAACAATTTATTTCCCTTTGGGTATACACTCAGTAATGGGACTACTCAGTCAAACAGAAGTTCTATTGTTAGTTCTTTGAGAAATCTCCAAACTGCTTTCCACAGTGGCTGAACTACATTCCCACCAACAGTATATATGAGTTCCCTTTTCTCTGCAGCCTTGCCAACATGTTGTTTTTCGGCCTTTTAATAATATCTATTCTGACTGGGTGTAAGATAGTATCTCACTGTGGTTTTGATTCGCATTTCTCTGATGATTAGTGATGCTAAGCATTTTTTCATGTTTGTTGGCCATTTAAATGTCTTCTTTTGAGAAGTGTCTGTTCATGTCCTTGGCCCACTTTTTAATGGGGTTGTTTTTCTTGGTGATTTATTTAAGTTCCTTATAGATTCTGGACATTAGTCACTGGTCAGAAACAAAGGTGAAGAATATTTTCTCTCATTCTGTAGGTTGTCTGTTTACTCTGTTAATAGTTTCTTTTGCTGTGCAGCTCTTTAAATAAGTCTTAGTTGTCAATTTTAATTTTTGTTGCAATTGCTTTTGAGGACTTGGTCATAAATTCTTTGCCAAGGCCAACATCCAGAAGGGCATTTTCTAAGTTTCCTTCTAGCATTTTTATAGTTTGAGGTCTTTTATCCATCTTTAGTAAATTTTTATATGTGGTGTTAGGTGGGGGATCCAGTCTCATTCTTTTGCATATGGCTAGCCAGTTTTCCCAGCACCATTTTTGAATAAGGAGTCCTTTCCCCTTGTTATGCTTATTTTTGCCAACTTATCAAAGATCAGTGGTTTGTAGGTACGCTGCTTTATTTCTGGGTTCTCTATTCTGTTCCACTGTTCTATGTGTCTGTTTTTGTAACAGTATCATGCTGTTTTGGTTACTGCACCCTTGTAGTATAGTTTGAAGTCTGGTAATGTGATGCTTCTGGCTTCGTTCTTTTTGCTTAAGATTGCTTTGGCTATTCCACCTCTTTTTTGGCTTCATATAAATTTAGAATAATTTCTTCTAGTTCTGTGGAAAATGATGTTGATAATTTGATAGACATAGCATTGAATCTACGGATTGCTTTGGGCAGTAGAGCCATTTTAACAATATTTATTCTTCCAATCCATGAGCATGAAATGTTTTTCCATTTGTTTGTGTCATCTCTGACTTCTTCCATTGGTGTTTTGTAGTCCTCCTTGTAGAGATCTTTTATCTCCTTGGTTAGAGGTACTCCTAGGTTTTCAATTTTTTGTGGCTATTGTAAATGGGATTGCATTCTTCATCTGGTTCTCAGATTGGAAGTTATTAGTGCATAGAGATGCTATTGATTTTGATGTTTGTAGGTAGATTTTGTCCTGAAACTTTACTGAAGTTGTTTATCAGGTCTAGGAGTTTTTTGATGGAATCTTGAGGATTTTCTAGGTGTAGAATCATATCCTTAGCAAAGAGAGATAGTTTGACTTCCTCTTTTCCTATTTGGATTCCTTTTCTTTCTCTATCCTGACTGCTCTGTAGGACTTCCAGTATTATGCTGAATAGTAGTGGTGAAAGTGGGCATCATTTTCTTGTTCTAGTTCTTAAAGGGAATGCTTCCACCTTTTGCTCATTCAGTGTGATGTTGGCTGTGGGTTTGTCATAGACGGTTCTTATTATTTTGAAGTACGTTCCTTCAATGCCTAATTTGTTGAGGGTTTGTATCATGAAGGGAGGTTGGATTTTACAGAAAGCTTTTGCTGCATCTATTGAGATAATTACATGGTTTTTAATTCTGTTTATGTGGTGAATTACATTTATTGTTTTGCATATGTTGAACCAACCTTGCATCCTAGGAATAAAGCCCACTTGATTGTGGTGAATTAACTTTTTGATGTGCTGCTAGATTTGATTTGCTATTATTTTGTTGAGGATTTCTGCATCTATGTTTGTCAGGGATATTGGCTTGTAGTTTTCTTTTTTTTGTTGTGCCTTTGCCAGATTTTAGTATCAGGATGACACTGGTTTCACAGAATGAGTTAGGGAGGGATCCCTCCTTCTCAATTCATTGAAATAGTTTCAGTAGAATTGCTTCCAGTTCTTCTTTTTACATCTGATAGAATTTAGCTGTGAATCTATTTGGTCCAAGGCTTTTATTTCTTAGTAGGTTTTTTTACTACTGAAGTCAGTTGCAGAACTTGAAAGACCAATAACGGAGTTTCAACTTCTTCCTGGTCCAATATTGAAAGGTTGTGTGTTTCCAGAAATTTATCCATTTCCTCTAGATTTCTACTTTGTGTTCATAGAGGTTTTCGTAGTAGTCTAGAGGATTTTTTCTATTTTTGTGGGATCAATTGTAATGTCACCTTTGTCTGTCTGATTGTATTTATTTGGATCTTCTCTTTTTTTCATTGTTAATCTAGCTAGTGGTCGATCAATCTTGTTTATCCTTTCGAAGAACCAATTTTTATTTCATTGATTCTTTGTATGTTTTGGGGGTGTCAATTTCATTTATTTATTTATTTAATTTCCATAGGTTATTGGGGAACAGGTGAGGTGGCGTTTGGTTACATGAGTAAGTCCTTTAGTAGTGATCTGTGAGATTCTGGAGCACCCATCACCATAGTAGTGTACACTGCACCTGTATTTGGAGTCTTTATCCCTCACCCTCTTCCCACCCTTTCCCCCTGATTTCCTCAAAGCCCATTGTGTCATTCTTATGCCTTTGCATCCTCATAGCTTAGCTCCCACTTATAAGTGAGAACATATAATGTTTGGTTTTCCATTCCTGAGTTACTTCACTTAGAATAACAGTCTCCAATCTAATCCAGGTCACTGCAAATGCCACTAACTCATTCCTTTTTATAGCTAAGTAATATTCCATTTTACATATATATATATATATATATATATCACAGTTTATTTATCCATTCATTGATAGGTAGGCATTTTGGTTGGTTCCACGATTTTGCAATTGTGAATTGTGCTGCTATAAACATGTGTGTGCAAGTATGACTTCTTTTCCCCTGGGTAGATACCCACTAGTGGGATTGCTGGATCAAATGGTAGTTCTACTTTTAGTTCTTTAAGGAATCTCCACATTGTTTTCCATAGTGGCTGTACTAGTTTACATTCCCACCAGCAGTGTAGAAGTGTTCCCTGATCACCACATCCATGCCAACATCTACTGTTTTTTTTTTTATTTTTTAATTTTTTGATTATGGCCATTCTTGCAGGAGTAAGGTGGTATCGCATTGCAGTTTTGATTTGCATTTCCCTGATCGTTAGTGATGTTAAGCATTTTTTCTTATGTCTGTTGGCCATTTGTGTATCTTCTTTTGAGAACTGTCTATTTATGTCCTTAGCCCACTTTTTGATGGGATTTTTTTTTCTTGCTGATTTGAGTTCATTGTAGATTCTGGATATTAGTCCTTTATCAGATGTATAGATTGTGAAGATTCTTTCCCATTCTGTGGGTTGTCTGTTTACTCTGCTGACTATTCCTTTTTGCCTTGCAAAAATTCTTTAGTTTAATTAAGTCCCAGAAATTTATCTTTGTTTTTATTGCGTTTGCTTTTAGGTTCCTGGTCATGAAATCCTTGCCTACGCCAATGTCTAGAAGGGTTTTTCCAATGTTATCTTCTAGAATTTTTACAGTTTCAGATCTTAGATTTAAGTCCTTAATCCATCTTGAGTTGATTTTTGAATAAGGTGAGAGGTGAGGATCCAGTTTTATTCTCCTACATGTAGCTAGTCAATTATCCCAGCACCATTTATTGAAAAGGTTGTCCTTCCCCCACTTTGTTTTTGTTGGCTTTGTTGAAGATCAGTAAGCTGTAAGTATTTGGGTTTACTTCTGGGTTATCTGTTCTGTTCCATTGGTCTATGTGCCTATTTTTACACAAGTACCATGTTGTTTTAGTGACTATGGCCTTATAGTGTAGCTTGAAATCAGGTAATGTGATGCCTCCAGATTTGTTCTTTTTGCTTAGTCTTGCTTTGGCTATGTGGGCTCTTTTTTGGTTCCACATGAATTTTAGAATTGTTTTTTTCTAATTCTGTGAAGAATAGTGAATTTTGATGGGAATTGCATTGAATGTGTAGATTGCTTTTGGCAGTATGGTCATTTTCTCAATACGGATTCTACCCATCCATGAACACAGGATGTGTTTTCATTTGTGTTGTCTATGATTTCTTTCAGCGGTGTTTTGTAGTTTTCCTTGTAGAGGTCTTTCACCTCCTCGGTTCGGTATATTCCTAAGTATTTTATTTTTTTGCAGTTATTGTAAAAGGGGTTGAGATCTTGATTTGATTCTCTGCTTGGTCAATGTTGGTGTATCGAAGAGCTACTGATTTGTGCACATTAATTTTGTATCCAGAAAATTTGTTGCACTCTTTTATCAGGTCTAAGAGCTTTCTGGAGGAGTCTTTAGGGTTTTTTAGGTAAGCAATCATATCATCAGCAAGCAGCAACAGCTTGACCTCCTCTTTACCAATTTGGATGCCATTTCGTACTCTTGTTTGATTGCTCTGGCTAGGACTTCCGGTACTATGTTGAAGAGGAGTGGTGAGAGTAGGCATTCTTGTCTTGTTCCAGTTCTCAGAGGAAATGCTATCAACTTTTCCCCATTCAGTATTATGCTGGTTGTGGGTTTGTCATAGATGGCTTTTATTATATTGATGTACGTCCCTTGTATGCCAGTTTTGCTAAGCGTTTTAATCATAAACGGATGCTGGAATTTGTCAAATGCTTTTTCTGCATCTATTGAGATGATCACGTGATTTTTATTTTTAATTCTGATTATGTGGTGTATCACATTTATTGACTTGCATATGTTAAACCTTCCCTGCATCCCTGGTATGAAACCCTTGATCATGGTGGATTATCTTTTTGATATGTTGTTGGATTAGTTAGCCAGTATTTTGTTAAGGATTTTAGCATCTATGTTAATCAGAAATATTGGTCTGTAGTTTTCTTTTTTGGTTATGTCCTTTTCTGGTTTGGGTATTAGGGTGATACTGGGCTAACAGAATGATTTAGGGAGGGTTTCCTCTTTCTCTATCTTGCGGAATAGTGTCAATAGGATTGATACCAACTCTTCTTTCAATGTCTGGTAGAATTCTGCTGTGAATCTGTCTAGTCCTGGGCATTTTTTTGTTGGTAATTTAAAAATTACCATTTCAATCTCACTGCTTGTCTGTTCAGGGTATCTAATTCTTCCTGATTTAAGCTAGGAGGATTGTATCTTTCCAGAAATTAATCCAACTCTTCTAGGTTTTCTAGTTTATGTGTGTAAAGGTGTTCATAGTAGCCTTGAATGATTTTTTGTATTTCTGTGGTGTCAGTTGTACTGTCTCCCATTTCATTTCTTACTGAGCTTATTTGGATTTTCTCTCTTCCTTTCTTGGTTAGTCTTGCTAATGGTCTATCAATTTTATCTTAAAAAAAAAAAACAGCTTTTTGTTTCATTTATCTTCTGTATTGTTTTTTGTTTCAACTTCATTTAGTTTTGCTCTGGATCTTGGTTATTTCCTTTCTTCTGCGGGGTTTGGGTTTGGTTCATTCTTGTTTCTCTTGATCCTTGAGGTGTGACCTTAGACTGTCTGTTTGTGTTCTTTCAAATTTTTTGATGTAGGCATTTAGGGCTATGACCTTTCCTCTTACCACTGCCTTTACTGTGTCCCAGAGGTTTTGATAGGTTGTGTCACTACTGTCATTCAGTTCGAAGAATTTTTTGATTTTCATTTTGATTTCGTTTTTGACCCAATGCTCATTCAGGGGCAGGTTATTTAATTTCCATGTATTTGCATGGTTTTGGAGGTTCCTTTTGGAGTTGATTTCCAGTTTTATTCCACTGTGGTCTGAGAGAGTGCTTCATATAATTTCAATTTTCTTAAATTTATTGAGGGTCATTTTGTGGCCTCTCATATGGTCTATCTTGAAGAAAGTTCCATGTGCTATTGAAAAGAATGTATATTCTGTGGTTGATGGATGGAATGTTCTATATACATCTGTTAAGTCCATTTGTTCCAGGGTACTGTTTAAATTCATTGTTTCTTTGTTGACTTTCTGTCTTGATGACCTGTCTAGTGCTGTCAGTGGAGTATTGAAGTCCCCCACTATTATTGTGTTGCTATCTCATTTCTTAGGTCTATTAGTAATCGTTTTTACAAACTTGGGAGCTCCAGTGTTAGGTACATATATGTTTAGGATTGTAATATTTTCCTGTTGGACGAGACTTTTATCATTATATAATGTCCTTTTTTTGTCTTTTTTAACTGCTGTTAAAGTTTGTATTGTCTGATATAAGAATAGCTCTTCCTGCTCACTTTTTGTGCCCATTTTTCTGAAATGTCTTTTTCCACCCCTTTACCTTAAGTTTGTGTGAGTCTTTATGTGTTAGGTGAGTCTCTCGAAGGCAGCAGGTAGTTGGCTGGTGAATTCTTATCCATTCTGCAATTCTGTATCTTTTAAGTGGGGCATTTAGGCCATTTACATTCAATGTTAGTATTGAGATGTGAGGTACCATTCCATTCATTGTGCTATTTGTTGCCTGTATACCTTGGTTTTTTGTTTTTGTTTTTAAAATTATATATTTTTTATAGGTCCTATGAGATTTATGCTTTACAGAGGTTCTCTTTTGATGTGTTTCCAGAATTTGTTTCAAGATTTAGAGCTCCTTTTAGCAGTTCTTGTAGTGGTGGCTTGGTAGTGGTGAATTCTCTCAGCATTCATTTGTCTGAAAAAGACTGTATCTTTCCTTTATATATGAAGCTTAGTTTCACTGGATACAAAATTCTTGGCTGATAATTGTTTTATTTGAGGAGGCTGAAGATAGGGCCTCAATCCCTTCTAGCTTGTAGGGTTTCTGCTGAGAAATCTGCTGCTAATGTATAATTTAAAGGTATAGTTATACCTTTAAAGGTATAACTATAAACGTTTTCCTTTATAGGTTACCTGATGCTTCTGTCTCACAGCTCTTAAGATTCTTTCCTTCATCCTAACATTAGACAACCTGATGACAATGTGTCTAGGTAATGTTCTTTTTGTGATGAATTTCCCTGATGTTCTTTGTGCTTCTTGTATTTGTACGTCTAGGTCTCTAGCAAGGCTGGGGAAATTTTCCTCAATTATTCCCCCAAATATATTTTCCAAAGTTTTAGAATTCTCTTGTTCCTCAGGAACACCAATTATTCTTAGGTTTGGTTGTTAAACAAAATCCCAGACTTCCTGGAGGCTTTGTTCGTATTTTCTTATTCTTTTTTCTTTGCTAGATTGGGTTAATTTGAAGACCTTGTCTTTGAGCTATGGGTTTCTTTCTTCTACATGTTCAATTCTATTGCTGAGACTTTCCAGAGCATTTTGCATTTCTATAAGTGTGTCCATTGTTTCCTGAAGTTTTGATTGTTTTTATTTATGCTATCTAGTTCCTTGAATATTTCTCCCTTCACTTCTTGTATCATTTTTTGGATTTCCTTATACTGGGCTTCGCCTTTCTCTGGTGCCTCCCTAATTAGCTTAATAACTAACCTCCTGAATTCTTTATCAGGTAAATCAGGGATTTGTTGGTTTGGGTCCATTGCTGGTGAGCTAGTGTGATTTTTTTGGAGGATTTAAAGAACCTTATTTTGTCATATTATCAGAGTTGGTTTTCTGGTTCCTTCTCATTTGGGTAGGCTCTGTCAGACAGAAAGTCTAGGGCTGAAGGCTGTTGTTCAGATTCTTTTGTCCCATGGGGTCTTCCCTTGATGTAGTACTCTCCCCCTTTTCCTATGGATGTGGCTTCCTGTGAGCCAAGCTGTAGTGATTGTTATCTCTCTTCTGGATCTAGCCACCCAGCAAGTCTATCAGGCTCCAGGCTGGTACTGGGGGGTTGTCTCACAGAGTCCTGTGATGTGAACTGTCTGTGGGTCTCTCAGCCATGTATACCAGCACCTGTTCTGGTAGAGGTGGCAGAAATGAACTCTGTGAGGGTTTTTAGCTTTGGTGGTTTAAGGCGCTATTTTTGTGCTGGTTGGCCTCCTGCCAGGAGGTGGCACTTTCTAGACAGTGTCAGCTGTGGTAGTATGGGGAGGAAGAGGTGGGAGGCAGGGCCCTAGAACTCCCAAGAGTATATGCCCCTTGTCTTCAGTTACCAGGGTAGGTAGGGAAGGACCACTGGGCAAGGGCAGGGCTAGGCATGTTTGAGTTCAGACTTTCCTTGGGCGGGTCTTGCTGCGGCTGCTGTGGGGGTTGGGGGTGAGGTTCCCAGGTCAATGGAGTTATGTTCCTAGGAGGATTATGACTGTCTCTACTGTGTCATGCAGGTTGTCAGGGAAGTGGGGGAAAGCCGACAGTCACAGGCCTCACTCAGCTCCCATGCAATCCAAAGGACCAGTCTCATTCCCACTGTGCCCCCCAGCAACAGCACTGAATGTGTTTCCAGGCAGTGGGCAAGCACATCTCAGAATCTGCCCCAGGCTACCCAACTCCCAGCTGCGAAGGCAAATACAGCTTTTCTTCTTCCCCTGCCTGTGGTGTCTGCACACAGATTCACACCCTCCCCCGAGTTCTGGCCAAGAGGCTTCTCAATCAGCATGGACACAGGAAGGGGAACATCACACACTGGGAACTGTTGTGGGTGGGGGGAGGGCGGAGGGATACCACTAGGAGATATACCTAATGCTAAATGACGAGTTAATGGGTGCAGCACACCAACATGGCACATGTATACATATGTAACAAACCTGCACGTTGTGCACATGTACCCTAAAACTTATAGTATAATAATAATAAAATTAAAAAAAAATTGTTACAAAGTTCAGCTGGAGATTTCTTTCTCCCTGTGGCCTTTTCCCAGTGCCTCTGGCCACCGTCCTGAAGGACCCCTGTAAGGCCAGGCAAAAACGGCTTGCTAGGGGACCCAGTAAGCCCACAGGGATTTTTTTCACTGCTTCTTCTATCCCTGTATTTTGCTTGGCTCTCTAAATTGACTCAGTTCCAGGTAAGGTCAAAATCTTCTCCTGTTATCTAGGCCTACGGTTTCCCCAGTGCGGGGTGTGTGTTCAGGGGCAGAGGATCTCCCTTTCCTGCCTCCACAGTTTGGGCACTCATAGTATTTGGGGTGTCTTCTGGGTCTGGTAGGAGCAATCTGCTTTCTTCAGGGAGTCTGTGGGTCATCTCAGGTTTCCTGATTTATTCCTGCAGTCATTCTGGAGCAAAAATTCACAATGCGAGCCTCCATATGCTGCTCTGTTGGTTCAAGTTGGAGCTGCAATCTAGTCCTGCCTCCCAGTCACCACGATCCCCACTTCTCGTTGATTACATTTAGTTCTGCTCTGACTTTGGCTATTTGTTTTCTTCTGCTAGCTTTGGGATTAGTTTGTTCTTGTTTTTCTAGTTCCTTTATGTGTGATGTTAGGTTATTAATTTGAGATCTTTCTAACTTCTTGATGTAGGTGTTTAGTGCTATAAACTTTCCTCTTAAAACTGCCTTTGCTGCCTCCCAGATATTTTGGTATGTTGTGTCTGTTTTCATTTGTTTCAAAGAATGTTTTGATTTCTGCCTTAATTTTGTTGTTTACCCAATAGTCATTCAGGAACAAGTTGTTCAGTTTCCATGTAATTGTGTGGTTTTCAGAGTTCCTCTTGGTATTGATTTCTATTTTTATTCTACTGTGGTCTAAGAATATACTTGTTATGATTTGATTTTTTTGATTTATTGAGATTTGCTTTATGGCTGAGCATGTGGTGGATCTTAGAGTATGTACCCTGTAGAGGTGACAAGAACATACATTCTGCGGTTGTTGGGTGGAGTAGTCTGTAGATGTCTATTAGGTCCAATTGGTCTAGTGTCAAATTTAAGTTCATAATTTCTTTGTTAGTTTTCTGCCTCAATGATCTGTCTAATGCTTTCAGTGGGGTGATGAACTCCCTCATTATTGTTGTGTGGCTGTCTGTCTTTTATTAGGTCAAGAAGTACTTCTCTTATAAATCTAGGTGCTCCAATGTTGGGTGTGTATATATTTAGGATAGTTAAGTCTTTTTCCCCCCTAATCTCTCATCTCTGGCTGAAAATTAAGTCTTCTTGTTGAATTGAACCATTTATCATTATGTAATGTCCTTCTTTGTACTTTTTCTTTTTTTACTGTTGTTGGTTTTCAGTTTATTTTATCTGATACAAGAGCAACAACCTCTGTCCTTTTTTGTTTTCTATTGGGATGGTGGATCTTTTTTCATCCCTTTACTTTGAGGCTATGCGTGTCATTACATGAGATGGATGTACTGAAGACAGTACATCTTTTTTTTTAATCCAACTTGCCACTCTGTGTCTTTTCAGTCAGGTGTTTGTACCATTTACATCAAGGTTAGTATTCATATGTGAGGTTTCATTCCTGTCATCATATTGTTAGTTGGTTGCTTTATAGTCTCAGCTGTGAAGTTGCTTTGTAGGAATTATGGACTATGTACTTATATGTGTTTCTGTGGTAGCAGGTTTCTTTTGTTTCCAAGTTTAGAACTCCCTTAAGCACGTCTTTTAAGGCCAGTTGATTGGTAACACATTCCCTTAGCAATTGCTTGTCTGGGAAAGATTTTATTTCACTTTCACTTATGAAGCTTAGTTTGGTAGGTTATGAAATTCTTAGTTGGAAATTCTTCTCTTTAAGAATACTAAAAATAGGCTACAAATCTCTAGCTTGTAAAGTTTCTTTTGAGAAGTCTGTCGTTAGCCTGATGAGGTTCCTTTTATAGGTGATTTGTTCCTTTTCTCTAGCTGCCATTAAGATTTTTTCTTGTGTTGATCTTGGAAAGCTTGATGACTCTGTGCCTTGGGATGGTCATCTTGTATAGTATCTTGTAGGGGTTCTCTGAATTTCTTGTATTCACATGTCAATCTCTCCAGCAAGACTGGGTAAATTTTTGTGGATTATATCCTCAAATATGTTCTCCAAGTTGCTCACTCTCTCTTCTCTCTCAGAAATGCCAATGAATTGTAGGTTTGGTTGCTTTACTTAACACCATATTTCTTGGAGGTTTTGTTCATTTTGTAAAATTCCTTTTTTCTTTATTTTTGTCTGTCTGGGTTGATTCAAAGGACTCGTCTTCAAGCTCTGAAATTCTCTCCTCTGTGTGATCTAGTCTGTCATTAAGGCTTCCAACTACATTTTCAAATTCCTGTAGTGAACTTTTCAATTGTAGAAGTTCAGTTTAGTTCTTTTTAAATATAGCTATCTCATCTTTCATATCTTGGATCATTTTCCTGGCTTCCTTGTATTGGATTTCAAATTTCTCTTGGATCTTATTGAGCTTCCTTGCCATCCAGATTCTGAATTCTGTGTCTATAATTTCAGACATTTCAATGTGGTTAGGATTCATTGCTAGGGAGCTAATGCCATCCTTTAGAGGTAAACAAAACATTCTGACTTTTTGCATTGCCTAAGTTCTTGAGCTGATTCCTTCTCGTCTGAGGGAGCTGGCTTTTCTTTTTCTTTGTCAATTTGCTTTCATTTGGATAGGGCTTTTTGTTTTTACATTCTTTTTTCCCGTAAGGGTTGACTGTGGTGAATGTTGTATATAGTTGATCGGTTTCGTTTCTGAGCGCTTTCAGAGGGTCAAGGCTCTGTTCTAGGTTCTGAGGTTATAGATGGGCTCCTGTGGTGCATTTCAGAGGTGTTGCACGGTGAAACAATGTATTTTTGTTTGGTGGTGCCATTCAGGTTGCAGTCTCGTAGACAGCTCTTCACAGTGACATCAGGGCCAGCAGATATACTCTTACTCAGCCAGACACCTCTTATTTTTCAGTGCGTATGTGGCAGTGCTCTGGGGAGGGGAGGCAGGGGCCAAGAGATAAGTCTCAGTCCAAGTTTGTTTCCAGGCCTTGGGCCTTGGTGCTGTCCCCTTCAAGTACTGGTGCTGCACCCATGTTTTCTTTGCTCAAAAGGGGGCTTTGGCAGGCTGTGCTACCCTCTCCCTTTAGGGATGGTCCCAGCTGAGAGATCATCAGGAGATCTCTAACTCTTGGGGGGCCCACTGTGCTTGTGAGAGTCAGAGCAGGTTGTGGGATATGACTACTAGCGGTCTGGTGTTGCAGTGGGTTGGGGTGAAGAATCCCTGGGCAGGGCAATGGTATCATGTATACGCAAGTGGAAAAGTGCCTGTGGCCCAGGGTTTCCAGCCTGGCAGACAGCTGTGGGGCCCACTCAGCTTGTGCTCCTCTGACCCAACAGGTCTTCCTCCAGTGTCTGCCCCAGGAGCATTTTGACTGGCTAGACTTGTTCCAAGCCTTCTGCTCTCAGATCACTGAGCTGTTCCAGATGATGTGGGCTGCAGGGCTCCCTGGGAAAGAAGATGTGGCTTTCAGGCGGCACCCTTCTCAGATGGGTCTTGTGAAGGGAGGGACACCCAGCTCCTACATTTGTACAAGAACCTGCACCAGCATAAGAACCTAAGTCACAATCTTCTTTTTGTTCTGACACTGGGAGCTCTTCCTCCACTTGAGCTCAGGCCATAGATCTCAGCACGATACTCGTGGGCAGTGTGCTTGAGTCCCAGGGAGTTGAAACCAGGCCTGCAGATTTGTCTTCTGGCCCCTCGGGGTTAAGCACTGGCTGTGCTGGGGGTGCCAGACTGCTTCCAGGCCACCAGCAAAACACTCAGGTAGGGAAGCGCGGGGGCTGCGCTGTGGATATCCTCCTGTGGGAGTGGCCAGGCAGGAAATCTTGGGAGGGGCCAGCAGGTGAGGGGGCATTCATCCTGGTCCTGCAGCAATGGTCCTGGCCAGTAGAGAACAGGAACTGCAGAGCAAGATGGAGCGCCTTGGGGGATGGGCACCTATGGTCATGTTTTACTGCAGCTGGCATGTGGTGGCTCCGAGCAGGTTTCCCGGCTTCCTCCCTCTTCAACTATGTTGAAGGCAACTGTGTTGCCTCTCTATTGATTTTCAGTATTTTCTCTCAAAAGATCTGTTGATCATCAGCATGATGATTCACTCGATATTTTGGTTCCTCTTGGTGGGAGAGGCATTTGCTAGCTTTGTCTAGTTGGCTGTCTTCCTTCCCTCTCTGGAATTATCCTTCTAATGACTGAACTTTGGCTTTAGGAACAGTTTAGCCACTGATGCTTCCCTAAAGCCACTTATATTATTACAAATTAGGGAAATTATCAGTTAAAGCAACTGCATTGTTTATTTGTATGTTTTAACACCACTTTAGATGATCCATTTAAAAATATTAATATGAACAAAAGAGGCATTTTTATGAGACTGACTCGCTGCCTACTGTGATAAGAAGGCACTGAAAGAGGCATTTTTTAAAATAAAAATATTATGGATCCCTAATACTGAAATCAGTTCAGGAAAAGGTGATGTATTTCCATTAAATGGATAATTGTGTTCAAAGAGACAATTTAGGAATTCTTCCTCAACATTGCTATTTTTATTGCTCTGAACTTCTGAACCACAATATCATTAGAGGATTAAAGTGTGTTACAGAAATCTCATCACTTTCTGTCTGCAAATATTCTGGGAGATGTAGCTCCTACGATTCCGATATCTACCTTAGAATAGAAAACTAAGAATAACTTGGTTCTATGAAAGAGAAGAGTATTTAGCAGAAATATATCTTACCAGTAAAAATTATTTTACCAAGTTTTACTTGTCTGCCATAGGAGACTTCAGATAAGAATATAAGGCATAGTAAGTTTTCTGTACTTCAAGCAATTTAAGAAATTTGAATAGTTCCATAGAACTTGTTCAACTACTTTACCTTTTCTTTAATACAATGAGCAACTTACTGTTACTATTTCCCAAATAACCAATATATAAAGTTGTATTTTGAAAATCATATTCTAGAAGTCTTCCTGAGACTCTTCAGGTAAATGTTACTAACTATGGGATAGCTATTGAGTATGAATCCATACATCGACCACATGAGTACTATACAGTAGAGAGAGATTTGTACATTGGTTGAAAAATTTCTATATTAACCAATCATAACAAAACCACTCAACACTGGTATTCAAACATTGTGTGTCCAAATTATGAACAATGTGATTTAAATGTGAAAGAAAACACAAATGGTTATGGTTGTCCCATTGTGATTTAATGTTTACTCTATTAAAAATAATTTTGTAAATTAGTATTCATTCTATGAAAAAGTCTTAATCATAATGTTCAAATAAAAATAATTTTTAAATTTATTATCCAGTTATTTAAAGACAGACTCTTACAATGATATCTGATTTTTGCAGATCTCTTTCTTAATGGCCTCAGGTGGGCTTGTGCTAACATGAGGTATCAACAGACAAAAAGTAAAATTTTACATGTTAAAACAGAAGGAATTGACACATAAGTAGAACTTTTCTCATGGGAATCATGAGCCCAGCCTTGTAATGCTGATTAGAGAAGTGTATACCCCAGACTGCCACATGCCAGCTCCTTACTTACATACAATAACAAATGAGAAACTGGGATGAATGTACACCAAGATTTAATGAAACAAAATAATCTGTTCTCCGTACTCAGGCATAATTTATCTTTTCACAGAAAGAAATTAGGCAAATTTTACTAGATTAGGCTGATAATTACGGTTAAACCATGGCAAAATCATACCAAATACAAAAAACACCTGTATAGCAGCAAAAGAAAAAATTTTAAGCAATTCTATCATTTCTTAAAGACTACCAACACTGATAAACCCATGAGGAAAGAAACGTGAATGTGCTTTAATGTATATACAATTTACATAAGCTAATCTTTATCTTTTGTTTCCCTTATATTTAAAAAAGATTTTTATTCTAACTACATGTTGTATGGGTGAAAGTTCAAGAATCAGCATTTTGTGATATTATTTTGGTCCCAGAATTTTCATGTGACAATTATTACTTCTATGAATAAAAGATTTTAAACACAATGCATGGACTAGAGTACTTCTTAAATCGTGTGTATAAAATGCTTGTTTATGCAGTATATTCTCAAAATGACAAAAACAGCAAAAACATGGCATGAATGTCCCACATCCACAGCATTGTATGGTTTGCTGCTGAGCCTTAGAACCTCTTTCATACAACATTCCAATCAGTTCCTAGTAATCAGTTAATTGACATGTAAGATAAAAATACACTTGTCATTCTTCCAAAGGACTATAATAACAATGTTATAATTTCCAATATCAGCATGAATCATTAATTGGATTTTATAAGAGAAAATACCAATTCACAAATAATTTCAGGAACACCAACTGCATAGTTACACAGGTATTCTAATCAAGTATAAAGACACATTCTGAAGAAAGAATTTATAAACTTTATAAAACAAATTATGCTTTCTGTCTTATTTTTCATTGTGTATAAATCATTGCCAAAGTAAGAAAGGTAAGAATTTATGATTTATCATTTACATGCTAAGAATAATAAACAGGCTTTTCTAAAGGCAAACCTAAGGTTCAATGAAAATAAAGGATTTTCTAACAATTAAAGATAGCTATTAGGTGGAATGGAGGAATGGACCACCTTGCAAAGCAGCAAATGAGCTTATTATCCATGAAACTTTTATTTGAATGCAGAATGATCATCTGATTAGGATGCAGGAGTACAGAGTACAGCTCTGAGTGAGAAGTTGGATGACACGACTTCCAAAGTCACTTCCAACCTTAATATACTGTGACTCCGAGGCACTTCCAACCCTAATATACTGTGACTCTCTTACACCTTCTATTATATATACTCCAGATACATGAGCAAATATTTAAAAAATTATATTCCCAAGAAAACTTAATATTACTTACCTCTGCAACCTTGAGAAATTCAGACACTCGTGTCATTCTAGTTAGAAATCGTTTGTAAATTTCTAGAGCATCTTTACATTGTCCTTTCTTCATTTCAAAAAACTTTTCTAGAGAAGATAAAGAGATAAGCAATTTGAAAAGAGTATTATGTTCTATTTTTTTCTAAGCTTATGTTAAGATTACTACTCAAAACTTAATTAATGTTTGAATCAAAACACTTGGCAGTAAAACTTATATGAGGTATTAAGGCACCTAAACAAAGGGAACCTGAATAGATTAAGAAAAGTGTTATGTTCCAAGATAATCATCTGTCTCAAATAAAACAATTTAAATAATGAAAACAGAACTAAAGTAGAAGAATATATGAATTGCCACAACTGGCTAAATTCATGTTCCATATCCAATATCCTGTCTTGGAAAACAGCAGCAAATTCTTCCTAAGGATAATCTCAAAATTTATGACTGCATTCTACAGAATCCTTATTTTCTTATTAGCTCGCAATAAACTAATAATCTATAAATTATAAGACAATAATCAATAAACCTTCCTGAATTAAAGAATTCTTTAAGTTTTCTACACTAAGTTGATACTTGCTTTTATTGGTCATAAATTATTTCTTTCAAACATCATGATGTGGCTTTTATTTATAAAACAGTAGACTTTTGTGAAAAAATTTGTTTTACTATATTCTTCATGACTTTCTAGTCTATTTATGCTCTCTTTCTCAACCTTTAGCTTTCTAGACAGAAAAACAGAAGCTTATTTTGCTGTTCTCTTTCACACTCTCAAGACTAGAATGCTGTCATTAGGGAACTACAGCTCCATTACCCTTGCAATATGAGAGTATAATTTTTCCATACATGCTTTGAAGAAAACCAGTACTTCATCAGTGTTTTAATCAGTTATTCATTGATCATTCAGTCAATAATTATTGACACTGCAGATGGAGACACAGCAGGCCATGTCTGCCTACAGTAGTTCCCAGGCAACTCTGGTTTATACCTGATGGCCTAGCATCTTCTTTATAAGTTCATTATTTTATATTTGCACATGGTTTAAAATATGCTATTTTTTCAGTATTCTTTTTTTAATTTATATATATATTTATTATATTTTAAGTTCTAGGGTGCATATGCACAACGTGCAGGTTTGTTACATATGTATACATGTGCCATGTTGGTGTGCTGCACCCATTAACTCATCATTTACATTAGGTATATCTCCTAATGCTATCCCTCCCACCTCCCCTCACCCCACAACAGGCCCTGGTGTGTGATGTTCCCCTTCCTGTGTCCAAGTGTTCTCATTGTTCGATTCCCACCTATGAGTGAGAACATGCAGTGTTTGGTTTTCTGTCGTTGCAATAGTTTGCTGAGAATGATGGTTTCCAGCTTCATCCATGTCCCTACAAAGGACATGAACTCATCATTTTTTATCACTGCATAGTATTCCACAGTGTATATGTGCCACATTTTCTTAATCCAGTCTATCATTGTTGGACATTTGGGTTGGTTCCAAGTCTTTGCTACTGTGAACAGTGCCACCATAAACATACGTGTGCATGTGCTTTTATAGCAGCATGATTTATAATCCTTTGGGTATATACCCAGTAATGGGATGGCTGAGTCAAATGGTATTTCTAGTTCTAGATCCCTGAGGAATTGCCACACTGTCTTCCACAATGGTTGAACTAGTTTACAGTCCCATCAACAGTGTAAAAGTGTTCCTATTTCTCCACATCCTCTCCAGCACCTGTTGTTTCCTGACTTTTTAACGATCGCCATTCTAACTGGTGTAAGATGGTATCTCATTGTGGTTTTGATTTGCATTTCTTTGATGGCCAGTGATGATGAGCATTTTTTCATGTGTCTGTTGGCTGCATAAACGTCTTCTTTTGAGAAGTGTCTGTTCATATCCTTTTCCCACTTTTTGATGGTGTTTTTGTTTTTTTCTTGTAAATTTGTTTGAGTTCTTTGTAGATTCTGGATATTAGCCCTTTGTCAGATGAGTAGGTTGCAAAAATTTTCTCCCATTTTGTAGGTTGCCTATTCACTCTGATGGTAGTTTCTTTTGCTGTGCAGAAGCTCTTTAGTTTAATTAGATCCCATTTGTCAATTTTGGCTTTTGTTGCCATTGCTTTTGGTGTTTTACACATGAAGTCCTTGCCCATGCCTATGTCCTGAATGGTATTGCCTAGGTTTTCTTCTAGGGTGTTTATGGTTTTAGGTCTAACATTTAAGTCTTTAATCCATCTTGAATTAATTTTTGTATAAGGTGTAAGGAAGGGTTCCAGTTTCAGCTTTCTACATATGGCTAGCCAGTTTTCCTAGCACCATTTGTTATACAGGGAATCCTTTTCCCATTTCTTGTTTTTGTCAGGTTTGTCAAAGATCAGATAGTTGTAGATGTGTGGTATTATTTCTGAGGGCTCTGTTCTGTTCCATTGGTCTATATCTCTGTTTTGATACCGGTACCATGTTGTTTTGGTTACATATGCTATTTTAATATTGTCTCATACTTGAGAGTTATTTCATTCAGCATGTAATTTTACTACCTCAGAAGTATTTTTAATTTTCTTAAGGGAAGTTTAGTAATATATAATTACACAAAGAACTAATTATCAAGAGCAGTTACACTTCATTACCTTCTGTTGACAGTCTTTGGGTAATTTTAACTTTTTACATGGACCTCCCCTGTAGGGTATTTAAGGGAAGCAAAAAGATCAAGAAAACAGACACATACTGTTTCCTACTTGCTAGGAGTTTAGAGAAAAGACAGTCTTTTAAAAAATGACCAAATCTAAGGATACTTTCTTTATCCACTCTGTCCTGTTTTCTAATGCAATGGATAAACTCACGGTGCTATAAGACGAAAGTCTTTTCTTGTTAAGAAATTTGAAAATAAGGATTTATTCTGGCAAAACATACTTTTTGTTCTCTCTTTCTACAACAATCTTCATATAAAAAACTTCTTTCAAATATCCAAATTACTTCTCTTTAGTATAATCTGAGTTTATATCTTTGCATCTGATCTTCAGCAATAATACAAAAAGAAAAATCAAGCTGAATATCTCAATTTCCTTTTAGAACCAGTGACCAAAATTTTAACCAATTTTTTTTTCTGTCTCCTCTGGATACTTTTAAAATTGTTTGTATCCTTCATGATAATTTAGGACTCAGCAATAAAAAGCACTCGATCATTGTGGATTTAGGTCATAATCTCATAATTGTTTCTATAATAGTAGCATTGACACAGAAAGGCAACATGTTCTATTTCACTGACACAGGCACAGCTAATGAGACTCCCCTGTCCAGACCAGTGCAGGGCCTAAAAAAACTGGCACTTTTAAAGAGGGGATTGGTCATCCAAAAATGAGCCTCTACCTTTCTTTCACAGTAAAGGTAACATATGTTAACTTTCAATATTTGAAATGATCAAATTTCATGTTTGTGACATGAACCTTTGTAAAGCTGTGATAAATTACCCTTGTCATACTAGTATTAACTTTTGAAGGATAATTGTCCTAGGAAAGAAACCAAATGAAAAAAATTATCATCTCTGAGAGACAAACTGAGAGTTTCTACATAAGCTGTTACTAATGACCATTAGTCAGGGAGACAGCTTACTTACAAGTCAGAGTTTCATTATAGCAATAAAGCATTTGTGAAGATTTATAGCACCAATATTGATTCCAACATTAGGTGTAAAGTATTGGTCACGAAATCCTTGACTAAAATTAACCCACAACATATTCATAAGGTTAACTCCTAGCACTATCAGGTAAACAAATGAAAAATACACCTGCCTCAAAATTTATCAAATTAGGTGAATACGCCAAAATATGTAAATTCAAAATGCTAGTCTGAGCATCTGGGAGTGGTTCTAATACAATGATTCCCAAACTAAAGTCCCCAAACCACCAGGAACAGCATGACTTTGGCCCTTATTAGGAACGCAAATTCTCAAGCCCCACCTCAGACTTACTAATTAGAAACTCTGGGTAACAGGTTCAGCAACCTGAGCTTTAACAAGTTCTCCAGATATTCTTGAGGAAAGTCCTTGAACACTGCTTAAAGTACTTTTTCCTTGTCTTCTGCAAATGGACCTTTACCATAGTGACTATGCACAGGGTAAAGGGATATATCCTGACTTTTTTTTTTTTAGAAAAATACTTTTTTAAAGAGTAGTTTTAGGTTCACAACAAAATTAAACAGAAGTTACAGAGATTTCCCATATTATCCCTGATCCTAAACACGCACAGCCTCCCCTATTATCAACACCTCTGAAAAGAGTGCCATATTAGTTCCAAGTGATGAACCTACATTGAACATCATTATCACCCCAAGTCCATAGCATACATTACTGTTCACTCTTGGTGTTGTACATTCTATGGGTTTGGACAAATGTATAATGACATGAATCCACCATTTTAGTATCATACGGAGTATTTTCACTGTCCTAAAAATCTGGCCAGGTATGGTGGCTCATGCTTATAATCCCAGTACTGTGGGAGGCTGAGGTGGGAAGACTGCTTGAACCCAGGAGTTTGAGACCAGCTTGGGCAACATAGCAAGCCCCTATGTCTACAAAAAAAAAATTCAAAAATTAGCCAGGAGTGGTGGTGCGTGTCTGTAATCCCAGCTACTCGGGAGGCTGAGGCAGGAGGATCACTTGAGCCCAGGAGGTCAAGGCTGCAGTGAGCTGTGTTCGTGCCACTGCACTCCAGTCTGGGAGACAGAATAAGACCTCCACTAAACACCAATGATCTTTTTTACTGTCTTCATAGCTTTGCCTTTTGTAGAATGTCAGAGAGCTGAAAACATGCCTTTTCAGACTGGTTTCACTTAGTAATATGCATTTAAGATTCCTTCACGCCTTTTCATGGATTGATATTGCATTTCCTTTTAGCACGGAATAATATCTGCATATCTTTGTTGGTGAGGTATCAAAGTTTTTAGCCCATTTTTAATTGGGTTGTTTTATTATTTTTTAGTTCTAAGAGTTCTTTGTATATTTTGGACAACAGTCCTTTATCAGATGTGGTTTTTGCAAATATTGTCTTCCAGTGTGTGGCACATCTTACTCTTTTTCTTGACACTGTCTTTCATGGAGCAGAAGTTTTTAATTTTAATAAAGTCCAGCTCTTCAATTATTTCTTCCATGGATCACACCTCTGATGTTGTATCTAAAAAGTCACCATCATATCCAAGGTCATTTAGGTTTTCTCCTATGTTACCTTCCAGGATGTTTATAGTTTTGCATTTTACATTTAGGTCTGTGATCCATTTTGAGTTAATATTTGTAAAGGGTATAAGGTCTGTGTCCAGATTAATTTTTTTGGTGTATGCACGTCCAGTTGTTCCAGCACCATTTGTTCAAAAGATTATCTTTGCTCCTTTATTATAGATCAGGTTATATTAATGTGGATTGATTTCTGGGCTCTCTATTCTGTTCCACTGATCTATTTGTCTATTCTTTTGCCAATACCACAATATCTTGATTACTGTAGTATTACAGTAGGTTTTAAAGTGGGATAGGTCAGTCCTTCAACTTTGTTCTTCTTCAACAATATTGTGTTGGCTATTCTGGGTCTTTTACCTGATTAGAATCAGTTTGTCAATATCCACAGTTACTTGCTGAAATACTGAATACTATTGCAATGAATCTATAGATCATGTTGGAAAGAACTGACATATTCACAGTATTGAACCTTCTTATCCATGAACATGGAACATCTCTCCATTTATTAGTTGTTTGATTTCTTTCATAAGAGTTTTATAGTTTTCCTCATATAGATCTTAGAGACATTTTGTTAAGTTTATACCTAAGTATTTCATTTTAGGGAGTGCTGATGTTAATGGCATTGTGTTTTTAATTTCAAATTCTGCTTGTTCATTGCTAGTATATCAGAAAGCCACTGACTTTTGTACATTAACCATTTTTTCTTGCAACCTTGCTATAATTGCTTATTAGTTCCAGGAGTTTTTTTTTTTTGTCGATTCTTTTGGATTTTCTACAATAGATGGTCATATAATCTGGGAACAAAGAAGTCTTATTGCTCCATCCCAAATCTGTATACCTTTCATCTCCGTTTCTTGTCTTACTGCATTAGCTAGAACTTCCAGTAGGATGGTGAAAAGCAGTAGTGAGAGGAGACACTTTGCCTTCCTCCTGATCTTACTGGGAAAGCTTCTAGCTTTTTCACCATTAAATATGATGTTAGCTATTAAGTTTTTTGTACATATTCTTCATCAAGTTGATGAAGTTCCCCATCTATTCTTAGTTCACTGATAATTTTTGTCATGAATGGGTGTTGGATTTCATCAAATGTTTTTCTTTTATCTACTGATATGATTTTTCTCTTTTAGCTTATTGATGTGGCAGATTACATTAATTGATTTTCAAATGTTGAACCAGCTTTGCATACCTGGGTAAATCCCCTTGGTCATGGTTTATAATTCTTTTTATACATTGTTGGATTTAATTTGCTAATATTTCATCGAGGATTTTTCAACTATGTTCATGAGAGATATTGGTCTGTAATTTCCTTTTCTTTTTTAATTTTAAATAAAATCTACTGAGATGTTATTTATATATAATATATTACATTCATTTAAGGTGTAGATTTTATGTGTCTTGACAGTTATATGCAACATCAATTACTGTCACAAGCAAGGTACATGTCAGTCCATTTTCTGCTGCTATCATGGAATACCACACACCAGATAACTTGTAAAGAAAGATGTATTTGGCTCACAGTTCTTGTGGCTGGAAGTCCAAGATCAAGGGGCTGTATCTAATAAGGGCCTTCTTGCTGCATCATAACATGTCAGAAGGTATCACGTGGTGAGAGAGTGCATGCCTGACAAAAGTCACCTCTTAAAAGTTTCACCTCTTAATACTATCACAATGCCAATTAAATTCCAATATGAGTTTTGGAGGGAGCATTAAAACCACAGCAGTACAGAACATTTTTATTACTCTCAAAAAATTTCTTGTGTCCCTTTGCAGTTCATTCCTTCCTCCACTCTGAACCATGGGTAACCACTAGTCTCTTTTCTGTCACTGTAAGTTAGTTTGCATTTTCTAAAATTTTATGTAAATAGCCATACATTACACACTCTCTTTTCTTTGGCTTCTTTGAACCTAATGATTTTGAAATTCATTTATGTTATTACATAAATGTAACAGTTAATTCCTTTTTATTGTTGAATAGCATTGTATAATATGAATACATCTTTTGTTTATCTATGTACCTATTAATGAATATTTAGTTTCTTTATGGTTTTTTTTTTCTATTATGAACATTTTTGAACATTCATGTGCTAGTCCTTGTATGGATACTGGTTCTTATTTCTCTTGGGTAAGCATCCAGGATATGATCCTAGTGGGTCATAAGTTAGGTGTATGTTTCTTTTTAAGGAAAACAGTAAATGTAAAATGGTAAAATCATTTGACGTTTTACCATTTTACATTTCTATCAGATGTGTATAGGAGTTCCAGTTACTGTACATCTTCACTAATACTTGATACCATCAGTAGTTTTAATTTTAGTTGAGTCTAGTAGGTCCAAGAGGTATCTCACTGTGATTTTAGTTTACATTTCCTCAGTAACTGATGACATTGATAATTTTTATATGCTTATTAGCCATTTTATATCTTCTTTTGTAGTGTCTGTTCAAATCTTTTGTACATTATAAAAATCGAGTTGTCTTCATTACTGAGTTCTTTTATTTGTTCTTGATAGGCATCCCTAAAACATAAATACATATACTTTCTCCTCCTCTGTGACTTGTATTTTCATTCTTAATGATGTCTTTTGAGGAGCATGAGTAATTTTGATGAAGTCCAATTTGTTAACTTTCTCTTTTATAGTTCATGTTTTCTGTATTTTAATTAAGAAATCTTTGCCTAGTCCTTGTTTTCTTCTAGAAGCTTTTTAGTTTTAACTTTTATATTTAGGCCAATAATTCTTTTGATTTCACTTCTAGGCCTGCTGTGAGGCATATTATTTACTACTGAATAACAAATTACTCCAAAATTTAGCAGTTAAAGCAACAAATAAATTTCTGGTCTCACACAGCTTATAAGTCATGAATTTGGAAGTGGCTTAGCTGGATGATTCTGGCTCAGGACCTCATGAAGTTATAGTCAAACTGCTGGCCATGCCTGTAGCCCTCAGTGGTCTGGGGCCAAAGGTTCTGCTTGCAGGGTGGCTCACTCACATACCTGTTGACAGAAGGTCTCAGTTTCTTGTTGTATGGAACTCTCTACAGGCTGTCTGAGTGTCCTCACAACTTTACTGCTGGCTTTCCCTAGAGCAAATGATCTAAGCAAGAACTAGTGAGGAAGAAATCAAGGTGTCTCTTACAACTTAGTGTCAAAGCTTCACACCATTGCTTCAGCTTCATTCTATTCATTAGAAGTGTCTCTAAGTCCATCTCACATTGAAGGTGATAGGAGTTAGTTCATACCTTTTTTGTTTGTTTGTTTGTTTGTTTTTGAGGTGAAATCTCCCTTTGTTGCCCAGGCTGGAGTGCAGCAGTATAATCTTGGCTCACTGCAACCTCTGCCTCCCAGCTCAAGTGATTCTCCTGCCTTAGCCTCCCTAGTAGCTGGGACTATAGACATGAGCCACCATGCCTGGCTTTTTTTTTTTTTTCGTTATTTTTAGTAGAGATGGGGTTTCACCAGGTTGGCCAGGCTGGTCTTGAATTCCTGACCTCAAGTGATCTGCCCACCTTGGCCTCCCAAAGTGTTGGGATTACAGGCGTGAGCCACCACGCCCAGCCAATTCATACCTTTTTAGGGGATGAGTATCAAAGAATTTGTAGGTATATTTTGAACAACTAATTGAGATAAAGTTCAAAGTTCATTTCTTTCCCATGTGGATATCCAGTTGTTCTACTATAATTTGTTGAAGATTTTTTTTTTTTACCCCATAGCTGGCATTACGAGTTCTACTTTCTTTTCCAGATGAATATTATTCATGGTTATATTTCAAAAGCAAACTGAATTTTTTAAGTCAAGCCTACAGCAAAAGGTTATTAAAAATACATAAATGAAAAATTCAAATCATGGTATTAATTCTAATAATGTACTTTCTGTAGTTTGCATTTTCAATTTGCAATTGCAATAGTTAATAAAATCTTCGGACATTAATGTTGGAAGACATCTAAGACATTAGCTAATTTACCTCAGTTGTTTTATGAATATTGAAGCAGAAGGCTAGGAGACTGAATGAATGGTTCAGGACATAATACAAGATACAGGCAGATCTGAGAATATTAGCTATTTAATAGCCTGGCTTGGTAATCTAATAGTCAAATTAATTTTTTTTGAGATGGAGTCTCACTCTGTTGCCCAGGCTGGAGTGCAGTGGCACAATCTCAGCTCACTGCAACCTCCACCTCCTGGTTCAAGCAATTCTCTTGCCTCAGCCTCCTGAGTAGCTGGGATTACAGGTGCCCACCACCACACCCAGCTAATTTTTGTATTTTTAGTAGAGATGGGGTTTCACCATCTTGGCCAGGCTGGTCTCGAACCCCTGACTTCAAGTGATCCATCCCCCTTGGCATCCCAAAGTGCTGGGATTACAGGCATGAGCCATTGCGCCTGGCCACTTTCCTTTTCTTGTAATGTCTTTGGTTTTGAGGTTAAGGTAATGCTGGCCTCATAAAAGGAGTTAAGAAGAATCTTCTCTATTTCTATCTTCTGGAAGAGATTGTAAAGAATTGGTATAATTTCTCACTTAAATGCTTGGTAGAATTCACCAGTAAACCCATGTGGGCCTGATGGTTTTTGTTTTCAAAGGTTATTAATTATTGACTAAGTATCTTTAATAGATAGAGGCCTATCCAGGTTGTCTATTTCTTCTTGTATGAGTTTAGATAGACTGTATCTTTCAAGGAGTTGGTCCATTTCATTTGATTATCAAATTTGTGGGCATACAGCTGTTCATAATATTCTCTTATCTTTTTAACATCCATAAGATCTGTAGTGGTCTCCCCTCTTTAATTTCTGTTATCAGTAATTTGTGTCCTCTTTTTTTTCTTTGTCTGGCTAGAGACTTATTGATTTTATTGATCTTTTCAAAGAACCAGCTTTTGGTTTCATCATTTTTTTCTATTGATTTCCTGTTTTCAATTTCATTGATTTACGCTCTAATTCTTATTATTTATTTTCTTCCATTTACTTTGAATAATTTTCTTTTTCTTGTTTCCCAAGGTGGAAGCTTAGGTGACTGATTTTAGATCTTTCTTCTTTTCTAGTATATGCATTTGATACTACAAATTTCCGTATAAGCACTGCTTTCAATGCATCCTATACATTTTGATAAGGTGTATTTTCAGCATCATTTAGTTCAAAATATTCTTACATTTCTCTTGAGCTTTCTTCTTTGACCCATGTGTTATTTAGAAGTGTGTTTAATCTCCACCTATTCTGAGATTTTCCAGTTACTTTTGTTATTATTTTTAGTTTAATTCCATTGTGGTCTGAGAGCAGATGGTTGTATGATTCCTATTATTTTAAATTTGTCAAGATGTGTTTTATGGTTCAGATTGTGGTCTCTACTGGTGAATGTTCTATGCAAGCTTGAGAAGAATGTGCATTCTGCTCTTTTTAGGTCAAGTAGTCTATATAGATATATGTCCATTATATCTAGTTGATGGTGTTGTTGAGTTCAACTTCATCTGTACTGATTTTCTGCCTCCTGAATCTGTCCATTACTGATAGAGGAGGTTGAAGATCCAAATCTACCAGTAGACTCATCTATTTCTCCTTGCAGTTCTAGCAGTTTTTGCCACACATATTTGTTGATTGTCTGCTGTTAGGTGCATATGCATTAAGGACTGTTGCATCTGTTTGAAAAAATTGACCCCTTTATCATCTGCCATGTCTGGAAATTAATATAACTACTCTTGCTTTATTTTGATTAGTGTTAGCATGGTGTATTTTTCTCCATCTCTCTACTCTTAATTTATGTGTGTCTTTATATTTAAAGTAGATTTCCTATAGACAACATATAGTTGGGTCTTGTTTTTAGATCTACTCTGGTAATCTCTGTCTTAATTGATGCATTTAGACCATTGAGGTTAAAGTGATTTTTGGTATAGCTGGATTAGTATCTACCATATTTGTTACTATTTTCTATTTATTGCCTTTGTTCTTTGTTCCTATTTTTGTCTTCCACTCTTTTCTACCCTTTGTGGTTTTAAATGAGCACTTTATAAGATTCCATTTTCTCTCCTTTCTTAGCATATCAATTACACTTCTTTTTTACTTTTTTAGTGGTTCCCATAGAGTTTGCTATGTACATTTACAACTAATCCAAGGCCACTTTCAAATAACACCATAATGCTTCATTGATAGTGTGAGTATAACAACAAAACATCTGAATTCCTCCCTACTATCCCTTGTATTACTGCTGTCATTCATTTCACCTATATATAAGCATATAGGTATATGCTTTATAAATACATAAACATATATTATTGCTATCATTATTTTGAACAAACTGTTGTCTGTCAGATCAACTAAGAATCAGGGAAATAAAAGTTTTTATTTTACCTTCACTCACTCTTCTTTTGATATTCTTCCTTTCTTTATGTAAACCCAAGTTTATGACCCATATAATTTTCCTTCTCCCTACAAAACTTCTTTTAGCATTTTTCGCAAATGCAGATCTACTGGCAATAAATTCTTTCCAGTTGTGTTTGACTGAGAAAGTCTTCTCTTTCACTTTTAAAGGACTATTTCACAGGGTAAAGAATTCTAGGTTAAGTGGGTTGTCTCAGCACTAAACATTTCACTCCATTCACTTCTTGTTTGCATGGTTTGTGAAGTGAAGTCATACAAAATTCTTATTTTTGCTCCTCCACAGACAAGGTGTTTTCTCCCTCTGGCTTTTTCATGATTTATTTATTCATCTTTGATTTTCAATAGTTTGAAAATTATATGCCTTAAGGTAGTTTCGGGGGCATTTCCTACTTGGTGTTCTCTGAGCTTCCTGGATATGTGGTTTGATGTCTGACATTAATTTGGGAAAATTCTCTGTCGTTATTATTTCAAATATTTTGTCCCTTTCTCTCTTTTCCTTCTGGTATTCCATTATACATATATGACACCTTTTGTTGCTGTCCCACAGTCTTATTCTGTTCTGATGTTTGTTTTGTTTTTAGTTGTTTGTGTTGTCCCACAGTCTTATTCTGTTCTGCCGTTTTTGTCTTGTTTTTAGTCTTTGTTCTCTTTGCTTTGTAGTTTTGGAGGTTTCTATTGATATATCTGTAAGCTTAAAGATTGTTTCCTCAGCCATGTCCTGTTTGCTAATAATCCCAAAGTGGTTTTGCCCTCTAGTACTTCTTTTTAGTTCTTTTTTAGGATTTCCATCTCTCTGCTTACATTGCCTATCTGTTCTTGCATGCTGCCTATTTTATCCATTGGAGCCCTTAGCCTATTAATCATAATTGCTTTAAATCCCCAGTCTGATCATTCCTTCATCCCTGCCATGTCGGGTTCTGATGCTTGCTCTGTCTTTTTGAATGTTTTTCTGTCATTTAGTATGACTTGTAATTTTTTCTTGATAGCTGTACATGATGTACCAGGTAAAAGGAACTGCTGTAAATAGGTCTTTATTAATGTAGTGTTAAGGTGCGGAGAGGGGAAGTGTTCCATAGTCCTGTGTTTAGGTCTCACTTTTTAGTGAGTCTATGCCTCTGGACTGTGAACTTCACAAATGCTTCTTGGTTTTTCCTCTTGGACAAAATAGATGTAGTGGGCTGGAGTTGGGTATTTCTCTTGCCCCAGTCCAGTTAGGCTCTGATAAAATCTCAGCACATCAGGTAAAGCTCTGGTTAAGTAGTTGCTCCTTCTTAAGGACAAGAGTGCTCTGGCATATTTCAAAATGGTTCCTTTTCTCCTCCCCGTCCTGGAAGCACAAGGAGATTTTTCCCTAATATTTACTATAGGAGCCTAGTTGAGCTCCTGGAGGTAAAACAAAAGTGTGGTGCTCTCTATGACTGGGTTCCCTTGGAGTTTTTAATTCTCAGACTTGGCCACACTGAGCATCCAACAATTCATTAATCACAGTTCAGATCTTCCTACTTCAACAGTAGTTCCTATGGCAGCTTCCACTCGTGAGTCTCTGTTCCAGTAATCCATGACTCCTTGTATTTGTCTGTCTCTCCAATCTTGGGGGCAGAGGTTTGCCCTATGTCCTCCCCTCTCTTGTGGATCCCAGAAGAGCTGTTGATTTTTCAGTCTGTTCAGCTTTGTACTTATTTTTAGGACATATTGGTGACTTCTAAGCTCCTTCCATGTGGAACTGGAAACCGGAAGTCAGATTTACCTACCCAGACTTTTCAAGGACACTGACTCTAAGCTCATTCTACTCCTTGGGGACCCAAAATGTCACTATATGTTTTAGCTATCTGAGTGGAGGCTTTATGGGGATTAAGTTACAAAAGGAAATTAGATCCAGTGAATGCACAAGACTATCTGTGGTTATATCCTCAGTTTTCTGAATGCATAGTTTGAGTAGATATACTTCAAAACTAGCAGAATCCACACTGTTTTTCTGACTTCTGCAAAGATACGGGGGTAGAAATTCCATCACATTCTCAGTATACTCGCATATTTGTTTTATGAAAAGATGTATGTATTTGAGAGGTTAACAGTAGATTATAAACTTAATCAGATGATAACTGCTAATGTGCAGGTTTCCAGATATATCCTCATTTACCAGAAGAAAATCAATGTAGCTCCTGGTACCTCATAGGCAGCTACAGAACTAGGTAATGATTTATCTCTACCTCAATAAACAGAAACCATCAGAAGTAGTTTTCTGTCATCTAGCAGAGATGCCATTAAAGCCTCACTGTCTTATTTCAGGGATATCAACCTCTTTGGCTGTCATACTCCCATAGGATATCATTTTGATGACATAAGGCTGAATGTATTTAGTGGGCAAGAACTGACGGTATCTTAGCTGCCTTGATAAGTCACATGCATGTCAAAGTATGGGAGAATCCATGAAAATTCAGAGACCAGTCACCTCAATGAAGTTTCTAAGGGCCCCAAAGACTGTGCATTTCAGAGAAATCCTTGCCGTGTAAAAGAGAAATTTTGTACCTTGCACTCTTTGTAACTAAAAAGAGGCAGAAGTCTGCTAAGCTGCTTTGGTGGCAACATAGAGGACATGTGTATGTGCTGCTCTAAGCAAAGCATCTGGTATAGTGTCACATATGAGTCAGGCTCAGATTAAGGGAAGACTCTGCAACTTCTCCAAACTGATGCCACGTGGGGCTCTGTTTCAGCAGATCTAAAGGTACTTAAAGTGTGTACAGCAGATTCAAATGCTGTAGAGTACCTCTGGTACACTCCAATACAGGCCTCCAGTGCTTTGGAGTAGGGCTATGTCTTCTTCACACATTAGCTAATCTCCTTTGGAAAAAATGCTCTTGGTTTACTTTTACCTCAGTTTACCTTGGTTTATTTTTACCTACCTTTTACTTTTAGAGACTTAAATTTTGACCAAAGAACATCAAGTGATCATCAGACCTAAAGTGGGTGTTATCTAATGTACCAAATAATAAAGTTGAACAAGTGCAATCATACTCCATTATCAAAAGAAGCAGTCTATAAGAGATAAGCCTCAAGCAGGTTGTGAATAAGCAGGTAGATTGTATGAACAGATGGTTCATATTCCCAGTGCATCTACTCTTTTTCTTTCCCATTTCTCCCTCAAATTATACCCATGGACTCTGGGGGAGTTCCCTATCACCAGCTGACTGAGGAAGAAAACATTCAAATTTGGTTTAGAGATGGTTCCTCATGTTGGCACCACCTGGAAGTGAAAAGCTGAATAATATCCCCACAAAGGGATGGCCTTGACAAAGAAAGAAATCTTCACAGTGAGTCAAATTTCCAGTAATATATCTATCTAATTTTCCACTTTATGGTAAAGGAAAAATGGTAAGAAACATTGAACTACACCAAATTATGTGTAGCAACTAACTGTTGGCCTGGATGATAAGGTACTTGAAAAAAATAAAACTGGAGGATTGGTGACAAGGAGTTCTGGAGAAAAGGTGATGGATGGACCTCTCATAATGGATAGAGAGCATGAGACTATATTCATCCCATTTGAATAAAAACCAAAGGGCATATCCCACAAAAAGGCTCTTTCTAATCAGAGGGCGGCTAAGAGAACTCTATAGGAAGTGGGTATATATCAGAAATGGAGGTTATGAATAGGCTAAACAGCATAGGCTTCCCATCGCCAAGGCTTATATGCCTATCATCACTGCTGAGTCCTCAGTTGGCCAACACCCTGGATCAACACTGAGCTTTCATCATAACACGATAGGCCAGGGACACCAGCCATCCACCAAGTAACAGGTTGAGGATTAATTCCTTTTACTAGGGGTGGTTAGCAGCAATCTGTCTACACTATGATTAGCACCCAGTTACCCTAGATATGGATTTACCATCTCTGCCCATATCGTTCTGCCAGTACCACCATCTGTGGACTTACTCACTATCATGATATTCCACACAATATTGCCCACCAAGTGAGACAACAGACTCACCCCACAGAATTCATCAATCTTACTGTGTATCCCATCAGCCCAGACATGTTTCGGTTGTTCCACCTACCGAGTAAGTTAATAACACCATCATTGTAGCAAGCAAAAAGTTTGATAAGATCTTTGAAAAGAAGCATAAATGCTGCATTTATGACACCATTTGTTAGTTCATTTGGATGCACCTAGAAAAACAGAAAAATTTAATATTAGCGGCATATCATTAAGTCTTAATTTTTCTTGAATCACATTAAAATGTCTCAAATGACTACTAAGAAATTCATGAATATTCTACAAACATTGGTAATTCATTTAGTAACCCTACCAATATCAAAAGATGGACTACATATGTTTTTGCTTCAATTTAAGTCAATGAGGTTAGTCTTATCGATTAAAAGACAGATATATGCATTATATATATATGTGTTTATATAGATTAATCCATAGATTATTCAAATTTAACTTTTGAAAATCTGGTGTTTTGTTACTTTTACTGTTATGTTACATTTCTTCCACTTCTCCTATCTAATAGTTTCTGTGAAAGGATTCAGGCTCCAGGGGCCTGCAATGACTCAGTGTGGAAGAACAGCATGGGGAATACCTTAGTCAGCTACCTCTAAAATAACTCTAGAGACTCATAACTGTTCACCTATTCCAAACTACTCTAATCATCAACACAAAGGCACATAATTTCTCCCCACTCCTCAATCCTTTTCTTTTTCCCTTTATGACTTTCTCTTTTAAGACAGAACCCTTACTAAGGTCAAGGAAAGTAAAGAAAAATAAACGAATTAAAAAGAAAATAAAAGCTAAAAGGCAATTCGACAGATACTTAGTGAAGTCCTTATCATAAAATCTGTTAAAAAATAAGATGGTTTGCTGCTTTTATGAAATTTCACAGGAGTTAGGTGTTGTGATTAGCACCTAATTATAGACTAAACCATACAATCTTAACAGAGATGCTAAGTTACTAAAATTTGAGGAAAATCTTTGTTGTAGGCAACTACCAAAATACAAAAAGGCTGAACAATATGAGTTAATAATGTCTCTACATGTCAAAATATTTTACTTTCATGAATCAGATTTCAGATTTTTTTTTTTTTTGAGACAGAGTCTCACTCTGTCGTCTAGACTGGAGTGCAGTGGCATGATCTCAGCTCACTGCTACCTCTGCCTCCCAGGTTCAAGCGATCCTCCCACCTCAGCCTCCCAAGTAGCTAGGATTACAGGCATGCACCACCACACCTTGCTTTTTTTTTTTTTTTTTTTTGGTATTTTTAGTAGAGACAGAGTTTCACCATGTTGGCCATGCTGGTCTCAAACTCCTGACCTTGTCAAGTGATCTGCCTGCTTTGGCCTCCCAAAGTTTGGGATTACAGGCGTGAGCCATGCCCAGCCTCAAGATTCTTCAAAATTAATTTTTTTATTTTAAGATAACTCTAAATTTACATGCAGGTGTAAGAAGGAATACAGAAAGCTCCCATATACCATTTACCCAGTTTATCCTAATGGTAACATCCTATAAAACTATAGTACAATATCACAACCAGGATATTGACAATGAAACAATTCACTAATTTATCTAAGATTAAACACAATTCTTTGGTGGATAGTGTCATTTAAGCAATCTGCATAAAATGGTTTCTAGGCCAGGCGTGGTGGCTCATGCCTGTAATCCCAGAATTTTGGGAGGCCGAGGTAGGCAGATCATGAGGTAAGGAGATCGAGACCATCCTGGCTAGCATGGTGAGATGCCATCTCTACTGAAAATGCAGAAAATTGGCCGGGCATGGTGGCGGGCGCCTGCAGTCCCAGCTGCTCAGGAGGCTGAGGTAGGAGAATGGCGTGAACCCAGGAGGCAGAGCTTGTGAGCGGAGATCGCGCCACTGCACTCCAGCCTGGGTGACAGAGTGAGACTCCGTCTCAAAAAAATAAATAAATAAAACAAAATAAAATAAAATAAAAAATAAAAAAGATTTCTAACAGCAGGTCAAGTTATTTAACTGCCTGAAGGCACATCTTGCAGATACTTCATCCTGTCAAGTACAATAGGAAGTCACTATCCTGCTCAGAACATGAAGTTCCAAGAATGTACCATTCATATTTTTCCATGACTTATGTAAACACCTGGTAAACTGCTTAGAAAAATCAGGGGAACCTAAATAATCTTTACCGAGCTTAACAGCCTGAACTAAGTATTCATCTAAATGAAGATCTATAGCTGCTTCCCGAGGAAATCTTTGGATTTACCTGTAGCCCATCTTCAAATGAAAGACAACATTGATTGTGTATGAAACATTTTCTAGTGAGATACATACATCAAATTCAAGCAGTGCATCAATTTGTCCCTGTAGTATTGGCATACTCTTTAGCAGCTTTTCGGGAGCCATTGTCCTCATTACACCATCGGCCCTACAATTAAAAAAAAAAAAAAGGTACAATTTCATTGGATATGGACAATTCAAGACCATATGAATTGTTCTAAGCTGTTCCCCCACACCACCCCATTTCCTTATTAATCCTGTGGGATCAATTTGAGGTATTACAAGGTTGTAGTCATTTCCCCCCTCTATCTATTATCTATTCTTATTCCTCCATTGCACAGGCAATGCTTGTTTGTTTTCTATGTGTACTGCCCTTAGGAAGAAAGCAATCGGGTCTGGATAAAAGAGGCAAGCTGAATTTATGAATGGATTTTTCTAAATCTATAATAAAGGTAATAGTGTTGAAAAGTATGTTTTCTTCTTTTTTTTTTTTTTTTTTTGAGACAGTCTCACTCTGTCACCCAAACTGGAGTGCAATGGCATGATCATAGCTCACTGTAATCTCAAACTCCTGGGCACAAGTGATTCTCCTGCCTCAGCCTCATGAGTAGCTGGAACTACAGGTGCATGCCACCACACCCGGTTAATTTTTAAAAAATTTGTTTTGGTAGGGATGGGAGTCTCACTATGTTGCCCAGGCTGGTCTTAAACTCCTGACCTCACAGAGTCCTCCCTCCATGATCTACCAAAGTGCTGAGACTATAGCCATGAGCCACTTTGCCCAATCAAAATATAAGCTTTCAAAAAAGCCAGTTTTTTTTTCTTTTTTTTTGAGAAAGAGAAAACATGTCTTGGAAGTTTATAAAACCTGTATGACTTGGAGTACAAGGTTTATGCTATTAACCATCAAGGGAAGAAAAATGCATGCTGATAAGAACACTTTTCCCAAACAAAGGTAAGAGTTTAGCTACAGAAGATGAGACTGAAGGTTAATGCTGATGTCGGAGGGTGCACTGCACCTTGTCTCCACCTTCAGGTCTCTTAGGAAGCCCTTGTATCCAGTGATGGTGATGGTTGAGGAGCAGCAGTATTGTAATAGCTGAAGAAAATACCCAGATGATGTGGACATGCTGATCATGGCAACTTTCAGGGTCTCTCCCAGACCAACAGTGGAGAAAGCAACCTGAAGTGTCCATATGTGTTCATACAGGGGTGCAGAAGTTTCTAGGAAGGCCATGGACCTACTGCAGAGGTCACAATGCAGCTGGGAACATCAGCAATGGTTGCATGGTGCCATGTAAGAAGTTAGAGGAAGGCATATGAACTAGAATCATCTCTCGTGAGAAGAGGGTGAAGGAAAACACCTACTTTTATAAAGTATTCATCTACAATAAATTATTTTGAATAGGCAAGTTGATGTTTTTCACCACCATGGTAAAAAAAGTAGCCCCAAACTAAGGTCAGGTTAGCCATTGCAAAAATAAAGTTACATCTTTTTGTGTGGATTCTTGAGACTAAAATATTAAAGCTGCTATAGTACCTTGCCATTATTTCAAATGAGGAACAGATATAAGATATGCACAAATGTGTGGCTGAATGCCTCTGACTAGATTTATGCATCTATTTAGAGGGAAATAAATGGTAATTATAGATAAAATTCAAGTGTTTCTGTTTCAATGAGGTTTTCTTAATTGGTAGTATTAACAATTAGTTTGATTATGGTGTGTGTTTATATATGTGTTTTCTAGAATGATACGTCTCTCAAAACCAGATCAAAGTTCAGATTCACCTCAATTAAAAAAAAAATATTTATATAGCTATTGGCTATTTTCCATCTTTTTTTTTTTTGACACAGGGTCTTAGAGACAGGGTTGCCCAGGCTGGAGTGCAGGGGCATGAACATAGCTCACTGTAGCCTCAGTCTCCTAGGATCAAGCAATCCTCCTGCCTTAGCCTCCCAAGCAGCTGGGACTACAGGCACACACCACCACGCCTGACTAATTTGTTTAATTTTTAGTAGAGAGAAAGTCTCACTGCATTGCCCAGGCTGGTCTTTAACTCCTACGTTGCCCAGGCTGTTCTTTAACTCCTGAGCTCAAATGATCCTCCCAGTTTGGCCTCCCAAAGTACTGGGATTACAGGTATCACTGTGCCAGGCCAAATAGCTATTGTCATCTACAGCCACTATACTTTTAAGTGAATCTTGTCTTAATTCCCTCCTTCTTAAATTATTTAAAGGTATATACATGTTTAAAAATTTTGAGTTTTTAACAAATAAAATGTTATATAATTTGTCCTGGGATTAGAGAGAAGAAAAAAATTTTATAGCATATAAACTGAGAAGCAAATCAGATTTTTCTGCATGAAGATATAAACAAAATAATGCATATTGCAACTTCAAGGCTAACTTCTACAATATTATTGAGTTCCTTTTTTTAGGTTATTGTAAACTGGGCCTTCAAGAAAATTAGCTGGCATTTAAGCTTAGTTAAAATAAATCAAGTATGCCTCAAAGACTTATTCTCCTCTAATAAATATAAGAAAGACAAAAACATACCCTTTCTTCACCCTGGCAAAATCAAAGGCCATCTGTCTGTAAGAAAAAGCCTTTTCATTCAAATATCTACTATAGCGCCTTATGAAGGTAGACATATCATAACCTGGGAGAGTGGAAAGAAGAAATAAAACTAATTAATAAAATACCTTCAACTGTGCTTTGCATAGTACTATTTTTTTTTAACTCTCTAAATGGTGATAGTCCTAGGATAGGGTCAATAACTGTATCAGATAGATCTCATTTAAAATCCTGCTTCTAGGCAAAAATACTTTTGCCATGAGGCATTCCAGGATTCTTCAATTACTTATTCCACCATTCCAGTACAGAATATGTTTTTAAATTTTCCTTGAACTTTTGTTCATTTTTCAAATAATGGCCAGTTTCAGACTTAATTCATGCAGCCATCTGATAATGTTCCATTTGCTTGATGTGCTTGCTTTACACACAACAGATAAACAGTGAATATGATAAATGAACAAATGAATGCAGTTCAAACCCTATTAATCCACACAAAACATTTCTTTAAGACTCGAATCACTTTTTTTAATTGAGAAGACATCTTTTATTTCATTGTCTCCTGTACCTTCATAAAAAACAACTGTGGGTCTAGCACACCCACTGTTACTTTTTAAGGTAAACGTGGTAAAAACGCCCAAAATAAACTTAATATATATTTTATATGCTGAGTTGTCTATAATTAAATATTTTAAAGCTATATTTAAATATAATTATTTTTACATTCTTAAATATTCAATGAAGCTATCAGTTGCAATGATTTTGGATTAATAGCCTCACTTCAAAAATCAAAGCATTGGCAAAAAATTATAAAATACAAATATTCTCACCATGGGATCCACTTTTGTCCAAAAAATTGCTGAGATTGAATAGTGTATTTCTAGAAGCCAAATATTGAATAAATCTCTGAAAAACAAAAATTAGAATTAAACACACATTTTAAAATCATACTTTTAAACAATTTCTGACACTAAAGCGATTTTTTTTTTTAACAAATTCTCATTGGGATCTCTTTTACTCAGTTATAAAGTTTCCTAGAATGCTGAATTTCTCTGAGGGGAAAAAAAGCTTTGTGAATTAGAATTAAATTGTACGATCTTTCATTTCTACACATAATGGAAATACTACAATTTATTAGGATTCAGTAGGCATCCTACATAAAATTGGTAATTTTAATTTTATCAGTATTTTCCAAAATAAATATCTTACGAATGCAATTTTCACTCAAAGATTCAAAGAAATCTTTCCTATGGGAAAAATAATTTTATTGTTCCTTCTCCTAACATTTTTGCTTAAAAATAGGTTTACATGGTATATCCATTTTTTGAACCTATAATTTTAACACAGGCATATCTCATTTTATTGAGCTTCTTTTTTATTGCACTTTTTGCAAATTGAAGATTTGTGGCAACTCAGGGATGAGCCAGTCTATCAGTGCTCACTTTGTGTCACATTTTGGTAATTCTCACAATAGTTCAAACTTTTTCATTATTATTATATCTGTTTTGGTGATCTGTCATCAGTGATCTTTGATGTTACTAATGTAATTGTTCTGAGTTGCCATGAACTGTGCCCATAAATGATGGCAAACTTAATCAGTAAATGTGGCATATGTTCTGACTGCACCACCGCTGGTTGTTCCCCTGACTTTCTCCCTTTCCTCAGGCCTCCTTATTCCCTGAGACACAAAAATATTGCAATTAAGCCAACTAATAACCCTACAATGACCTCTAGATATTCAAATGAAAGGAAGAGTCACACATCTCTCACTTTAAGTCAAGAGCTAGAAGTGATTAAGCTTAATGAGAGTGGCATGTCGAAAGCTGAGAAAGGCCAAAAGCTAGCTCTCTTGTGCCAGTTAGCCAAGTTGTAAATATAAAGGAAAAGTCTTGAAGAAAATTGAAAGTGCTACTTTAATGAACACACAAATGATAAGAAAGTGAAATAGCTTTCTTGCTGATATGGAGAATGTTTGAGTGGTCTGGATAAAAGATCAAACCAGCTACAACATTCCCTCAAGCCAAAGCCTAATTCAGAGCAAGGCCTCAACTTTTTTTCAATTCTAGGAGGGCTGAGAGAGGTGAGGAAACTGCAGAATAAAAGTTTGATGCTAGCAGAGGTTAGTTCATGAGGTTTAAGGAAAGAAGCCATCTCCACAATATAAAAGTACAAGGTGAAGCAGGAAGTGCTGATGAAGAAGCTGCAGCAAGTTATCCAGAAGATCTAGCTGAGATAATTCATGAAGGTGGCTACATGAAACAGATTTTCAATGTAGATAAAGCAGCCTTCAATTGGAAGAAGATGCCATCTAGAACTTTCTTATCTAGAAAGGAGAATACAGTACCTGACTTCAAAACTTCAAAGGACAGCCTGACTCTCTTGTTAGGGGCTAATGCAGCTGATGACATGAAGTGAAAGTCAATGCTCATTTACCATTCTGAAAATCTAGGGCCCTTAAGAATTACACTAAACCTACTCTGCCTGTGCTCTATAAATGGAACAACAAAGCCCGGATGATAGCACACTCTGTTTATAGTATGGTTTACTGAATATTTGAAGCCCACTGTTGAGACTTACTGCTCAGAAAAAAAGATTCCTTTCAAAATATTACTGCTCATTGACATGCACCTTGTCACCATAAGAGCTCTGATGGAGATGCACAAAGAGATGCACGTTGTTTTCATGACTGCTAACACAACATTCATTGTGCAGCCCATGGATCAAGGAGTAATTTTTACTTTCAAGTCTTGTTATTTAAGAAATACATTTTGTAAGGCTATAGCTACCACAGATAGTGATTCCTCTGATGGATGTGGGCAAAGTAAATTGAAAACCTTCTAGAAAAGATTGACCATTCTAGATGCCATTAAAAACATTTGTGATTCATGGGAGGACATACAGATAGCAACATTAGCAGGAATCTGGAAGAAGAGCATTTCAGCCCCTATGGATGACTTTGAGGGATTCAAGACCAGTAGAGGAAGTAACTGCAGATGTGTGGGAAAATAGCAAGGGAACTAGAATTGGACATGGAGCCTGAAGATGGGACTGAATTGCTATAATCTCATGATAAAATTTGAATGGATGAGGAGTTGCTTCTTATGGACGAGAAAGAAAGTAGTTTCTTGAGATAAAATCTACTTCTGGTAAAGATACTGTGAACATTGTTGAAATAACAACAAAGGATATAGAAATTACATAAACAGCTGATAAAGCAATAGCAAGGTTTGAGAGGATTGACTCCAATTTTCAAAGAAGTTCTGCTGTAGATAAAATGCTGTCAAAGAGCATTGAATGCTACAGAGAAATCTTTTGTAAAAGGAAGAGTCAATTGATGTGGCAAACTTCACTGTTGTCTTATTTTAAGAGACTTCTGCAATTACTTCAACCTTCAGCAACCACCATCCTAATCAGTCAGCAGCCATCAATATCAGGGCAAGACCTTCTACCAGCAAAGATTACAACTCACTGAAGACTCAGATGATCATTTGATAATAATTTTTTAGCAATAAAGGATTTTTAAATTAAGATATGTACTTTTTTTAGACATAATACTATTGCACACTTAATAGAGTACAGTATAAATGTAAATGTAACTTTTACATGCACTGGGAAACCAAAACATTTGTGTGACTCGCTTATTGCAATATTAGCTTTTTTTTGCAGTGGTCTGGAATCAAACCTGCAATATCTCTGAGGTGTACCTATTCCTCATATCTCTAAGACAATGTCTAACTTAAAGTTTATTTTTTGTTAACTAGCTAAGGAGAAGATTAAACTTGTATTCTAGATGATCCGGAACTGTGTATTTCCTTTTCTTTTTCTCCTAATTAGTGAAAATTCAAAGAGCCTTAAATCATCACCATGCTCTTCCTAAAAGCCTCCTTCCTCCATCAAAAAAAGAAAAGTTTACTTAGTTTACCTCATTTCCATGCACCATGAGATGATGTGTTGTCACTAAAGCCTTAAACACAACCACCCAGCTACTGTTTGTTGCCCGCTCAAAGAGAGTGTCGGCCATCTGAGGAATATTAACATTGGTCTCGTTGGTAGCCTGGATCAAATCTATGAAAATAGAAGATATTAATCAATGATATTAACAATTACATGCAAAAATTCATTTCAAACTTGGAACATATAAGCCTGTTTACTAATATATGACCTTAAAAGTACTTTGATAATAGCTGATAACAAAATTTAAAAAATTAAACTGTAATATTTTACCCATGGACATGTACATATATTATTTACCCAATATATTTATTTATTCTTGAGTATATTTTGCTACTTAATTTTCTTCTGTACTCTCTTCTGAATTTACCTGTTTGCTGGTACTTATGCCATTTTTAAAATTATAAACTCCAGGAAGGCTAAGCCTCATGTATTTAATCTTCTTTGTTACTGCTATAAGCACAATGTCTCAAATGTGGGCACTTATTCTATATGCCATTTGAAGGCAATAACATAAATGTACTCTTCAAACTTAACAGCTAAAAGCATATCTCATTTGCATTTGAACTTTGAAAGGTGCTAGTAAATACACTTGTCATATGAGTGGCAGGATGAGGTCAAATATTAAAAGAGAAAAGAATTTTGTACACATGTAAGCTTTTGTAGAACAACATGCATGCATTAAATTACTATAATTTAACCTGAGTTTGTAAGAGAGTAAACCTTTATAATACATTCACTGTTCACATCTATTAGTATGAGTCCAGGTGTATTTTTTAAAAAAATTATCTACTGGCCAACAGGGAGTGCCCAGCATTCAGAAAAGCAGTTAATGCTGTCAAAGAGTTAGCTGGGACAACCAAAGATCATGTGCTAAGGAACAGAAGCTAAGCCACAGTGGGACAGTACAGACTTAAGTACTTCCAACAGTACAGGATGACCTCTTCAGGACAGCAGACACTGCATGACTTCTGTTACAGTCCACACTTATCTTGCAGAGACCTGCATGTGATACCCAGTTCCTAGGCAATCCCATGCAACAAACATGCGCTTGCAACAAACATGCACATGTATTCTTCTTACTCCAAATCCACACTCAGTAATCATTAAACTATACATTTTATGCATTGCATTTCTCTTCACAATAAATGTTTTTAAAAATTGATATTCTACCACTGAAAAATATCTAAACTCCTTAGACTAAAGGATATCAATAACTGTTCGGAATTATAAGTGGATCAAGGCAGGCTTATTTCTTAATTTATACTGATTTTAAATTTCTGTCATCATCCCCTTCCCATCAACACCCTTCTCTCAATATTTTCCTTTATTGGACTTTTACTCATCCTTCAGGAAGTCTTTCCTGGCCCCTTTCAAATGCAGTCCCATGTGGCCTTCCTGTGCTTTAAAACGTGAGGTACTTTGTTCCTGCTGGGTGTTCAGAATAGATGTATATTTGTCATAATTTCTACCATATCACAGCTCCTTAAAAGCAGTAATGTCTGTTTCACATACAACACTTTGCAGAGCACTGTGTACAATATTTATTGAGCAAAATGTATAAAAGACATACTTTAGCTAAAATAATCAAATGAGTCAACATTGGAAGGTGTAAATAACTCAGTGAACCAATATTTTCCAAATGACTAGCGCATAACATTACAAAATAACGCATGGGTAAAAAAATGCATTCAAAGTACCATATAGACCAATGCATTTAAACGTAACAGAAGATAAACAGTTCACTGATACAGTTTCAGAGTCAAGGTTGCAATTTAAACTTAAGAAACTACAACTTGGAGAATTGTAGTGTAGTATCAAAGAATATTCACAATTTTCTGAAAAGGTTATTAAAACAGTTCTCATTTTTCTAACTGAGTATCTTTATGAGGCCAGATTTTCTTCACACACTCTAACTAAAATAATATATGCAAACAGGTTGATTACAGAAACAGATATAAATGCTGGTCTTTTATTGAGTAAGAAATTAAAAAGATTTATAAAAATATAAAATGATAATATTCTTTTCACTGCTTTTTTTTGAGAACTATCATTTCCCCTAAAAGTATTATTTGTATTAACATGTTTATATGTAACATGTTAACAGATTTATTATTATTTAAAAGTGAATTTTAAAAAACTGTCCCAGTTGTAATTTTTATTTTGATTTTTATATTTTTTTATTATACTTTAAGTTCTAGGGTACATGTGTACAACGTGCAGGTTTGTTACATACGTATATATGTGCCATGTTGGTGTGCTGCACCCATTAACTCGTCATGTACATTAGGTATATGCATGGGCAAGGACTTCATGTCTAAAACACCAAAAGCAACGGCAACAAAAGCCAAAATTGACAAATGGGATCTAATTAAACTAAAGAGCTTCTGCACAGCAAAAGAAACTACCATCAGAGTGGACAGGCAACCTACAGAATGGGAGAAAATTTTTGCAATCTACTCATCTGACAAAGGGCTAATATCCAGAATCTACAAAGAACTCTAACAAATTTACAAGAAAAAAACAAACAACCCCATCAACAAGTGGGCAAAGGATATGAACAGACACTTCTCAAAAGAAGACATTTATGCAGCCAACAGACACATGAAAAAATGCTCATCATTACTGGCCATCAGAGAAATGCAAAGCAAAACCAAATGAGATACCATCTCACACCAGTTAGAATGGTGATCATTAAAAAGTCAGGAAACAACAGGTGCTGGAGAGGATGTGGAGAAATAGGAACACTTTTACACTGTTGATGGGACTGTAAACTAGTTCAACCATTGTGGAAGACAGTGTGGCAATTTCTCAAGGATCTGGAACCAGAAATACCATTTGACCCAGCCATCCCATTACTGGGTATATACCCAAAGGATTATAAATCATGCTGCTATAAAGACACATGCATACGTATGTTTATTGCAGCAATATTCACAATAGCAAAGACATGGAACCAACCCGAATGTCCATCAATGATAGACTGGATTAAGAAAATGTGGCACATATACACCACGGAATACTATGCAGCCATAAAAAATGATGAGTTCATGTCCTTTGTAGGGACATGGATGAAGCTGGAAACCATCATTCTCAGCAAACTATCGCAAGAACAAAAAACCAAACACCACATGTTCTCACTCATAGGTGGGAATTGAAGAATGAGAACACATGGACACAGGAAGGGGAACATCACACACCGGGGCCTGTTGTGGTGTAGGGGAAGGGGGAGGGATAGCATTAGGAGATGTACCTAATGTAAGTGACGAGTAATTTTTAATATAGTAAATATCTCACATACACAAAAGCTTTTTCAGTTCGTTAGTAATTTAAGAGTACAAAAGAGTCTTGAGACCAGTTTGAGAGCAACTATTCTTCATCTATAGACACTCCTTGACTTATTGTGGGTAACATCTTATACACCCACTGTGAGTTGAAAATATTATTAAGTTGAAAATGCACTTAACACACCAATCCTACTGGACATCATAGCTTAGCTTAGCCTACCTTAAATGTGCTGAGAACACTGACATTAGCCTATAGTTGGGCAAAGTCATCCAACACAAAGCCTATTTTATAATAAAGTGTTGAATATGTCATGTAATTTATTGAATACTGTACTGAACGTGAAAAACAGAATTGTTTCACACCATTGTAAAGTTGAAAACTCAGAGGTCGAACCATCATAGGTCATGGCCATCTGTATACCTAGAAAGAGAATTGCTAGGTTGTAGGGTATGCACATACTTAAAAGTGTTTTTCCATAGTCATTGCTTCAAATGCTCTCATAAGTAGTTATTATATAAGTTTCTACTTCTCTACTCTCTCACCAAAAAGATAATTTTCATTTAAAGAATTTAAAAAAATAAAGTATAGATACAAACACACAGAAAAAATTCTTAAAAATTGTGAGATCTAAATGCTATGTATAGGTCATGTATCAGTTTCTTAGAATTCTAAGTTTTATTTGAACTTGGGAAGATATATCTGGTATCTTTTTGGTAGTTTATGAAACAGCTTTATTGAAGTATAGTTGATATTAGAATTGCACATATGTAAAGTGTACTATTTGATAAGTTTTGACAAACCTATACACTCATAAAACCAAAACCAAAAATAAGATAATGAACATATCCATCACCTCCAAAAGTTTCCCCATACCCTTTAAAAATTCCTCTTTCTCTTCTCCTGCTGTCCCTTAGCAACCACCAATTTGCTTTCAGTCAATATAAATTAGTTTGCATATTCTAAATTTTATGTGAAGGGAATAAAACTTTTTTCTTGAGAGGGAATGTCTGGATTCTTTCAGTTAGCTAATTACTTTGAGATTTATCCATGTTATTGAATGTATCAATAATTCATTCCTTTTTATTGTAGAGGTGTATTCCATTAGATGAACATACAAAAATTATTTATTCATTCACCTGTTGATGAACAATTAAGGGTGATTCCAGTTTTTGGTGATTACAAATAAAGCTGCTATGAACATTTACATATATCTATTTATACGGACATATGCCTTCATTTCTCTTGGGTAATTTTCTAGAAGTAGAATAGTTGAGTCATTTTTAAGTAAACATTTAATTTTAGGGAACTGCTTTCAGAAAGCTGTTTTTCAAACTACCAAAAAGATACCAGATATATCTTCCCAAGTTCAAATATTTAATTTTAGGGAACTACTTTCTTGCCTGATGGCATTTCTACCATGCTACATTACCACCAGCAGTGTATGAGCATTCTAGTTGCTCTACATCTCTGCTAAGACTTGATATGGTCCTTTTTTTTTTTTTTCTATTATAACAGGTATGTTGTGATATCTCTCGGTGGTTTTTCTTTGCATTTCCCTAATGACTATAATGGTGTTAAACATTTATGTCACGAGCTTTTCATTTGTTTATTTGCCATTGGTATACATTCTTTTCCTATTTTTATTGGATTATTTTATTATTGAGTTATTCTGGATCAAGTCCTCTATCATACATGTGACTTGCAAATATTTCCTCTAAATCTATGGCTTCCCTTTTCATTTTCTTAACAGTGTCTTTGAAAGAACAGAAATTTTTAATTATGATGAAGTCCTATTTATGGAGGTTTTCTTTTAAGAAATCTTTGCTTAATCCAAGGTCACAAAGATTTTCTACGTTTCTTCTACACATTTTATAGTTTTAGGGTTGTACGTACACTTAGGTCAATAATACATTGTTAGTTTTTATAAATGGCATGAGGTATGGATGTTTCATTTTTCTGCATATGGATATCAAATTTTTCCAATGCCATTTGCTGAAAAAAAACTATTCTTTCTCCAGTGAATTGCCTTTGCATCTTTGTCAAAAATAAATGGACCACAAATCTTTGAGTCTCTTTTAGGACTCTTTATTCTGTTCTGTTGACCTATTTGTCTGTCTTTATACCAATACCACACTACTTTGATTACTATAAATTTATCATAATTCATAAAATCAGATAGTGTTAGCCCTTCAAGTTTATTATATTTTGTTCAAAATGGTTTGTGGCTTTTTTAGGTCCTTTGTATTTCCGTATGAGTTTTAGACTGAGCTTATCAACTTTAACAGCAACAAAAAAGTCTTCTGGGATTTTGAATGGGATTATGTTGACCCTATAGATCAATTTGGGGTAAACTGGCATCTTAACAATATTGAGTTTTACAATCCATGTACATGGTCTGTCTATTTATTTTGGTCTTTAATTTCTCTCAGCAATGTTTTGTTCTTTTCAGTACATCAGTCTTACACATATTTTGCCAGATGCATTCCTAATGTTTTATACTTCTTCAAGATATGGGGATATTTATTTTTCATTTCAGTATCTAAATGTTCTTGCCAATATTGAGAAATATAAATGATTTCTGTATCTTGATCTTGTATTCTGAAACTCTGCTAAACTTCCTTATCAGTTCTTTTTGGTAGAATCCATCACATTTTCTGCATGTATGATCATGTCACTTGTGATAAATTCAGTTTTACTTTGCCTGGTGTTCAATATACTGACAACACTTATTTAATATGCTTTTGTCCAGTGTTTTGGTTGTCTTAGGCATGAGTGAAAATAAAGACAATCTCACTCTGTTACTTGTTACCCCATCTTGCCACAAAGTATCAGTCTCTCTTTTTGGTAGTTTGAAGCAATTGAAAATTAATCTTAGAAAGATTAATTAAATCTCTCTAAGGTGAGATTTTCATAAACAAGAGAATGAAGGAAATAGGTATAAGCAGAAAGACAACTTTAACTTTCAGGAGATATAAGTAATTGTTCACTAAAACAAGAAAATAGCAACAAATATAAATAGTTCTCAAATTTGTGGTCACCTACTTCTTTTCCCACTACTATATGAGATTGTCAATCACTTAAATCCTAGGAAAAGATAGCTGTTTATGACAGGGCCCTTGTTATCTGTTGCTTGGACTGCTCTATAAACTCTTCTCTGAGTCATCTCCAGCACAACTAGATACTTTTGTGAAAAATTAATTACCCATGTGTGCCCTTCTGATCATAGCTGTCACTTGCTCAAAACCCCCTGGGGCCTACTGCTGTCCATTTAATAAAATATAAATGTCTGAAGTATGTACTTTATACCTTATATTTTGAGTATACGGCCTCTCATCAGAAGACTCAGCTACCTTACTAATCTTTTCTCTGCTACAAATTGTGCCAACAAAATTATGATACCTTTACGTGCTATTCTCATTGCCTAGAACGTCTCTGCCTTCACTCTATAGAGAGCTCATCTCTCAAGATCAATCTCAAATACAATATTCTCCACGAAGTCTTTTCTGATATTACCTTCAAATAGAAGAGAGGCTTTGATTTTCTCTTCCATGCAAGTAAGGCAAAGGACATGGGACTGGGGGCAAGAGGCCTAGTTCACAATCTCACTCTGCTACTTATGGACAAGTTAATTTGACCACTCTGCAGCTCCATTTTTTTTTTCACCTAGAAATAAGAATAATATTAACTATTTTATGTGATGAACACTGTCATTTGTGGTAATTATCACCCTATATGACTCTACTGTAGTCCTTATTACACAGAATTATCATTGTTAGTCTACATAGGTCTCTCCCCGACTGGAGCTCAAGGTCTAACAGGTAATAAGGGGGCCATATCTGTATTTATGGATCCCTAGTACCTACCACAGGTCTTCATGTATAAAAGACACTTAGTAAATGAAAGATGGCTGTAACTGGCTTGTCATATGCCTGAATCTAAAATACTTTCATACTAAAATTAATAGTAGATATTATAGGCCAATTCTCTCAATAACTCTTACTAGACATAAGTGAATCAACAAATTAGAAAGAGTTACTTTCTATTTCATTGTTATGTATACTTTTATCAGCAGCCTAATTTAGGAAAGTATCCTCTATTCCATTTTAAAATCTCTCCCTAAGTTTAATTATATGACTCTGTAAAACCCCACTAGTACAGCAATTTTCCTTTGCACAAATGTCAGAAAGGGGAATAAAAACTGGTCATTCTTTTATTTTATAATCATCTTGTAAACTTGAGCTTCCACAAGGAGAAATGAGAAACTACAGACCAAAGTCCAAGGTCACACTAAAATGCAGTTTTAAAATATTCCTGTCACATAATAATAGCTCAGAATATTTGCCACATGGACAAGCTTATATATATATGCAAGATTATTCATTGTAATTCTTTTAAATTTACATCTCATTCCTTCCTTCTTCTCTTTCTGTTATGGACTGAATATTTGTGTCCCCTCAGCCAAATTCATATGTTGAAATCTACCCCCAATGTAATGGTATTAGGAGAGGAAGACTGTGGGAGATGATTATGTCATGAGAGTAGAGGCCTCATGAATGGGATTAGTATCTTATAAGAGAGTCCCCAGAGAGCATACTAGTTCTTTCCTCCATGCAAGGGCACAATGAGAAGTCAGCAGTGTGCAGTACAGAAGAGACCCCTCACCAAAACCTGACTATGCTGGACTTCCTATCTCCAGAACTGTGAGAACCAAATTTCTGTTGTTTATAAGCATCTAGTCTATGATGTTTTGGTAGCCCCTGCAAACTAATATCCATTGTACCTCCCTCCCTTCCTTGATCCCTCTCTTCTAGTTAACAACAATCAAAGAGTTCAAACTTGCAAACATTTGTAAACAGAAATAAATTGTTGCTATCCAGACAATACGAAAAAGTGATACAGATGATTCAGACGTTTTTCTTCTTGGGTTCAGCACAAATGACAGACATTAACATTGCCTCACCAACAGCTATTCCTTCCCTCTTCTTTGCCAGCAGAATCCTGCCCCCATCCCTTCTCTGCCCATCAGAAAGGCCAAAATGCCAGACAGGTGCAATCCAGGCTTCCCTTGTAGCTAGATATGTAAGCAGCAGTCTGCTGAGTCACTTGGGAAGACTCTTTCTTTCATAATAAACAGTTGTTATTAATATAATAAACAGGATGGAAACATGTCTCTTCTCCATCAAGAATGTTGTTGTGTATGCATGTGATGTCATGGCCATCTCAACAGGAGGACAGACTTCATCTATAAGTTGAAGATAACAGATGGGAGTTATAGAAAGCACCTGGGTCTGAATCATGTTTTTTGTTTGTTTGTTTGTTTTGTTTTTAACTGAAAATCAAACCCTGGAAGTACCCTTGCTGGGAACTTCTTGTTAAGAAAGACAGTAGGCCAGTTGTGGTGGCTCACGCCTATAATCCCAGCACTTTGCGAGGCCGAGGCGGGCGGATCACTTGAGGTCGGGAGTTTGAAACCTGATCTCAGCCTGGCCAACCTGGTGAAACCCTGTCTCTACTAAAAATACAAAAAAGTTAGCCAGGCACAGTGGTGGGCACCTGTAATCCCAGCTACTTGGGAGGCTGAGGCAGGAGAATTGCTTGAACCAGGGAGGCAGAGGTTGCTGTGAGTGGAGATAGTGCCACTGCACTCCAGCCCGGGCGACAGAGCAAGATTCCATCTCAAAAAAAAAGAAAGATAATAAATAATTTTATTGTTTTGTCCTTAGTTGGGGTATTCTGTTACTTGCAACCAAATGCATGCTAAGTAATACAAGCTACAACAAAACACCAAAGAAAAGGAACCAGACCTATGGCCTCTCAAGTATCTTCCAGCTCTAAGTTTCTCTGAGTATCTTACTGCTCCTCAAAATCTCAAGGCTTCTATGCTTTCAAAGAATGTTCAAAATTCTAGTAGTGTCTTCCTGTGGGATAAGAGCCCTTTCTAAGTTCAGTTTCAGGTGAGTTGGTTACAGATATTTAATGGGTTATATTTCGGGAAGGAGAAAGGGGCTATCTTTTTCCCATGCGGAATGAAGACCTAACAATGTGAAACAATTTTATAAAATATAAATTATGCATATAGAAGTTCTGAGGTAACATGGGAAAGACAGGGAAATCATCAGAACAGGAATCTAAAGAGGATATTGGACATTTCATGCACTTCCCAGAAGAAGGGAGGCTAAGGAGAGGTATTGGGTGAACTGTGTAAGTCTAGGCGAGACTGAGCTAGAGGGGCTCTCCATTGTCAAATGAAACGACCTACTGACGGTTTAGGTGGGAGGGATACCTGAAGGGGAGGTGCTGAGAACTGCATAAATGAGAACAAAGGAGGGGAAAACAAGAATAAGAAGTGATAACCTTTAATTGCTAACTGTAGACAATGGATGAATAGGGCAAGTAAGAAAAGAATAGACACCCTCTAAGCTTATAGAGATAAAGGGGAGCAGCTTATAAATATGCCTAATACAATAAATTTTATTTGTAGAATTTAACAACAGATATCCTTCCTCAAATAAATGCTTTAAATAGAAAGATAATGTGAGCTTTAAAATACATTATTTACTTTAGTTGATACAGCTGAATACTTGTATTTTTATATTAACATGTGAACTTCAAAGTAACATTATTTACTTTAGTTGATATACCTGAATAAATACTTGTATTTCTTCATTAACATGTGAACTTTAACGTAATCTAGTTTCTAAACTATTTCAGTAACTTCTTTCATTTTGAAAAAAATATATATACTTTGTAATTTTTTGTAGTCCTCTGTGGAAATATATGCTACAAAAATTCTCTTACACTATTTGTTCCCCAATAGGATTTTGGCAGATTCAAAATTAGGAAACGCAGCATATATCACAGTTATTGAGTTAAGATTTTGGAGCCAGAGGAGACCTAGTTCAATTACCTTATATTATTTAATACTGTGTGAACTTGAGCAAAGTTGCCTCTCTTAACCTCCATTTCTTTATTACCGTAAGGGAGATAATAATAGCACCTACCTGACAGCTGTTTTACTAAACTAGGTAATGCAAGCAAAGTATATAGCACAGAGCCTGATACACTTGAAGGAACACACACACACACACACACACACACACACACAGAGTTATAATTAGATTCACCCTTTGGCTGCCAATGTCAAAAAAGATTTGGCCATGGCAGGAAGATTGCTTGAGGCCAGGAGTTCGAGACCAGACTGGGCAAAATGGCTAGACATCATCATCTCTACAAAAAGTCCTAGCTGCTGGGAGGCTGAGGTGGGAAGATCACTTGAGCCCAGTAATTCAAGGTTACAATGAACTATGATTGCCTCACTGCACTCCAACTTGGGCAACAGAGCAAGACCCTATCTCAAAAAAAAAAAAAAAGAATGTGACATACTTTGTTGATTAATATATTAATTCATTAACACATTTTTATTTAGTGCCTGCTATGTGCCAGGCACTGTTCTATCTATCATCTAGATATAATAGCAGTGAACAAAACAGACAGTGTCTGCCTTCATGGAGCACACATTCTAATGGAGGAAACACGCAGACAACTAGACATACAATGTCGAGCACAGATAATGTTATGAAAAATAAAAAAGTAAGAAGAGAAATAGATAGAGGATACTGCTTCAGATAGGGTGATCAGAAAAGGCCTCCCCAAGGAAATGAAATTTAAAGTGGTCTAAATGTAGTGAGAAAGCCAGCGATTCAGTCATCTTGGGAAGGAACATTCCAGGCAGAGGAAAGCAGCAAAAGCAAAGGTCCTAAGGCAAGGGCATGCCTGATGGATTCAAGAAAGAACCAGAAAGCCAGTGTGACTGGAGAAGAGCAAGCAAGGGACGGAGTGGTGGACAGAGAACTGACCAGGTTCCAGACAACTCTGTGCATTATAGCATTATAGGTCACAGAAGGGACTTGATATTTCATTCAAAATGTAATGGGAAGCTGCTAGAGGGTTTTGGTCAGGGGAGTATTGTGAGTCAAGTTTTATTTTGAAGAATTACTATGGTGGCTATATGGAGCAAAGACTGGGTGAGGAAAGGGGAGTCAGGGAGACAAATAAAAGAGGTTATTTTAATAGTTCAGGTGAGTGGTGTTAATGAGCTTATATTAGTGTGGCAATGGGATAGAAGCAGGAAAACAAAAGGTAGGATTCTGGATATTCCAAAGGCAGAGCCAAGAGGAATAGCTGATAGATTTGATGTGGGAAAGAGGACATTAGATACCAAAAGGAACAAAGAATGATAAGCTTGCAGCCCCTGAACAACTGGACAAAATACCTCTTGTACACTCTCTGGAAAAAGGAAAGAAAAACACTGTAGGTGAGCCGTGCTTGTATCTAGTTCATGTTTCTCTTTCCACCCACTTCCACCTAGTTGTCACTCTCTTCCTTGACTTCATTCCCAACCACAGGAGACCCCATGCCTTGTGCAATGTTTGAGACACATCCAAAGGGATGTCTACTTTCTACAGAGCAGGTAAGGGGGTACCCTCAGAGTTATGTCAGTCATTTCAGAATCACTGGCAAGCTATACCCCAAAATGCTCTCAATGTAGACCAGTCTGAGGTACAGGCATCAGCAACACTTCAAAATGAACATTATAAATTACTGATTATGATTCTTCTGACCAGTTAGAGTAGAGGAGATAATGACCATGAATGTAACACCATGAACTCACAGAGCTCCAAAGAGCCAGCAAAATTTCCAACCATGTGCATGAGTCTGAAACTAGGGCCATGCACCACTATTACTTCAGAAGGGGATGGTGGAGAGAAGCTGCCCGTGTGCCAAATATTGTCAATCCTTAGGGTAGTAGAAAATTATTTAGACAAAAATTGGAAATTTATATTTTTGTCTTTTAGGGTTTGTGCACAGCTTGTTGTGGCATTAACAATGTGACCTTAAGCATGTAATTCAATTTCCTTATCCTACAGTTTTCTGTGAGGTAGAAATAATACATGCATGCCAGCTGTAATACTACATTGCTTTTATATTTTATCCTCTTTTGAGTGTTTTCTTATAAATTGTCATGGGATTCTCAAAAGAACTCTGTGCTTTAAGAATCAGAAATTTACAGGAATAGAACTTTAAAAGGATAAGTAAAAACACAGATCATTCTATAGAGGTGGAAGATGACCATTTGTAACAGACTACTGAAACAGAAGATCTTGGTGTTCTGGGCAATCCACAAAGAATCTCAAGCCAGTTCTCTAAGCTGGCAGTAATTGCTGGAAGGATGGCCTTTGCTGACTTTGTTGCTAGGGAGATTTTAGAAGATATGAGCAGCTTGGGTTACTGATTTCCTGCTACTGCCACACAATGATCAATTACCATGTCTAGTCTTCAAGTATGTCAGGTAAATTAACACATGTCCTATTTACATGACAGCCTTGAGGTTTTTTTCTTTTTCAAAGAATCTTGAACTAAAAGTAAACTTCAGGAGTTTACATTCAAATTATCTCCAAAACAGTATTTTAGGTGTCTCTAGAGAAGAATTTACCATATTGGTTAACTTACCATCTCCCAACACCGATTGACCAGCCCTGAACATCTTTTAAAAATATCTAACCCTCATGCTCTAACCACAACCCATCACTTCCTACTCTATCCTCAGAAAAGAATAGCTATTTTATCCTTATTTAACTCCTTATATTCAATACTTCCTGGTAGAGTGCTCTCGAGCCATAAAAAAAACAGCGTTTCATAAATGGGACTCAAAAAGCAGACACAAGGCATCAGTTTTCTGTTCCAATCAAGCTGCCTACCCACACACGTGAAACTTATGTTTCCTAAAAATAAATAGTTCAGAAATGGCAACTGCTGCTGCAGGCATTTGGGACTTTTCTCCTTTGCTGTATCTATAACCTAATCTCTAAGATGTCTCTCAAATTCTTTTCTATTTTTCATTCCAAGGTTATCACAGCACTGGATCTAACCTTCTACCTTCCACTCCTGCTCCTCCCCTATTGAGAATCCTTGGCACCATCTCCCAGCATTATCCCACCTCTTTGGCCTTACCAAAGCCTTACTGTTATTATTCTTGAACGCCCTCATCTTACTTCCTAGGAGGAATCATCCAATAAAAATCCAAGTCTGTTTTCTCTCGGAAGTACCAAGGAATACAACTTTAGTTCTCAGTACATCATTTTACTTTACTGCAGGATTTAAGTAAAAAGAAAGAAATAATATCTAAGTGAAATGAAAAAAAAAAATACAGCTGGCCTTCTATATCCACAAGGTCCACATCCTCAGATTCAACCAAACTCAGATGGAAAATATTTGAAAAGAAAACCACCACACACACACACAAAATACAACAATTAAAAAAATACAAATAGAAAACCAATATAGGATAACAACTATCTATATAGCATTCCCATTGTATTAGGTATTATAAGTAATCCAGGGATGACTTAAAGCACACAGGAGAATGTTCACAGGTTATATGGAAACACTACATTTTATATCAGGGACTTGAGCTTCCACGGGATTTGGTATCCACAGGGAGTCCTGGAATCAATCCACCATAGATACTCAGGGACACCTGAATTTAAGCTTCCCCTCCATAAATATCCTTAATTCCTAGGGGAAAAAAAGAAAAGGGAAACTAGTTTTTTAAAAAATGGTTTTTACACTTCTTTAAAAACACTGAAGAGAAGTTGCTGAGACTACATTTGCTGATAAGTAAATTGTGGGGAGAAATGAAGACTGGGCAGAAATTTAGAAATAAAAGTCGACAGCAGCAGAAAGGCAAATTTTTCAGTAGGTCTACCCCTGAAGCCCCAGGCCCCATCCCTATCTCTTCTTTTTCTACAAGGCCCTGCACATCTGAGATCCTTGACCAGGCCAACCCGTTCCATTCTCTTCTATCCAACAGGTAGAAAAATGAATGAAGTTCCTACTTCCACTATAGCTTGGGGTCGCGAGGAAAGATCTTTCTGACACCCCCAAATAGAACTTTATGTTTTTAATCCTTAAAACACTGTAACAACGATTAGTTTCTTCAAGTAGTTCAGCCCTAGGCTTCAATGCACTTCAAGCTTGGAGAGCTACCTGGAGAACTTAAATATTAATCAGAATATAGTTCTAGAATAAAGTGATTTCTAAGATTTAAAAAGCTTCAGTGTTCACAATCAGCAACACAAAATTATATACTACTCATGTCCACTTACATTTTTTTTTCAAAAAGTTAACCTAAATGAAAATACAGCTATCTTTCCCATAGCACAGATAATGCTTCATATACTCAATTATTAACAGCTCTTTATAAGGACACCTCTTAATATCTCTTTATAGCTCTCAGAGCTAAAAGCAACTCAGTCAAATATATTTACAGAACCTTCTGGGTCACCCAGATAATTTATGCCAAATAAAAGGCTAGACCTCTCTCAATCAAGTTTAAAAATTTAGGATTAAAGAGTTTATCATATTACTTCCCCCCCATTCATACCTATACCACTATTTGTACCCGAAAATGTTACCCAACTCAGTAACCATAGTAGTAGACACATCAATTATTCAATTCAAAAGGAATAAGTAAGGTTTTAAATTTTTACTTTCTGTATGGCAACGTCCCTCTTACCCTATTCTATAACTTCTGTTCTTGTTTTCATTTCCTTTCATTCAAGCAGTAGAAAAAATTTGGCACTGTCACATTCCATCGAAAACTCACTCTCTGATGACCCAACTCTTTTTTAAAACTATCCAAATCTAAGTGCTCTGAGCATGTTCACCAGACAGGCAGCTTCACAACTGTAGGATATTTAGGCAATCTGTTTTATTCTATTATATCTTCTCCAAACTTAATTCTTCTTAGTTCTGCCCTTCTCTTTATAAATTTTGCATACCACTAAAAAGGATGATATACAAGTTTGCGGGTATTTTCTTGAGTTCTCTAGTGCTCAGTCTAGAACAAGTTTCTTAGCCTTGGCACTACTGATATTTTGGGCCAGAAAATTCTTCATTATGAGGGGATGTCTTGTGTATTGAGGATGTTTAGCAGCATCCCTAACCACCACCCACAAGATGCCAATAGAATCCCCCTTCCCTCCAAGACAATCAAAAGCATGTCCAGACATTGTTGTAGACTGTTGAGAACTGTTTGCCTACAGTAAGAATTTGGAGATCTCAGGGATTGAAGTTGGGCTGCAGTAGGACCCCGGGGAAACTGTCCCAGCTTGTGATCAATACTTACCTAGTTTTGGTTGTGGCCAAATGACCATGCTGCATGAGTAACAGTCTGTAAGAACCTAATATGTGTGCATAGTGCTTACAATTATAACCAAAAAAAGATTTACAGAAAAGGGACTCTCACACATAATCAAGCATAGGAGTCCCTAGCTTTTGAAGGGGTTATGATTCAAAAGTATATCTTAGAATCACTAGGTTGAATTATATGAAATTACCTTTTTTGTCAGTCAAAAATGGTTAACACCATCAGCAATTTTATATAACTCAACCTAATAATTTCTGAAGCAATTGTAGGTTCCCACAAAATCCTATCAAACTTTCCTATCCTGGCTGCCTCCTTCTCCTAAGGTCCCCAGATAGCATTGGCCTGAACTTTGATTTTCACCAGGAGCAGTCACTGCTTCTGAGGAGGTTTTCTATCTCTCTAGGCCCTGTGGAACAACACACACAACCTCAGAGCTTTTCTAAAGCCCTGCTGTCCAAAGAGAAAGATGTCTATTTCCTACATTTCTCTTCAACTCTTTTCCTTCATTTGTTTAGATCCTCAAGATAAAGACCAATGGTACATATACAAAAATCCACAGAAGATTCATCTATAGTTTACAACATGACAAAGATTACTAGCCAGCTCAGAAAAAAAAAGTTAGAAAACATCAAGGGAAAAACAAGCAAGAAAAAGAAAAGAACTGTATTTACTGGAGGTACAGAATACTATAAAATATAGGTAACTAAAGGGATGTATACTTTGAGCAGCAGTGCTCTATGAGAGCAAGGGTTGAGAGAGAAAGAGAGATGAGAGGGGTATCTGTCAATCAATATCAACTCTGGACATAATAAGCTGTATAAAAGATGACCAATCTTGGTCTACCATTCCCCCAAGTGTTCTAGAATGACAAATGGTGGCAAAAATCCTGGACTGAAAAACAGTTTAAACTCCATATTAGGTTAAATTTGAAACTATGGGTCACAGAGGACCCATTATCAAGTAACAGAATGGGGAGCAATAAGCACACAGCAATGTTTCTTTAAGTCACAGGTTAATGAAAGCTTCCTTGAATTCTACTGATACCCTCTGGACCTCACTTCCATTTGGTGACATGATGGTCCACTGTTTTCTCTCTCCAATCCTGGAGAAAAAAAGAGTCCTTCCTCCTTCCTAAGGCCACACCATATTCTGGGCTCTCATTCCTGCAGCAGGCTTTCTTCTGTCTACTCTGTCATTATTCTTTAATTCTTTTTTTTTTTTTTTTTTTCCTTGAGACAGGGTCTCGCTCTGTTGTGCAGGCTGGAGTACGGTGGTACAATCATGGCTCACTGAAGCCTCAACCTCTTGGGCTCAAGAGATCCTCCGACCTTAGCTTCCAACTGAGTAGCTGGGACCACAGACACATGCCACCACACCTAGCTAATTTTTGTGTTTTTGTTTGTGTGTTTGTTGTTTGTTTGTTTGTAGAGATGGAGTTTCGCCATGTTGCCCAAGCTGGTCTTGAACTCCTGGGCTCAAGCAATCTGCCTACCTCAGCCTCCCAAAGTGCTGGGATTATAGGCTTGAGCCACTGCACCTGGCCTATCTCTTTATTTCTTTATTCTTTCTATTATACCCTGTCCACTGTATCTTCTAAGTATATATTTTTTTAAATTTTTTTATTTTATTATTATTATACTTTAAGTTTTAGGGTACATGTGCACAACGTGCAGGTTAGTTACATATGTATACATGTGCCATGCTGGTGTGCTGCACCCATTAACTCGTCATTTAGCATTAGGTATATCTCCTAATGGTATCCCTCCGCCCTCCCCGCACCCCACAACAGTCCCCAGAGTGTGATGTTCCCCTTCCTGTGTCCATGTGTTCTCATTGTTCAATTCCCTTTAAATTAGCCTTTTTTTTTGAGGAAAAGGAAACATAAGATCCCTCTCTTATGCCTGTATTATACTCTAGATTCCCTAATCTCACACCTTCTCTTTGTCTCCATTTCTTCACTCAAGACTTGGGACATCATTATAACCAGCTAGCCTCTGGAAGCCTCTACCATATGACCATCATCCCCATCATGCTTCCTAATCTCCTCCAGGGTCAGCTGTGTCCTCTAAAATGCCAAAACCAATGGGCACTCTCCAGTTTCCACCCTATTCTGTGTGTCAATCCTGACCTAGTTTTTAAAAGTCATATTTCCTGGGATTTGGGAAAACCACCCTTTTCTGGCCTTTTTCTTATCTCTGTCTTTCCTTCTCAGCCTTCATTACTGGCCCTTCCTTCTTCCCCCAATCTCTTAAATAATGGGTGTGCCTAAGATGATTTCCTCAGTCCTCTTCTGTTCTTAGTCAAGACTCTCTTAGTAAGTGATACAGTTTTGATATTTCTTCTCTCCAACTATCATGTTGAAATTTGATCTCCAATGTTGGAGGTCGGGCCTAATGGAAGGTGTTTGGGCCTTGCGGGTGGATCACTCGTGAATGGTTTGGTGCTGTCCTCACGGTAATGAGTTAATTCTTTCTCTATTAGTTAATGGGAGATCTGATTGTTAAAAAGAGCCTGGCATCTCCTCCTCTCTCTTGCTCCCTCTCTTGCCATGTGACATGCCTGCTCCCCCTTTGCCTTCTACCACAAGTAAATGCTTCCAGAGGTCCCGACCAGAAGCAGGTGCTGGCGCCACACTTCTTGTACAACCTGCAGAACCATGAGTCAAATAAACTTCTTTTCTTTATAAATCATCCAGCCTCAGGTATTCCTTGATAGTAACACAAAATGGACTAACACATTAATCAATCTCTTCCATGCCCATACTTCTAGTAGACCTGGATAGTCTAAGATGGATCAGTAAGACAAAAATGGAAATCATTACCTTCTTTTCAAACCGACTTTGCCTAGCTCAGATAATGGTACCACCATCCACAAAGGCCCCTTGGCTTTCTAGCTCAGCATCATCCTTGTCTTCTTTCTTGTTTTCCACGTTCAGTCAACCACCACACCACACAGATACTACCTCCTACAAATCTCTGGAACAGTTTCCCTGCTCTGTGTTAATAATCTTCGAACTATCTTCTGTGAGGATCACTATCACAATTGCCTCATACCTTTGTTTCCCTGCCATTTTTCTCCTTCTATTTTTAATCAGCTCTCAAAAGTATAGTTCTAAATACAAATGCGATTATGTCTGATGAAATGAATAGTTTCATACAATCTAGTCCCCTTCAACCTGGGTTTCCCAATACCCTAAAGCAGTCATTATATGTAAGAAGTTAACTTCTCTTTCATGCATCTGGACTGGCATTAAATACCATCATTGAAAAAATTAAGAAAATATTCACTCAAATCATGCTCTGAATTCTATGGTTCAGATGAGGAACATGGGTTGGGAAAGGCTGACACAGACCTCCTGCCACCCACCTTCCATTACTTCCTGCTACTTCTTCACATACAACACACAACCTGCTTGCAAACAAGAACCCCCATGCTCTTTCACAACTGTATGTGTTTGCATACGCTATTCCCCTGGCCTGGCATTTTCTTCTTCCACCTGTCCATGAGTGGGCTCCAATTCATCCTAGATGCTCATATAATACCTTCTTTGCAAGCTTCCTTGGACCTTGCCAAACAAAGTCCTTTTTGTCACACTCTGTATACACCTTTATAGCTCATCTCACAATATCATGAAGATTTATTCACATATCTGTGCACTTTACTAGAATGCAAGCTTTGCTTCACCAGCAAAATTCCTGAAATATAGTGGATATGAAACAAGTCTTTTTTGAGAGAACCATAATAAATGCTCCTTTTTCCTTATCTTAAAAACCTGTAATAGTTGCTCCAAGTCTTGGAGCTCTGTTATTTTTTAAAAAATCAGAAACTATTTAATATCACATTGACATTAATCACAGTTACAAGAAACCCTAGAACCATGCTGCAATGACTCCACTTTTTCAAAAGAACAGATGGAGGGAGAAAGCCATGACAATTATTCTTAAAATGAGTTACAACACCAAGATCTGTGCCTCTTTCCTAGAAGATAACCAACAAGTAGCAAAAAAGGGAGGAGAATATTCAATATAGGCACAGACCTTGTTAAAATTCTCTTTAAAGAACATACTCCTTTATGGATCTAAGTTCCTGTTAGAAAAAGAAGCAAAACTTGTCCCTCAGTGTCTAAACAAGACAAGAATTATGATTGGATACCACAGTCCCAGTATTTATGCTTTAAGAAAGTTAAAGGAATGGTCAGAATATACCCCATGTTAACACAGTTGCCAGGTCACACCCTCAGAGTATAATTGCTGGCTGGGGAAAACTCCCTCTGTGCCACCCATAAATATAGCAACACCTGACAGTTCAGGGGTCCAGGCCTCCTTCCATAATGGAAAAAATCCTGCTTCTGGCAAAAAGCTAGAAGTAGCAGGAACAATGCCTGCTGTGTTGTTTGGCACAGACTAAGAGAGAAAAATAAGGAAATAATAAATACTTCGGCTTTCCTTGTCAGAAAACATCCATCCCATTGTCATTAAAAATAATTAAAGTTAGGAAAACATAAGAATAATCACTAATTTCAGCAGGTTGTAAGACTATAACACACTGTTTAATTTCTTCTTTAATAATTCTATGGGGCAAAACTAGGGTATGAACCTCTGTTATCTTTGACCCTTGCCTTTTCCTATGTTGACACCATACTAAGTGGTATGAACTTCTTCATGTCTTCAACTCTAACCTTTTCCCTATAACCACCTCCTACCAACCTTGCAGAACCTGCTTCGGGACTTCTAAGACAGTCTATCAAGTAGATCTCCCATCTCTCCAATCCTTTGTGCATTAAACAAAACTGAGGTTCTCAAAACAACTCTTTGAGCTGATCATTCTTTTGCTCCAGATAATTTCAATAGCCAATCACCTACAAAGAAAATCCAGTCATCTTTATCTCACATTCAACGCTCTACCGAATGCATTCCCATATCTGTGCTTCCATCTTTTTAAAAAAATAGGTCTTTTTTTTTCACCTTTAACATATTACCCAATTGACTTACCTTTTTGTTTATTTCTTTTTGATTCTCTTATCCTTACCTCACATGTAAGCTCTACAAGGAAAGCATTTTCAGCTGTTTGGTTCATTAAGGTACCCCAAGCGTCTAGACCAGTAGATGCACAGTAGACACTGATTAAATGTTTGTTGTGAACCTGGAACATACTCTGCTTTTACCTCAGTTGCTTAAATTCTAGCCTTCCTTAATATCCCACAATCAACACTGTTTTTTGTTTTTTCTTGTCTTTTACTTGAGTTCTTCCTGCACCGGGCCTGCAAAACATACGAAATTAGATGAACCCTCACAGGTAATAGTTGGTTACTCAGTTAAGCACTATTTTGGTGACATGGAATGCTCATCTGAATAAGCTGATAATATTTATATAACTCTCAATAAAATTCACTACTTAGTTTTTTAAGAGTTACTGGCTACAGAGGTATTTAACAACAAATCAAGGGTAGAGTGTAAGGAGTTTTATTCAAATTTAAACATTAAGGAAGAGTCTCTTTTGTTCAAAGCACTTATAAAGATTTGTGCTTTAAACTGTGGCTAGTAGGTCTTTGGTGACTAATTCAGCTAATAAATTACTGAAATTTAGGGCCCAATTTGGGCCCAGGCCACTATATGGGAAAATAATCACTTTCATACTTTTATATTATCTAGTGCTTTAGGTGGCTCAGCTAAATTTCAAGTGTAATACACAGCAGCTTAAACATCTTTTATGCCAATGATTATATCCATTTGGATTAACAGAATGATTCAATGGATGACACTAAATTTACCAATTCTAATTTCAATTAGTAGACCATAATCAAACTTTTCTTTACTGCTGTTTCCCATGAGAGTACAACTGAGGAAGGACAAGATGAATGCCAACTTCTATAAAGCCTATTAGGAAAAAAGAGAGGCACTGTTACCAGTGTGTTAACTGTACACTCTTGCTAATTAACAATAATGCCTTTTTGTGTTGATGGGCCTGAAAGTTATGCTACTTAGGTTTTGGTTTTCTTGGATAATAATTTTTATATAAAAATGTAAGTCCTTCATAAAGCTCAAGTTTATTAAGTTTTGGTACTGAGAAATGGACATAATACAGGACTTAACATGACTTATTTGATTACAGTTAGCCAGGTACCCTATGCTTCATGCAACCTAGCTGTTAACCCTTTAGCCTGCTGATAATCTCATACTTGGGTTTGATGAGTTCTTGTAATATAGATAGAGTGAGGTGTTCAGGAGGATTTGTGGTAAAATATCAGTCACTTCAAATGAACTTATGCTTACTGTATGGTTTTAGTTATTCTTACCTAATACGGCGAAAATGAAAATATTGTTTTAAGAAAAAATTGGCAGCAAATTATTTCATGTCCTTCAGGATATAAGAATAATAATATCCTACATGGGCCATATGTTTGTGATGAAATTCACCTGAAATTCAACTAAAATATAAGTGGTTTAGAATTTCTAAACTATACTTGTATCACGGTGTGTCCAAGAACTTAAAAATAATTAATAATATGATTTTCTTTTTACATATATTCCTTTTTCTCCCTCTCCAGTGTAAGCTCATCTCGGGCAGAGGCCACTTCACTCATTCACTTATCCAGATATTTGGGAAGGCCATTATAAACCCTTTGAAAGTTTGGCTGAGTGAAATGGGGGTTACTAGCATAGCAGTGCCATGGCTGGAAATATGTTTGAAAGGATTACTCCAACTACTGTGTTAAGAGTACTTTGTTGGGAACGGGAGAAGGACAGAAGCAGAATCAGGCAGCCATCACAGTCGTCCTGGTAAGAGATGATGAAAACTGGGACTAGCAGGGGCAGAGGAGATTGTAGGATTTATATTTATTTTGTAGACAGGTAGAGCCAACTAATTTTCCTGACTGACTGAAGGAAATGGGGGTAGGAGAGAAATAAAGGAGTCAAGCAACTTCAAAATTTTGGCTTGAGCAACTGAATAGATGCAGTTGTTATCTACCGAGAGGTGGATGACTGAGATAAGATAGGTTGAGGGACGTGGAAGACACGGGTTCAATCCTGGATGTGTTGAGCGTGAGATATCTAAAAATATTTTCAAACCCATGGAGGTTGACTCCATTATGGGCCAAGATTAAAATATAGGTTTCTCTGGTCTCTTATCTCTCCCCCTTACATTTCATATATGACCCCATAGCCTCTGCATCAGAATTTCCTTTCAAATCTAGTCTCTCCATTTTATTCCCTTGGTTATTTCCTTATTCAGGCTCTTATTCTCACTTGACTCACCCTAATATCTTTTTATCTAGTCTCCTTTTGCTCTAATGAAGCCATCTTCTACATAACCAGTGTATATTTGTAAAACATAAAAGTAATAATGGAACTCTACTGTTTGAAACTCTGCATTGGCTTCTCACTGCTTAATAAAATAAAACTTAGGGCTGACATCAGTGATTCTTTCTACAAAGCCCCAACCTTCCTTTCTTTTTACTGTATACAAAATATGCCATGTCTAGTCATGCTTCTTTGTCTGGAAAACTCCTATTTGTCCCTCAATACTCAGCCAAACATCACTTTTTTTTTTTTTTTTTTGAGATTGAGTCTTGCTCTGTTGCCAGGCTGGAGTGCAGTGGTGCAGTCTCGGCTCACTGCAGCCGCCACATCCCAGGTTCAAGCGATTCTCCTGCCTCAGCCTCCTGAGGAGCTGGGACTACAGACATATGTTATCACACCCAGCTAAATTTTTTTATTTTTGGTAGAGACGGGGTTTCACCATGTTGGCCAGGATGGCTTTGATCTCTTGACCTTGTGATCCACCCACTTCAGCCTCCCAAAGTGAACATCACCATTTCTAAAAAGCCTTTCCTGACTATCTTCAGGCAAAATTTGCCATTTCCACTTCTGTGCTTTCAAAACATATCAGTCATACCACCACGATAGCACTTATAATGGCATGTTATTATTAGTTTGCTTATATGTCTCTGCTATAAGGCTCCCACTAGAGGCTGCCGTGTCTTTTCTGTTTTCCTACATCATCTCACTAAGTGGTAAGTTCGTGCAAGACCCTCTGCTTACCTATACCCCCAACCCCCAGTGAAATTAAGTGTTGCTTAGAAGTAGCAAGGGTGTCTATGCTCTAAGATCTTTCGCCATCAGGTGTGCCACCCATCATGGCTCAGAGTGGGGCTTAGGAAACCTTCTGCTATCCCATCTGCAACATTAGGGACAAAGACATTTAGGACCACCCAAAGAAAGGGAAGCTGGTGGCAGGCCAAAACAGCTTGATAACAGAGCAGCCATTATGATTCGTGAACTGTCAGCTATCTCTTTATACTTGAGTATACTGAGGTCTTTATAACATGTCTATGAGACTACATAGCACAGTTTTCAAACTGTCATCCAATTAATCCCTCAAAATTAAAAATTCTGTTTTTGTTTTCATAACAAATTATAAAATCATAAAAGCAAGAAAACTAACACCTAGGAGAATATACTATGGTCTCTAGTAAAAATTAGTTGAATATAGCTATGACAAATGAAATTTAATATATTTTACTCATACAAAAAAAGGTAAAAAGTGGTAGACTACTAGTAAAAATGAACACAAGATAAGCACTAAAAATGAAAACCTCCAAATAACTTTGAGATAAATATAAAAATACCTAGTAAAAATTAATTCAAATTCAGTATGATGGTGCTCCCTTCATTCCATAATCTAAGTACAAAAATCAAAAGAGAAGACAGTAAAGAAAAGAATGAGGACACGCATTTAGAAAAAAATTCATTAAATAATTTTTGACATCACTCCTCAAAGATTGTGAATATGGTAATATCCTTATAATTTTCTATTAATCCATGCCAAAAATTTGTTTCCAAACATTTTATTTCTTCATGTTAGCAGTCTTGCATTCCTTTCTTTTCTATCTTACACATTCTATTTTGACATTTAACTCTTTACCTTTTTCTCAAGATATAAAATTTCATCTTAAGTATATTACTATAATTGTCTCATTTTTTCCTTTTATTTCCTTTCTATTTCTCATCATTTACTTTTTCTCATTTTATAAATTAAAACATTTTTACTAATCTTGATTTTTTCCTATTCGACCCTTTTGCTGAACAATGAGTTAAAATCTTGTTTGCATTTTTGTTGAATATAAAAATCCTCTCAAGTAAATTTGTATAAACACAGGATAAAAGTGAGCATCACATTTGAGAGTTTTCCTAATGATTATGGTTACGAAAGCAATAACTTAATTTGAATATTTGAATTTTTTTCAGGGAATACTTACTAATACTACTATGATGAACAAATCTCTTCTTGAGAAATAAATAATACTGTGATCCAAAACAAATGTAACATATTTCTGAAGTATTTCTCCTTTAGCACAACTTTTTAAAAGACTTGTGATCTCCTCATACTTTGGTTGTATGACTCAAAAGATGCTGGAACATACTTTCAGATCTCAAAATTAGGAAGCACTTGTTGAAAGAAGGTTTGTAGGTCTACGAAAACAATGCAGCTCAGTTACACATTAATAAGAAAATACTCAACTCTCTGCTAAAGCAACAGATACATTGAACAAGCGTTTTGTTTGGTTGGTTATATCCATTTTGACTAACGTACCTCTAAAGAAAGAGAAAGCCTACTAAAATCGGATGCATTTCCATAGGAATAAATTTTGAAACAGGAATAATGAATCTTTAGCTCACAAGAGAGAGGTAAGTCTTATAATGGGCAATTTCTGCTTGTATATCTCATGCTCTAGGACCTTTCAATTTTTAACTCTTCACATATAAGAAAAATGAGATGGGCAGTATTAGATTAGCTCCTATACTAAATAGCAGTCTAAAAATTATTACTTAATTAGTGTAAGAAAGGCATATTTTTAAGGACTTTCAAAAAATATAAGGAAAATTAGTTAAACTACACTATAACACCATTTTAGATAAGATATGCAAAATTTGGTATACATAATCACACTATGATGTAGAAATTGCTAATATTGAATTTCTTATGCATTTCAAGTCTAATGCTTTGCTACTGATGAAGTTTAACTCAAAAATGGTACCTCTAAGTCAAGGTAGACATTTGCCCTTTTCACACTCTTAAATAGAGCCTGGCTAATTGTAGCAATTTTAGGAAATACATAACAACACATATGAAATGTTTAAAAATAAGATAGCTCTTAATGATGACCTACTTAAGATTTTGACAAGCTCTATGAATTATAACCTCCCTAAAATTATATTGTACCTGGTAAATTAGTTTATTAAATGTTATAAATTCTTAACCACAATTACATAGCTTACTGTTAGCTATAAGGACTAAACTCTTAAATGTAAAATTTAAAATGATTAAATTATCCACTAACAGTTCTTCAAAACATCTTCAATCCAAACAATGAATATCAGTAACCTTATTTACTAACTAAATTCTGTTATATGGTTCTACTCAGTCTTGTCTGCCTTTTCATTAGTACTAAAATGGTCAAAGTCCAAATATATTTCACTGTTAGTATATACAATGTATATCGAGATTCACCACAACTACTGATGGTCATTTTCTAATTAACTTCCCTACTAGATCAACTCTTTTTCTAAATATTTTACAAATTGTTCCTCAATGGCAATTTATTAGTGCTCAATGCAAATATATTTAGTGTCTCCTTGTTGGCATTTACGTCTTCAGCTCCAACCTAAGAATAGTATACGATGCTGACCACGAAGAACCCAGGCCCAATAATAAAGTCACTCCATATATGTTTTTCTTTATTGCTTTCCATGTATCTGAAATACTTCAATGGACAACCACCATTATTTTCTTAAAGAAGCAATAATCTTCGTTAACAAAAACCTAAATATTTGAAAAGTGTAAAGTAATATCTAAAAAATGCTAAGTCCAAACCTATCAAGTCTCAACAATCTATACTAATAAAGGAAAGCCATAACAGACACTCCAAAGTCATTTTTATTTGATTTTAGGAGATGATTTTAATAAAGTATAAGTTATATTTTGATAATTACAACATTTATCAACAAATAAATTATGAAACAGTACAGTGAAGGCATAATTGCCCCATTCTGTACTCTTATCTTCCTAGAATAAACTATCATCTCTCAAGCAGATGTCAGAGATAAGCCCAGAGCAGCTGAGGGTGAGCTCTTTGTACATATCTATTCTGCTTACAGTATTGAAAGATACCTATGAAAAGAACTATTAGATTCTGAAAGGCTCTTTCCTCTAATAACGATAATTTATAGAGTAATTAAAGATTGAAGTTTGTTGTTGCTGTTACTGCCATTTTTAACAAATGTACTCGCCTGTAATGCTAGGACTTTGGGAGGCCAAGGTGGGTAGATCACTTGAGGTCAAGAGTTCAAGACCAGCCTGGCCAACATGGCAAAACCCCATCTCTACTAAAAATACAAAAATTAGCTAGGCGTGGTAGAGCGCACCTGTAATCGCAGGTACTCAGGAGGTTGAGGCAGAAGAATCCCTTGAACCTGGGAGGCAGAGGTTACAGTGAGCTGAGATCTCACCATTGCACTCCAGCCTGGGCAAGATGGCGAGACTCTGTCTCAAAAAAAAAAAATTACCTATTTAAATGTTACCATAACCCCATGATGCCTTATAAAAGAGGAGATTGAGGTCTAAAGAAATTAAATTAATGTAGCTAAGATCACAGGCAGAAAGCAGCAGAGCCTGGAATTACACTAAGCACTCTGATCACAAATCAGTGCCCTTTCTGCTGTACCTTCCACCACCCCCAAGGTCCTTAATTAACAAGCATGTTAAAATAAATGCTTCAGTAGCAAATCATCAAAAGACATAACTAATGAGGGGTGAGACTGGCTCAAGGACAGTCATTTGAACCCACCCCCTTCCACTTTTTTCCCTACTAGCTAGAGATGGGCCTTCACAGAGCTTTACCCATCTAGTTAATTAGCTATCTTTGGATCTCACCCCATTTTTCCTTCCCAAAACAATCATATGGTCATGTGGTGTGTTTTTGTTTTTTGTTTTTGAGACAGGGTCTCACTATGTTGCCCATGCTGGGTTTTAAACTACTAGGCTCCCTGTAGCTGGGATTACAAATGTGTACCACCACATTGGGCCTGATGTTTTAACTGTTTTTGTTTTTGCTTTTGATTATTGCTACCTGTGACACTAGAGACAGAGAACAAACAAAAATCACTATGTAAAAGAAAAAAGCATAAGTCTTGCAGTTAGGACCGCTGAAGAAATCCTGACTCCTCCCCTCATTAGGCGTGGGACCTTGGATAAATTCCTTAACCTCCTTGGGCATTGTTTTCCTCCTCTGTAAACTGGGAATAAGAGTATTTAACTAATGGGCTTTGTGAAGATGAAGTCAATCAGTCACATACATGGGCCAGGCACAGTAAGTGCTCCACACATCGGCCTCTCCTTCACTCTAAAGAGCGCCTTTATTTTTTCTTCACTTGAATCTTGTAGTGAATGAGAGACTGCTAATGTATCATACATCAAACAATTGAATAAAAAATTATTTTAAATTGAAAAAGAAACTATAATCATGTAGGTACCTAAGTGGCAACTCAAAGAAAATTTCTTGGGTACTAATATGCTTTGCATTAGATATATTTTAAGGCAACTGATTAATATCAGACGCGATGCTGGAAGAAAGTTTAAATATTAAATGCAAAATTCAAAATGTCTTTTCCCTGTCTCACAATAGCTATAACTGTCTCCACTAATGCAAAATGTAAAATCAAGAACAACTACCTTTTGCTATCAAGCAGAGAGGAAGAACTTCTCCCTAGGGCATAACAATACAAATCACTGAATTACTAGCTTATAAAGATAAGGCCACTGGCAGATGAATCCCAGCTTGGAACCATCCATGCTGAATGCCATTTCTGGGTCTATGTAAATCTAGTGAGCAGCTTGCTTTAGTATCCAGCATGGATAAATTGCCTAGACTAGGGATAGCAAGTCTATTTCATCTTAAGTGTCAACACTGATTGACAGTGACAATCTAAAGCACTGTATATGGATGCATTTTGAGGCAAAATCAAAGCTTTGCAGAAAAGAGTGCCAGGATTAATCTGCAATGTCTACCAAGAATGGAGGAATATGCAGTGAGTCCACTGACATAAAAGAAGTATTTTTAAGTTACAGATGAAAAAACTATAATCTAATTTCCTTTTCCATGGGCATGATAGAATGAATGCTGTGTATTCACATCCCATTTCCTTCTGCTCCTGGACTCACAACTAGGCTTCATCTCCAGCATTTCCTGCATTTGGATGAGGCCATTAATAGATTTCTTGCCAATGGAATACAGGTAGAAATGATATTTAGGCCTGGACCTACATCTTCTCTTGCAATACTCCCCTTTTTGTCTGTCTCCCTCTGTCAGCCAGATGCATAGATGACAGTGGAGGACTCTGAAGCTCTAGATGACAGAATTTCTAGAAAGGAGGAGCCATCCATGGCAGACCATGATACGAGCAAAAAATTAAGCTTGTAGCATGCCACTAGCTCCTGGTATTCCCAACAATGTAGTTCTGGTTGAGACTGACAATCATAATATCGTGCCATATACATGGGTCAACCATGACCTGTGCTAAGCAAATCAGAATTCTTCCCTATGATTTTGGAAAACTCTCTCTCTAGGAAGAGAACCCATTTCTCTCTGTGAGGCTATGATAATGTGAACCTGGGAGCTTTAGTTCAGAATCACTGAAAAAGTCTTCAAGAATGGAATAGGTACTTCACTACTAATGTGTGAAACAGAAACAAGCGAAACAGGGGGTGGAGGAAGAATCCTGAACAAGCACTAGAGAGGTCAAGCTTCACCCCTGCCTTTTCCTCATATTGGTTACAAGGGCCAAAATGCTTCTCTTTTTGCCAAAACTATTTTGATCTATGGTCCTGTAACCTGCCAACACAACAGTCATGACTAATACGGGTATAAATTAGAAAACAAAAATCTTTCAACTGACAGACAATATTTTGACATATATTCTTCCAAAATTATGGGCGTACACATACTTTAAAAAAACGAAAACTGTGGGGCCGGGTGCAATGGCTCATGCCTACAATCCCAATACTTTGGGAGGCCGAGGTGGGCGGATCACTTGAGGCCAGGAATTTGAGACCAGCCTGACCAACATGGTGAAACCCCATCTCTACTAAAAATAAAATAAAATAATTAGCTGGGTGTGTTGGCATGAGCCTCTAATCCTACCTACTAGGGAGGCTGAGAGAGGAGAATCACCAGAACCCAGGAGGCAGAGGTTGCAATGAACCGAGATTGAGCCACTGCACTCCAGCCTGGGTAACAGAGTGAGGCTCCATCTCAAAAAAAAAAAAAAAAAAAAAAAAGAGAAAAGAAAAAGAAAAAGAAAAGAAAAGAAAGAAAACTGTGATTTATGGATTTATGATCACACCTCATAAATTTTCTTTTCCATGTCAAATATACTTTAACAAGCTCATTTTTCAAGGTTGGCCAGTATCTTATTGTTTGAATACACTATCATTTTAAAAAAAGTATTTGGGTATATTCAATTTTGCATTCTCCTATATACATTGATGCAACAAATTTGGGGGAAACAAAACATTTTTCCAATTATTTACCTGATATAAAGCTGTAGAATTCAACTTGCTGGTCAAAGGATATTCAAGGGTTTTGATTAATATTGCCAACCCACCCTCCCAAATATTTATACCCATTTACACTTGCAGCAATTGAGTGCTCGCTTCATACTATTTTTCCACCTGAGAAAGTAATGCTGAGCTGAACTGAAAAAACACTTGTTTCTTAATTCACAGCACTATCCTACGAAATGATTAGTAAAATCTACAATAGGGGCCAAAGTCAAATTTCTATTCCATTAAGATATATATAGAATAGACCACTGGCACAGTTATGTCACCAAGGAACACAGTCCTTTACAAAATGCAATAAAATATAACTAAAAATTAAGCAACTCCTTTGGAACAATAATGAGAATTATTGTGGGGAGGGGGGTGGGAAAGAACCACAAAGCAGTGAGGAGATGCATATGTTAAACAGTTGGTCACAGCCCACTCATTAGCACAGTCTCCAATCAGCCTCCTATGGAAACTTCCATGGGTACAGTCATGCTCACTCAAGGGTAGCCAAAACCAGAATGTTACATGTTAAAATACATAATGAAGAGGCCAGAAAAACATGAACACACTGCAACCTAGATGTTTTAGGGAGAAAAAAACAACAAAACTACATGAAGCCATTGTCTAACTGAATTATTTAGCTAGAAGTTGGAAGAGCTGTAGGCTCTACACTTTGACACTAACCAGGTGCATAGCGATATTACAGTGAAATCCACTGGTTTAGATGTAACAATCAGAACTAGGTGAACAAGGCAATTACATATTAGGGCACCTATTCAAGATAGGTAGATAAGAATCATTCAGTATTAACACATACAGAAAGTATAATTTTGCCACTTTGGGACTCAGCTCACTCATCTATAAAAATGAAAAGGCTGATCAACTTCTAAGATTCTCCTAAGCCTAAAAAGCCCTGCAGATCTCAGGCCATCTACAACCTTGGTGTTATTTCTTAACATTCTCTGTCTTCCTAAATTCATTCGTCCAGCAACCTTCAACTTTTTCATACTCCTAAAATGTGCCTTGCTCTCTGTGAGCCTCTTCCTACACAGCATTCTGCAGCAGTTCTTGTTCACACCTCACCTACTTTAAGTACCCTTCATTCTTTAAGTCTGGGCTTAAACATCTCTTCCTCTGCAAAGTGCCTCCGCTGTAGTCTTCACCTTCCTTATTAAAACTGAATTCTTTTTGAATCACCTGTAATTATTTCTTTAATTTTCTGTCTCCCCTACTAAGTCACAAGCTCTCTGATGCCAAAGGCCATGCATATCTTGTTCACCATGGTATCCCTGTTTCCTGGAACAATTCTTGGCATTTGGAAGTTATCCAAATATTTGTTAAATGAATAATAATGGGATTGTGCTAAGTAAGCTAGTGAAAGACTCAGTACTGAAAGCAATTTCTAATTTTTCCAAGTAGGTCATTAAAAATAAAATTAAATATGTTGTTATTTATTGCTTTCTTTACAAAGGCAAAAGAACCCTAAGTTTTAGGTTAATCTTGCCCCCTTTCCTTACTGCTTGTCGAAAGCCCCCAAGTTGTTAATGGAAATTTTATCACGTTAATTAATAGTATCACCAATAACTTAGTGAATACTATCATTTCAGTGAATATTGAAAGTGTGTAGTCACTTTTGAAATTGTTTTTCTTTTGTAATTATCTTAACCAGGTATAATATATGTAGTTATAAATTATAAAATGAATATTGAAAAACAATGCTGCCCAACTGTATCCAACTCTAAAGAAAATAGCTGCACACACACACACACACACACACACACACACACACACACACAATGCCGGCAAAGGATTTTCTCTAATACTAATACTTAACCATCTAATATCTAACAGTTAATGGTATGTACTGAGAGAAGTCCACATATGCTTTAAATTCACAACCCAAAAATTATGGATATAATTGTTAAAATCTAACATTTTTTTCAAATTTACCAATTTTCTCATTGTTTTAACTTTTAATATCAATTTTCTGATTTTCCCCAGATTAAATCGTTGTCAGATCATGGTCATGCAAGTGTTGAGAGGATGTCAGGAAATACACATTAATTATATACATTAAGTAATTTAATGTTTATTTGTTTGTATTCCTCCAATATTACACTTCTATTGCTTTTATAGTCTTTTGAGAGAAAGAATTGAGTTTAACTCCTTGCTCTTCCGAAGTTTATTGGGTAAAAGTAAAATTTTTAAGTAGAAAGTTTATGAGAAAACAAAGGTATAAAATTAGGGAAATATGAAGCATAATAAAAATCATTCAATAAATATTTACCAAAACCTGCTATCATGCTATGTTTGGCGTGAGGAATAAGACAGTCTCAAAGAAACTACAGACTAGAGGAAGAAAACAACCACTGAAGAGAATCCCACTATAGCTCTGGGAGGGATATGAAAGAAACAAATGCACAGGGGGCCATGTAGGCACTGAAAAGAAAGCCTAAAACTAGAGTTTTAGAAATTAGATTTTAAAAATATATTAAAACTTAAAAACAGCACATGCAAAGGCCCAAAAGTAATGCAGAATATAGTGAATCGAATGTTTCAAAGTAGTTCAGCAATGAACTGTGGGGTATGTGTGTGTGTGTAGGCAAAAACAAAGAATAGGAAAATAGGCTGGTTCCACATCTAGCATACAGGTGGACTATCAAGGGAAAAACACCTGATAACCTGGATAAATATTACAGGCATCCTTCCACTCATTTAGATGAACTCACAAGAAAATAAAAGCAATCTCCAAGGCCAAAAAAAAAAAAAAAAGAAAGAAATTGCAGAAAACCACATGGTAAAGTAATACTGAAGAGGAGACTGCCCTGAAGTCATGTGTTAATCTAAGTGGCTTAGAGTCTTAGATTCTAGCAGCCCTGTGGGGAACAGGGGACAAGGCCTTTGAGACTAAGCAAGGTGACTAGTTGGAACTAAGACCACCATATAAAGCTAGGATCCTCAAAGGGTTACTCCCTTAGTAAAATTAAGAGAAAAACAAAAACAAAAAAGAATACCTCTCAGCAAAAGGAGACGAGGGAAAATGTGTTCTGCTCTTCCTAGGCTCTGGGTAGATAAGGGAAAAAAATATCTGGGGCATTTGTAAGCATAGCTTTCCCCCGATGAACTCTGTGATTCAAATTTATACTACAGATCCACACTCCAATATCTAAGACCCTTAGGGCAATATATGTTTCAGAGTTCATGAGTTTGCAGATTCTACAAAGGTATTATGGTACAGACATCATATATTAAGTAACACCTCACTATAATCTGAACAGCATACCATAATATGACAATATTTTTATAGCTTAACATATGACTCATCATGATAGGCAGTATATAAAGACTATATATGGTCAACTTTTCCTATGAAATGATTTACAAAAATAATTTTGGTTTTCTGAGCATTTTTAATTTTCAAATTACAGATAAGGATTATGGATCTGGACCTGCACTGGATGGGAAGCTCCAAGGGCATAATTCAACTTCAGGTGCTCTCAGAATGGCAGCACCTGTGGAACCTCTCTGAAGCAAAATCTTTCTAGGTGACCCCAGGCTCCCTAGGATTCCCACAAATGAAGTACTAGCCAACATGACCTCAGAGTCTAAAATTACAAAACACATGAGGAATCATGATTGAACATCAGGCAAAAACAATAGAAACAGAACTTCATGTGATAGATCTATGAAATATAGAATATAAAATTAGTTTTGTTTAAAATGGTAAAGAAATAAAAGAGGAACTCAAAAATGTTAGCAAGAAACATACATTATCCAGAAAATGGGCAAATTTGAAAAAATTCAAAAACAAAAAATATAAATAAATAAAGTAAAAAACCAAGAATGCATAAAAGCAGACAAGACACAGCTAAACAGAGAATTAATGAACTAGAAGGTATCTGAAAAACAAATCATGCTGAACAGAAAAGAAAGCATTAGAAAATACAAAAGGTATATTTAGATTTATACGGATGTAATAAAGTCTAACATATTTCTAATCATGTTTGAAGGACATAAAAAGAAAGAGAATGAGAATAAGCAATAATCAATGATAACTGAAAAGCTGAGAATTTTCCAGACTTGATGCGAGACATACATTCTCAGATTTAAAAAACCCAACAAATTCCAAATAGAATAAACAAAAAACAATGCCACATCTAGACACACATCCACTAAAGAAGGACAAGACAAACAGAAGATTTGAATGCAGCCCCCGTCAAACAAAGGAATTACCTAAAGACAGGTAGACAGATAAATTCTCCTAAAAGCAATAATAGAAGGCAGATGACTGAAATGTTATCAAAGTGAAAATAACTGTCATTCTAGAATCTTATATACAGATACACTGTCCTCAAAATATAGTTCAAGAAAAGGATATAGTTCAAGAAAATCTTATATATGATGAAGGAATGGTGAGCAAAGAAGTCAGTTACAAGGTAGGCACATCTAAGTAAACACTGCCTTCATCAAATAATAATGTACAGCTTTAGGGGTTAAAACTACAGTGGAATTAAAAACACTGAATAATAACAGCACGTAAGACAGAAGTAGGTGATTGAAGTTAAAAGTTCCTAAATTTCTTTTCGTGGGAAGAAAAAAGAGATATTGATCAACTTCAGACTTTACATATGCATATTAAAATTTTAAGACTAATCACTAAAAGAACAGAAATAGTATATATGCCTTCCAAACTACAGAAAGAGAAAGTTGGAATTAAAGGAAAAACTGATACAATTAAAAGGAGGGGGCAAAAAGAAGCATGGAGAAGAAGGGCCAAATCACTGGCAATACATGTGGAATTGTTATACTGGTGGTAGCAGCAATAATAGTACTAGTAATGTTTATTATTAGTAGTGGTATTAATAACTGATTGTTATTGCATATTTGTGTGTCAAGTTCTGAGCTGGGTATTTTACATGCATTATCTTATGCATTACTCACTAAAAGTGAAGTAGGTACTATAATTAATCTTCATTTTACAGATGAGGCTTATTACTGATCTAAATCAAGCAGAAGACAACTAAAGAAAGAGATTTCAGATAGTTTTTTGTTTTGTTTTGCTTTGTTTTAGACAGGGTCTTGCTCTGTCACTCAGGCTGGAGTACAATGGCATGATCATGGCTCATTGCAGGCTTGACATCCTCTGCAGCCTTCCAAGTAGCTGGGACCATGGGTACACATGATCATGCCTAATTTATTTTATTTTTTATAGAGATGGAGTCTCCCTATGTTGCCCAGGCTGGTCTCAAACTCCTGGGCTAAACTGATCCTCCTGCCTTGGCCTCCCAGAGTGTTGGTATTACAGGCAAGAGCCACTGCATCCAGCTCAGAGGGTGTTTAAATAATTATCACTCACTGGATTTGAGGGATGAGGGATAACTCTCAAGTTAGTGACTTGGGCAATTGAGTAGGCAATGCCTGGCATCCGATAGCAATTCTAAGATTTCATGCATGAATTATGCCATTCAAAGACATAGAATATTTAAAGAGGGGTACAGTTGTGTCTGTTTTCTTTGAAATGGTGAGTAAAACACTGTTTCAAGCAGCTTGATTGTGGGAAAAAAGAAAAAGCAAAGAATGACAGGTTGGTTGTTGAAAAGCTATTATCAAGATAATAGAGGCCAAAGAGACATGTGTGTGGTTTGTTTGTTTTAAATGGAGATACTTGAAAATACTTATAAGAGAGACAGAAGATGTTAAAGATAGAGATGACAGAGAGAATAACTCATGTAGAAAGGACAGTTGTAATTTAAAATAAAAAATGCTAAGCCTAGGAGAAAAATCAAATGGTGAGACCCAAAAGCAAAACTACACCAAGCAGGGAGAGACCTAGCTTCTCTCTCTCCTGAGTAGCCAGGAATGACACATCAAAAATTCTTTTTTTTTTTTTTTGAGACAAAGTCTCACTCTTGTCCCCCAAGGCTGGAGTACAATGGCGCGATCTCGGCTCACTGCAACCTCCGCCTCTCGGGTTCAAGCAATTCTCCTGCCTCAGCCTCCTGAGTAGCTGGGATTACAGGTGCCTGCCACCACACCTGGCTAACTTTTTTGTATTTTTAGTAGAGACGGGGTTCATCATGTTGGCCAGGCTGGTCTTGAACTCCTGACCTCAGGTGATCTGACCGCCTTGGACTCCCAAAGTGCTGGGATTACAGGCGTGAGCCACAGCGCCTGGTGAAAATTCTTGAGAAAATGCTAGATCCTCCTTAAAAATGAATAATAAAGAAGGCTTCTGTCTGTACACAAGGAAGAGGAGGATCCTCACACATCTGGGACAAATGAAGAGATGGCAGAAAAACAGCTAGAAAGACTGTGGGCTTCAGGGTACAACTGTCTCTGGTTTGTGCTTTCACCCAATTGTTTCAAGGAAGAGTCGTAATTTCTTACAAATCATTGTGCAATTGACACAGGGTATACCATTCAACCAATCTTCCCTTGGTGAGAAAGAAAAAAATAGGGTAACTCCCACATTACATAAATGCCTAAGAAAAAACACAGCCAACATTCCCCTTCATAAATAAACAATACATTTTTCTAAAAAGAGAAAACATTATAAAAGAAATGAAACTAAGGATAAATGTTTTTAATGGCAAGGAATTTGATTTTTCAAATTATTTAAATGCACTATGATTATGTTTGAAGGTTCTCTTAGTAGATGCTGGCTCAGGAGTTGACTCACTTAAAATACAACTCTGTAAGGAAAGCACCCTCGGCCCCTAGGGAATAGGGTTATATGTCACTTCTGACCTTCTTTACCAAGATAAGCTCCAAAGAACACCCTATCCCAGCATCAGTCAATTGAAGGGAGGAGGTAAGGTATTAAAGGATATTTATTTATGAAAAGCTAAAAGAGAGGTCCATGGCAACTAAGTACACAGATTAAATTACAAATAAATCTTTAACCACCATTTATTAAACATTACAACTAATGTGGCAATATATCAAGAAATTTAGATTTTAATTTAAAATGCTACAAGCTAATATTGCAATTAGGATATGAATTTGCCTACTATCTATATAATGTTTAATATTTTTCCATATCAACATTTTAAATCACTAAAACAACTTTTTAAAAATCAAATTGAGTTATCAATTTTATTCTAAGAAAGTATCTGCTAACCACACCAACTGCAAAAACTGAAAAAAAAAAAATCTAAAGTGACCCAAATATATTTAACATTATACCATTAAAAAAAGATTCTTTTGAAAATGAGAAAGTAAAAAGATCTGGAAAAAAAACCCCTATTGTTCCACTAGCTGCTATAAATTCTGTTTAATTATTTTTGTGTCATTTTTAAAGCATGCTCCCTCCTATTACCTAAGACTGTTTGTCACTCTGCTTCCCCTGCTCCTGCCAACCCTGATCACATGGTCTCTTCTCTCCCCTCCTAGGACACTGAGCATCTTCGAGAATGTCACAGAATCACACACGTTGGGCCCATTACACATGTATGGTATGAATTATAATCATATTAAATGCTTTTCAGAAGTGCATCTCCCCCATCTCTTCACCCTTGGGCTGGGTCTTCTGGTAAAATCAAGAGGAAGGAACAGATTATGTTCTGGTACAGTAAAGTGAGAGGGTGTGTTTTTTTTTTTTTTTTAAACTAATAGTTAAATGAAAACAAAAATCAGATTAAAATATATTTACAGCAAGTTAGTACACTTCTCAAATTCAAAGTTACTCTAGTGTTTAGTAATCTTTTACACATTGTTCTACTTAATTTTATTCAGTAAACTTTGCTTACTTTTTGGATCTTTCAGCACTTACTGAAAGCCCTACTAAATTATCACAAATATAAATATATGGTGTCTACTGAATTAGTGTGCTAACAGAACTTCTATGAATTAAAATATATTTCATATTTACTAAGCACATTTATGCAAAGAAAACTCACTTTTAGGTTTAAATTTTCGTTCTATTTTTACTCACAAAATTTCTTACTTTTTTTGCAGATACTTTATGAATAAAATTAAAGCAGCAGGAATTTGGGTTGATGTGCCAGTATTTGTCTTGAATCAAAACTCAGTACATGTCTCCTACTACCTTTACCAGATAGTCTTATAAGAAACATAATCTTTTTCTTTTTCATAATTTGGGAGGAACGGAATCATTAGTAAAATTCTAGTATCTCTCAAACATCAGATTCAGAACTTGAAGCACTTGCTTTTCATGTGGGATAAGCTCATTACTAAATAGCTTCAAGTGTTTAATACGGAAAAAATAGGATTACTGAAAACCAAATTGGCTTTTCATAAGGTTTGTTTTGATGTTAACAGTAATGTCTAGGTTTGAATTCTGATTATCATAAATAGGATACTTTAACAATGTAGCATATATAGAAATCACTCATAAGCACTATTAACTGAAATGAATCACATGGCAGGGCTGCAAAACTTTCCAATTTACACCTGCAGATGTTACTTTGGACCAACTCTATTTTATTGTTCAAGCTTGACACAATACTGGGTAGGTACTGGGTGCCTATTACTACCTGATCTTTTTACTTTATTATTTGACTTGGGCTATCCCTTAGGGCATCACATACAAAATAGAAAAAACAGACAACACTGAAGTGTCAAACAGTTGTAACTAAAAAGGTAAATACTCATTGAGTCCTGGATGTTTTATATGCTAGCAAATAGGTACAAAAAGTTACAAGGGAAAGGAGGCGAGGATGTACAGGTGGACCCAGAAAAGTTAATGTCAAACCAATATTGGTTAGGTATTTAATTTTCACATACAAAGGGCAACATCACTATAGTCGAGTATGGAAAGAAAGTTTTACATAATCCAAAAGTGCCATAAAATATATAATCCTTACTTAGATTATTAGGTGCTGTCACTGAAAAAAGAAAAAAAATCTGGGAATAAATGTATATAGTTTCTTCATCTCGACCTTTTCACCAGATATAATTCTGCCCTCAGATGTTAACAAATCATTTCTTCAAGTGTATAAATCATATATCTTTAAGAATCATTTTATAAGTCACCATGACTAACAATAATAATTTTCTTGGCCTATCAACCTAAAGAGAAAAGAATTTATCATTTAAACCAGTACCTTAATATTAAATACATATTTCATAAGGATTTTGAGCCCAATTAATCCAATACCTTTAAAAAAAAATGACAGGACCATAAATCTGTTTTTATAATCTTCCAATCTAAACTCCAAACTAAAAAGTTATATACAAATCAAACTAGTAATAAATTGAAATTGTTTTTGTTTCAAACCCCCAAACTCTATATTTTGTGCTCTTTTTCTCCCAACCAGTATTTAATATTTTCAAAACTAAAACACCAACTACTTGAGAATCTTCAATGCCTATAAAGAAACTTAATTATGTGTTTGCATGTTTTAATAACAATTCACTTTTATAACTGGTGTTTACTGAAAACCTGTGAATAAATTACTGAGGTAGTTTACTGTTTCTTTAAAGGAACTTCACAAAGAATTCTGAGCAAAGATGTCCTCTTAATAATGCATATAACATATACATTCAGGTTTTCCATATCATCTTCTCTTAGAATAGTACATATTAGTAATGTGATAACTATGTCTCCAAATTCCATCCAAAAGTTGGTTTTAAGTAGAAGATGTTTTATTTTATGACTTATTAGAAAAGTAAAACATTAAAAAGAAAAACCACTAACCAATACTCCTCAGTGCTTGGTTTTTGGTCATTTTTTTATGCAACAGAATTAAAATATTTTCATTCAATTTTTTCATGATAGAATTAAAATTTTTTCATGCATATTATAAAGACTGCAATATGTACGCGGATTTTGATGCTCAATTCCACAGAAAGCTATGCAAGCAAGGTGGGTGTTTTAGAGATTAGACCATTTAGGTTAATATGGTTCATTTTCTCTCCTCTCTCAATAAAGTATATTACTAATCTACAGATGGCAGTTAAGTGTACTGGTTAAAAGCTATGAAAGTTTGGACAGGGGAAGTAGCAGCTCACTCCTGTAATCCCAGCACTTTGGGAGGCCAAGGTGGGCAGATAACCTGAGGGAAGGAGTTCAAGACCAGCCTGGCCAACATGAAGAAACCCCATCTCTACTAAAAAAAATACACAAAAATGAGCCAGGCGTGGTGGTGCATTCCTGTAAGTCCCAGCTACTCAGGAGGCTGAGGCAGGAGAATCACTCGAACCTGGGAGGCTGCAGTGGGCCGACAATGCACCACTGCACTCCAGCCTGGGTGACAGAGTGAGACTCCATCTCACAAAGAGAAAAAAAAAAAGCCATGAAAGTTAATTACCCTCCCTGAACCCATTAAGTGATGAAAGATTAATAATATAAAGTTCAGTTCGTGCTATATAGTAACTGCTCAATAAATGTTCAGCTCTTATGACCATTCATATTAATAATTCAACACCAGTTCCTATTTCAGCTGCTTTCTTTTATAACATGGAATCTTCCCCCTATTTTCCACATCTTAGAAATCATATTGGAAAACCTCCTACCTTCAAATTTTCAAAAGACTTTTCCACTAAAATACTAATGTGACTAAATATTTAGATCTGGAGAAGTCAGCCTTTATCTGAATGATGTTTTAATGAAATGTTCAAACCTGTGAATGTTCTCTGAAATATATCAGTATACTGATTTATCATTTTAATTATAGATCAGCATGTAGCAAATTCATAACCTATACCTTTCTTATTATGAGGATTTTCTAGACTGATATATACCTTTAAGACATGAATCATTCTTCCAGAGTTGGGGAAACTGATGGGAAAATGGCTAAATGATTCAGCATGCTGCAGCAAAGTGATCTGGTCACAAATTTACAATTTCTACTTCTCTTAGGTGCCCTGGCCCTGGTGGCCTCTTTCATCCTGTACTGCATATATAACATATAATGCTGTAATCAATAAATTTAGTTAAACATTCCCTTGGGAAAGGCATAATGGTACTTTCCCCTCCGATGAGCTTCTAGAAACAAAATTATTCAATTCTATGAGACAACAGGTTCACAAGGCTGGACAACTCTTACAATGTCCAGTTGTAAGCTTCATCAAGCTTCGCTTATGCAGATAATAGGGCTAGAGTGAATTCTGACACTGGTGCCATTTTCTTAGCTGCACAAAGGAAATAGCAGGAAAAAGACCCAAGACCAAAAAAACCCAGAAGATGGGCAAAGGAAGCCAGCTGAGGAAATGGCTGTGGCCATACCTGTGTCTCTCATGCCAACATTCACCTTTACCAAAAACATCACAATAGAACAGAAGATCCTAAGCAGGTCAAGAGAACTAAATAGCAACTGCTGAACATACACTCATATAGCCTGACTTATGAGAAACCTCACCACCCAAAGCAGGTGAAAGCCTTTTTCTTTTCTAAGTGCCTCTGTTTATCCTTCGGTGACAAAAGATTTACTGTTAATTAAGGTATTTCAGAAATATATAGATTCCAGAGTAGAATAAAGCCTTTTCCATCAAATAACCAGTTACAAAAATAATATTAAGAATTAAACGGTTTCATCTAAAATTGCACCATCTCAGATGCTGGGGAAGTACATCCATTTTGTGACCATAGCATAGTCATCTCACCCAGCATTTTCTGAGAATGGGACAAAGTGTGCCAGGATGTGTAAAATGAAATTGCCATAGCTATGAAGTCCAATTTCCTCATTCAGTACCTTGAATTTATTTCAGTTTGGTATGGTAACATACCTCACACACACACACACACACCCATACTCACAAAAACAATCCTCAGGAGCAACACTTAAAAAGATTATACTACCTTAGAACTATCTGAAATGTATTTAGGAAAGAACTAGGGTGACAAGTTTGACCTTCCATAAATTCATCTTTTTTTTTTTTGACTGTGCAACCTCTAATTTCCTCTAATTTGGAGAAGGGAGGGTGGGTGGAGAAAGAAAAAAAGGTGAAAAACATCTAATTCAGTGTGTACAATCTCTCTCTTGTGTGTGTGTATATACATATGCGTGTGTGTGTGTGTGTGTGTGTGTATTTTTCCCCCTCCACCAAGACCTTGGAGGTCAATAAGAGGAAAAAATGGCTCACAAGACAAGGTTTCATGGCTAACCCAAGGGAACACCTTCACAGCTGAAGAATTTCAGCTCAGGGGCAACCTGGCTGGGAGTATCAGAGGCCACAGCATTATGGACCAAGAGCGCAGGCCGCACCACCAGCATCCCAGGCGCCTCTGCCGTGCGCATGTCCCTCTTATATAAAGAGATGCTTACAGTCCAGGTGCTTTTTCTTGGGGCCCATTACTTCATGAGTAGTGGCTTTGCAGACCGCTCTTGCTACAGCAGAGCCTGTAACGCTGTACTGAGCGGCGGCGATCCGATCCGTGAGCGTTTGGCCCGACATCTTCTGTGGTCGCGTCTACCGCCTCCTCTTCTGCAGGAAACAAGGGGAGACGGTCCGGCTTTAATCCGCAGACCCTACCCTCCAAGCACCCAGGCCTTGCCTCCTCCAGCCGCGCGGCGGCTCTCTCCTCCTCCATCCCCACCCTGGCACCACCTCTCGGAGCCAGCAACGCGCCAAGCCCCGCTCCTGCGATGCGGTCCAGGGAGTCTTGGCCGTGAGTAGGGCCGTCACGGAACCCCAGCGTGGGCTCCAGTCGCAGCATCGTGACACCGTCCCCATTCTCCCCCGGCCCCCACATAGGGCCAGACTCACCCCCTGGGGACCCCCCTGTCAATCAGCACTTTCCCCGCAACCTGACCCGCGGGTGCTGGACTAGCCACAACGTGCGTTGGGGTTATTCCCTGGGCGCCGCACCCACCGGTGCCCATCTCCCACCTCAGCAGACTTTCCTCCTAGCAGCCCGCAGGCTTCGGGGAATGCATCGGATACCCAAGCCCTGGCTGCCTCCCTCCTCCTCCTCGCGCTGCTGCAGCAAAGGGCTCGTCCTCCCTCAGTCGCGAAGGAGATTATCCTAGCGTTGCGCCATGTTATGCCCTCGCCTCCCCTTCCTTCCTCGCCGCCGGCTCCAAAGCCTCGCCGAGGCCCATCGCCCGGGCCCCTTCCCCCCGGTTCCAAATCCCTGCCGCAGGGGCCGCCCGGGAGCTCTGCGGAGGCGCCGGAGTCTTGGGGCGCCTCACCCTTCCTGGCTTTGGAGAGGAGCCGGGCTGACAGCGAAGCCCAGTCCCCCGCCCGCCCTGGAGCGCTCCGCGGAGCTGTCACTCGGCCGCTGCCCTTCTCCGCACCCTGGGATTATCCTCTGCGGATCCCCGCGAGACCCTGGCGCGGGGAGGGGGCCGAGTACGGCCGCGGGTACTCACCCCGCCCCTGAGCGGCGCCGCCCGCCGCAGGATGAGCGGAGCCCGGGCCGCCGAGGGAAGCCGCGCCGGTGGATGTGTGCGACCGCGCGTAGCCCCGGTGCCCCCGGGCGCAAAGTCTCCAGCCCTGGCCGGGCCCCGCTCCTCAGCTCCGCGGTCCCGGCGCCCACCGCCCCTGGCCCCTGGCCCCAGAAGCCAGTACCCGCCCGCCGCCGCCTCTTCTGCCAGCGCCGCCGCGTCTCTCTAGCGCTCCGAGCTGCGTCCCCATCCCCGCCCCCACCTCAGCTGTGGCTCCTCCGACGAGTCAGGTGACGGCGGCGGACAAACCCGGACGAGCCCTCGGCGGAGCGCCTCGCGGCCCCCTCCCAGCTACTCACACACACCGCCCCCCGGGGCCGGGAGCTTAAAGGCGAGGGGGCGCCTCGCGCAAGCATCCCCGGCAAGCCGGCGGGGAGAAGAAGGAGGCGGGGAGGCCGACACCCACCCAGCCAGCGGCTCTCCGCTGGGCGCCGGGCCGCCCCTCCGCTGCTGGCGCCGCACCCGGCACGCACTGGGCTCGCGCACCACGCACACCTGCCCGCCGACTGCGGGGGGAGCCCTGGGCGTTGGGGGCGTTGGCCAAGACGGGCGAGTGGGCTTCTCGGGTTCTACTCTGTGAAGGCCAAGGCAAGGGCGTCGTCGCGCGCTGCCTGGCGGAGCCCAGCCCCTTCCCCACACTGTCGCTGACACGCCCGCCTGTCAAAGGCTCCGAGGCCCAGATGAGCAGGGCGATTTTAAATGTCAGATCCTGCCGGCCATCCGCGACCGTCACCTGTGCGTCTTCAGCTCCTCAGGCTCCTCCGCTTGTCTCAGTTACAACTGGGAGCCCGGGTGGGCAGGTAATTCTAGCCACTTTAGTCTTAAACGGATACTGAGGTCTGCTGAAGGGAGAATAATTAACACAGCCGTTAATCGAGTCCCAGATTACCTTCGACAGTAATCATTTGCGTGCATAAAGAAAACCCTTTGTACCCTTAAGAAGTAATTTCTGCCAATTAAATATAGTGTTGGAACGTCCGTCAATTGTATGTCAAGTGTATATTCGAATAGTAAGCAGGAATTTCTAAACAGGGATGTGGAGTTGGTTAATAGCTTCACGTGTTGACATTTTCAAAGGTTGTTATTTATGTTCACCTTTTTTTTTAATTCTCACAGTAGCATGAAGATCAAAACTATATTTGTGAGCTTTCCTGGCATTTTTTCTCCTTGCTTCGGGTGGCTTCTGCTCGGCCTTGAAGCCATATATCGATACCTATCGATCTCAACGTTTTGTTATATATTCCTCTCTTTCACCTGGTACAGTGTTCAGTATGCAGTCATGATTTCCTAACTACTGAGACTGATTCTAGGACTAATTGGAAGCTTAATGACTAAAGAGAGACAGCTTAAGAGCACTATTGTCTCAAGTACTAGTCTTACCATATTTACAAGGGAAATAAAAACGCAATTCTATTAAAAAAACTTGTACTCCAGTTTTATAGCAGCTTAATATAATGGCCCCAAACTGGAGGAAAGCCAAATGTTATTCTACTAGTAAATGAATAAACAAAATATGGTATATCCACATAATGGAATACTACTTAGCAATAACAAGAAACAAACTAATACCATTCATGAATCTCAAATTCATTAGACGAAGGGAAAGAAGCTCTATCAAAAATTCTACTTATTATTTTGATTTCATTTATGTAACATTCTGGAAAAGTCAAAACTATAGAAACAGAAAACACATCAGGTGCCGAGTCAGGTGACGGTGGCATTGGGGGAGGGGACTGCAAAGGGGCAGAAGGAAACTTTTTGGAGAGATGGAAATGTTTTATATCGTGACGGTGATGATGATTATACAGCTGCATGTATTTCTCAAAACTCATCAATTTGTACACTTAAAATTGGCGAATTTTGTTGTTTGTTAATTATACCTCAATATAATCTGATAGAGTTGGGAGTGGCAATATTAATATCAAAGTAGGTTTTACAATAAGGAATATTAATAGCAATAAACAGGCACATTTCATAATGAAAAATTCATTAAGAGCATGGAACAATTCTACTTGTTTGTATATCTAAGAACAGAGCTTCAAAGTAGGACGAAGCAAAACCTAATAGCATTAAAAGGAGAAACAGGCAAATCCACAATTATACTTCAGGATTTCAGCACTTTTCTCTATGTAATAAATAGGACAAGTAGACAGGAAACCTGTAAGGGTATAGATGACTTGAAATAGCCCTGTAGGCCGGACGCGGTTGGCTCATGCTTGTAATCCCAGCACTTTGGGAGGCCGAGCCAGGCAGATCATGAGGTTAGGAGATCAAGACCATCCTGGCTAACACGGTGAAACCCCGTCTCTACTAAAAATACAAAAAAAAAAAAAAATTAGCTGGGCGTGGTGGTGGGTGCCTGTAGCCCCAGCTACTCAGGAGGCTGAGGCAGGAGAATGGCGTGAACCCGGGAGGCGGAGCTTGCAGTGAGCGGACATCGCGCCACTGCACTTCAGCTGGGGTGACAGAGCAAGACTCTGTCTCACAAAAAAAAAAAAAAAGAAAGAAATAGTCCTGCAGACCAACTTCACCTAATTGACATTTATAAAATAGTCCACCCAACAGTAGTGGAATACTTTCTTAAAGTGTGCATGGAATATTCTCCAGGATTGACCATACTGACTGATCCTAAGCCATGAAGCTAGTCTCAATAAATTTAAAAGGATTATAATCATACACATTATGTTCTCTTACCACAGTGGAATTTAACTAAAAATCGGTGACAGATAGATATATGGAAATCTCTAAATATTTGGTAATTAAACAACACATTCCAAATAACCCATAGGTCTAATTTTCTCATAAGAAAATTGGAAATTTATTTGAACTAAATAATAATGAAAATCCAACATATCAAAATTTGTGGGTTGCAGGCAAAGTGGTGATTAGAGGCAAATTTATAGCATTAAAATGCTTAGGAATGAAGAAAGATCTAAAAATATTTATTTGAGTTTGAACCTTAAGACACTAGAAAAAGAATAAATTGAATTCAACATGAGCAGAAAGAAGGAAGTAATAAAGAGTACAAATCAATGAAAGAGAAAATGACAAATAATAGATAAAATCAATTAAACCAAAAGCCATTTTTTGGAAAAGATCACAAAATGGATAACCCCACTAGCCAGATTGAGCAAGGAAAAAATAAGATGGCAAAAATTTCCAATTTTAGGAGTGAAAGGAGAAATCAATTCTATGGACATTAAAAAATTAGAGAATGTTATAAACAACATTGTGCAATAAGTTGGACAATTTACATAAAATGAGGAAGTAGTATAAAATAATGGTTCTCCAACAGTCCAATAATGATGTAATGTCACATATGTTGCTATTAGTTAAGAGGTTTTGAGCAAATAACATGTTTCCAATAATAATTAAAATAATGCAATCTGTGAATGATTTATTTTTCAAAATAGATTGGAATGGATTCAAAGTCAATCCTATAATAGTGTGCAGTTACATACAATACACTGGGAAGTATTTGAAGCCAGAGCTTATTCTTGGTATGCTACCCATGTCTCTGGTACTATACATGGGAGAATATCCCACACATAAACATCCTGACATAGTGTTAGCAGAATGTTTGAAAATCCCTCAACTATAGAAGTATCATATTCTTATAATAAATAATCAATAAATAATGTCAAGGATGGAACCAATATATGAAATGTGGGTTGTTTTGGAAGATCTTAATGAGCGTTGAAAATAGTAGCATATTTTCAGTAGCAAAGATTTGGAGATGCTGGCTTCTTACAGCCAGGAAAATCTAGAGTTACATCCATGAATGTTATATACTAAAGTGAAAGAAAGAAAATAGACTAAAAGAAAGAAATATATTGAGATAAAAAATTACTTGTTGACATGTTCTCTTTGAAGGCACAGGAACGTAATAAATGATATTCAATAAATCTTAGGCAAGAATAAGAATTGACATTTAATATTTTACAAGTTGAAATATCTTTGATCTCAGTGGTCAGAAAATAGGGTAATTATAATAAACACCCCAAACTGCTTTTTAAAAATACATATTGAGGCTGGCGCGGTGGCTCATTCCTGTAATCCCATCACTTTAAGAGGTGGAGGACAGCAGATCACTTGAGGTCAGGAGTTTGAGACCAGGATGGCCAACATGGTGAAACCCCGCCTCTACTAAAAATACAAAAAATTAGCCGGGCATGGTGGTGTGTGCCTGTAGTCCCAGCTACTGGGGAAGCTGAGTCCCAAGAATCACTTCAAGAAGTTGCAGTGAGCTGAGATCATGCCACTGCACACCATCCTGAGACTCCGTCTCAAAAAAAAAAAAAAAAATTGAATTTATTTTCTGGGCCAATATACATAAATGCATATATGCTACTAAACAGATTTTTTGTAAGTCTCTGATTTATTTATTTATTTACTTTTTGTATAGACGGTCTCATTTTATTGCCCAGGCTGGTCTTGAACTCCTGGCCTTAAGTGATACTCCTGCCTTGACCTCCCAAAGCACTGGGATTACAGGTGTGAGCCACCATACCCAGCTAAGTCTCTGATGTAATACACATGTTTTCTTCTGAGTATCAGATTTAATACAGAAAAATCAAGCCAACAATAATTACACGTAGACCAACAATTTATTTCAGCACGAGGGCAAGTGTCTTCAAGTTCTTGATTTCAATTTATTTGTAAGATACAACACGTGTACAAGAAACAGAGAAAAATAAAGCTGAAGATAATTTGATTGGCTCAGATAACAACCTGAGGTGAAATTAGAAAATTTATACCTTTCTCCTAAATCTATAATATTCTCAAGGTAAAACTATAGGGTGAATTTCATTCCAGGAATGCTTTTCTGTCAAAGTAGAAAAAAACACATTGGTACAAGAATAACCACCCTGATTCTTATTCAATGAATCTTGTATGAAAGACTTAACTTTATACCTCTCAGAGGTTTCTGTGGATTCGTCACAAAGGTTTACTTTTGTGTGTCACTGTGGTAGTTAGTCCCCCAATAAATCTCCTCCCTTTGCATCTGAGCTGTCTCTGTAACTTGCTTTTGATCAATAAAATACAACAGACTGATGCTTGGCAGTTAGGTCATAAGAAACCTTATAGCCTCCACCTATGTTTCTTAGAACATTCCAACTTGGGATGTTCCCTCTTGGAAGCCAGCCACCGTGTAAGAAATGTGTTTACCCTGAACCACTCTACATGAGTAGCCCAAACACACAGAGATGCCCTGCGTAGGTGCTCTGGTCAAAACCCCAGCCCAACTCTCATTTAAACAGCCAGTTTCATCTGCCAGATGTCAAAGTGCATAAGCCATCTCAGGTAGCCCAGAGGAGAATTCCAATGACTACAGACCAGCTGTCACCTGACTGCAACTACATAAAAGACTTCAAAGGAGAACTACCCAGCAGAGTCCTATTCACTCACAAAATTGTGAGAAAGAATAAAAATTTGCTGTTGTATGCCACAAAGTTTGTTATACAGCAATAGACAATAGATTTAAAACTGGGAAGCAAATGAAAATAACATACTTAAATTGTTTTTGTGCCATTAGGCATGTAAAATGTACATGTTCCTTTTATCATGCCAGTTGTCATGTTGAATTCATTTCTAACCTGAATTTTAGGCAAAACAAAACTTAGTAAATATGTTTGTTCTGGCTTGGAATATACTTCATTAACTGTAATTCTTAAGAAACTTGAATGGTTTCATGGATGAATGTTATACTTCCCTAAGATAATCGAGTTGTTTGAATCTCAATCTTACTGATATTTTGTGCAAGCTACAATTTTTCTTGCTACACTAGGGTGTTCATCAGTTTTATGGTCTTTTTCATTTGTTGTCTTATAAAAGAGAAGCAAGCTTTTTGTCTCTGCTCAAGTGCATTCAGGATACCATAATTTGCTTTTTGTTGTGAATTGCTTTTGAGTTTGGGTGAAGATGTCACATTTGTGTGTAGGAGTGGAAAATTATTTTAACATAAATTAAAATAACACATTGAATTATTTCCTCCGTTGAAATATTCTTTATTATGTAGCAAGTCATATTAGTCTGTTCTCATGCTACTAATAAAGACATACCCAAGACTGGGTAATTTATAAAGGAAAGAGGTCTAATTGACTCACAGTTCAGCATGGCTGGGAGGTCTCGGAAAACTTAACAATCATGGCAGAAGGGGAAGCAAACACGTCGTTCTCCACATGGCGGCAGGAAAAGAAGTATGAGAGCTGAGCGAAGGGGGAAGCCCCTTATAAAACCATCAGATCTCATGAGAACTTACTCAGTATCATGAGAACAGCATGGGGACAACCATCCCCATGATTCAGTTACCTCCTACCAGGTCCCTCCCACAACATGTGGGGATTATGGGAACTACAATTCAAGATGAGGTTTGAGTGGGGACACAGCCAAACCATATCACAAGTGAATTCCTACAAGATTGTGGTCAAGCTGTACATGATCTGCAAATCTTTCCCAAAGCCTCTATTTTAGTCCCTTCTTTTTATATATGAGAAAATGTAAGACTAGAGAGTTTAAGTGACTTTCTCATCATCACACACAGTGAGATAACAGCATAACCAATCCTAAACTTCGTTGTTGAACATCCAATCCAGTGTTCTTTCCACTGCATTCATTGCTTCTGATAAAGGTATAACAGTATGATGTTAGACTCTTATTTCATACTAATTAATTCTTCAGTAAAAAAAAAAATCCTTTTTAAAATTTATGGGCTGGAAGGATGGTGGCTAATATCTTAGGTTATAGAAGTAAACAAGCCCTGGTTTGATTCCCTAGCGTTGGTCCTTACTAGCTGTGTGACTTTGGGCAAGGTTTGTAGCCCTTAAGGATGAGTTTCCTCATCTGTAAAATGTGCTTGATCCATAATATCCACCTCAAAGATTGCTGTTACTATCAAATGAGGTAATGCAAATAAAGCCAATAGCACAGTGTTTGGCATGCAATAAAAGCCTAATAATTGCAACTGATAATACTCTGTAATTGTTGATAGACTGATTTTATTAATATATTACTATATTTTCATTTTTATTTTATTATTTGGAACTACAACTCAAGTGTATATAGTTCTCTGATTGAAATATTATTTTACTAGTATCATCTTTAAAGTGAGAAAATAAATTAATAATTTACCTAGCTCCTGAGATGTGAAATCATGTTACTTCAATATTATCATGGAGAGTATCAAGCTTCTATTAATTTCAGGAAACTAGAGTAGAAAACATATATATGGCTGGGCGTGGTGGCTCATGTCTGTAATTCTAGCACTTTGGGAGGCCAAGGCGGGCAGATCACCTGAGGTCAGTAGTTCGACACCAGGCTGGCCAACATGGTGAAACCCCATCTGTACTAAAAATACAAAAAAAAAAAAAAATTAGCTGGGTGTGGTGGTGGGCGCCTGTAATCCCAGCGACACGGGAGGCTGAGGCAGGACAATCTCTTGAACCCGGGAGATGGAAGTTGCAGTGAGGCAAGATTGTGCCAGTGCACTCCAGCCTGGGCGACAGAGCAAGACTCCATCTCAAAAATAATAAAATAAAATAAAATAAAACATATATACATATGCAAATAGACATTGTACAGCAATACTGTTATGAACAGCATTTTGTTATTTCCTTTTTATTAATTGAAAAAGATGATTGCAAGAGAATTCTTTGGAGTGAGAAGATTTTGCTGTGAGAAAGGAGAAGATTAATCAGGAAAGTCTGTCTGAAGAAGGAAGTTTCCCAAGGAAACTTCTAACTCAAGGGCATAGGAGAGCCGAAGCAGTGTGCCTCACCTTCAACTGTGTATCTCCAGGTTTTCCTCTCATTCTTTAACTTGCTCCTGTATTTTAGGTTGCTGTTTGTGTTTGTCTACAGCTCAATTTATATTTGAAGTTGCTTAGGAAAAATGACACTGACTTTACTTGATACTTCATTGCACGAGGATCACAGAAGCCACATGCATTTGTCTTTGTGCAGCTCCAGGAACACAGCAGTGGACTGTGAGAAGAGCTGGTATTTCTCATACTCCTTCAAATTGTGTATCTAAAACATACACATTACTCATCACTTCAAAAATTCTCATGCAAAAAATAAATGAGATATATATAGATATATAGTGGTTTGTTTTTGTTTTTGTTTTTGATTTAGACGGAGTCTTGCTCTGTTGCCAGGCTGGAGTAAAGTGGCACGATCTCGGCTCACTGCAACCTCCGCCTCCTAGGTTCAAGCGATTCTCCTGCCTCAGCCTCCCAAGTATTTGGGATTTCAGGCACGTGCCACCACACCCAGCTAATTTTTGTATTTTTAGTAGAGGTGGGTTCTCGCCATGTTTGCCAGGATGGTCTCAATCTCTTGACCTCATGATATGCCCACCTCAGCCTCCCAAAGTGCTGGGGTTACAAGTGTGAGCCACCGTGCCCAGCTACTTACTTACATGTATATAAATGTGTGTACACATATATACATATATGTACATATATACGCACATACGCATATATATGTACATATATACACACATACGCATATATGTACATATATACACACATACGCATATATGTACATATATACACATATGCATATATGTACATATATACACACGCATATATGTACATATATACACACATATACGTATATGTGTGTATACACACATACATATGTGTATACACACATACATATGTGTATACACACATACGTATATACGTATGTACACATATACATATATACGTATATATACACATATACACCTATATACACACATATACATATATGTACATATACGCACATATACATATATGTGTACATATATACACATACATATATGCACATATATACACACATGTACACTATATACACACATGTACACCTATGCACATATATACACACATGCACACACGTACACACACGCACACATATGTACACACATGTACACATGTGTACACATATGCCCATATGCACATGCATGTACACGTGTGCGCATGTGCATATATACACGTATATGCGCATATGTACATATATGTACGTATATGCGCACATGTGCATATATGTACGTATATGCGCATATGTATATATGTGTATATACGTGTATATACCACGTATATACACATATACATATATACAGATATGTACATATACACATGTATATACACATATATGTACATATATACACGTATATACACATATATGTACATATATACACATACACATATATGTACATGTATACGCGCATATACTTATATGTTGATATATACACGCATATACATATATGTGCATATATACACGCATATACATATATGTACATATATACACGCATATACATATATGTGCATATATACACGCATATACATATATGTAGATATATACACGCATATACATATATGTACATATATACACACACATATATATAGGTCTTTATAGTCAACAATTTCTAGTAACAAGAATATTAAAGAGAAATGGAAAGTTTAGGCTATTTGATATTCAGTATAACCAGATGAGAATGAACTGCTGTGTTACTGTTTAAACTAATTTTGGCTAGAACAAGTAAAGCCTTACTCTTTCTAGAGCATAATGCATTTAACGATATTGAATTTCTTTTTTAATTTACCTCAAGTACTTTCTTTTGTCCAAGGACTTATGCTTCAGACAGTCAGGAGTCATACACAGCACAGAACATTGTTGTGGGAGGTTCAGATAATTAGTAGAGTATACATTTGCAATTTGTTCAAATACTGTACTTGAATTATGCTAGCCACACATCAGAAAGTTCCCAAATAAGCCCCCAAATAAATCATAATAAAACAAAATATATAATATTCTTTCTTGTAAAACGTTAGTTTGGAGAAAGTTTTCAGCTGAGAATCACCTTTCACTTTTACGTTGGAAAATAAATTAGAATAATGCTAGAATAATGCCAACGATTTCCCATGGAGAAACTTAAGAGTGAGTTAATTGTTGTATTTCTCCGAGTGTATGGCTGTTACTATTAACAGATGTCTTCATCTTAACATTTTGTCTCATTCAGCCTAAAACTGGGTTAATTCTGTTTTCATTGTGAATGATTTTAAACATATTCATAAAAACAAAACTCAAGAAATTCTCTGGCATCGTCTCTCATGGGCTTGGATCCTTCTTTTGTCCCTGTATCAGATGCTTTTTGGTGAGCATTATCAGAGATGCACATTTGGTTTATGACACCCATGTCAGTGTAAATGGTGCATTTCTTATATCTGGTAGATATGGAGAGACAAATTTGTTTCCATTGTTACTCACTTTATTCTACAGCCCCTGTCAAGTTCGCTCAGTATTTTGCTGATAAAAAAGAACAGACGTTGTGCCTGTAATCCCAGCACTTTGGGAGGCCAAAGAGAGCGGATCACTTGAGGCCAGGAGTTCAAGACCAGCCTGGACAACATGGTGAAATCCCATCTCTACCAAAGTACAAAAATTAGCCGGGCATGGTGGTGTGTGCTTGTAATCCCAGCTACTCTTGAGGCTGAGGCAGGAGAATTGCTTGAACCCAGGAGGCAGAGGTTGCGGTGAGCTGAGATTGTGCCATTGCACTCCAGTGTGGGCAACAGAGCAAGACTCCATCTCAAAAAAAAAAACAAAAAAACAAAAAACAGACATTGGCATTACAATAAAATTCTGAAATTTCCATTTCATGGGCAAAAGTAGTAAAATATAGATCAAACAAGTGGATAAATGTATTATTTATGCAACAATGTTTATTAGGGATATCAAAGTATTTCTTATTAATAATCCACAAAATTTTCAAGACATACCTATAGCTGAAGTAACAAATACTGATTTTTGTTTCTTTGAAGTTTTGTTGGGGGTTTTAGCCCTTAGCCTGATGCTATCCAGTGAGGGACATTATTTAGCAGCTGCATGATTTATTGCTGGTTGCATTTGGAAATGTTATTGATTGCCATTGTCACATGATCTGTATTAGGAAGCCATGGTCCATTCTGAACTGTGTATATAAATATTGTTGATTGATTTCCAACTATAGTAATGGATTATATGGCTGCCTCTATTTGCAGCCCACCTTAGACACACAATTTCTTGCTTATAAGCCCTTAAAGGTAATTATGTCTGCTTAAGTACTTCGTCTTTCAGGGGTTATAATCTCCCAGCAGCCTTGCCACTTACTAGGCATCAGTTAAGTTCTTAAAATATCTCTTGTGTTTTTTCTAGTAGCAGTTGTCTGAGCTTCACCTGGCCATCCTGGAGGTATTTCCATATCCTTATTCTCATTTGCTTCATCCCATACAGCTGTATGTACAGGGAATCGTTTTCATGACAGGGAACTGGCAACAGTCACAGAACTCATTGCCAGATAGTTTTTTGCCACTTGGCTCCTCATAGTGACCATTTCAAAAGCTGGATATGACATTTATGATAGCTTTAAGTGTCACTATCATCTGGAAAGCTGAACACATACCTCTGGAGCTTGATACTTTACTGACTCAAGATTAAACTTTGTCAGTTTGTCAGTTTAATCTTGGCCTCCTTGATTCAGGAAACCAAAGTACCTATCATCAAATAATGCACTATGTATTTTAGCTCCACAGAGTAGATGACATGTCATGATTGTGGGTAGGGCTAAGTGACAGAGGCTTGTCTGAAATCTGGTCTGTAGATAAGTACTCATTCCACAGTTAGCAAGTTTCTTCCTACATGGAAACTTCCGGAAGAACAGCAATTCGCAGAATCATTTGAGAAATTAACTAACTTTAGCTACCATCATAATGTGGATGATATCTTGGGGTAATGAATCTTGTTACATGTGTGGAAAAATATTCTAACACAATCTATGTCTAATTTTTATAACTATGAACAAGAATATGTAGAATAGATTGCTTTAACTGTTGCCGAAAGCATGTACTCTGATGCTTCATTTAGGGGGGCCCAGCTATGAAAAAATGAAAAAAATGAGATGCAGACCTCAGCCTACCTCCGGGGTTCAAGGTGCAGGTGCCCAAGCCCAAATTGCATATATGAAGATAACTTCAACATTCCAGAAAATAATTGGTGTTTGTTAGCCATAGCAAGCAGAGAGCCAAAAGGCAGTAGTTGGTTATCCAGGCAAATCTGCCATGAGGAAGCACAGCCCAGTCAGCAAACTAGGGGCAGGGGCAGGACTCCAACTTGAGTGGGAGGAGTGCTGGTAAGAAAAAAATCTAGAACAAGACTTAAAGGTCATTCTTAAATACTACCTGGCTTGTATGAGGCTTAGATTTGACTTGGAATAGCATAGATCCTGCAAGTATGAATAAGGTAGTCCCATTTCTAAGAAAGGGTGCAGAGGCAGGAAATGAAGGTAGCAAGAATTCTGCCATTTTAGTCTTATTATCTTGCACTATAGTTTCATGTTTAAGCTGTATTCAAGTGGTCTAGAAAGTAGAGTGTTAATAATATGCAAACATATTTCCTTATAGTGTTAAACATAAAATTCAAATAATATAATTACTTTCTGGTGTTTATATTTGGTTTAATATATCTATATATGTTTAACACAAATAATTTTAATCACAATCCCATCTTTCAGCATTAACTACAGCAAAAATAACTTTTGAAACTGGTGCTAATTGGATGTGTTCTTTTTATAAAAAGCAAATGTCTTCCTTTATTTACCTAAGCCTTCTCAATTTTTATAGATGAATGAATTTACTGACTATGCAACTGTCTCATTTTACCTCTTAAAATTTGTGCCTCTCCTCAGTACAGATATGTTTGATGAGTGAGCTAATGAATAAATGGACCAACATCTAGCACAATTGTAAAACTTAGTATATGCCTAATAAATGAATTTAATAAATGAATGAATGTGAAATCATGGGTAGTAACAACATTGGCAATGGAAATTAATTTTTTGGAAAATTTAATTTCTGAAATAAATCAGGAACCTCTGATTATATGAGTCAGATACACAGAGAAATGAAAAGGACACTACCTGACTTATTTATTTATTTATTTATTTTTTGCAAATCAAATGGCTTTACTCCAAGGAATTCTAGGCATTGTCACAAGCTGTAATTTGCCAACTGCATATGAGTCCTTAAAATACCTTCAAGTGAGGCTACAATAATTGTTCAAAAGTAGGTTTATAGAGTTAATCACTGCTGTGCTGTGAAAATACTACAATTTTGTTAGCACAGCAGTACATTTTGATAGGTATATGTAGCCACATTGTAAAATAGCTAATCTGTCACACTGTGACTCATGATTCTTGACCACATTTCATAAACTTTCTTCCTAAAATTTGCTCAAAGCTTGGATATTCTACCAACTAAAAACACTTTTCCATAAGCCTTAATAAGCCTGTGATGAATTTCTGCTGCAAGAGCAATTTTCGTATTTCAGAATTAAATCGGCCAGGCGCGGTGGCTCACGCCTGTAATCCCAGCACTTTAGGAGGACGAGGCAGGCGGATCACCTGAGGTAAGGAGTTCGAGACCAGCCTGGCCAACGTGGTGAAACCCTGTCTCTACTAAAAATACAAAAATTAGCCAGGCATGGTGGCAGGCACCTATAATCCCAGCTACTCCGGAGGCTGAGGCAGGAGAATCACTTGAACCCGGGAGGCGGAGGTTGCAGTGAACCGAGATGATGCCATTGCACTCCAGCCTAGGCCACAAGAGTGAAACTCCATCTAAAAAAATAATAACAATAAATAAGAATAAGAATTAAATCACAGTATGTGTTTTGCCTAAGAGCCATATATTAAGGAAATAGGTATTTTAAACTAAATATATTAAGCCATAAACACTGATAGATAAATCATCTTACAACCCAGCTTTAAATCATAATGTGATATGACATTAATTTAACAAATATTTGTTGAAGACCCATATGCCAGGCACTTTCTAGGAAAAAAAGAATTCTAGCAAAAGAGTATAGACAATAAACTAATAAGAAAATTGTCTAAAATATTAGAAAGTGGCAAATGCTCTTATAAAAGAGTAAGCAGGATCTGAGGGCTAGTGTGGGAGGAGTGGAAATGTAATCTTAGATAGGGGGTGGTTGAAAGTGAGTGCTCATGAAGGAGGTACATTTGAGTAAACAAGGTGGTGAAGAAACAAGCCACTTTTGCGTAGAATACATTAATAATTATTCTTGTAAATTTCCTTCTGAACAGCCCTCATTTTCTATATGGATGATGTCATTCTCCTGCCAAAAACTCTTCAATGACCTCCTACAGCATTTGGCATAATATGTAAGCTCCTTAAGTTGTTCTATGACTACCTCCGTGATCTCACCTCAGCCTCAGTCTCTAGCCCCTTGCCTTTTTCTCTTGATTACTTTGCTTCAGCCATACTGGATTTATTTCAGTTACCTCATGAGTACCAATGGCTTTCCTACCTTTTGGCCTTCTCACAAGCATTTCTTTCCTCTGCTTGTAATCATTCCGCAGACTTTTACCTGACCAACTTCCCAACTAGCTGACTACTCTACTTTGCCCTGTTCTTACATTCTCATTGCACAATATGTTTGCCTTCCCATCCTTTATTACAATCATAAGTAAATAACATGTAATCATTTTCTTAGTTTCAATTTTTCTGATTTTAAGCTCCTTGATGATAGGGATGTTGTGAGATGTCTGCCTTGTTCATCAGTGTCTCCAATACCTACTACATGGTAGATGCTCGGTATCTATTGAATGACTAAACCATGCTTCAAAAGGGGTGAGATTTATGTAGCTGGGCTAAGAAAAGAGAATGTACCCAAGGTTAGGGTGGGAAAATAAAAGTGAAAAGTATTTTTTCCCTGACTGAACTTAATATTTCAACAAATTAAATGGCCAAGACTGAAAGACCTTTAAGGTCTTTAGGCAGTTCTTTTAGGTGTATTCTTTTCATGAATCCATATATAGCTGGCAATGAGTCTCCGTAGGTAATGATTATAGACTAGGAAGTGTAGCTATTAGATGCTTCTCCAAACATTTTGGTTCTCTCTGCTACTAGGTATGTGGTAGAAATCCACTTCCCTACCCTCTTGAAGTTGGGGATGGTCATGTGACCTTGGATTATGAACTGTGAGTGGATATAGGATATGTTACTTTTGGGAAGAAGCTTTAAGAGTCACTACACAATTAGTGCCTTTCTCTTTGCCACAGTACCTGGCAATGCTTCAGGTGGTAGCTAGTCTGTTAGTGGGGCCCTGTTCCCTTCTTCACTGTTTTGCTTTTTGCCTGTCTCTGCCTTATCTCAGGCTTCTACCATTTCTGTCCTGGATAGCCTCTTAACTTATGTCCCTGTTTTCACTTTCACTCCCCTCTGGTACATCTACTGCACTGTGGCCAAAGTGGATTCTCTAAAAGAGGCTCTGATCACACTCTTCTTCTGTTTAAAACTCTCCAGGAAATTCTCATTAACTTCAGGAATAAGTCTACACCTTCAGCAGAATGTATTCAAGCAGGACTTTTGAGACCCTCAGCCACTGCCCCTGTCCCATCACAAGCTAGTCGGATGTCCATCCCCCATAAACCCATATCTTACACTTCTATATTAGTACTTTTCACAATATCTCACAGCAACCCCTGTCAGCTCTCTGGCAGCAGAACACTGGGCTGCAAGGATCTTAGTGCCACTCTGTGGTGGCACCCCCTCAGCCCTGCAAATCTTTTTTACTCACAACTGACCAGGCAAGTAAAAAGAGACCATACAGCATGCTTGTTATTGAAATCACCAGGTATACATTTCTGATCTCTGATTCATTTTCTTTTTCCCCTTTTTGTCTTAAGATAAAAGATTTGTATCTTTTATTTGTATTGAACATATTCAGTCTTGAAATGTGTTCATCTCTGATATGCATGTGTCCTCTATATTAATTACAAGTCCCTTTTCCTAATTTTTTTATATCACTGGATGTTGTCTTCCTCTTAGGATTTATTACTATGGGAGCCTGAACAAAATAAAAATTTAAATATAGACTATTCTATTCGAAGTATCTTAACTACATTTAAGTCCTATTGGGTTTATTTAAAAAAAAAAAAAAAAACAGGAGAATATTAACCAGTGTCAACTAGCACTGTCAAAGGGTCAGAAACTGAAGGCCCTCAAACCATGCTCAGAGGGACCAAATTTCCATGTGGTCCTATTCAAGTAAAATAAATTATTGACTTAAATGTACTTGAATATCACCAAAGCTTAGAAACTACATTAAAACTAAGTATTTTTACACTACAGAAAAATAGAGAAATAAGCTAATGATCAAGTTTGAAATACCAGGACCTCATGAATAGAAAGATTGGGTAAGAATAAAGGACTGTAAAGCCAAAGGCTGTTAAGTGTTTATCTAGTGCAGTACATCCTCTTGCCTTCTGGCAACAATCCATTTAAGCCATCCTATAATAGGGAGAATCTCTTCTTTTTGTGAAGACGTGAGAAATAAATTCCATAAGCTCTCTTGATTGTTCATTCCACTGGGATACCTTGGTGATCCCAGACTGTTTCAACATCTTAACTGCCTTTTAATTTCCTTATTATCTTTGATTTGGACTGCCTTTAAAATATTTAATTTTGGTAATTTGGCTCAATTATTTTTATATCACAGTTATTATTTGTCAAGGGTAAATTTTAGCTTACATATATTTAGGTGGGCTTATATTTTGTCCTGCAGGAAAAAGTGATGTAAGAATTAGGCATATATAAAAGAATGTTATATCTTTACCTAATTTTAAAATTGCAAATCACATTTAAAATTTTGGTGGCTCAAACTAAAGATTAAAAAAAAAAACAATTTTGGGCATGGTGGCTCACGCCTGTAATCTCAGCACTTTGGGAGGCTGAGGCAAGCAGATCACAAGGTCAGGAGTTTAAGACCAGCCTGGCCATCATGGTGAAACCCTGTCTCTGCTAAAAATACAAAATTTACCTGGGCACAGTGACATGCGCCTGTAATCCCAACTATTTGGGAGGCTGAGGCAGGAGAATTGCTTGAACCCGGGAGGTGGAGGTTGCAGTGAGCTGAGATTGCACCATTGCACACCTGCCTGGGCAACAGAGCAAGACTGTGTCTCAAAAAAAAAAAAAAATACTTGGTAAGTAATAAGAGTTTAATAGTAATTTTTTAAAAGGAAAAGATTATTTTAAGCTTTTAAGCTTAAAATTTATTTTACAAAACATAATATTAATTTAGCTCAATTTAGCCATTCATAATGTATACATATTTCAAAACATCATGATAAATGAATGCAAATTTTTGTCAATTAAAAACCCGTTAATTAAAAAACTAAACATATTAATATTAAATGAATGTTTAGTTTTAAATATGTGAAAAATGTTGAGAATAACATACTTGTAGTTTCTTTTAAAAACTACCACCACAACAACAAAAGATGAAAAGGCCATTTTCCTATTTATATCACGGGCTACAAATAAACTATTTTATTTTATTCAATAAATTTCAAACCTCTCTTGCTTAGGTTACTTGCCAGGGAGCCTGAAGTTTTCATTATCTGAATTTCACCTTGGAATTAGAGGGAAGAAATTGGATAGTGTTGTCTTCTGAAGGCACTATTCAGATGAATCCACAAGAACTCAGAAGAAGAGAGGGAATGCACTGAAGAAACTCATTTACCCTTGTCCATTACCAAATATTTATTTTTTTTAAGGAGCTATCAACACAAAAGACACAGACACCCTGGCTGTGAATGAATGAGGTAATGTGCAGTTAACTTTTAGTAAATTTTTTTTTTAAAAAAAGAAGAAATGAACAGAAACACAGTGTTTGGTTTGTGGGATAAGAACTCAGAGAACCTCCTATTAGGATTACTGAAGTGAAGAGTATAAGGGAAGGATTGGAACTACTGGGAGGCCAGGTAAAATTTGGTAGCCATGATAGGCTAAAAAGCTGACTACATCTGCTCTTCTACAATTTTACCTAAGGCTGGGGCTTCAATATTTATTCAATTTTGTCATTTTTTCATTAGTTCAGTATTTCATTCACTACTGATTTGATGAGCACCTACTTTTTAACCAAACACTATCCCGAACACTGGATGACGAAGGTGAAAAGGACAGAGACCCTGCCCTGGGAGGAGTCAGAGTTGATGCAGGTCCAAACGCTAGTGTTTACAAGACTCACGTAGTGGTTTTGCTTCAATAGGAGATTCCTGGATCCCATCCACAGAGCCTGGGATTCAGGAAGCATGGAGGTACTGAGGTGAGTGTAGCAATGATCTTCTAAGTGTGCACTGATTTGTTTCTTGGCCTGGTGTTTTATGTGCTCTAAATTCAGACTGATCTCCTTCAGTTCATTAGTAGGAATAAAGTGTGTCTTGACAGAAGAAAGGAATGAATCAGTAAGGAAAGTATAAAGATAGAGAAAAAATTATCAGGAAGTGAGAACGAGGCGGGAGGAAAACGAAAATGAATGTGAAATGACTTAATGGGACCCCCAAAAAGACAAGACTGGGCAGTATTGGAGTGACACACAGATATGAAGCTCTTTCCACACCTGAAGGATCCTGACGTTTGAAGAAGTGGAATTCCACACTTCACAGGATGGGCAGCAGTTACAGTCCCTAACTGTGAGGCAAGCCAGCTTGTTACTGACCCCAGGAGGAGGTACCTGCTTGGTCCACATGTTTGTGCAGCAGCCACCTTTGTGTTCTGTGAGAAATGTGCCAGCTTCCTGCAGGGTGAGCCTGAGGAGCCTTAGAAAGCTGCCACTGGTGCATGCCTGTAGTCCCAGCTACTTGGGAGGCTGAGGCAGGAGAATTGCTCGAACCCGTGAGCTGGAGGTCGCAGTGAGCCGAGATCGCGTCACTGCACTCCAGCCTGGGCGACAGAGTGAGACTCCCAAAAAAAGAAAGAGAGAGAGAGAAAGGGAAAGCTGGAAAGCTGCCACTGGCTCACAGATCCAGGGACCACCACCATTTGAATAACTCATGTCAGGTGCAGTCATGCAGTATTAAAGATTTTCCAGTGAAATTAACCAGGCCATGGGGACTAACTGCCACACTCACTCCCACCAAGAGCTGCCCTCTGCCTGTCCATTTTCGCCACTCACCATCCTCTTCTGCCCTCTCACCTGCTCCATCCTTCCAGCTGGCCATCCTACTCAACGTGGCTTCTGATTCCCGGTTGCTTGGATTGGAGTTGGATTTCCCCTGATATAGTACTGCCAAGAGGCCCCTGACCTCTGTGTCTCTGGGCACAGCCCTGGAACCCCCATCAGTGAACTGCACTCTGACAATTTGGAGCCCAGCTTTCAGCCTTAAGGGACTGGACTGGATATTCCCTGGTAAGGACAGCTGTAGTCCCTGGGAAGGGAAGGAAAGAGGCAAATACAGGGTTCTTACAGACCCAGGACTGCCCCTGCCCCACCCACAAAACCCTTGTATGCACTCCTTCCTCCAAAATAAAAATAATAACAGCACTTTTCAGACTTTCCAGACTACCCGGTTTGGTAATAAGGCAGAGAAATGGAGTCTGCTCCTGGTCCCCTGCCTGACTGGTGATGCCACCTGGACTACAGGTGTTGGTGGGAGAATAATGAAGGATCCCTTCCTTCGCTCATTGAGAAGGGAAGCCAATCTGGTCAAACAACATGAACAGGGAATCTGGATGCTTCTGCTGGTTCAGTGGTTCTCGGACACTTGCCACTATTTATCTCTGGCTCCACCTGAGGGCTAGACTCTCCTGGAGGTGGTGACCATGGTTGCAGGTTTGTTTTCACTGAAACCACGTGGTGGGAGCCATGATGCTTATGTAGGAGACAGTGATTCAGACCACTTTCCTCAGAAGTGTGCTGAGTCCATAGGATTTTGACAACAATATGCACGCCTCTTGAAGCCCAACAGGAATATAAGGTTGACTTATCCTGTCTTATTATTTGGAGTGACTTGGTCTGTTCTTTGAAACAGATGTGTTCTCTGAATTCTCTCCTTATAAATAAAAAAGGAATGTTAGCTTGGAGGAGAGGAATATATAAATACTATGCAGCCATAAAAAAGGATGAGTTCATGTCCTTTGCAGGGACATGGATGAAGCTGGAAACCATCATTCTCAGCAAACTAACACAAGAAGAGAAAACAAAACACCACATGTTCTCACTCATAAGTGGGAGTTGAAACAATGAGAACACATGGACACAGGGAGGGGAATATCACACGCCAGAGCCTGTTGTGGGGGTTGGGGGGCGGGGGGAGGGATAGCATTAGGAGGAATACCTAATGTAGATGACAGGTTGATGGGTGTAGCAAACCACCATGGCACATGTATACCTGTGTAACAAACCTGCACATTCTGCATGTGTACCCCAGAACTTAAAGTATAATAATTTAAAAACATTTTTAAAAAGAACTAACAATGAGACTTACAAGAATTGAGTGATAATTTCTTAGGTCAAGAGAAAAAAAATCAGAAATTAGGTAGAGTTGAAAACACAATGTGGAAGGGTATTTATGGTTAAGCGTTTGCTAAACACATTTTAACAACTTAAACTGAGAACTCAAAATTGGCATCTGATTGACTAAAAGTCCAAAACTATGTTTTAATATATTATAAATACTAGATTATACAGGCATAAACAGCAGACCCTTATCTAGCTTGGAGTTACATTACTTTTACTGTTTAAGCCGTAATGATTGGCGATTCCCACTTGCCCAGACTATTTAAATCTGGCATCTCCTTTCTAAGATTTCTCTCCTCAAGTATTCCTGGGAATCCTTAGAGAATGCTACCACATCCTTCTAACCCATCCTGGTGGCCACTCTGCCCTACAGAACTCTCCAAGTCACCTTTGGCCATTTCTAAGTGAAAACTGACACTGTTCACAACACACTGCTTTGTTCCCAGTATAGACATATCCTTTCTCTTAAACTTTCCAAATCTCAGCAAAGTGAGGGATAATGATGCTTTACTGTTTGGGAGACAAACTCTGGTACCTCAGTGATTTACCATGGACATTAGAATCTAGTGTTGGGGTTGTAGCCTAGCTCTGTGCAGATTCCTGGGTGTCTAGACGCCAGTACACTACTCCAGCCAAGGAGAAATTTCCATGTTCCTTCACTTCAAGACCCCTATTCTTTGGTCCTATATTTCAGAAATGCCCCAAGGACCAGGCCCACCAATTCTTGCCCCACCTAGACTGATATTGAAAATAGGCACCTGTTCTTTTAGCAGAAGAAGCCAGGCGTGGGTTGACTGTCAAGGGTTAGATGATGCAATCATAGTGGGTGAAAATGTACTTCCCAAGTTTTTGGATAATTCAATCTTAATATGGAGGCCACTGACATTCTGTTTGTATCCATATTTTGGGAAAACAGTTGTCTAACTCTACAAGTCAATAGTCTGCCTAAAAATGCAGCCATTTATATTACTACATCCAAATTTGTGGAGACTTCACAATTTTCTCCAGAAACAATGATAGGTACTTTTATGTAATTAAAAGTTCCATCCTGGTGAATTTCCCAAAACAAAGGGAATTTGTTCTAAAACTTAACTGATATTTCCAACTCTGGGAACTGAAACATTCAGCAACCACAAATTGTTGTTCCTTTTCTAAAAGTAATTTTTAAAAGTAATCTTAAATTCTTCCCAAAAACCCACACGAAGTTATAGTTAATATTCACAATGAATTCAGGTTAATATGGGGAAACATAGAACAAAGATGAGATATTCACATGCATTTATTTTTAAAAGATATAATTCAGAGAAATACATTGGCATTTCCAAGTGTCTATCTTTTTTTTTTCTGGAGAAAAGTTCTAGTGTAGGCCCTCTTTCTATTTTCATAACAGCATTGACACACATTTCTTCAAACAGAATTATGTTCTAATTCAAATAATTTATGAAAATATACATCTTCAACTACAGAAGTGATTGCAGCAATTAGCTAGAAATGAAATATATGAAAAATTAATAGTGATTTTATAACATTTTAAGTATGAAGGTTTTTTCCTTACACAAATAATACCTATTTATTGTTTTCAAAAATTGTGAGATATAGGAAGGTATAAATAAGAAAAATACTTACCAATAATCCTACCATCCAAAGATAATCAGTTGTTACTTTGCTGTCTTTCCTTGGTGTATTTTTCTAATAATTAAAAAATAGTTGTGATTATATGCTATCCTAATTTTCCCATGTTATTTGAAATAAAAGTATTTTCCTATATCATTAAAAATGACTTACAAATATAATTTTGATGAAAAGAGTAACCTTGGCTTGTGATGACCTTTTTAATTCCTGAGATTAGTTATAAGGCATGCTTGTACAGGTCAATGACAAAACAAATAGTTTTGTCAGAATTGAAGTTCTGTTGCATTCCAATTTAACTTATCATATCATTATCAGAAGACTAGATTTTTCAGAAACTAGTTAAAAGCACAGAGCAAAACACATGGTTTGCCTCCAAACTGAGGTGGAACCCTTGGTTCAAGCTTTTATAGGCCAGTGAACATTCTCATTCGTCCTAGAAGAGCCTCTAATGATGGGAGAGCTAAGTGAGTCAATCATAACTACATTGGATTTTGCTATCTAGTTCCCCTAATGGATGTATACCAAAAGCCTTCTTTGATCTCCTTTTATGTACCAGACTTATTTTTAGATGTTGTAGAGTAGTAAACAATTAGAGTGGGCCCTGCCCTTGTGGCACGGCATGGGTGAAAGGTATGCTCCCTGTCCTCATTCATCATAAGGGTCACGATCAACACTCCTATAATAAAAGACAGGTTAACAAGAAAAAAGCATAGCAAATTTATTTAATTTAAGTTTTATGTGACACAGGAGCCTCAGAAATGAAGACCTAAAGGCCCAGGGAAAACTGTTGTAGGTTCAATGAAGAATGGAGAGCCATGTACGAATGTGATTGGATAAAGGATATGATCTAATGATAATAGACTGGTGGGAGAAACATAGCAAGGCCTTTCTGTACAGATTTCCTTGGTCTGTCTGTGTAGCATTCCTTCCTCTGAGGTATGGACAACACCCCTCTGGAATGAAGATCTTCAAGGGAAAAGGGAGAGGGGAAAGACCTTTCTAGACTTTATGGCTTGCTTTGAGGGAGAGAGGTTCTAGTTTCTATGACTCAAGTCATAATCAAGTCTACTACTGAATTTGAAAGAGGAATTTTGGCTTCTATGACCTGTTTCTGGGGAAAACAAGGGGAAAGAGACAGGAGGGCAGGAGAAGGTCATAGAAAATTTTCTTCTGAGGCCTTTCAATCTCCTTCAGTTCAAAATACTCAGCATGCCAATGTGCCATACTTTGGGGTATCATGTTTTGAGCCCTGAGAGCACTAGCAAGCTGGCTGGAGCTTGTTAACTAAAATTTATTAGAAAGTTTCTGTGCAGTGTTAAATCATTGGAGTAAGTCTTCTTAATCATTAAGCATGTAAGATAGTGGTACAGATTAGAAAGCAATATTATAATTCTTCAAAATAAAACAAATGAAGAAACATCTATTTGATTATCTGGCATATTTCATTTCTCGAAACTTGCAAAATAAAAAATGCCATTTATAGATAGTCTAGGGAAAGAAAAAACATGCAGTTATCCTATTAAGAGCAGATCATGAGTCTCAGGAGTCAATAAGTAATTTGTCAAAAGTATACTGCACAAAATGTATCCTTAATAGAGCTTATAATCAGAAGATTGTGTACTAGGCAATGAATTTTATATCCAAAATAATCAAATAGATGGATTTCTTATAGCAAAAAAAGCTATCTATTTTATATTTTTAAACTTTTATTTTAGGTTCGGGGGTACTTGTGCAGGTTTGTTATATAGGTAAACTCATGTCATGGGGGTTTGTTGTACAGATTATTCGTCAATCAGGTACTAAGCCTATTACCAATAGTTATTTTTCTGCTCCTCTTCCTCCTCCCACACTCCACCCTCAAGTAGGCCCCAGTGTCTGTTGCCCCCTCTTTGTGTCCATGTGTTCTCATCATTCAGCTTTCACTTATAACTGAGAACATGTGATGTTTGATTTTCTGTTCCTGCATTAGTTTGCTAAGGATGATGGCCTCCAGCTGCATCCATGTTCCTGCAAAGTACATTATCTCATTCTTTTTATGGCTGCGTAGTATTCCATGGTGTATATGTACCACCTTCTCTTTATCCAGTCTACCATTTATGAGCATTTAGGTTGATTCCATGTTTTTGCTATTGTGAGTAGTGCAGCAATAAACATAGAAGTGTAAGTGTCCTTTTGGTAGAATGATTTCCATTCCTTTGGGTATATACCCAGTAATGGGATTGCTGAGTTAAATGATAGTTCTGTTTTTAGCTCTTTGAGGAATCACCCACAGCATTCCACAAGGTTTGAACTAATTTACTCTCCCACCAACAGAGTATAAGTGTTCCATTTGCTCTGCAACCTCACCAACATCTGTTATTTTTTGACTTTTTAATAATAACCATTCTGACTGGTATGAGATTGTATCTCATTGTGGTTTTGATTCACATTTCTCTAATGATCAGTGATATTGAGCTTTTTTTCATATGCTTGTTGGCAACATGTATGCCTTCTTTTGAAAATTGTTCATGTCCTTTACCCACTTTTTAATGGAGTTGTTTGTTTTTTTCTTGTAAATTTAAGTTCCTTAAAGATGTTGGCTATTAGACCTTTGTTAGATGCATAGTTTGCAAATATTTTCTCCCATTCTGTAGTTTGCCTGTTTACTTTGTTGATAGTTTCTTCTTGTTTTTACTTTTACATGAATGTTTATAGCAACAATATTCACAAAAGTCAAAACATTAAAACAACCTAAATATTCATCAACTGATTAACAGAAAAACAAAATGTGGCATATCCATACAAAGGAATATTATTCAGCCATAAAAAGAAATGAAGTACTGTCACATGCTACAATTTGGATGAACTTTGATAACATTATGTTAAGGAAGCTATACACGAAAGGCCACATATTATATAATTGCATTACATGAAATTCCCAGAATACATAAATCCTTAAAGACAGAAAGCAGATTAGTGGTTTATTAATATACATTATTATTAACTAAAGTCCATACTTATTTAGGTTTCCTTGGTTGTTACCTAATACCCTGTTTAAGATACCACGTTCAATTTATTCACCATTTCCCTTATTGTCGATACTTTATTTTGCTATGCAGAAGCTCTTAAGTTTAATTGGATCTCATTTGTCAATTTTTGCTTTTGTTGCAATTGCTTTTGGAGTCTTCATCATAAAATCTTTGCCAGGTTCCTAGTTCCCAAATGATATTGCCTAGGTTGTCTTCCAGGGTTGTTATAGTTTTGGGTTTTACATTTCTCTTTAATCCATCTTGAGTTGATTTTTTTATATGGTGTAAGGAAGGGGCCCAGTTTTAATCTTCTGCATATGGCCAACTGGTTATCCCAGTGCCACTTATTAAATAGGGAGTCCTTTCCCCATTGCTTGTTTTTGTCAAAAAAAAAGCTATCTATTTTTAGAATAAACAATTCCCCCTTCATAAGGAAGTATTCTAGGTGGATAGATGAATTTTATGAAAGCACAAAATAACTATACCTTTGTTATTCGAATCTGAAGAACATGAAAATCACCTCGGGTAACCTTTTATTGAATAGCAATAAGGTCAATGTCTTAAAAAAAAAAAAAGAAGTGTAACAGAGAAAGGGTAACAAATCGGGAGAAGCCAAATATAAAGTTCTAGATGTTTATTTATATATCTAGCACCTGCTACCGAGAAATTTTGAAGATCTCATTCCGTGCATACTATACTAAAAGCAACCATTTTATCACATATGCATTTAAATTGTTGGTGCATTAGATAATACTCTTTTATTCCACTTGTTTTCTACACTCTAAGATTCTTGAGAGTGTAAAGTGTCACTAATCATCGTGTATATGGTGTATGAATATGAAACTCTGTTAGCACACAGACAAGGGCAAATTTGTTTTATTCCATTATTTGTACTGTGACAGAGCAAAATTTACTTATCACTACAATGTGAGGATTTAACATTTTTCATTACACTCATCACTCTGTTGTGTGTGTGTGTGTGTGTGTGTGTGTAACCATTAATCTTTCCTAAAGTGGCCACAAGTATCTTTTTCAGTAGATGTTGTCATTCGATGTCTTTGCTTGATGCCTGCATTAAAATAAAATGAATTGTGACAAAAGATTAATAGCTAACATCATATTAAACTGGCTTTTTTTTCTTTTTTTTTTTTTTGGAGACGGAGTCTCACTCTGCCGCCCAGGCTGGAGTGCAGTGGCACGATCTCGGCTCACTGCAAGCTCCGCCTCCCAGGTTCATGCTGTTCTCCTGCCTCAGCCTCCCCAGCAGCTGGGACTACAGGCGCACGCCGCCACGCCCGGCTAATTTTTGTATTTTTAGTAGAGACAGGGTTTCACTGTGTTAGCCACGATGGTCTCAATCTCCTGACCTTGTGATCCACCCGCCTTGGCCTTCCAAAGTGCTGGGATTACAGGTGTGAGCCACCGCGCCTGGCCTAAACTGGCTTTCTTAAATTGAGTATACAAAAGTGTTAATTGCCCATTTACAAGCGTTACAGAACTGAACTCAAATGTGTGTGACTGCAGAAGTAGTTATATATGTTGCTAGTTTATTTTTATGATTAGATTTTGAAGGAAAATGGCCCAGAAATTGTCCTACACAATACATGAGCAAAATAGTATTTGATAATTAAAACAGAGAGTTTAGGATTTGACCATGTTATTCCTGACAACGTGTTAAAGTAAAAGGATGGCTTTCATACCAGAAAACAGTTGTTCCCTGGGTGTTGCCAATGAATCATTGAAAAAACACTGGATTTAAGGAGCTAAAAACAGTGCCAGCTTTCTCATTTTGCTCTTTCTAGTATTCAGTGGGGGTAGTTACTGAATTTCCTAATTACGAAATGCTCATTCTTTTCAGTCTTGCTTACAGAAACGAGAGATTACTGAACTAATAAATTACACATTGCCCAAAAACATATAAACTTAAGAACAGAAATCTGTATTAGATTCTGTATTTAATGATGAGGAGTTAAACTAACAGTTTTAGCCTTGGAACACCAGAGAAAAATATCATGAGAGCTTGCCATAGGGAAGCACTAACTGAAAGTCATGTGTATGTATTCAGCGAAGAAAATCCCCATAGCAATGAGAAAATGTCGAGAATTTCATAGAGGAGGTCAAAGGTTTTCATTTCTATTATGCTTCCCTGTTGTTAGGGTTAATGTTGAACAGGATGGAATTTTTTACATGCAGTCACTTTAGGACTTTTATTCCAAGTTTTAAGATCATGGCTGTGAAACTTTTCTTAAATCTAAACTATTGAAAATTTATTTTGTAATACAAAATAATGTCTGAGGCAGAAGTTGAATTCTGTAAGTAATTAGGTCACTGAATTGTTAGTTAAATGTGCCCACAATTTTGTGCTTCCAGTTTCACCCGAAATCAACTTTAAACAGGTCAACAAAACAATTGAAGAGAAGTGTCTGGAGTACTTCATACGAAGACAGAAATCCCCTGGAGTAAAGTGGAAAGAGACCTGTCTCTATAAACAACTGAAATAGCTTAATTTTGAAAGCAACAAAATTATTTTTTATGAAGAAGAAAAGTCTCCACTGCATTCTTCACAAAATAATTCCTAGTATTTCTTAATGACTATTAAAAAAATCTAACTACTTATATTACAATACGTACTGGAAATCTTTTTATTATTTTTAATTTTGTAGGTACATTGGTGTATATATTTACAGGGTACATTAGAACTTTGATACAGTCATGAAATAAGCAATAATCACATCATGGAAAATGGGGTATCCATCCCCTCAAGCATTTATTCTTTGTGTTGCAAACAATCCAATCATACTATTTTAGTTATTTTTAAATGAATAATGGCAGGGTGCAGTGGCTCATGCCTGTAATCTCAGCACTTTGGGAGGCTGAAGCGGGCAGATCACCTGAGGTCAGAAGTTTGAGACCAGACTGGCCAACATGGTGAAACCCTGTCTCTACTAAAAATACAAAAATTATTCAAGTGTGGTGGCAGACGCCTGTAATCCCAGCTACTTGGGAGGCTGAGGCAGGAGAATGGCTTGAACCTGGGAGGTGAAGGTTGCAGTGAGCCGAGATCGTGCCATTGCACTCCAGCCTGGGTAACAAGAGTGAAACTCCATCTCAAAAACAAACAAACAAATACAAACAAACAAAACTCCCAAAACAATCCAATCATACTCTTCTAGTTATTTTTAAATGAATAATGGCCAGATGCGGTAGCTCATGCCTGTAATCCCAGCACTTTGAGAGGCTGAGGCGGGCAGATAGATCACTTGAGGTCACGAGTTCAAGACCAGCCTGGCTAACATGGTGAAACCCGATCTCTACTAAAAATACAAAAATTAGCTGGGTGTGGTGGTGGGCACCTGTAATCCTAACTACTCTGGAGGCTGAGGCAGGAGAATCACTTAAACCCAGGAGACAGAGGTTGTAGTGAGCTGAGATCGTGCTGCTGCACATTAACCTGGGCGACAGAGCGAGATTCCGTCTCAAAAAAAAAAAAAATATATATATATATATATATTTGACTATAGTCACCCTGTTGTGCTATCAAACACTAGGTTTTATTCATTCTCTCTCTCTCTCTCTCTCTAGTACTCAATAATCATCTCCACTTGTTCCCCACCTGCCTACTACTCTTCCCAGCCTCTGGTAACCATCCTTCAACTCTCTAAGAGTTCAATTATATTTTCGCTTATGTCGCTCAGGCTGGAGTGCAGTAGTGTGATCCTGGCTCACTGCAACCTCTGCCTCCCAGGTTCAAGTGATTCTTGTGTCTCAGCCTCCCAATTAACTGGGGTTACAGGCCTGTACCACCACACCCTGCTGATTTTTGTATTTTTAGTAGAGGCGGGGTTTCACCATGTTCGCCAGGCTGGTCTCGAACTCCTAGCCTCCAGTGATCCACCTGTCTTGGCCTCCCACAGTGTTGGGATTACAGGCATGAGCCACTGCACTGGGCCAATTATTTTCATTTTTAGCACCCACAAATAAATGAGAATATATGAAGTTTGTCTTTGTGTCTGACTTATCTCACTTAACATAATGACCTCCAGTTCCCTCCATGTTGTTGCAAATGACAGGATCTCATTCTTTTTTATGACTGAATAGTACTTCATTGTGTATATGTACCACATGTTTTATCCAATCATCTGCTGATGGACATTTAGGTTGCTTCCAAATCTTGGCTATTGTGAACAGTGCTGCAACAAACAGCATGGCAGATATCTCTTCAATAAACTGATTTCCTTTCTTTTGGGTATATACTCAGCAGTGGGATTGATGGATCAGATTGTAGCTCTATTTTAGTTTTGTGAGGAACCTCCAAACTTCTCCATAGTGTTTGCACTGATGTACATTTCTACCAACATTGTACAAGGGTTTCCTTTTCTCCATGTTGTCACCGCCATTTGTTATTGCCTGTCTTTTGGATAAAAGCCATTTTAACGGGGATGAGATGATGTCTTATTGTAGTTTTGATTTGCATTTCGCTGATGATCAATGATATTGAGCACCTTTTCATATGCCTGCTTGCCATTTGTATGTCTTTTTTTCAAAAATGTTTATTCAAATATTTTGCCCATTTAAAATCTGATTATTAGATTTTTTTTCCTATGGAGTTGTTTAAGCTCCTAATGTATTCTGGTTATCTTGTCAGATGGTTAGTTTGCCAATATTTTCCCTCATTCGGTGAGTTGTTTCTTTGCTTTATTTTTTCCTTCACTGTGCAGAAGCTTTTTAACTTGATGTGATCCCATTTGTCCATTTTTGCTATGGTTGCCTGTGTTGTGGGGTACTATTCAAGAATTTTTTGCCCAAGCCAATGTTTCATAGTTTGAGGTCTTAGATTTAAGTCTTTAATTCATTTTGGTTTGGATTTTGTATATGGTGATAAGTAGGGGTCTAGTTTCATTATTCTGCATATGGATATCCAGTTTTCCAGTACCATTTATAGAAGAGACTGTCTTTTCCCCAATGTATATTTTTGGCATCTTTGTTGAAAATAAGCGCACTGTAGATGCAGGGATTTATTTCTGGGTTCTCTATTCTGTTCCATTGTTCTATGTGTCTGTTTTTATACCAGTCCCATGCTGTTTTGGTTACTATAGGTGTGTAGTATAATTTGAAGTCAGGTAATGTGATTTCTCCTGTTTTGTTCTTTTTGCTCAGTATAGCTTTGGCTATTTGGGGTCTTTTGTGGTTCTGTATAAATTTTAGGATTGATTTTTCTATTTCTGTGAAGGATGTTATTGGTATTTTGATAAGTATTGCATTAAATCTGTAGATTGGTTTGGATAGTATGTACATTTTAACAATATTGATTCTTCCGATTCATGAACATGGACTGTCTTTAGATTTTTTGTGTGTCCTCTTCAATTTTTTTCATCGGGTTTTATCGTTTTTATTGTAGAGATCTTTCACTTCTTTGGTTAATTCTTAGGTACTTAATTTTATTTTGTGGCTATTGCACATGGGATTACTTTTTTTATTTCTTTTTCAGATTGTTCACTCTTGGCATATAGCATTGCCACTAGTTTTTGTGTGTTCATTTTGTATCCTGCAGCTTTACTGAATTTGTTTATCAATTCGAATATGTTTCTGGTGGAATCTTCAGGTTTTTCCATGTATAAGATCATATTATCTGAAAACAAGGATAATTTGACTTCTTCCTTTCCAACTTGGATGCCCTTTATTTCTTTGCCTTGTCTGATTGCTCTAGCTAGAACTTCCAGTGCCATATTAAATAATAGTGGTGAAAGTAGCATTCTTGTCTTGTTCCAGATCTAAGAGGAAAGGCTTAGTTTTTCCCTATTCAGTAAGATACTAGTTGTGGGTCTGTCGTAAATGGATTTTATTGTGTTGAGGTATGTTCCTTCTATGCCTAGTTTGTTAGGGTTTTTATCATGAAGGGATGTTGAACTTTATCAAATGCTTTTTCAATATCAATTGAAATGATCATATGGTTTTTAATCCTTCATTCTGTTGATATGATGTATCACAATGATTGATTTGTGTAGACTGAACCGTAATTGGCATCTCTGAGATAAATCCCACTTGGTCATGATGACTAATCTTTCTAATGTATTGTTGAATTCAGTTTGATAGTATTTTGTTGAGGATTTTTGAATTAATATCCATCTCATGTATTGGCCTGTAGTTTTCTTTTATTGATGTATCTTTGTCTCATTTTGGTATCAGGGTAATATTGGCCTCAGAGAATGAGTTTGGCAGTATTCTCTTCTCCTCTGTTTTTCAGAATATTTTGAGTAGGATTGGTATTAATTCTTTAAATGTTTGGTATAATTCAACAGTGAAGCTATTGGATCCTGGGATTTTCTGTACTGAGAGATTTTTCATTACAGTTTTAATCTCACTATTTGTTATGGGTCTGTTTAGGTTTTGGATTTCCTCATGGTTCAATCTTGGTAGATTGTGTGAGTTTAGGAAATTATACATTTCCTCTAGATTTTCAAATTTTTTAGATTGTATGAATTTAGGAAATTATACATTTCCTCTAGATTAGCAATTTTTTCATATAGTTGTTCATAGTAGCCACTAATGATCCTTTGAATTTCTGCAGTATCAGTTGCAATGTCTTCTTTTTCATCTTTGATTTTATTTATTTGGATCTTCTCTTTCTTTTTTTCTTAGTTAGCCTGGCTAACCATTTCTCAATTTTGTTAATTTAAAAAAAATTTTTAATTCATTAATTTCTGCTCTGGTCTTTCTTTCTTTTCTTGTACTAAATTTATGGTTTGGTTTTCTCTTGCTTTTCTAGTTCCCTGGTCTTTATTTTGTACTAACTTTTTGATTTGGTTTGGTTTGCTCTTTCTTGTCTAGCTCTCTGGTCTTTATTATTTATTTTCTTGTGCTAACTTTTTGGTTTGGTTTGCTTTTGCTTTTCTAGTTCTTTAAGATGCATTGTTAGGTTATTTATTTGAATTTTTTCTCCTTTAGTGATGTAGACACTTAAAAATTTTTTTCTTATTACTGCTTTTGGTGTATCCCATAGGTTTTGATATGTTATGTTTTCACTGTAATTTCTTTCAAGAAATTTTTCAGTTTCCCTCTTAATTTCTTCATTGACCCGCTGGTCATTCAGGAGCATATTGTTTAATTTCCATGTGTTTGCATAGTTTCCAAAATTCCTCTTGTTATTGATTTCTAGTTTATTCCATTGTGGTCAGAGAAGATGCTTGATATTATTTCAATTTTTCGGATGTTCTAAGATTTGTTTTGTGACCTAGCATATGGTCTATCCTTGAGGATAATCCGTGTGATGAGGGGAAGAATGTGTATACTGCAGCCTTTGGATGAGATGTTCGGTAAATATCTATTAGGTCCATTTGTTCTATAGTGCAGATTAATTCCAAAGTTTCCTTGTTGATTTTCTGTCTGGAAGATCTGTCCAGTGCTGAAAGTGAAGTGTTGAAGTCTCCAGATCTTACTGTATTGAGGTCTATCTTTGTCTTTAGCTCTAATAATATTTGTTTTATATATCTGGGTGCGCCAGTGTTAGGTGCAGATATATTTATTTTAATTGTTATATCTTCTTGCTGAATTGACCCCTTTATCATTATATAATGACCTGCTTCATCTCTTTTTATAGTTTTTATCTTCTTGTCTATTTTGTCTGAATAAGTGTAGCTACTCCTGGTGTTTTTTGATTTCCATTGGCATGGAATATTTTTCTCCATCCCTTTATTTTCAGCTTATGTGTGTCTTTATAAATGAAGTTTATTTCTTGTAGGCAAGAGATTATTGAGTCTTACTTTTTTAATCTATGCAGCCACTCTATGTCTTTTGACTGGAGAGTTTGGTCCATTTACATTCAATGTTATTATTGATAAGTAAGGACTTACTCCTGCCATTTGGTTATTTGTTTTCTGGTTGTTTTGTGGTCTTCTCTTCCTTCTTTCTTTCCTTCTTCCCTGTCTTTCTTTTAGTGAAGGTGACTTTCTCTGGTGGTATGAACTAATTTTTTGTTTTTTACATTTTGTGTATCTGTTGTGTGATTTTCACTTTTAGGTTGCCATGAGACTTGCAAATACTATTTTATAACCCATTATTTTAAACTAAGGACAACTTAACACTGGTTGTATAAACAGACAAATAAGTAAAAAAAATAGAAAACTAATTAAAAGTCTGCACTTTAACTTTGTCCCCCCCTTTTTAACTTTTTGTTATTTCTATTTATGTCTTACTATACTGCCTATGTCTTGAAAAGTTGTTATAGTTATTATTTTTTATTGGTTCATAGTTTAGTCTTTCTACTTAAGAATATTTTACACATTACAGTTACAGTGTTATAATAATATTTGTTTTTCTGTGTGCTATTACCAGTGAGTTTTGTACCTCTTTATGAATTCTTACTGCTCATTAACATCTTTTTCTTTTAGATTGATGTACAACATTTAGCATTTCTTATAGAACAGGTCTGGCATTGATGAAATCCCTCAGCTTTTGCTTGTCTGAGAAGGTCTTTATTTCTCCTTCATGTTTGAAGGATATGTTCTCTGTATACTATTCTAGGGTAAAGGTTCCTTTCCTTAAGCACTTTAAACATGTCACACAACTCTCCCATGGCCTGTAAGGCTTCCACTGAAAAGTCTGCTGCCAGACATATTGGAGCTCCATTGTATCTTATTTGCTTCTTTTCTCTTGCTGCTTTTAGGATACTTTATTTATCTTTTAGCTTTGGGACTTTTATTATTAAATGCCTTCAGTTAGTCTTCTCTGAGTTCAATATGCTTCATGTTCTATAACCTCCTTCTACTTGCATATGGGTATCTTTCTGTAGGTTTAGAAAGTTCTCTGATATTATCCTTTTAAATAAACTTTTTACCCCATCTCTTTCTCTACCTCCTCTTTAAGGTCAATAACTCTTAGATTTGCCCTTTTAAGGTTATTTTCTAGATCTCGTAGTTGTGCTTAATTCTTTTTTATTTTTTTCTTTTGTCTCCTCTGACTGTGTATTTTCAAAGATCCTGTCTTCAATCTCACGAATTCATTCTTCTGCTTGACCAGTTCTGCTATTAAAGGACTCTGACATGTTCTTCAGTATGCCAGTTGCATTTTTCAGCTCCAGAATTTCTGCTTAATTCTTTGTAATTATTTCAATCTCTTTGTTACATTTATCTGATAGAATTCTGAATTCTTTCTATGTGTTATCTTGGATTTCTTTGAGTTTCCTCAACACAGCTTTTTTGAATTCTCTGTCTAAAAGGCTACATATCCCTTTTCTCCAGCATTGGTTCCTGGTGCCTTATTTAGTTCATATGGTGAGGTCATGTTTTCCTAGATTGTCCTGATGCTTGTTCATTGGTGTCTGGGCATTGAAGAGTTAGGCATTTATTGTAGTATTTGCAGTCTGGGCTTGTTTGTACCTGCCCTTCCTGGGAAGGCTTTCCAGGTATTTGAAAAGATTGGGGCCCCAAATTCAATAATGCTGTGGTTCTTGAAGATTCACAGAGTGACCGCTTGGTGATCCTGGATAAGATCTGGAAGAATTCTCTGAATTACCAGGCTCAGACTCTTGTTCTTTTCCCTTACTTTCTCCAAAACAAATAGAGTCTTCCTCTCTATGCTGAGCCTCCTACAACTAGGGGTGGCAAGACAAAGCACCCCAGTGGCCACCACCACTGGGGCTGTACTGGGTCAGACCTGAAGCCAGCACATCACTGGCACTTGCCTAAGGCCTGCTGTAACCACTACCTGGCTGCCACCTAAGTTCACTCAAGTCCCTAGGGTTATACAATCAGCAAGTGGCAAAGCTAGCCAGATTTTTGTCCCTCCCCTCAGGGCAGTGACTTTCCCCTGGTCCTGGGTGGGTCCAGAGATGCTGTCTGGGAGCCAGAGATTGATGTCAAAAATCTTGGAAATTTACTTGGTGTTCTAGTCCACTGTGGCCAAGCTGGCACTCAAACCACACAAGACTACACCTTTCCCACTCATCTCTCCTCTTTCCACAGGCTGAGGAGCCTCTCCATATGGCCACCACCATCATCGACCCACAGGGGTTTCTGCCAGGCCACCACCAGTGTTCACTTAAAGCCCAGGGGCTCTTCAGTCAGCTTGTGATTAAGGGCTTCTCGGGCTGTCAGGCCCGAGACTCACTGTTCAGGGCAGTGGGCACCCTGTCTGGCCCCAGGGCAGGTTTATAAATGCTAACCAAGAACTTAGGTCTAGACTTGGGAACCACAAGGGCTTGCTTGGTGCTCTACCCCACTGTAACTAAGCTAGTGCCTGAGGTCCCAGACAGAGTCCCCTTTATTTTTCCCTCGCTTTTCTCAAACAGAAGGAGTCTTTCCACCATAGCCACCACAGCTGTGAATGTGCTGGATCACACCTGAAAGCAGCAAGTCTCAGAATCCAAGGCCCATGGCATATTACCTGGGTATTGCTTTGGTCATTCAGGGCCCAGGAGCTCTTTAGTCATCAGGTGATGAATCCTGCTAGGTGTCTGCTATGACAAGGCAGCAGAGTTCAATGTAAAGCCCCCCATTGCTGCCCTCTCCCTCTCCCAAAAACATAGATTTCTCCATGCCACCTACCCATTGCCAGGAATACTATGTGTAGTTCTTTAATATGGGTAATGGGGTGCTGTAGTAAACTAGTTTGATTAAAGATGATTGATTGAAACAATTTTATCTTGTGGAAAATTGATTTTGGGGCTCCAAAAGAGATGACCTATGTAGCATACGTTTTATTTCAAGACAATTTGGCTATGTCCTTCTTGTCTGATGAGATTTTGTATTGTTTTGTTTGGTGTTTGCTGTTACTGTATCACCAGAAATTTTGTTGAACTTGAAACTTTGATTCAGTTTAAATTTTATGGTCTTATTTTGAAAGAAAATATGTATGTATGTATGATGTGTGTGTGTGTGTATATATATATATATATACACACACACATATATGATATATACATGTATATATATCATAGGTAGATATTACTTGTCATCTTAAAAATAGCTCAGAAATTATTCTACTTTGAAACATTTTCTTTTGTCAAATCTCAGAAGAAAGTATTTATATTTTAATCTATTTTTTCTTGGTGAATAGTAGGCCAAGTGACATTTATTGCAAATATAGCAGATATAAATAAATTAAAATGAACAGAGTTAATTAGGTTCAAGCATATAACATACTGGTATCCATAAACATTTGAAAGTTCCCACTGCTGAATAAACATACAGCCAAATAAAACCAAGTTACGGTTTTACAACTTCCTGTGTTTATCATATTAAGTGTTAAAGCTTACATATGAAAAAGCACTTTTAATGGATTAAATATGAACATAATGGCATATTTATATTAGATTTCTATACTTCCCCCCTCTAAAATAATTAAAATTCAGGACAAATACTTTAAAATCAACAAAGTGTAAGGAAGGGGAAGTAGAGCTTAACAATTACTAGAAAAGATTCCTTTCTTTAAAGACTTACAAGCAGGTATCCCTAGCAGGCAAAAACATACACAAACACACACCCACACGTGCCCTCCATCAACAACTGCTGCCCTACCTTATAGACTAATTCTGTTCTTGGCAGATGGCCATCTGTTTCTGGCCTTGGGCCTTGACATTGACCTTAAAAAAGGAAACAGATGACTGTAGGAAATAGGTCCAAGAAGATGTAGGACTAAATTTTCTAAATAGTCCAAAGTCCTAGGAAAAGAAAGACATTCAAAAGAGAGTTGGTACCAATCCTACTGAAATTATTCCAAAAGATAGAAAAAGAGGGAATCCTCCTTAATTCATGTTATAAAGCCAGTATTACCCTAATTCCAAAAACAAGAAAGGACATAACCCAAAAAGAAAACTACAGACCAATATCCCTGATGAACATACATGCAAAAATCCTCAACAAAATACCAACTAACTGACTCCAGCAGCATATAAAAAGATAACACATCATGATCAAGTGTGTTTCATACCAGGGATGCAGGGACAGTTTAACATATGGAGGTCAATAAATGTGATGCACCACATAAACAGAATTAAAAACAAAAATTATATGATCATCTCAAAAGATGCATAAAAAGCATTTGACAAAATCCAGAATCCCTTTATGATTAAAACCCTCAGCAAAATTGGCATAGAAGGAATATACCTCAAGGTAATAAAGGCCATCTATGACAAACCCACATCCAACATTATACTAAATGGGGAAAAGTTGAAAGCATTTGCCCTGAGAACTGGAACAAGACAAGGATGCCCACTTTCACCACTTCTATTCAACATAGCACTGGAAGTCCTAGCCAGAGCAATCAGACAAGAGAAATAAATAAAAGACATCTAAATCAGTAAAGAGGAAGTCAAATTTTCACGGTTCACTGATGATATGATCGTATACTTAGTAACCTCTAAAAACTCATCAAAAAAAGCTCCCAGATTTGATAAATGAATTCAGCAAAGTTTCAGGATACAAAATAAATGATCACAAACCAGTAGCGCTGCTATACACCAACAGCGACCAAGCTGAGAATCAAATCAAGAACTCAACCTCTTTTACAACAGCTGCAAAAAAAATAAAATACTTAGGAATATACCTAACAAAGGAGGTGAAAGATCTCTACAAGGAAAGCTACAAAACACTGCTGAAAGAAATCACAGGTGATACAAACAAATGGAAACACATCCCATGCTTATGGATGGGTAGGATCAATGTTGTGAAAATGACCATACTGCCAAAAGCAATCTATAAATTCAATGAAATTCTCATCAAAATACTATCATCATTTTTTCACAGAACTAGAAAAGCTATCCTAAAATTCATATGGAATAAAAAAAAAAACAGCCCACATATCCAAAGCAAGACTAAGAAAAAAGGACAAATCTGGAGGCATCACATTACCCAACTTCAAACGATTAATATACTATAAAGCCATAGTCACCAAAATAGTGTGCTGCTGGTATAAAGATGGGCATGTAGACCAATGGAAGAGAACAGAGAACCAAGAAATAAAGCCAAATACGTATAGCCAACTGATCTTTGACAAAGCAAACAAAAACATAAAGTGGGGAAAGGACACCCTATTCAACAAATGGTGCTGGGATAATTGGCAAGCCACATGTAGAAGAATGAAACTGGATCCTCATCTCTCACTGTATACAAAAATCAACTCAAGATGGATCAAAGACTTAACTAAGACCTGAAAACATAAAAATTCTAGAAAATAACATTGGAAAAACTTCCAGACATTGGCTTAGGCAAAGAGTTCATGACCAAGAACCCAAAAGCAAATGCAACAAAAACAAAGATAAATAAATGAGGCACATGTATACATATGTAACAAATCTGCACGTTGTGCACATGTACCCTAAAACTTAAAGTATAGTAATAATAAAATTAAAAAAAAGAAAAAATAAATTGAGCCTTAATTAAACTTAAAATCTTCCGCACAGCAAAAGAAATAATCAGCAGAGTAAACAGACAACCCACAGAGTGGGTAGAAAATTTTCGCAAACTATGCCTCTGAAAAAGGACTAATATCCAGAATCTGCAAGGAATTTAAACAAATCAGCAAGAAAAAAAATAATAATTTCATCAAAAAGTGAGCTAAGGACATGAATACACAATTCTCAAAAGAAGATAACAAATGGCCAACAAACATATGAAAAAATTCTCAACATCACTAATGATCAGAGAAATGCAAATCAAAACCAAAATGTGATACCACCTTCTTCCTGCAAGAATGGCCATGATTTAAAAATAAAAAAAATACATGTTAGTATGATGTGGTGAAAAGGGAACACTTTTACACTGCTGGTGGAAATGTAAACTAGTACAAACCCCATGGAAAACAGTATGGAGACTCCTTAAGGAACGAAAAGTAGAACTATCATTCTATTCAACAATTCCACTACTGGGTATCTACCTAGAGGAAAAGAAGTCATTATATGAAAAAGACACTTGCACACTCACGTTTATAGCAGCACAATTCGAAACTGCAAAAATATGGAACCAGCCTAAATGCCCATCAGCCAATGGTGGATCATAAGGTCAGGAGTTTGAGACCAGCCTGGCCAAGATGGTAAAACCCCGTCTCTACTAAAAATACAAAAAGTAGCCGGTCACAGTGGTGGGTGCCTGTAATCCCAGCTACTCGGGAGGCTGAGGCAGGAGAATCGCTTGAACCTGGGAGGCGGAGGTTGCAGTGAGCCGAGATTGCACCACTGCACTCTAGCCTGGGTAACAGAGCAAGACTCTATCTCAAAAAAAAAAAAAAAAAAAAAAGGAAAAAGAAAAGAAAAGAAGAAAAGAAAATGTGGTATATGTGTACCATAGAATACCACTTAGCCATAAAAATGAATGAAATAATGGCATCCGTAGCAAACTGGATGAAGTTGGAGACCATTATTCTAAGTGAAGTAATTCAGGAATGGAAAACCAAACATTGTATGCTCTCTCTTATAAGTGTGAGCTAAGCTGTGACACAAAGTGTAAGAATGATTATAAGGGACTCTGGGGACTCAGAGGGAAAGGTGGAAGAGGGGTGAGGGATAAAAGACTACCCACTGGGTAGAGTGTACACTGCTCAGGTGATGGGTGCAGCAAAATCTCAGAAATCACCACTAAAGAACTTCTCTATGTAACTAAACACCGCCTGTTCCCCTAAAACTATTGACATAATAATCAATAAAGAAATATGTAGAAGGAAAAAAAGTTGTGAGAATAAAAACAAGCCATTGAAATTAAAAACTCTAAAAAGAGAATATACTCTGGATTGGTCTTAGTGAAAAAGAGAACTGGCAATTTGAAAGACGGTACCGAAGAGTTTGCTCAGAGTAGCAAAAAGATAAGATATATGGAAAAATCAGTTGAGACAAAGAGAGTAGGTATTGCTGCTCTATTATATGTCTATTAGAAGTGCCATAAGAAGGAAATTGAAGAAAAATAATATTTGAAGAAATAATAACTAAGCTGAAGAAATATATGATTTTTATAACATAAGTACATTATGAGTATTAAACAGAATAAATAAATTCAAACCAAGATGCATTATGATGAAACTGCTGAACATCAAAGAAAAAATAAAAGTATTGGCAATAAGAAGGAGAAAACACAAATTAAATAGGGAGGAAACACTTTGAAACTGGCAACAAACTTTTCCTCAGCAACACAAGAACGTCAGAACATAATGGGGCAATATCTTTAAGATGCCAAAGGAACTTATCTGCCAAATTAAAATAATAGGTGGCTAAACCAGTGTACAAAAGTGGGGGTAAAACTAAAAGAAGAAAGTCAGAAAAACTCAGAAAAGGAGAATTTGCTCCCTCTAGACCTTTACTAAATTATATAAGGAGGATAACCAAACTACATGCCTTCTAATGAGAACACACAACCACTTACGAAGTAGTCTTGCAAAAACCAATAATAAATAAAACCAGAGTTAAGTCTCTAGATCAGTGCTGTCCAATAGAAATACAATGCCAGCCACACATATATTTAAATCTTCTAGTAGCTGCATTATCAATAGTAAAAATAACAAGGTGGAAATTATTTTTAATAAATGTCACCCAATATATCCAAAATATTTATTATTTCAATGCAATCAATAAAAAAACTATTAAGGTCAGGGTGCAGTGGTTCATGCCTATAATCCTTTTGGGCTCAAGCACTTTGGGATTGAGGCCAGATGTTCAAGACCAGCTTGGGCAATACAGTAAGACCCCACCTCTGTGAAAAATAAAAAAATTAGCTGGGCATTGGTGGCATGTGCCCTTAGTCCTAGCTACTCGGGAGGCTGAGGCAGGAAAATCATTTGAGCCCAGGAGTTTGAGGTTACAGTGAGATAAGACTGTATAACTACACACCAGTCTGGGTGACAAAGCAAGAGTGTCTCCTAGGGAGAAAAAAAAACTATTAATGAGGTATTTCATATTATTTTTTGTAATAAATCTTCAAAATTAGTGTGCATTTTGACGCAGCACATCTCAATTTGTACTAGCCACATTTTGAGTGCTCAATAGCTACCATATAGAACAGCACAGCTCTGATCCAAATACTAATTTATGAGAAATACAAAAGATAAATGAACATAGCCTCACCATAGGGATTCAATTGGCAAAATCCAGACTGTGGGAAATTCAATAGGTCCAAACCTGGTTTCTTCAACAAATTAATGGCAAAGAAAAAGGAGAGATTGAGGAGGAATTTGTAGATTAAGTGATTTAAATGACAAAGGAGAAAAAAACTTAAATGTGGTGTTTAGAAATGCACACAGGTGATAAAACTATAAGAAAAGCAAAAAAGTCATCACCATAAATGTTAGGATGGTGGTTACATTTGGAGGAAAAACGATTTCAATTGGAGTAGAGCACAGGCAGCACTTTTGGATTGTCTAACAATGTTATTTTCTGTACCTGAGTAGTGGTTACATCTTATAAATTCATGATTAACCTATACATTTGTTTCAAGTAGTTTTCCATGTATGTGTTATATTTTATAATAAAAAAGTGTTAATTCATAAATAAATATTTGATGGAAAAAATAAATTAATTAATTAATTATAAAAGCATTAAGAACACTAAATCAAGAGCGGAGGCATGTAATCCAGGAAACAATTGTAAGCTCAGAAAATGATTAATAAAAAAGAGTCATTAAATATAATTGACTTTAACAATAATAATTTTTGCATTAAAATAAAAATAAAAAGCTAGATAATATTAAGATTGTAAGTAGAGCAGCTGAATAGGTAAATAGCAATAATTTGAGAGAAAAAGAGAAGTACTGATAAAAGTAGACTATTAGAAACATTTACATATATATTTTAAAAATTTAAAAGTAGTCAACGAAAGAGTAGAAATAAAATATACAGCTTCTAAATCAGCAGAAGAAGGAAGTGGGAGATGTGAAAATTTTTTTTTGAAAAAAGACACTAGGCTGGGCAAGGTGGCTCATGCCTGTAGTCCCAGCATGTTGGGAGGCTGAGGCAGGCGGATCACTTGAGACCAGGAGTTTGAGATCAGCCTGGCCAACATGGCAAAACCTTCTCTCTACTAAAAAAAAAAAAGAAAAGAAACAAAAATTAGCCAGGCATGGTGGCACATGCCTGTAATCCCAGCTACTTGAGAGACAGAAAAGAGAATCACATGAACCTAGGAGGTGAAAGTTGCAGTGAGCTGAGATTAAAGCAAAAACTAAGAAAGCGATAAGCAAACTTGACAAGTTCACAATTATGGTGGGTGATTTAACAGAGCTTTCAAAAATTCATGACTCAAATACAAAATTAAGAAGGATATAAAAGATCTTAACAATGAAACAACAATCCTATTTAATGAATATATATAGAAACCTGCACCTTCTAATCAAAGAATACACCTTTTTTTTCAAGTCCACTCTGAACATTTACAAAAACTGACCTTGTATTAGGCCAGAGGAGCTTCAGTAAATTCCAAAAAAAAGTACAATATTGATAAAATTCTCCATTATAAGAGAATATTAGAATTCAAAAGTTAAAAAGTCAAAACATATACAGATGAAAACATATAGGAAAAGTTTGAAAAAAATGAGATAAGAGTTGCCAATCATATATGTGAACATACCACAGAGCTACAATAATCGTAAGAGTGTGTTTTACTTTCAAGAATAGGTAGCTCAGAACCAGGCCACGGAATATGTAAAATTATATGTACGTGTGTGTGTGTGTGTGTGTGTGTGTGTGTGCGTGCATGTGCATAGATATGTGTGTGGCATAATGATTAAGTAGAAAATAAAAAGATTTATTAAATTGCATTAAAACAGTTATATCATAACTTGGAAAAATTCCTTAGCATCCTTGTATTATACACCAAAATCAATTCCAGATAGACTAAACAGTTGAGTCTAAAAGTCAAGACAGAAAATAAGTACACAATAATAGAAATAAACATTATATCTCTGAGTGAAAGAGTATTTTTTAAGCCTAGAAGCAAAGAAAATATTCAGTAAGCAGAAGATAGGTTTGTTTACATAAAAGTTTTCTAAAAAAAACTGTATATTAAAATGTGTACAATTTTAAAAACAAAAAACACTTGCAACATAATTCAAATAAAGACTATAACTATAAATATCACATACAAATTAATGAGAAAAACACTATGAACTTTAGATAAATGAGCATTGGAGAAAATGAATTATTCACAGAAGAAAATATACAATATAAAATTTGAATTTTCTATTTAAACAATAGGATTTTATTTTCACTATTGAAATTAGTAAATGCTTTAAGGGTCTGTCAATCTCTGTTGAGATGGTCTGAATACCAACACTTGTAAAGAGTTTTTTATATACATATATGTCATTCGTATGTCTTCTTTTGAGAAATATTTATTCAGGTATTTTTGCCCATTTTTTAAATTATACTTTAACTTTTAGGGTACATGTGCACAATGTGCAGGTTTGTTACATATATACACATGTGCCCTGTTGGTGTGCTGCACCCATTAACTCATCATTTACATTAGGTATATCTCCTAATGCTATCCCTCCCCCTACCCCCACCCCACAACAGGCCCCGGTGTGTGATGTTCCCCTTCCTGTGTCCATGTGCTCTCATTGTTCAGTTCCCACCTATGAGCGAGAACATGCAGTGTTTGGTTTTTTGTCCTTGCGACAGTTTGCTGAGAATGATGGTTTCCAGCTTCATCCATGTCCCTACACAGGACATGAACTCATCATTTTTTATGGCTGCATAGTATTCCATGGTGTATATGTGCCACATTTTCTTAATCCAGTCTATCATTGTTGGACATTTGCGTTGGTTCCAAGTCTTTGCTATTGTGAATACTGCCACCATAAACATACATGTGCATGTGTCTTTATAGCAGCATGATTTATAATCCTTTGGGTATATACCCAGTAATGGGATGGCTGGGTCAACGGGATTTTTTGTTTTTTGGCCTTGAGTTGTTTGAGTTGATTATATTCTGGTTATGAATCCCTTGTCAGATGGGTAGTTTGCATGTATTTAATCCCATTCTGTAGTTTGTCTCTTCACTTTGTTAATTGCTGTCTTTGCTATGTAGATGCTTTTTGGCTTGCTATCCTATTTGTCCATTTCTGCTTTTGTTGCCTGTGCTTTTGAGGTCTTACCCAAAAGATCTTTGCCCAGACCAATGTCCTGTAGTGTTTTCCTAATGTTTTCCTTTAGTAGCTTCATATTTTCAGTTCTTACATCCAAGTTTTTAATCCATTTTGTGTTGATTGTTGTATATGGTGAACAATAGGGATTTAGTTTCATTCATCTGCATATGGAGATGCACATTTTTCAGCACCATTTATTAAAGAGACTGTCCTTTCCTATTAGTGCCTTTGTTGAAAATAAGTTGAGTGTAAATATGTGGATTTATTTGTAGGCTCTCTATTCTGTTTCATTTGTCTATGTGACTGTTTTTAAGCCAGTACCATGCTGTTTTGGTTACTATAGTCTCATAATATGTTTTTAAGTCAGGCAGTGTGATGCCTCCAGCTTTGTTCTTTTTGCTCAGAATTGCTTTAGCTACTTGGGGTCCTTTGTTGTTTCATATGAATTTTAGGATTGTTTTTCTATTTCTGTAAATAATTTCAAAACAGTTTATAGGAATTGCATTGAATCTGTAAATCACTTTGGATGGCATAGACATTTTAACAATTTAACAATATCAATTCTTCCAAACTTTTTGTGTGTGTGTGTCCTCTTCAATTTCTTTTATCAATGCTTTAAAGTTTTCTTTGTAGAGCTCTTTCACTTCTATGGTTAAATTTATTTCTAGATATTTTATTTAATTTTTGTAGCTATTGTAGATGGGATTGCTTTTTTATTTCATTTTCAGATTGATTACTGTTAGCATATAGAAATGCTACTGATTTTTGTATGTTGATTTTGTATCCTGCAGCTTTACTGAATTTGTTTATCTAAGAGTTTGTTGGTATAATTATGACGTTTTTCTAAATATAAGATTATGTTATCTGTAAACAAGGCAAATTTGACTTCTCCCTTTCCAATTTGGATCCTCTCTGTTTCTTTCCCTTGCTTAATTGCTCTGATTAGTAGTATGTTGAATAGAAGTGGTGAACGTGGGCATCCTTGTCATGTTCCACATCTTAGTGCAAAGGCTTTCAATTTTCCCCCATTTAGTACATTATCAGCTGTGGGTTTGTCATATATGGCTTTTATTGTATTGAGGTATGTTTCTTCTATACCCAATTTAGTGAGAGTTTTTTATCATGAAAAGATGCTGAGTTTTATTGAATGCTTTTCAGCATCTATTGAAATGATCGTGTGTTTTTGTCCTTGATTCTGTTGATGTGATGTATCATATTTATTGATTTGTGTACGTTGAACCATCCTTGCATCCCTGGGATGAATCTCACTTGATCATGGTGAATGACACTTTTAATGTATTGTTGAATTCTGTTTGCTAGTATTTTCTGAGGATTTTTGATGAGTATTTGTTGATCTATGTTTATTGAGTCATTGGCCTATAGTTTTCTCTCTTTTTTATTATGTTCTTGTTTGGTTTTGGCCTATAGTTTTCTTTTTTTTAAATGCCCTTCTCTGAGTTCAGTATCAGGGTAATGCTGGCCTGACAGAATGAGTTTGAAAGTATTCCCTTATCTTCAATTTTTTTGAAATAGATTGAGGAGAATTGGTATCAGTTCTACTTTAAATGTCTGGCAGGATTTAACAGTGAATCCTTCAGGTCCTGGGCATTCCTTTGATGAGGGACTTTTTATTACTGCTTTATTCTTTTTACTCATTATTACTTTGTTCAATTTTTCTATTTCTTCATGTTCAATCTTGATAGGTTGTATGTTTCCAGAAATTTATCCATATCTCACAAGTTGTCAGATGTGTTGGCATATAGTCATTTACAGTAGTCTCTAATGATCTATTATATTTCTGTTGTATCAGTTGTACAGTCTCTAATGATCTATTGTATTTCTGTTTATCTATTCAAATAACAAACTTTTTATTTCTTTGATCTTTTGTATTTGTTTTTAATCTCAATTTTATTTATTTCTGCTCTGACCTTTATTACTTGTTTCTTTCTACTAATTTTAGGTTTTATTTGTTATTGCTTTTCTAGTTCCGTGGGTTGCATGGTTAGGTTGTTTATCTGAAGTCTTTCTACTTTTCTGATGTAGATGTTTATTGCTATAAGCTGCCCCCTTAGTACTTCTGTTGTTGTACCCCATGGGTTCTGTTATGTTGTGTTTCCATTTTCATTTATTTCAAATCATTTTAAATTTCTTCTTTGACCCATTGGTCATTCAGGAGCATGTTGTTTAATTTTCATATATTTGTACAGTTTCTAGAGTTCCTCTTGGTATTAATTTCTAGTTTTATTTTATTGTGGCCAGAAAAGATACTTGATATAATTTTGACTTTTTTGAATGTGTTGGGACTTATTTTATGGACTAACATATGGCCAATTCTGGAGAATGTTCCATGTGCTGATGAGAAGAATATGTATTTTGCAGCAGTTGGATGAATATGTAAATGTCTATTTGGTTCATTTGGTCCAGATAATAGTTTAACTTCCATGTTTCTTTCTTGATTTTCTGCCTGGATGATCTTTTCATTGCCAAAATTAGGGGTGTAGAAGTCTGCTAATATTTACTGTAATGCAGTCTATCTCTTCCTTTAGAGCTATTACTATTTCCTTTATATGCTCAGGTGCTCTGGTGTTGGGTGCACGTATATTTACTATTGTTATATCCTCTTGCTGAATTGACACCTTTATTATCATATAATGTCTTCTTTGTCTCTTTTTCTGGTTTTTGACCTAAAGTCTATTTCATCTTATAGAGGTATAGCTACTTATACTCTTTTGGTTTCTATTTGCATGAAACATCTTTTTGCATTCCTTCACTTTCAGTTTATGTTTGTGTTTACAGATGAAGTGAATTTTTGTAGGCAGCATATAGTTGGTCCTTATTTTTTACTTCATTCAGCCTCTCTATATCTTTCAATTGGAAAATTTAGTCCATTTCCATTCAATGTTATTATTGAGAGGTAATAACAATGAATAACTACTGCTATTATGTTGCTTGTTTTCTGGCTATTTTGTAACTCCTGTCTTCCTTTCTTCGTTTCTTACTGTTTTCCTTTGTGATTAAGTGATTTTCTTTGGTAGTATGTTTTAATTTGTTACTTTTTATTTTTAATGTATCTATTATATGCTTTGGCTTAGTGATTACAATAAGGCTTACCAAAAACATCCTATAGTTCCGGGGTGTCCAATCTTTTGGTTTCCCTGGGCCACATTGGAAAAAGGAGAATTGTCTTGTGCCACCAATAAAATACACTAACACTAATGATAGCTGATGAGCTAAAAAACATCACACAAAAAATCTCATAATGTTTTAAGAAAGTTTACAAATTTGTGTTGGGCCACACTGAAACCTGTCCAGGGCCACTGGGCCATGAATTGGATAAGCTTGCTATAGTTCTAACAAGTTATTTAAAACAGACACCAATTTAACTTTTATCACAAAAAAAAAAGACCACCAGCAAAAAAGTTGGTATAAATTAATTCTCTTCTCCTTCCACATTTAAAATTTTTGATATCACAATTTACACTTTTATGTTGTCTGTTTAAAAAGTTTTGTAGTTATTATTTTTAATAGCTTTCCTTTTAGTATTGTTGTAAAGATATAAGTGCTTTATACACCAAGATTACAATATTAGTGTAACAATCATGTTAGCATTCTTTTCTTTTGGTTTGAAGAACTCCCTTTAGCATATTTTGTAAAACAGGTCTGATAGCAATTAATTCCCTCACCTTTCATTTGTCTGCGAAAGTCTTTATTGTTCCCTAGTTTTTGATGGACAGCTTTGCTTGGTATAGCATACTTGGTTGACAGCTTTTATTTTTCCTTCAGCACTCTGAATATATTGTCTCACTCCCTTCTGGACTGTAAGTTTACTGCTATGAAGTCTGCTGCCAGGTGTATAGGATCTCCCTTATATGTTATTCGTTTATTTTCCCACTCTGCTTTCAGGGTCTTCTTTTTGACTTTGGCCTTTGAGAGTTTGATCATAATATGTCTTATGGTATTCTTATTTGGTTTAAATCTTATTGGTGATTTTTGACCTTCCTGTATCTAGGTATTTCTATCTTTTTTCAGGTTTGGAAAGTTTTCTGTGATTATTTCTTCTAATAAGCATTCTACCCTTTTGTTTTTCTCAGTTTCTTCTTTAACTCCAATAACTCAATTATTTGCTCTTTTGATGTTTTCTCATAGATCTCATAAGGCTTCTTTCTTTTTTATTCTTTTTTTGTCTTCTCTATTTTAAAACAGACTGTCTTCAAGCTCACTGATTCTTTCTCCTGTTTGATCAATTCTGCTGTTGATGCTGTCTGTTGCATTTTTCATTTTATTTACTATGCTGTTCAGCTCCAGGATTTCTGCTTAATTTTAAAAAAATATTTCAATCTCTTAAATATTTTCTGATAAATTTATGAATTAATTTTTTTGTGTTTTATTGCAGTTCATTGAGCTTTCTTAAAACAGATGTTTTGAATTCTTTCTATAAGAGATCATACATCTTCATCACTTTAGGTTCATTCTCTAATACCTATTTTGTACATTTGGTAAGGCCATATTTCCCTGAATCTTCTTGATGCTTATGAACATGCAACAATGTCTGCACATTGAGAGATTAAGTATTTATTTTAGTCTTCACAGTCTGGCTTTGTTTGTGCTTGTCCTTTTTCAGAGGGCCTTCCAGAGATTCTAAGCAGACTGACTGTTGTGTTTGCTGAGCGTGTGACCACTGCAGCTGCCTCAGCAGTAGAGAATGCTCTAAGTCCAGGCTTGCTGCAAGTCTCATGAGGGCTCTGAGGTTTATATGGCAACACTGGGTAGGGACATGAGTTCAGAAGACTGTCCCAGTGGCCCAGATGGGTGTGCCTCCCAGCAGGTCTCTGCACATACAAGATAGGTCCCCCACTGCACTGAGAGGGGCTAGAGTTGAGACTGGACCCCCTCAGGATTTACTGGTAGGAATGAGGCTGGTAGGCCCATCTCATTGGCTCAAGTGGCTGTGCATCACCCTGCAGGACCCTGCAAAAGCCAAGTAGTACCTCAACTGCAACAGGAGGGTCCAGAGATGAGATGGGGTCTTCTTAGGATCTGCTGTGGAATGAAGGTTGGCATGTTTATCATGTTATCTCAGATGGGTATGCATCTCCCAGCATGTCCATACATGGACAGGCTAGTTCTCCAACTGTAGCAGAAGGAGCTGGAACTGAGACTGGAATCTGAGATTTGCTGTAAGAAAGAGGCTGGAGAAGCTGAGTGCGGTGCCTCATGCCTGTAATCCTAACACTTTGGGAGGCCAAGGCAGGTGGATTACCTGAGCTCAGGAGTTTGAGATCACCCTGGGAAACATGATGAAACCTCATCTCTACTAAATAAAAAATTAGCCAGGCATGGTGGCACACACCTGTAGTACCAGCTACTCAGGAGGCTGAGGCAAGAGAATCGCTTGAGCCTGGGTGGCAGAGGTTGCAGTGAGCTGAGATTGTGCCACTGCACTCCAGCCTGGGTAACAGAGTGAGACTCTGTCTCCAAAAAAAAGGGAGAGAGAGAGAGAGGCTGGAGAGTTGGGTCTCATTGGATCAAAGTGGCACACACCTCCCAGCAAGTCCCTGCACATATGGGATAGTTCTCTGACTGCAGTAGGAGGAGCTGGAGCTGAGACTGAGTACCCTCAGGATCTGTGGGAGGGAGATTGGTGAGACCATCTGGGAAGCTCAGATTCCTGGGCTGTGAGACATGGGTGAATCTTCCTCTGGGTCCTTGTGTGAGTGGTTCTGAGCTAGGAGCTCAGCTGAAGGGGGCTGGAGCAGAGCCACAGGACAACTTTCAGGTTCACTGCTGTGACTGCTGTCAGTAAGTAGATAAACCTTTCTGCCAAGCACTAGTGTGTGCAATTCCTTCTGAACCCCTTGGCAGATGGTTTTATTTGCAGGCTCAAGGCCAAATGGGGCTGTAGCCAAGCCCCTTGGAGGACTGGGCCATTTCCAGGCTTGAACCCAGGAGCAATCTTGGCAGATTAACCACCTGGGTGTTGGTTTTCACTCTCAAAGTGACCCTCCAAGATCTTGGACTCCACTGGGGTTTCACAAACTCTTACCTAAATCCTGAGGCTTTTGCTGAGAGAATGTGGATAGATGCAGAATTCTTGTTGTGGCGGAATATTATTAGGTTATCTTCTATTCTGCCATCTTGGTGACATCACTCTCTTTTAATTGTGGATAATTTCTATGCTTTGAAATACTCTCCTGTATTCCCCATATATTGCCTTTTTTTTAACAAATAATAAAACAAAATCAAAGATAGGCTGGAGAGGGAGTAACAGGCCAGGCAGAAACTTCAAGGATGAAAGAAGTAACAGCTTTAGAAATCTTAGAAATCCTAGAAATCTTGCTTAGTGACCAAGACTTTGGTGTGCTTTTTAGAGGTTGTATTGACCTAACCCAGGCCAGAAACAAAACAAAGGAACTAGTACATAAACAAAAGTAATATTTTTATTTCATTTAATGCAAGTACTTACTAAGTAGTTCTTATGATGGAGCTTAGAAATATTTATGAACTGTGGAATTATACTCCAATGTATTGTCATGTAATTTAACTTATCATTCAATTATTGGTATTTTGTTAGTAACTAAAACTCTGCTCTTAATAATGTTTGTTATAATTTTGATGTTACTATTTCTTCAGGACCAATGAATTAATTGATCAGCAAATTTTTACTAACACATTTTATTTAGATAACTAGCTTGAGAACTATTTATTAGATACCTACTTTAGATCTCTGGCTCAGTTTTCTGGTACATTTAATAAAAGGTGTGGCTTTCAAATTTTTCTGTGTATGTGAATGACTTGAGGATCTTGTTAAACCACAGATTCTGGGACAGTAGTTAGAGAGGGTGCCTGAGAGTCTGCATTTCTATCCAACCATTACTTTTAATAGCAGGATTTTAGAGAACTCTGAGGCCCCCAACAACTTCAAGTCTATGATATCATTTCTTACCATTAAGATGATTCCTGCAGAGCTGTGGGACTTAGGACTAGTTATACTGTAAAGGGCCTTTTCTACATTGTCTCCTCACCAACAATTTTATCAACTTAAGTCCTTTGGCTGGAAGGCAGAGGTGGGAAGTGACATCTGCCAGATTGTGACTGTCAGTGTCAAAGAGGTGGTCGAACGGCGACCGTGGAGGGAGAAGGAAGCAGAATTATGTGCTGACATGAATTGCATTGGCTGACTGACTTCTATTTTTATGACACTTCATCCTTCTCCTGCCTTCTCACTGGAACTAATTAAATAGGCCCATCAGGCTGAGATGTGACACAGCTTCAACCCCATCAAATTGTAAAATCACTTTCAGTTGTCCCATTCTTCCAGGCCGTAGAGACTGTTTTACCCAGCAGACTCATGCAAGACACTCAAGGCAATAAAAAACAATGATGCTTGATATTTTTTTCTCTGGAGGAGCTGACACCCCACTTGAGGAGACAAGAAATTGGGAGAAGCAATGAGAAAGTGAGAAAAATTGGAGTACTGTTAATTACTTTGAAGAACTGAGGACATCAAGTTAACCTTGCTTTGTTTAAGAAATTTTGAGGTAGTATGAATTTAAGAAGAGAAAACATTGCATCTGAATTGATCCCAATCAAGTTAATTGAACAAAGGGAAGCATTCCAGGAATACCTTTAATACTAAATGAGAACATTGATTTTCATTGCAAGGCATACACCCTAAGGAACCCTCCATATATTTCTGAAATAAAATGTAAACACTTACAATAAAGTTGATATTCCATTTTTACATTATTAGTAGGATCCAACCATATATTGGGAATATTAATAAATATGTTCTAAATTTATAATAATGAACTTTTTTGTTTTTAATTCAAGAAATATATTTGATAAAATTATTGGCTACCACAGAAACAAAGAAAGTTGGTTTGACATTTGGTAAGGCAATTAAAAACAATGGTTTCACATTCCTGTTGTTGAAACTGTTATTGAAAGTACTTTTATTGGCTTGATAGCAGAAATGTATAGTGTGACCTTGTGAAATCTAATGCATAGAAAATTTATTTAAAATTAGTTCATAGCAAAGCTCTGGCGTCTTTGGATAACATCATGCCTGCTCAATTGACCTTTTTCTTCTTTAGGGTGCTCTGCTGGTTAATGGTAGCTGTTTCAAGCAGGGAAAGCTTAGTGGTAACATGGTGCTCAGTTTTATGGTAAGGATAGGAAAGAAAACTCTCAAGAGGGAAAAAGATTAATGCTTCCAAATTAGAAATTTTTAAATGTCTCCTAGATTTAATTATAGTGGCTAAAGTTTTCAGTGCCCAGGATGGAATTTAAACTACAGAATTAATGGAATTCTGGTCTGGATCCAGCAAGATAGGAAAAGACTAAGGAGATTTTTTGAAAATGGTCCCCAGACCCCTAGAATTGGCCTGAATCTCAGAAGGTCAGAAAGTAATATCTAAAGCAGAGCCTAAGGTCAAACACACCTATATAAGATGCTATTAAATCAATTTTAGTTAGAGTTATATCATTTCCCCAAAAAATCTTTTTTATATGTAATCTTTTTTTGCAAACTAAACTAGAAATCCTTTTCCAAAATACATTTTTAAAAACTCTCTTAGTGACCTTACAGTGCACGAAGTATTTAGGTCAGTGAGATTTTGGAGTATTTTCCAAAGCAAATGGGAAAATTTTGGCCCATACTCTGGGCTGCACATTAAGATCAGGCCTGAAAGAAGCCTATAGTCTTTCAAGTGAAATCTAGGGTTATTTTGGAGGATTAGAATTATTTTCAGACATGACATAATCTGCATTTATCCTCATGGATCTCTGTGGTAGAAACAATCAATCCCTCTTCCAGAAAGAACTTAATGCCTCAGGTGTCAGCACCTTCTGAGTTTGCCTCAGTTGCACAGCCCCATTTTTCCAGGGCAAAGGCATTCCCAGAAGCCCACATCCAATGACTGATGGCAGATACAATGACTGATGGTGGTGGAGTATAGAGGACCAATGTGGTACCCCTCTGATAAACATATGTGCCCCAGCTTCCCTGGGGATTGGCTGAGGCTGTCATCCTATATCACAATTTGGCATATCCCTTTGCCCAATTCTGGCCCCACCTCTCCCTTATACATGAGTTGATTTCTGAATCCTGAGCAGCTAGTCTGAGACACGACCAGGAGTGGTGCCAGAATGCAGGTGATAAGATGGAGATTTGGAGCTGTATCACTTACTGTCCAGTGGGCAATAAGGACTCCAATAATGGTGCTGGATGGAGCACAGTGCACCTGGCATTGACTGTGAATTAGGATGGTATACTGGTGGAAAGGAATTCACTAGCAGATGTGATTTATTAGCCTTGTTGAGAAGTATGAGGAAATAGTAAATATAAAGAAAATGGCATTGGATAGCTATTGTTTAGCATCACTGATAATTTTGAAGATAAAGAAAAGCTATAGGTGAAGAAACAGTGCTTCTACCAACAGAAAATAAGTTGGGATTCAGATAAACCAATAAGGAAACACATTTCTAGGCCATAGGACATTCTGTATAGGTGATAACTCTCTGGAATAGTGAAAAGAAAAACGAATAGTTGAGAAGGGATTAAAGATTTTAGTAAAGCAAAAAAATGTGAAGGTTCTCCCCACCAATGTAACTTGTTGAAATAAAGCTGATTATTTTTGGTCACTCTTCTTACTAGCTTTTTTTTTTTAACTTTTCTACCTTTCCTTGTGGTTTTTGAGGGATTATCAATACCCACATTTGTGAGTTTCAACTGTGAATATTCAAATTCTTTTCACATATAAATGTGTCACTTAATTTTTCTTTGTTGGGCTATTTGTCATGATTGCTATTAACTAGATGTGCAAAGTGCTAATGCATCTCTTTTGTTTACATCAGAGATATTCTTGAATTTTGTTGATCTGAATGCATTCCACATTGCTCACCCCAAAAGCAGAAAATGTGAGCATTTTTCTGCCTTCATTATCTTGTCAAGTAGAATTAAGGCACTGAATGAACATAATAAGCATTTTGCAATGGACCACTGTTTCTCAATTTCCTGATGGAGAGAGAAACTCTTCTTTTCCCAAATCTTTTCAGAATCCTTCTAAATGCTTTTTTAAATAAACAGAAAGTGAAAACCACCAAAAATCAGAAGATTAACACTGAGGATATCAGAACATTGGCTTAACTAATGTCAGGTAGAGATATAAAAAGACACCTGAGAGAAATATATATCACTTCTTTCATATTTATTTATAGATACTCTTATGCATTGTCATTTTTAAATAGTAGAAATTATCAAAGAAAGTTTTCATGGGAAAAGAGACAGAAATGTTCACTCACTCTTAGGTGAAAGAGATCTCTCGGACAGCCCATGGAATCTACATAGAGTGGGCTTATTAGGGAAAATACACGCAGTTCAAGATTTGGGATTCCATCGTGTAATACATATAATGAAGTGCTGGTTTGAATCTTTTTTCCCTAATGGCAGCAGCAGCAGCTAGGAATCAAGAGACCTTGGCCAAATTGCCTCACCTTCTGGGCCCTCAGTTACCTCCTCTGTATATAAGTGGTTCTCAAACCTAGATGCAAATTAGAATCATTTGGGAGCTTTTTAAAAAAATCTATCATTATAGGTTATTTTTGCCTTTCTTTGAACTTAATAAAACAAAATAATACAAAATGTACTTTTTTCTGCTAGCTTTTTAAGTTTAACATCATTTCTGTGAAATTTTCCTTGTTGCATATACTAGTAGTTATTCTTTATTATTGCTGTAAAACATTCATTGTATAAATATGTCATAATTTCTCCATTCTCCTGTTGGTAGTCATTTGGGTTGTTTCTAGTTAGGGGCTATGAATAGAATACTGCTATAAAAATTCTCATCTGTGTCTTATAGTATAAATACATACTCATTTCTTCAGGGTAGGTATCTTATCTTGCCTTATAGTATAAATACATACTCATTTCTTCAGGGTAGGTACCTAGAAGTAGAAATGCTGGATCAAAGGGGTTTGTATATTTATCTTTAATAGCTATTGCCAATCAATTTTCCAAAGAGGTAGTGCTAAACAGCAGCGTATGAGTTCTGGTTGCTCCATATCCTTTCTGACCCTTGGTATCATCATTTTAAAAAATTTCAACCATTCTGGCAGATGTGTCATGATATTTCATTGTGGTTTTAGTTTGCTCTTTCCTACTGGCTATCAATCTTGAGCACTTTCTAAAAGTTCTTATTGAACCTTTAGGTAAAGTTTTTTATGAAGTGCCTGTTTAGAGTTTTTGCCCTCTAAAAATTAGTTTGCTTTTCTTTATTGAGCTTTAGTCGTTCTTTATATATTTTAGATACAAGTCTTTTGTTAAACATATCTATTAAAAAATTATTTTCCCTCTCTGTGACTTTTCATTTAGTTGATACTGTCTCTTGATAAAGAGCATTTATTATTTTAATAAAGTCTAATTTAATGAAATGTAATTTGTTGTGGTTTATGATTAATGTTTTTTGTGTCTTACTTAAGAAATCTTTGCCTTCCCCATGGCCATTAAATATTCTATATTTTCTTCTCAAAACTGTATTATTCTCAAAGCATTTATATTTAGATGTATCTACAATCCATTTGGAATTAGCATAAGTTAAGGCTCAGGTTTCATTTTTCCATATGCATATCTAATAATTTATTAAAAATATTTTTTGCATTTAAGTTCATGAGATATATGGGGTTATAATTCACTGTTCTTATAATGTCTTTGCCAGTTTTTTTAAATCTGGATTATGCTGGCCTCATAAACAAGTTTGGAAATGTTTCCTGTTTCTCCATACTCACAGAGTTTATGTAAGAGTAGTGTTATTCCTTCTTTAAACATTCAGAAAAATTCACCAGTGAAGCCATCTGGTCAGTTTCCAAAATCAAAGTCTTGGTGGGTTTCTGGAATAGCCTTCTAGTTATTCTCTAGCCTGTGTATGCCCCCCACCCCACCCCCACAATTTTTTTTTGCTTATTTGATCAGTTATGAAGTCGTTTTAAAGTACAAAAGAGGAATTAAATATCATTGCAAAAGATTTTCTGAGAGTATTCACACTAATTCCCCAGAGGAAATTCTAGTTATGGTTTAGAAAACTAGGAATCGTGTCATTTCTCCATTTAAGTGGATTTAAGTGCATTTAAGTGGATGGAAATGGGGAAATAATAGTGTGTAGGTGTGATAAGTGTTCTTTCCTTTTTGTACCAAACAAAATAGGAGAGCTGTGTCTGTGATCTAAGGATGTATTTGCTTATTTGTTAGATTTCTAAAAATGTGCTGCTGGGTATTTATAAAAATAAGCATTGTAATTAAACAAACTAAATGGTATGGCTCTGTTGAACTGTGAGTTTTGTTTTCACACAGAAATGACTGCAGTCCTATTTAGGGGAGGGGTAGAGAATAAATGAGTAGGTTGTCCAGGTAACAAATATTACCACTGTCTGGGAAAAATGACTGCCTCCATTAACTTAGCAGTATATGAAGTGACTTTGAAAGGATTAGCTACTGCAGCAGGTTGGAATTTTATAGAGACTCAATCTCTGTCTCCCTCACTTTTTCCCTCCGCCCCAGCTTTGACCTTCCATACTTACATTCCGGCTCCTTTGACCTCCCTGACTCCCACAGTCTTGCCAACACAGCTTAACTACATGCAGAAGAACACCCATCTCCCAACAAAATCCCCACAAAAACTCGAATGAAAACTAGATGGTAAAATAATTCAAATGGGCAGAAAATAAGACCAATAAAGTCTGTCTGAAGCGGTGTGATATGGTTTGGCTGTGTCCCCACCCAAATCTCAGCTTGAATTATCATTCCCATAATTCCTACATGTCATGGGAATTGTCCCTGTGGGAGGTAATTTAATCGTGGGGGCGGGTCTTTCCCACACTGTTTTCCTGTTAGTGAATAAGAGATCTGATGGTTTTATAAAGGGGAGTTCCCCTGCACACGCAATCCTGCCTGTGGCCATGTAAGATGTGCCTTTCTCCTCTTTCGCTTTCTGCCATGATTGTGAGGCCTCCCCAGCTATGTGACACTGTGAGTCCATTAAACCTCTTTTTCTTTATAAATTACCCAGTTTAGGGTATGTCTTTATTAGCAGCGTAAGAATAGACTAATGCAAGATGCTATAATGTTTCATTTGGGGTTGTTTAGAACTAGATGTGGGCCTTGGAGTGTGAGCTCCCTGGGGACTGAGGAGATCCTAGGAGTTAGAAAAAAATCATTGGAAAAATTGAAAGCAAACTTGAGAGTTTTTAGAGAAGGTTTCAAAACATGAAGAAGTAGTTACAACATAAATAACTTTGAGCCTCTGAACCAGGGATATGTAATTGGTGATAATTTTATGAACAAAGTTGATAAACGTTGTTAAAAAGTTTAACAATTTAACAAATTGTTAAACTGTAACAAAAAGTTACAGTTGAAATAGATTTAAGCAATGAAATGAATATGACCTGGAAATGGGGGTGAACCTGTAGCTCAAAGAGAAGAAATTTCGCTTTCCTATTAATAAGGAGGCTGGGAGAATTGGTTCTGATTTTCAAGGAAGATGCAAGTACACAGAAATTAGGAAAGGGCCTATGAAACTGCCATAAAATGCCATCACATTTGTCGACTTATGCCAAAAATAATGTATCGCTCCAAACTCATGAGGCTGTAACTCACGTGCTTTACAGGTAGTAAAATGTTTGTGCATCCCATACAACTGACTAAAGAAATGGGGAAAGGACAGTGTGAGAACACGAAGGATCATGCTCCAAGGAAACAGTCTCGTCAGGGGAATCTTCTGGTCTACTGGGTGTTAGACATAGAAGGTAAACTAGGTGAAACTGCTGAAAGCCTTTTTGCAGCTGTATTTTGCCATCTTATATGGCTGTGACATAGCAGCCAAGACAAAGATTGTTTACCTAGCTTCAAAGAAAGTCCAATTTGGTTGGCTGCAAGAATTCCATGTGTAACCTTGTGTAAGTGTTTTGACCTCTAGGGCATGATTTACAGCTTTGCCTTTTTTGTAGTCTTTGCATTGCCTCAGCCCAATAGGAATCCCCTGGGCCCTGATGTCAGCAGTCTAGGATTTTCAGACAAACAAGTGTTTCTTGGCTGTCACGAACCATGTTAAATTGTTCCCAACTGCGCTTCTGTGAAACCATGAAGCATTATATCAGACCATTAGATGTACTGATCCTCTGTCCCACCCCATCTTGCTTGCTGGTCTCTATGAAGCTGGTACTGATGTGCTCAGCTATTGTTCTTCCTACTGTGCCTTCCCTGTTGGGTAACCTGAATTCACAGTTTCACTTCCTTTCCAGAAACGAACCAGAAATATTTTGTTCATTTGTGGTGAATGAAGTGCCTGACGAGAAAGAGGAATGTAGCTTAATTCCAGTGTTGAATGTGGCTCTTGAGGCCAGTATATGCTAAAACTCAGAATAAGGATCCCTTTCCAATTCTTTCTCTCTTCTCATCCTTTGTGGTTAGTTATACTAGAGACAAATCAGTTGGCAGGGAGTCATTAAGGCTGGAGATTAAGCTACACTTCTAGGCAGGAGGATAACTGCTAATGACCCTCTAAATTCCACTTTTCTAGCCCTAAACACTAATTATTTTAAATATTTACTGTTTCATATATATTTACTGTTTAATATTAAATATTTACTGTTTAAAATATAATTATTTTAAAATAAAATTATTGTTTTGCTGCTTGCATGCTGGCAAGTGAAAGCACATCTAGGAGATCATGCAGGTGAGATGGGCCAGAGGGACCTCCAAAAGAAAATAGCCCAAGTTACATGTGTCCCTACCTTTGCTGTTGACCATAGACAGTGAAATCTATAAATCTGTGTGGAGCCTTCTCTGATTCTTGCAGAGTTTGGGCTCACACTGAGTTCATTAAAGCCTTGCTGATGGGCTCATTTTTTGCTAATCCCACTGTAGTTATATTTTTCTACCCTGCTCTTCTGCCTCAAAGCTACAGAAAGTGCTTGGGTGTCATGGAGGGGTTGCTCTTTGATCACTCTCTTCTCTTTGTCTATAGTAGGAAATTAACAAATGTTGACTGAATGTGCGAGTGAGTGAATGTTAGGGATTTCTGGACAATATCAGTCAAGGGAATGTGAAAGAGCAGAGCAGCCAAGGAAGGAAAATAGGGCTTGGAAGAATGGACTGGAAGACAGGTCCAACGGTAAACAGATTTGAGGAATACAAATGGATAAGGTTTTGTAAGGAGGGTTAGCAAGTTTGTAAAACAGTGCTCCCTAGATGCTAAAAATGAAGCCGTAACCTCTCCCAGCTTCTTCTCATCTGCTTGTGCACACCAATGGTAAGACATAGGGAAGAAGAAGTAGGTATTTGACTAGTACTTGTGTTGGGGGTGGGCTTAGAAAGTATTCAAGGGGGTAAAGCCACCAGACCTCTAGTCACTCTTCCTTTCACATCTTGAGTTTGTATGCATTGATTCTCTTTCCTTAGGACTTCTCAAGTCCATCTCTTCTCCATTCCGATGGCATGCCTTAATTCCAATCCTCACGTCATTTCTTACCTTGAAGCCTAGAGTGATCTTCTAATTCATTTCTTAGACTTCAGTAGTACCCGTCCAATCCACTGCCAACACTGCTACCAGAGAGATCTTTATAAAACAAAAATCCAATTGTATTACTGCCTTACTGAAAATTATTTAGTGGTCACATTGTCCTCCAAACTTGGGGGCTGCAAGACACTTTATGATCTTCCCTCACCTACCTCTTCAGCCTATTTCTTGCCAGGCCCCTAGCATTGCTGAACCACCTGCAGTCCCAGGGATTTACAGTGAATTTCTAACCTCTGTTCCTTTCTACAAATGGCTCCATCTGCCAGGAATCCTCTGTGTTCTTCCTCTTCATCTTTGCCAACCTCCTACTCCCATCACTGAGGTGACTCTTACTTATTCTTTTAGACATTGTTCAGGCATCATCTTACCTGAGAAGTCTCTCTGGAATCCCCATCTTCCTTTCCTCTCCTGGATGATTAGCTTCTTGAAAGTAGAGACTGAGGCTAGAATAGTAATGGGTACGTGGTGGGTATTCAGTAGCTATTTGAAAAAAGAAATGAGAGAAAAATAGAAGACTATACTGAGATATTGATCATTGCCTGCCCTGCTCATAGCCCTTTCTGTATCCATGTGATCCTATCCCTCAGCCTGAGTGGATTAGGACCATCAATGGCCTGGCTTGAAAAGACCAGCTGAGCCAATCAGATTTATTTATTGGTATTTTGGAGTTGGGGAATGAGAAACTGAGTGAATTAGAAAAGACAACTGGAGTTGAAGGTATGATGTAGAGTCAGGATATAGAGGCATGGTGGAAATGGAAATTATAGGAAGAAGAAGTTAGTTAATAGATGCGAATTGAGCAAATGCACACAGAAAAACAAAGATGTCATGAGAGAAAGGTCATATGAGAGACAGAGAGAGAGAGAGAGAGAGAGAGAGAGAGAGAATCTTCTGTTGTTCCTAACACTTTTTCTTGGGTGGGTTCCTGCAAAATCTGTTTTGTTTTGGGGGGTGATTTTTTTTTTTTGACAGTGTCTCACTTTGTCACCCAGGCTGGAGTGCAGTGAGCCATCTTGGCTCACTGCAGCCTTGACCTCACAGGCTGGAGTGATCCTCCTGCTTCAGCCTGCTAACTAGCTGGGACTACAGACACACGCCACCACACCCAGCTAAGTTTTGAATTTTTTGTAGAGGTGGAGTTTTGCCATGTTGCCCAGGCTGGTCTCCTGGACTCAAGGGATCTGCCTGCCTCAGCCTCTCAAAGTGCTTCTATTACAGATTTGAGCCACTGCAGCTGGCCTTTTTTTTTTTTTTTTCCCTTCTTCTTCTTTTTGAGTCAGGGTCTCACTCTGTCGCCCAGGCTGGAGTGCAGTGGCCTGATCTCAGCTCACTGCAACCTGCAACTCCATGGCTCAAGCAATTCTCCAGCCTCAGCCTCCTGAGTAGCTGAGACCACAGGCACATGCCACCATACTGAGGTAAAATCTCTGGATTTTAACATTAAATCATTATGGGAACTAATATGAGCAAATTTCTGTTCTGAGTATGTAAAGGAGTCTAAACTGAAATAGCAAGAGAAGAGAGAAAGGGAGAGAGGAAGAGAAGAGGGAAAGAAAAGAGCAAATAAGGCTGGTTCTAGACCACCAACTTCCCTTTTCCCCTAGGCTTCTGTTTGCTTGGGATTTACTCCATGCCAGAAAGGAACAAGGAAACCCATTCCCTCTCCACTAGCCCTGACCAGGGAGGAAGTCTGCCCAGGGTTTGACATCCATAATTTCTCCATGCCTATGGGCCCACCTTGGTCACTCACTGCTCCATAGCATTGTCATTGTGAATTATGCACAAATAAACAGAGGTCTGAAGAAACACCATAAATCCCTGGTGCTAACATAAAGAAATTAATTAAGAAAGTTAAAAATGTTAAATATCTTATTGAACCCCAAACACAGTTCACAAAAACAAAACTTCAGTAACAAAAAAAAATTCGGTCAAAGATATATTTTTGATCTTAAGAAATTGATTAATAAATGTTTTTAAAAATATGCATGAATTAAATATCAATGCTATCAAAAAAAGTTGCAAAATAAATGAGAGACAAAAATTATTTTGTTTCTAGTTATGTATCTGAACAATTGTTTTATTGGTTGCTTGTTTGGTTGAAACTTAATAATTTATTATGCAAAATGGACATGAGGATTTATAATGCCAAGAAATAGAACTCTGTTTTGCTCTTTTTTGGATTTCTCAAAAGGAATACCTTGAAAGAATGTCTTATAAGGGTGTTCAAAATATTCTGAGCTACTTATTGGTAAACAAAAATTTATATACTTGGATGAGATGCCAAAAAATTGAAAAAAATGAAGTCATATTTTTTCTTGTAGTGGGAAGTATGGCTAATATTTTAATACATGTATAGGCATTTATCATAATTGCTTGTTAGATATTTAATACATTTATCATAACATAAAAATGTATGATAAAGTGTTAGATGCTGGCACAAATTCATTAATTCTGTGTGATAGGTGTCATGGAAAGACTTTCTTGGAAAAAAAAATTCTTCAAAGCATATTGTTATGGGAATGACCAAAATTTCCAAGAAGGGTGGTTTTTTTGCTTGTTAAATGAGAGGAGTTTATACTCAATTCTTGAATTCTCTCTTGATAAAAAGCAGAAGTGAGAAAACTGTCAACTAGAATGATAGATGTGTAGTATAAAATTTAATGAACTCTGGGGAATTCCATATATTTTAAAGCAGTTTCTTTTCTTAAAGAAACACATTAACAGAATGGATTCTTTTCTACAGGAGCATTTCATTTATTTATTTTTTTAACTTTTATTTTAGGTTCGGAGGTACATGTGCAGGTTTGCTGTATAGGTAAACTTGTGTCACAGGGGTTTATTGTACAGATTGTTTTGTCACCCAGGTATTAAACCCAGTACCCAATAGTTCCTTTTTCTGATTTTCTCCCTCCTCCCAACCTCCAACTTCAAGTAGACCCCAGTGTCTTTTGTTTCCTTCTTTACATCTGTATGTTCTCATCATTTAGCTCCCACTTATTAGGGAGAACATGAGGTATTTGGTTTTCTGTTCCTGTGTTAGTTTGCTAAGGATAATGGTCTCCAGCTCCATTCGTGTTCCTGTAAAAGATACAATGTCATTCTTCTTATGGCTTGATAGTATTCCATGGTGTATATGTACCACATTTTCTTTATTCAGTCCGTCATTGATGGGCATTTAGGTTGATTCTGTGTCTTTGCTATTGTGAATAGTGCTGCAATGAACATTCTCATCCATGTGTCTTTATGGTAGAATGATTCATATTCCTCTGGATACATACCCAGTAATGGGATTGCTGGGTTGAATGGTAGTTCTGTTTTTAGCTCTTTAAGGAATCATCATATCACTTTCCACAATGGTTATGCTAATTAACACTCCCACCAATGTGTATAAGTGTTTCCTTTTCTCCTTGACCTTGCCAGCCTCTGTTATTTTTTTAGTTTTTAACAATAGCCATTTGGAACGGTGTGAAATGGTACCTCATTGTGGTTTTGATCTGCATTTCTCTAATGATCAGTGATATTGAGCTTTTTTTTTCATATGCTTATTGGTTGCATGTATGTCTTCTCTTGAAAATGTCTGTTTATGTTCCTTGACCCCTTTTAATGGGGTTGTTATTTCTTGTTAATTTGTTTAACTTCCTTATAGATGCTGGCTGTTAGACCTTTGTCAGATGCATAGTTTGTGAATATTTTCTCCCATTCTATAGGTTGTCTGTTTACTCTGTTGATAGTTTTTTTTTTCTGTGCAGAAGCTTTTAAGTTTAATTAGATCCCACTTGTCAATTTTTGCCTTTGTTGTGATTCCTTTTGGTGTCTTTATCATGAAATCTTTGCCTGTTCCTATGTTCAGGATAGTATTGCCTCATTGTCCTCCAGAGTTTTTATAGTTTTGGGTTTTACATTTAAGTCTTTAATCCATCATGAGTTGATTTTTGTATATGGTATCAGGAAAGGGTCTGGTTTCAATATTCCACACATGTCAGTTATCCCAGCACCATTTAGTGACTATAGAGCCCTTTCCCCATTGCTTATTTTTATGAGGTTTTTTGAAGATCAGATGGTTGCAGGTGTGCAGCCTTATTTCTGGGCTCTCTATTCTGTTCCATTCGTCTATGTGTCTGTTTTTATACCAGTACCATGCTGTTTTGGTTACTGTAGCCCTTTCACAGGAGCATTTTAGTTGTATTGTTCTTTATTAAGAAGACTATAGCTAATGTTAACAAAATCAAATTATGAATAAAATTAGAAAGCTTAAGTACATAACCTATCTTTTTTCATCAAGGGCCACTAATTTCTTTTTTAAATTGTTTTATTTATTTATTCATTTTTTATTTTACTTTAAGTTCTGGGATACATGTGCAGAACGTGCAGGTTTGTTACATAGGTATACATGTGCCATGGTGGTTTCCTGTACCTATCAACCTGTCATCTAGGTTTTAAGCCCCACATGCATTAGGTATTTGTCCTAATGCTCTCCCTCCCCTTGCCCCTGCCCCCAACTCCCCAACAGGCCCCGGTGTGTGATGCTCCCCTCCCTGTGTTCATGTGTTCTCATTGTTCAACTCCCACTTATGAGTGAGAACATGCGGTGTTTGGTTTTCTGTTCCTATGTTAGTTTGCTGAGAATGATGGCTTCCATTTTCATCCATGTCCCTGCAAAGGACATGAACCCATTCTTTTTTATGGCTGCATAGTATTCCATGGTGTATATGTGCCACATTTTCTTTATCCAGTAGAATGACTTATAATCCTTTGGGCATATACCCAGTAATGAGACTGCTGGGTCAAATGGTATTTCTGGTTCTAGATTCTTGAAGAATTGCCACACTGTCTTCCACAATGGTTGAACTAATTTACACTCCCACCAAGACTGTAAAAGCATTCCTATTTCTCCACAGCCTTGCAGCATCTGTTGTTTTCTGACTTTTTAATAATTGCCATTCTGACTGGCATGAGATTGTATCACATTGTCATTTTGATTTGCATTTCTCTAATGACCAGTGATAATGAGCTTTTTTTCATATGTTTGTTGGCCGCATAAATGTCTTCTTTTGAGAAGTGTCTGTTCATATCGTTCACCCACTTCTTGATGGGGTTGTTTGTTTTTTCTTGTAAATTTGTTTGAGTTCCTTGTAGATTCTGGATATTAGACCTTTGTCAGATGGGTAGCTTGCAAAAATGTTCTCCCATTCTGCAGGTTGCCTATTCACTCTGATGATAGTTTCTTTTGCTGTGCAGAAGCTCTTTAGTTTGATTAGATAAGGGCCACCAGTTTCTAAATGTTAATCCACTGTGGTCATATAAGAAGAAAAATAACTTGTTTTTTTCAGAAAAATAAGAAATGTTCAACTCATCCATTTAAAACCCAAATACTGAAAGGTGACATCACTACAGATCCTATAGACAGTAAAAGGATAACACAGGAATGAATATTACAAGCAATTCTATGCCCACAACTTCAATAACCTAGATAAAATGGACCAATTCCTTGAAAGACACAATCTGCCAAAACTCATACAAGAAGAAATAGACAATCTGAATAGACCTATATCTATTAAAGAAATTTAATCAATAATTAATAACATTCCAAAGCAAAAAGCATCAGGTCCAGATGGGTTCGCTGGTGAATTCTACCAAATATTTAAGGGAAAAACTATACCGATTCTCTGCAATCTCTTCCAGAAGATATAAGCAGAATAAATATTTTCTCACTAACTCTATTAGGCCAGCATTACTCTATTGCCAATATCAAAGACATTATAAGAAAAGAAAACTATACACCAATATCTCGTATGAATATAGATGTAAAAATACTTATAGAATTATAGCAATCAAATCCAATTACAGCTAGAAAGCTAAAACATCATGATCAAGGGGGTTTATTTCAGGAATACAACATTGGTTTAACATTCAAAAATTAATTAATCTACCACATGAACAGGCTAAAGCAGAAAAATCACATGATTATACCAAGAGATGCAGAAAAAGCATTTGACAAAATCCAACCCCCATTCATGGAAAAAAAGAGCCAGTAAACTAGGAATAGAGGAGAATATCCTGAACTTAAGAGGAAATATTTATACAAATCCTACAGTGAATAGCATACTTAATGGTGAGAAACGAAACTTTCCTGCTAAGATCAGAAACAAGACAATAATGTCCTCTCTCACCACTGCTCCTCAACATTGTGTTGGAAGTCCTAGCTAATGCAAGAAGATGAGAAAGGAAATTAAGGCAAAAAGATTGGGAAGAAATTAAACTATCTTTTTCTGTAGATGACATGATCATCTACAGTCATCCCTTGGTATCCATGGGGTATTGGTTACAGGACCTCTCTCACAAACCAAAATTGACAGATGCTCAAATCCCTTATATAAAATGACATAGTATTTGCATATAACCTGCACATATCTTCCTGTATACTTTATCATCTCTAGGTTACTTGTAATGCCTAATACCATGTAAATGCTTTCTGAGTAGTTGTTATACTGTATTGCTTTTTAATTCGTATTATCTTTGTTGTTGTACTGTTAATTTTATTATTGTTTTCTGAATATTTTTTATACACTGTCGTTTGAATCTGTGGATGTGGAACCTGCAGATACAGAGGGCCAAATTCATGTAGAAATTCTGAAAGAATTGACAAAGAAATCTTCTGGAACTAACAAGCAATGTTGCAGGTTACAAGGTTAATATATAAAAGTCTATTGCTTTTCTATATACCATCAATGAACAAGTGGAATTTGAAATTAAAAACACATTTAGCACCCCTCCACAAAGTAAAATACTTAAGAATAAATCTTACAAAATATGTTTTATGACTTATCTTCTTGTATAAACTTTTTGTTGATTACAAATGTAAACCTTATATGAGGTTCTATATGCAGAAAACTACAAAAGTCTGATGAAAAAAGTCCGATGAAAGATATCAAAGAAGAATTGAATAGAAAGATATTCCAGTCTATTGAAAATAAGACAATATTATCAAGATGTCAATTCTTCTCAACTTGATCAATAGGTTCAATGCAAATGCAGTCAAGATCCTAGCAAGTTATTTTGTGGATATCAACAAACTGGTTCTAACGTTTGTACAGTGAAATATGGCTGGGTGTGATGGTGCATGCCTGTAATCCCAGCACTTTGGGAGGCTGAGGTGGGTGGATCACTTGAGGTCAGGAGTTCAAGACCAATCTGGCCAACATGGCAAAACTCTGTCTCTATTAAAAATACAAAAATTAGCCGGGTGTATTGGCACGCACATGTAATCCCAGCTACTCAGGAGGCTGAGGCACAAGAATCACGAACTCAGGAGGCAGAGGTTGCAGCAAGCCGGGATTGCGCCACAGACTCCAACTTGAGCCACAGTGTGAAACTGTGTCTCTCCCTTCCGCTGCCCACCACAAAACAAAAAGGTTTATACAGTGAAGCAAAAGGCCAGAATAGCTAACTATTGAACAAGAATAAAGTTTGAAGGACTGGCATTACTCAGCTTCGAGACATACTTTAAAGCTACACTAATAAAGGCAGTGTGACATTGGCAAAAGAATAGGCAAATAGAGCAATGGAACAGAATAGAGAGCCCAGAAATATACCCACAAATATATAGCCAACCCATCTGTATTAGCCAGGGTTTTCTAGGGGGACAGAACTAATAAGATAGATGTATATATGGAGGGGAGTTTATTAACGAGTACTGACTCACACAGTGACAAGGTGAAGTCTCACAATAGGCCATCTGCAAGCTGAGGAGCAAAGAAGCTAGTCCAAGTCCCAAAATCTCAAATGTAGGGAAGCCAACAGTACAGCCTTCAGTCTGTGGCCAAAGGCCCGAGAGCCTCACTGGTCTAAGTCCGGGAGTCCAAAAGCTGAAGAACTTGAAGTCTGATGTTTGAGGGCAGGAAGCATCCAGTATGGGAGAAAGATGAAGACCAAAAGACTCAGCAAGTCAAGTTCTTCCAACTTCTGCCTGCTTTATTCTAGCTGCACTGGCAGTTGATTAGATGGTGTCCGCCCAGATTGAGGGTAGGTCTGCCTCTCCCAGCCCACTGACTCAAATGTTAATCTCCTTTGGCAACACCGTCACAGACACACCCAGGAACAATACCTTGCATCCTTCAATCCAATCAAGTTGACGCTCAATGTTAATCATCATACCATCTTTGATAAAGAAGCAAAGGCAATACAGTGGAGCAAAGGTAGTCTTTTCAACAAATGGTCTGAAACAACTGGACTTCCATTTGCAAAAAAGTGAATCTAGACACAGCTCTTGCACCTTCACAAAAATTAACTCAAAATGGATTGCAGACCTAAATGTAAAAATGCAAAACTATAAAGTTCCTGGAAGATAACATAAGAGAAGGCCTAAATGACCTTGCGTACAGAAATGACTTTTTGGATATGATATCAAATGTATAATCCATCAAAGAAATAGTTGATAAGCTGGACTTCATTAAAATTAAAAATTGTTACTTCGTGAAAGACAATGTCAAGAGAATGAGGAGACAAGCCACAAACTGAAAGAAAATATTTGCAAGACACATCTGATGAGGACTGTTATCCAAAATATACAAAAAACTCTTAGAACTCAAAATAAGAAAATGAACAACTGGGTTAAAAAATGGGCAAAAGACCTGAACAGACACCTTAACAAAGAAGATATATGGATGCTTATGAAAAACATACAAAATATATTCAACATCATATGTCCTTAGGGAATTATAAATTTAAACAACAGTGAGATACCACTACCTACTAATGAGAATGATGAAAATTCAAAACAGTGACAACAGCAAAAGCTGGCAAGGGCGTGGAACATGAACTCTCATACATTGCTGGTGGGAATGCAAAATGGTACAGTCACTTTGGATGATAATTTGGCAATTTCTTACAAAACTAAATATACTCTTTACATACAATCCAGCAATTGTGCTCCTTGGCATTTACCCAAATGAACCGAAAACTTATATCCACAGAAAAGCCTACACATGGATATTTATAGCAGCTTTATTTATAATTGCCAAGATTTGGAAGCAACGAAAGATGTCCTTCAGTAGGTGAATGGATAAGTAAACTTGGACTATATGGACAATGGAATATTATTCAGCATTAAAAAAAAGAGCTATCAAGACATGAAAAGCCATGGAGGAAATTTAAATGCATATAACTAAGTGAAAGAAGCCAATTTGAAAACACAACATATTTATGACTCTAGCTATTTGACATTCTGGAAAGGGTAAAACTGGGGAGATAGTAAAAAGATCAGTTGTTGCCAGAGGTTTTGGGGGAGAGAGCAGAGAACAGGTGTAGCACAGAGGATTTTTAGGGCAGTGAAATTATGCTGTATAATGCAATAGTGGTGAATACCTGTCATTATGCATTTGTCCAAGCCCCAACATCAAGGATAAACCCTTATGAGGCTGGATACCATGGCTCCTGCCTGTAATCCTAGCACTTTCGGAGGCCAAAACCTTAAGACCAGGTTGGGCAACATGGTGAAACTCTGTCTCCACAAAAATACAAAAAATTAGCTGGACATGGTGGCACATGCCTGTAGTCCCAGCTACTTGGGAGGCTAAGGTGGGAGGATCACCTGAGCCTGAGAGGTCGAGGCTGCTGTGAGCCATGACTGTGCCACTGCCCTCCAGCCTAGGCAACAGAGTAAGATCTTGTCTCAAAAAAAAAGAATAAACCCTAATGTATACTGTGGACTTTGGGTGCTAATGGTATGTCAGTGTAGGTTTGTCAATTGTAACAAATGTCCTACTCTAGTGAGGATGCTGATAATGAAAGAGGAAGAGGGTGTGTGTGTGTGTGTGTGTGTGTGTGTGTGTGTGTGTGTGTATGGAGAGAGAGATATGTGGGAACTCCCTGCACTTTTTGCTCAGTTTTACTGTGAATCTAAAACTTCTCTAAAAAATAAAGTTTACTAACAAAAAAACTGACTAGAAAACTGTATTTAATAAGCACAGAAAATAATACATTGTTTTAATTACATATTATAACCAATTTAGGGAGAAGTAGGACTCAGTCATGGCTACTAGTTCCCCCTACACACTCCATTTTCAAGGTCCCAACTTCTAAAACTTGTATCACTGTCTATTCCTCCCCTAGGTCTAACAAAAGGAACTTGGTAAAAATACATGAACAATTTTAGAAATGCAATGTTATAATATGCACAATAGTTCTGCTGATTTTATTGTTAAGAAACTGTTATCCTTTAGGACTCAACTAGGAAATATCTAACATGACTGAATGGAATTCAACTATTCAACAAACCAAATAGTAACTTAATGTTTAGCACCTTTGAGGTCCTTGAATCTAGTCAAAATTAATTTTCTCCTGAAACTGACAGAGATCTCTAAATGGTCTTGATCCAGTCCCAAACCTAAATCATGATTCACTTGTTGATTTATATGTAATATAATATAATATATGACATATTATATATACATAATATATAATATAAATAACATATATGTCATATAATATTTTATTATTGATTTTATAGTCACAAAAATGCTGACAGAATGCATTCTATTATAATTTCATGAATTGAATGAAAATTTTTGAAGTGAAAAATGTCTTAGGAATCGTCTCATAAAACACTTCATTTTATAGATTAGGGAATTGAGTGACAGTGAATTTAGTGACCTGACAGTGAATTTAGTGTCATAGTTCATTAGCGGCAAAACTGAGATTAGAACACAATTTTTCTGACTCCATAAATTAAGAGTTAAGTCCATATAATATACAAAGTGTTGACATCAAAGGGAAATGGGAAAATATTTGTAGACTTAATGGTTTCATCAATCAAAATTTTGAGCAATATGAATTATCAGTTTGACCAAAAGGAGTTAATTTATTTTTATTTTTTTCTGTTTTATTTTATTTATTTATTTATTTATTTATTATTATACTTTAAGTTTTAGGGTACATTTGCACAATGTGCAGGTTAGTTACATATGTATACATGTGCCATGCTGGTGCGCTGCACCCACTAACTCGTCATCTAGCATTAGGTATATCTCCCAATGCTATCCCTCCCCCAAAAGGAGTTAATTTATTAACTCAGACTTTCTTGGACTTGATATAGCTCACTTGTCCTGGCAGTACAATGTAACACAACCCAAGGAAACAAGAAATTTATTGTAGGATGTGATCTCAGTTATGTCTCTCAAAATAGAAGCTAGCTCTATTTAGAGAGCAGGTGTGTTATTGGGAAAAACATACCAACTTTTCACTTTGAATATAGTCCAATGCAGTACTCAATTTCTGATGAAGGGAAGAGAGGAAATATGCTGAATATTTAATATGCTGTTTTGTGGTTTCTCCTAAACCTCGATGTGAAGACAATATTTGTTTGTCTTGAGTGATGATTACATTTGGTGCATTATGTTCCATTTAGTATATAATCTATGCCATGTCAAAATCATTAATGCTATGAGAAAAGAAATAAAACAAAACTACAGTTGTTTATGGTCCTAGAGAAGAGAAGCAATGTTTTTATTAGGGTATAAATCAGTTTTCACAGATAGAATGCATCTTCACCAGAGACAAGCAAATAATAACTTATTCCCTTTATTTGAGCTTGTGTCCCTTTGATGACTCTTCCTAAAATGACTAAGATGACTCTTCCTTCAGTTAAAGAAAGAACATACTTGAGTGTTTCTTTCACTTCACTCAATTCATTGATTTACTCCCCATCTTATAACAGAGAATTCAAGAATTTTGTTAAAATGTTTTCAGATTTCCATCAAAAGCAAGGCTGAATGCTCCCTACCTTGAACTTCTTTCAAATATTTTGAATCTCCCTGCATGACATTTCTTTCCCTTACCTAGTCCCCAAAAGCTATTCTAATTTTAACTTTTTCCTTGACAACTCCTCTAAAGAAAAAAAAAATTGATTTTAGAACTAATACTCACAACGGTGTAAACACAAGCAAGCAGTGTAATGCCTTTTTTATGTAATTATTCCTTATTTCTATTTAAGTTAATAATGACATTTAGGAAGTGTGTTATCAGATCTCAAGAATTAAGCTCTAAATGTAAACATTGCTTTTGTCACATGATGAAACACTAAAACATTTTTCTTGTCACATTCCCTTATATTGTTGAACTATCAGGCAAATCTTTGTACTTTGGTATAAAGAATTTGCATCAAGCATGCAAATAACTTTGAAAAACCATTAGGTGGCAGAAATTGTATATTGATTGGCCATTCTTAACATTTACAATTTCTCATTCCAGCCTCTCCTGCCTTATTCTACTGCTGCCTCTCAGCACTGATGAGGAGAGTGCTGTTGCCTTACGAAAGCAGTTACTCTGAGATGGTAGGCAGACTCTCATTATCCAGCAAAGCACACCAGAAAGGAGGGGCATGATCGTTTTACAAAAAGTGAGACGATTTATTGACAGGGATTTGCGATTGCAAAATAACGTAGTAAAAATGTAAATCCAAGGTATTAAATTATTATTAGGAGTAGTTGAAGCCAGGATAATAGAATGGCAGGCAGGAGCACTTATTACCAGACTCAACCCTACCACTAACTACTTACATGATTCTGAGAACAGCATTTAATTATCCTTTTCTCCTGTGCTTGTATCACTGCGTAAGTTAGTCTACCACCAAACCTATTGTGTTACAATTGTTTGCCTATGTATCTTTCTCACCTATCAAAACTACATTTTCCTTGAGTATAAGAATCACATTACACACATTTCTCCATCACTCATGCGCACCTCTGTTCCTGATACAAAGTAAGTGCTAAAAGAACTTCAGTTGATGAATACATTTAACAGTTTTTGCATCTAAGATCTTATTGCTTAATTCTCATAAAGTCTAGTTAAGACCCCAGGTACAAAGCCTGGTGCCTGTTCTTTTCACATCTGATTTAAAATAATCTTGGTGTAAGGAAGTGAGATGGAGAATATAAGGTGTAAGGGATTATTTTACAGACAAAACCTCTGTGGAATATCAGCAGCATTCTTACTCAGGTGAGGTATTTTATAAGATCACTGTCAAAGTTTAAACGTATGCATGTGAAGCTCCCACTGAAATGGGAGTTACACATCAGCGTCTGCCAAATTGAGCCTGCCTTCCCTATTTTTGTCAGGCAACTCACCTCCCACATGAAAACCACCACAAATGCCTGCACATGCTATTTTTAAATGCATTTTTGGGTGTGCTCTTGAGTGAGCACCACTTCTAGCTGTCCATTCCTTGTGATACAGATTTCATCTGGGTCAAGTTGTTGGGGCACTATGTTTAGAAGAATTCCATCAGAAGTTTTTTGAGCCAATGTCTATGTTCAATAGAAGCAAGTGTTCTTGGTTCAGGATGTGGCCGTACACATGCCAAGGGTTTGTCCTCTTTGTTGGGTGTGTTTGATGGGTTTGATAATAATGACGTCTAATATTTATTAAATGCTTACTGTGACAGGAACTCCTACAAAGCACTTTACAACCATTACTTCATTTGATCCTTTCAATAACCCTTTGAGATATGTACAAAAGTCACTATTTTACAGATAGGGAAACAGATGTTCGGAGATGTTAAGTAATCTGTTCAAGGCTATTTGTATGTCTATACAGTAGCTGGTCAACCATTTAAAACACAAGCCATCATTTTCCAGGGCCTGTACACCTGACACTATACATACTAATCCAGATATATTCACCATGAAGAATCTTGTTTCTCTCTGATATCAACAACAACAACAACAACAATTTATGACACTATGAAAGCTCTCAAGTCCTCTGCCATCTGCCATGCCTTTTCTTAAAAGGAAAAACTGACTTCAGTGCTCAGGGGGACTCTGCTTCCTTTCTGTAAATGGCATATGGCAATGGACTTGAAATGGCATATCTCCAACATACGCATCTTTAAAAGGTATAAGTTTGGAAGTTTGGGGAGGCTGTGGGATTATTGAGTTCATTGCTTTTTCTTTCCTTTTTCGCCAGTGAAGACGTTAGCCATGATATTATCTGAAGAATGCTTTTGCTTTGAATGTAGTTGCTTCTTTAGTAAAAAGTTCAATAAGGTGGAGCCTGCATCTCGTTAACAGGCCACACTTCCAAATCCCATGTCGGTTGAAGGGCACAAATGTGTACCCATTTAAACTGAAGGTTCTGTGTCATAAAATACAGGAGAAAAATCTTTGACTTAGAAGATTTTTTTTGAGATGTGTCTTGCTATGTTGCCCAGGCTAGAGTGTAGTGTCTATTCACAGGTGCCAACATAGTGCACTACAGCCTTGAATTCCTGGCCTCAAGGAATCTTCCCATCTCAGCATCCTGAGTAGCTGGACCATTTTGAAGATGGAAGTTTTAAAATACCCTCACTCACATTTATCCTCATATGACTTACCATCATTAAATCTTTACATAGCTCCCCTTGCATATTTATTTTGTGCAGAAAGGTAACCTTACAACCCTGGCAGATTCAATAAGTATTTTTTTTTCAAAACCACTCTATGCTAGTATCTGTGCCAGATAATATTAGCTACAAAATAGACCCTGAGTAAATGAGCTGATCTATTCAATACAATTGTTTGATAGCATTCATTAGCATGTATGTTTAACAAAAACAACAGTCTGGAGGTTGGTATAATTAATATTTAGATGTTTAAAACATCTTGAGCTTCTCATAAGACCATTTCTAGCACTGAAAGAAAGGCTCATACAAGCAGAATATGGATTTTTACCATCATGTTTATTATGGTTAGGGTCACCCGGTTTGCCTGGGACAGTTCATGCTGATACTTCTTGCCTCGGTTCAGTTATTAATAGAATCCTATTCTACTTTCAAAATTGCCATGATTTGGATGACAAGCTATATCATTATCTTTGTATTGGCATGTGTCATAACTCAGACAAGCTCAGGCCTGGGGCACACTGTAACTGAGCAATATGGCTGAAGTGGGGATCAAGAAGGAAACCTCACCAGAATGGGGAATGGATGGGAGAGTGGAAAGATCTCATGGAACTATAACACACTAAAAAGTCCCAAAGTGGTGCATTTTTGTTCTAGAGGGTGTTACATAAGATCTAATATGGTGGATGGGACCATCAACAGGCAATTCTCAAAACCAGCCATGTGATCTAGTTCTGCTTAGGATAAGACTGAATATGAGTGACTGTGCACAGAACAGTTGGTTGTGGTAGTGACGACGGACATATACAGGCAGGAGCTGCGTGTGTCAAGGCCCCCAAAAGTAGTCTGACTTAAGGCACATCCCAGTCCTGGGAGGGAGACTAGGATGCTAGTTGGAGAACTAAAACATAGACTTTATTTTGTGGATTGGGCAATACAGCCGGAAGTAAGAGAGGGCTGCAATGTGGTGGGTTAATTTCAGGTACACTGGATATTGGGTCCACAACAGAAAGACCAATGGCAGATTCAGTCCACCATTAGTGCTACATGTCCTGCTGATCAGTATCGGCTCAAGAGCCAGATGTGACTGAATGACAGTTAGAAGTCATCATATTAACTACATATGGAAGGGGGTGGGAAAAGTGTTGTCTAAGTCTCTCTTTTAGAGAATAAGGAACAAATTGAAGAACTAGATTTCAAGTCAGGATGCTTGACACATATTAGCTGTTTAAAAAAGATTTATTGAGTGAATGAATACCCAAATGGTGTGGATTTTACCACTGAGAAAACCCCAAGTGAATAGAACTGTTAGTATAAATGCAAGCCAGAGTCTTTGAAGGGGAATCAAGATATGGACCAGAAACTCAAGACTCAAGGTCAGGAATGGGATCACACACAATTGATGGAGGCAGAAGCCAGAAGCAGACTGGGTCACAGGAGGAACAGATGGGAGGAGAGTTCATGTCAATGGATATTACTACCAATAGATAACAGTGGCATATCTTTGTGGGCCTGCAGATTATGCAGAGAAGCTGTGTCTGTTGCAGATACAGAGTTGAACTTGGTGATAGGCAAAACTGACCACAGGAAGGAAGCCGCTTTGTGTTCTGAAAACTGACCCAATTATGAAGCGCACATTGAAAAAAACAAGAAGGGCTAGGGTAACATCCTGTCTTATGCCAATGTGAAAAATATAATAATGCCAGAAAGGCTTTTCTGCCCACACTAATTCAAGTGTGGTGATTTTAATAAAGATGCTTAGGGAGCTCTAAAAGCTTTAAATCAATATTGCAATTGTACCACTTTCTCCTATGTGTGATTCTTGTCCATGACGTAAAAAAGACAACACGTCATTAAATACTTCCAAAAATAAACTCAATCATTTATTTTATGCAAAATTGTCTTAGTTAAAACAATATGATAGTCAATGGTACAATAGTTGAACTTTAAAGGTGATGACTCCTCCTGTGAGATATTAGATTGAGAAACTCTTTTTTTTTTTTTTTTTTTTTTTTTTTTGAGATGGAGTCTTGCTCTGTCACCCAGGCTGGAGTGCAGTGGCACGATCTCAGCTCACTGCAAGCTCCACCTCTCAGGTTCACGCCATTCTCCTGCCTCAGCCTCCCAAGTAGCTGGGACTACAGGTGCCCGCCACCATGCCCGGCTGATATTTTGTATTTTTAGTAGAGACGGGGTTTCACTGTGTTAGCCAGGATGGTCTCGATCTCCTGACCTCGTGATCTGCCCGCCTCAGCCTCCCAAAGTGCTGGGATTACAGGAGTGAGCCACCGCGCCCAGCCGAGAAACTCTTAATTTATTGGAAAATAAAGTGGAATATCATTTTAAGGAGAATATTTCATTGAAAGATTTGTAGCTTGGAGAAAATAATGAATTTGTTCTCTTATAGATATGATATAGACTATTTTGGTCAATCCTATGGATACTATATCCAAAATCTTTTTCCAGATTAGATTGTCATGCACACAGACACAGACACACACACACACACACACACACACACAGTTCTCATAACCATCCTACAAGTCTGTAACCTTCCTTTTATAGATGAGGAGATTGGGATAATTCACCTAGGGCTAACTGCAAGGTACTGGTGCAAGGTTTCAAATCCAGGCCCGACTTAACCTCAAAGCCCACTTTCTTTCTGTAAAGCAAACCACACTATGCCACCTCAATTTATTTTACTTCCTAGCCTGGTTTTATGCATATGCTAGGAACTCAATAAACAATACTTACTGATTAAATACTTACAGATCAATACTTATAGGTTTATATAAATAAGCACATTAAATACTATCAAGGTTCCATGTGAGATTAAAATCTACAGGGTCCTAAGACTGCAAGTTGCTGGTCTCGTGTATATCTTGTGTATTTGGCATGGAGCAAGCACCCAAACATTTGGTAAAGGAAGGGTGGGAGAGAAAGAAGGAGAAGGGAGAGAAGGAGAGAGGAGTAATATTGCCTTGGATGTTATATGATTATGAAGAATGGGGAAAGGGATTTGAAGTATTAGTACTTAAAGGTAAAGGTGATTTTGTAATTATCACCCAATGTGGAAAAGTGGCACCTGAGGCGAAAGTCAAGCAATGGAAGAATGTTCCTGGCTCATACGAAGAAAAATGAACACAAAGGGCAGAGAGAAACATGTGGAAATCTATGATTTTGAGGACTGAAAGTCTGGAGGGCATTTGGGTGAAAAGAGGAGAGAGAAAAATCAAAGATAGAAGAACATAGAAAACACAATGTTCCCAAGAGGTGAACTCGGGGACTTGTCAGACATATAACCCAGGTAGAAAAGCAATTCCTCTTTTGTGCTTCCTGCTATTTCCTCTACCCAGTGTCCATTTCAATCAATGGAGGTTTTCAAAGGAAACACATAATAGATAAAAGGAGACTTAAAATTTCAAGGATCCATGTGTGCAAGTGACAGAAACTTAGAAGGATAATATCAGAAAGACTCAAGTGTAGGATGTGCTGACTCTGGCAGAAATGCTAACAATATTTTCAGAAGGTTTTGAGTGATCTTTTTCTTAAGCTAAGTCCAGAACAAGAACAACAAAAAAGAGACATGGCCAAGGCTTGGGGCAGGTGGTATATCAACAGATGGTAGAGAAAAGACAAAGCTCAACTGTCTGTTTTATTTTTCTATCAAGAAAGATGATACTTAAACTGGGATTCATAAAGTAAATGTTGTTAAGAGGGCACAAAAGACCAGTTTAAGTGAAGCAACTATTGAAAATCATTTGCTTCTTTAAATGTCGTTAAAACTGTGGGTTTACATGAATCGTACCTGAGATTCTAAGAGATATCTCCATTCTGTAAGCTTCGAAGTTCATGGCAAAGAGTTTAGGTTCCAGAAGTAGAAAAATGTCACTTTTTTTAAAAATTTGAGACAGAGTCTTGCCCTTGTCACCCAGGCTGGAGTGCAGTTTCATGATTTTGGCTCACTGCAACCTCCACCTCCCGGGTTCAAGTGATTCTCCTGCCTCAGCCTCCCAACTAGCTTGGATTACAGACACCCAGCACCATGCCCAGCTAAGTTTTGCATTTTTAGTAGAGACGGGGTTTCACCATGTTGGCCAGGCTGGTCTTCAACTTCTGACCTCAGGTGATCTGCCTGCCTTGGCCTGTCAAAGTGCTGGGATTATAGGCGTAAGCCCACCCCACCTGGACATGTCACCATTTTAAAAAGTTAAATTTTGAAGGGTGGATTTGGGAAATGCAGATCAATGCCTGGCAAAATTCTAGCATAGGTTATTAAATAGATAGACAGTGAGTACCTAGGAAAGCCCATTGCCAAGGCATTGCTAGCTGGAATATTTACAGTGAAAGGAAAAAGGTGCACAAGGTAATTCTGAGGGGTCTGAGGAGCTATTCTGATTAACAAGCCTGAAAAAAAGGAAATCAAACGTGGAAAGAATCAGAAAATCATTCTGACAAGGGGAAAGAATGGAAAAAAGGATACCAACCAAATACAGAGTAACAAAAGGGCTGGGTGAGCTGATGTCATAGACAACAGGAGACAGAAACAGGCAGGGCTAGAGAGATATTGGAGCTAGGCCAAGGCAAGTGGGTATGAAACCCACTGGATCCAGTAAACTGAAGTGGGGTTTGTCAGGACTAAACTATCTCCTCACGGTTTGGTGCCTTTGGAAGCTTCTAACTCAGTACTGCATCTGGGCTACCGGGGAACATATGCCCTCTAAAGAGCCAGACACCTGAGAACTCGTCCTCTCAACCCCCTTCAGTTCAGAGCACCTTCCAGGTGTTTTCCTTTCTTTGTGTAGAAAATCAGTCATACTTTGAAAAGAGAAAGAATTTAATTGATTGTACTATTAGCTGCTTAAGATGCTTATTATGGTATGAATGTTTGTGTTCGTGCCCACCCCTTCCCCCACCACCCTATAATTCATGTATTGAAATCCTAACCCCCAAGGAGATGATATTATGAGGTGGGGCCTGTCATGGGAGCAGAGCTCTTATAAATGGGATTAGTATCCTTGCAAAAGAGGCCTCAGCGAGACCCCTCACCCTTCCATTGTGTGAGAACACATTGTAGGCATTGTCTGTGAACCAGAAAGCCAGTCCTCATTAGACACTGAACCTGTTGGTGCCTTGATCTTGGACTTCCCAGCCTCCAGAGCTGTGAGAGATAAATTTCTGTTGTTTATAAGCCACCCAGTCTATAGGTCTATAGTACGCTGTTATAGCAGCCTGAACGAACTAAGACAATGCCGCCTCATGGAAGCCTTAATTTTTTCATAGTCATCAAACATTAAGCACTTACAGTGCTTTTCTAAACATTACTGTAGGCAGAAAATGAGTGTTGCTGAAGAAGTTCTGCATGGCTAAATACTATTTTTTCTCTGTAATTTTAATAAAGGATGTTAGGTAAGAAACAGAATAACATGTTTTCCTTAATTAATTGTAATGAATGTTGCTTATCATTTTCAGCATCTTTTTTAAAAATGATAACTTGCTCCAGGTTAGCTACTCTTGGCAAGACTGTATCAACTGTTATAGTTCATATTTCCTGTGTTCAAAGAATTCTTCATTAGAAGAATTTCACTAGAAGTTCAGCTATACATAATAGAAATTTATATTTCTCTTATGACAGGTTTGAACAGCATATTTTATATATAAAAAAGTATTTCCTTCTGACAGTTGTATAGTCCATTACGTTTTTATGTAACCTTTCCTCAGATTTAATTTCCTGTCTACTGTCATGTATTTTTCTCATACTTGAATGTGTTCAGGGTTAGGAATAAAATGGATTTGTTTTTATTCACAGGAAATATCTTGAATTATAGAACTTTCTATTTGGTATTTGCTGCCATTGTATTAACTTCCTGACTATGTAATCAATCACTGATAAGAAAATATATAGTATTGATGATTGGAAGGCGCTTATTCTTGAGTTAAACAAACCACCATTTTTCATGAACTCTGTCTCGCTCTCTGTCTCTGTCTCCTTCCCCACCCTTCATTCTCTGTCCCTACCCTCTTTCCTTCTCCCTGACCCCTACCTCTAATTTTGACACATTTTATTAGTTAAAAATATTTTCCATATCAAATAATAGAAAACACTTTTGTAGTGGCTTAAATAGACTGGAGTTCATTTTTCTCACATAGGAAGAAGTCCAGAGATTGGCAGTGCAGAGCCTCTAAGAGCTCAGCAGTGTTATCAAGGATCCAGGCTCTTTCTGTCTTACAAGTAGTACCATTGTTAGCATGCAAGCATCTATCCTCATGATTACTGCCTCATAGCTCCTCCACCTGGGAGCAGAAATAGAGGGGTGAGAGTGGCAAAAGTCAAGTCTATCCCTTTACAAAAACCTTGTATTCACTTCATTGGCCCTAATTGGGTTGCATTGAAATCCCCACACAATCACTGGACAGTAACTAGAGAGAAGGAATACAGATGGGACTAGGTCAACCAAGCAACATCAACTGCCACACTTACCTATTTCCTCCTAGCACACCCTATAACTTAGTAAAAGAGTAATTTTAATGATTTCTAACATGTTTTGAATGTTCAGTATGTGCCAAAGATGATACAAAATGAATTATATTCATTATTTTATTTAAACCTGATAAAACTCCATGCAATTATCATCTTTGTTATTATAATTCTCATTTTACAGTTGAGAAGAGACAGAGGCTTGGACAGCATAGGGTCATGCAGCTAATGAGTGACAGAGTACACATCTGGTCTCCTCTAAAGCCCATGGGCTTAGTATTAATTTGACCTCTCAGCTGGGAGATATAGTGTAAAAAGTGGGCTTGAGTATTGTTTTTCTCCTAAAAACAAAAATGAGAAATTTTTGCATGTAAATCCACTCAGGTAGCCTTCAGATTTAAATGAATAAATGAGATATGAAGAAACGAAAGAAAGGAATAGATGGTTTTCTACCATCAACTATTGTAATCCTATCCCTCTGCCCCACATCTCTTTGAGAGGAGAAAACAAGTGGTTTGAGAAAAAGAATCCTAAGCCTGGGACACAGGGTCTGACTTTGTGTATCTCCTTTAACCATATGAGTTTTGTCAACTTGGGCTGGAGATGTTTAGCACCTGGTTCCCTGTGTGCAGTTCTGACATGAATGTCGATGATATTTTCATTTATGTTACTGGGAAAGAAAAAAGTGAAGCATCAAAGACATATGTTGGAACTTTATTTGTTCATTAGTGAGGTGACTTCTTTGCTAAATCAGATAATAAGATTTAAACATCCAAAGAACATTTTCTCAGTTTTTTGTGCTATTCACAGTGTAATAGCTATAGACATAAAACATTAATCCTTGTGAACATTTTTCATCACTTTTTAAAGTCTAGACAATCAACAAAGCAATAAATCAAATCCTGATTTCCATGGTGTAAATGTTTCCACCATAGCCAATTTCATGCTACCAACATCACATCACTGAATGTCGAGTTGCGAGGCATGTGCAGTAAGTAGCATACACTTCTATGGTATTTCTACCATGTAGACACAATAGATGTCAATAACCTCCAGATAATAGTAAAATGTAGCAAAAAAAGAACCTGGGAAGTGATGGGTTTTGCATATCACTTTTAAAATGTAATTTATTTACCTATAAATTAATAAAATTTATTTTTTTCTCTGTTAATATTTTCTACTTTTATTATTTTTAACTGACATAATAATTGTACATATTTGTGGAGTACAGGGAATATTTTGATACATGAATACATGTATCATGAATACATGATACATGAATGTATAATGATCAAATTAGTGTAATTAGCATCTCCATCACATCAAATGTCTGTTAATTTTAAAGTTTATGAGTATAAAATGACTCTCCTTTTCCCATTTTATAGCTTTTGCTCTGAATTCCACTTAGTTTAATACTAATGTGGGGACTCCTGCTTCTGAGGGTGACACAATTGTCTGATTCAACTTTTTCATCAATTTAATATTTCTGAGGCTCTTTGTCAAGTATGATACAAAAGTATCCACTGGATGTGGCCACAAGAAGTCCATCGGCAATGGTGAACCAGGGGGTTTCAGTGGAAACATCGAGCCTGCCAAACTTCAGAGTGCTGAGTGCTCCTGGGCTGTATAGAGCCTACTGCAAGCAACTCTTCCCATAAATGTGTCTGTGAAGAGTCTGACGTGAGAATGAGATAGGACGGGAGACATAAAAAGAAAAGAAAAATTCGGGGTAGAGGGTGGGGGAAGAGAATTAAGCCCCTTTAAATGCTGATGGGAAAAGCCCCAGTATAGAACAACCGTTTTGAAAACTCAGGTAAGAAAGTAGTTAATTTATGGCATTAAATCTCTGGAGAAACTGTTGGAAATGGGACCTAGACTGTAAGTGGAGGCATTAGTTTTATGAAGGAGGCAAGATGCTTCTCCCATCATCCTAATTAGGAGGGTGAACATAACCTTTAGGAACAATGGGAAGCTTGGGGATGAGGTGGCAGGAAGGTATAAGGCGCTTCCTCCTATCTTGTGATTTCTATTTTACCATGATATAGGAGGCCAGTTGTCCATTGAAAAACACAAGGGGTATGATAATACACAGATTTTCAGTGGTATAGGTTTGAAATAGTCACTCTGAAAAACAAGAGGTAAATTTGATGAAAGAAAAACAGTCAAATTGTCGCAGATTGCTGGAAACTCAGGAGAAGGTGAAAATCATGGATTTGAGATCACACTATGTCATGAAGTTGTGAGATTTCCCCCACTAAACTTTAATTTTTAATAATAGTTGTATTTAACAACTGGTTGACAAGATTCTTGAAAATGCAAGTGAACTCCAGTATCCAAGTTAACCTATTTTAGTTACTGTTCCTTATCATGCAATGAAAATTAATATTCTTGCTTTGTCTACCTGTGATTGTTGTGAGAATTACATGAAGTGATCCATTTGGTGAAAGGACTTTGTAAATGGTGAAGTCCTATGTAAATATAACCTCAGGAACAGGAAGAGATGCAGGAAGACAAAGAAGTCTGCTTTGGAGAAGTGTGTGCTGTATCAAAGACAATAAATTGAAAATAATTTTTTCAAATTAATTCATCAATTTGAGAGTGAAGACATTTTGCTAATGTGTAGGAAAAGGAAGGGAAATGAAGTGAGGGTCATGTTGGATTAAAAAAATTGCCACAATTCTTTGCACCTCGTCTCATCAAGAGGTTAAATGTGAGCTGATCTTGTGACTTGCTTTGGCCAATAGAATGCAACAGATGCAACATCCAGTGAGTTTTGAGCTTGGTCTTGAAAGGCTTGGCATGTTTCTGTTTGTGGCTTCTGGAACCCTATGACAGCTATGTAAAGGAGCTCGGGCTACTCTGTTTGGGGATGAGAGGCCATATGGAGAGGAACCCAACCACCAGAGCCAATAGCTCACCAGATCTCAGCTGATTAAGCAGCCAGCTGCAGAAGCATGAGGGAACCCCTGCAGAGACTGGTACAATGGCCCAGTTGAGCTCAGCCCAAATTATTGACACTTAGATCTATGAGTTAAATAAATGGTGTTGTTTTAACTCACTAAAAGTTGAGATGGTTATTACAGAGCAAAATCGACATGGCCCTATAATGTTCAAGAGTTTATACTGGGTTCTTCCTGTTATTTGGTCCCAATTAATCTTTATGAGTCTTGTGAGTATGTATTTTTAATCATATTCTAATTCTTAAAGGACACTGGTTAGAGGAATATGGTAACCATCAAATTGAAGGGTATATGGAAGGGTATATAAAATTTGTGTAAAGACTATCACTCTACCTGACTTCAAACTATACTATAATGCCACAGTAACCAAAAACAGCTTGGTACTGGTACAAAAACAGACACATAGACAAATGGAACAGAATAGAAAACTTAGAAATATAGCCACACACCTGCAACCATCTGATCTTTGACAAGGCCAATAAAAACAAGCAATAGGGAGAGAACTCCCTATTCTGTAAATGGTGCTTGGATAACTGGCTAGCCATATGCAGAAGACTGAAGTTGGATCCCTACCTTTCATCAGATATAAAAATTAACTCAAAATGGATTAAAGATTTAATACCTCAAAGTATGAAAATCCTGGAAGACATCCTAGGAAAAATTCTTTTTGACATCAGCCTTGGCAAAGAAGTTTTGGCTAAGTTCCTAAAAGCAAATGCCACAAAACCAAAAATAGACAAGTGGGACCTACTTAAACTGAAGAGCTTCTGCACAACCAAATGAACTATCAACAAAGCAAACAGATAACCTGCAGAATGGGAGAAGATATTCGCAAACTATGCATCCAACGAAGGACTAATATCCAGAATCTATAGGGAACTTAAATAAATAAACAAGCAATAATAATAATAATAATAATAATAACCCCATTAAAAAGTGGGCAAAGGACATGAACAGACACTTCTCAAAAGAAGATATAAAGTATCCAATACACATGAAAAAATGCCCAGCATCACTAATCACTAGAGAAATGGAAGTCAAAACCACAATGAGATACCATCTCATACCAGTCAGAGGCTGTGAAGAAAAGGGAATGCTTATACCCTGTTGTGGGAATGGAAATTAATCCAGCCACTGTGGAAAACAGTCTGGAGATATCTCAAATAACTTAGAACTATCATTTGACCCAGCAATCCCATTACTGGGTATATACCCAAAAGAAAATAAATCATTCTACCAAAAAGACACCTGCACTCATATGCTCATTGCTGCACTATTCACAATAGCAAAAACAGGGAATCAGCCTAGGTGTCCATCAAAGTGTGGTACATATACACAATGGAATACTATACAGGCATAAAAAAATAACCAAATAATGTCCTTTGTAGCAACATGGAGGGAGCTGGAGGCCATAATCCAAAGCAAATTACTGCAGGAACAGAAAACTAAAATACCTCATGTTCTTACTTATAAGTGGGAGCTAAACATTGAGCTCTCATGGACATAAATACGAGAACAATAGTCACTGTGTACTACTAGAGGGTTCAGGGGAGGTGTTTAAGAACTACTTGTTGGGTACTATGCTCACTAACTGGGTGATGAGATCTTACTCCAAACTTCAGCATCATGCAATATTCCCATGCAACTAATCTGCATACATGCCACCTGTATCTAAAAGAAAAGTTGAATTTTTTTAAAAAAAAGAATATTCACAGAAGATATATTAGAGTTTAAAATTGATATGTGGAAAAGATTTGAGAGATGAGACATAAGGAAGTCTATTTTTGTTGAGTAAACAGTACATGTTTACTTTCATAACTGTAAAATTTGGATCACTTGAACACATGGAAAATATACTGTGTAATCCCCATACTTAAATTTTAAAATAAAGGCAAGTATTTGGAGGAATCAATTTTCTTCACAAAAAGTCTGAGACTGTATCTGAAAGTCACTACTAGTTATTCTACAATAACGCTCAATGCTTTTTAAAGTTGAATGTCTTTTCTGAATTTCATAAAGCTAGTTTAAATTCAAGACTCTTTACTGATACAGTGACTATTAATATTTACTGCATTTGGCCAATATATACTATAACTCCTTATTTTGAACTAAATACGTTAATAGAGAAGTTGAAAGCTCTCTAAATTATACATACACATGTAAACTTTTAAGTAATGAATTGATATATATATATGAAATTAATTTAATCTTAAAATTACAAAAAAAAACACCCTGCAATGTCTTTACTTACACAAACCTTAGTTTTTATTAAGACACTGAATATAAAAATGCTGAATTTCAATTATTTCTCCAACTCCCCATCATTCTTAAGATATTCTCATTTCTTGCACGCGCGCGCACATACACACACACACACACACACACACACACACACACACTGTCCTGGTTGAGTTATAGGACATCCTGGTAAGAGTGTCTGCATAAAGCAAGAAACTGCTTACTACTTGTTTATTATTATCGCTTTACTTCTTTATGAAAGAAGATTGTTTTGGGACCAGCTCCTAAAAGTCATAGGGAAACCACCAGAATTATTTGCACATTTCTTTGCAAAAGAATTGCAGAAAGTATAAAGCTTATTCTAAAGATCCAGTATTGGTCACAGGCAAATCATGAAGAGGGTCTCATTTGTCTTTGAGGCCCCCATTCCCTACTTCCACTGCTGCTTTTCCAGCATCCTCATCTTCCCTTCTCACTACCAACGCTTTATTTTATTATTATTATTATTATTATTTTTTTTTTTTTTTTTTTGAGACGGAGTCTCGCTCTGCCGCCCAGACTGGAGGGCAGTGGCGCAATCTCGGCTCACTGCAAGCTCCGCCTCCCAGGTTCTCGCCAGTCTCCTGCCTCAGCCTCCGGAGTGGCTGGGACTACAGGCGCCCGCCACCACTCCTGGCTAATTTTTTTGTATTTTTAGTAGAGACGGGGTTTCACCGTGTTAGCCAGGATGGTCTCAATCTCCTGACCTAGTGATCCGCCCGCCTCGGCCTCCCAAAGTGCTGGGATTACAGGCGTGAGCCACCGCGCCTGGCCTCAAGGCTTTATTATATTACCCACTCTAACAAGTATTTGCATTTTTATAAGGACCAAATCCTTAAAGTAAATGGATAAAATTTTGTTGCAAGAAATTATCGAGTGTATGTGCGTGTGTGTGTGTGTGCAAATAGGAGTATATGGATCATTGTAACATCATATCATAGGGCCAGTGATCTGTTTCATGTATGCAGATTTGGAGCTTCAATGCTCTAAACACTGAGATTATATTGCCCTTCCTCCCATTTGTTATTTAAAATAAAAACAATATTAAACTATAAAATAAATGCAAGGAGTTCAGCAAAGTTCTGGCTTTTCTAATGGCGTTTCCTTGAATTTATTTTAATATTAATTTGAAATGTTTTCAAACATACTGATTTTTTTTTTTTCACTGTCTTTGGACCTCTGCTTACCTCTGAAGCCATAAACCAGACACTGGTGCTGCCCGTTGGTGACCCAGCAGAGTCTGCATGGTGAGGTCTTTTCTGCTATGATGAAAGCTAGCTTTCCAGGAAAAGTAATAGTGAGACAGCCTCATCAAGGGTCATTTGACACGGGTACAAAATGCTGACTTCTTTTTAGTACATTTATAAATTGGTAAGTATTTAGAAAGATCCTCTTTAGGACTAATTAGCCCCCCCTCAAAACTGTATATAAATTCATACAAAGTCAGGAAGGATGATAGCAGTAATACCTCTTGGGTACCTGGGCTCCTTACTTACTCTCCAAGCCTCTTCCTGACCTAACTCTTTCACTGCTCCCAGCTCCTGAGTCAATACTATCTACCTCATCCCTCTCCTGGTGGGATTTGACTAAATCCCTAAACCTCTGTCCTGGTCTTACAGTTGCAATTGCCTATTGTAGTATTGTCTTAGGGGGTTCAAGACAAATCAGGCAGAGGTGGAGCAAAGTCTGGCTGCACAGCAGGGTCTGTAGCAAATAAATCATGTGATGGGAGACTCAGGCCAAGAGGCACCTCCAAGCAGGATTGGTGTGCCCGAGAATCTGGGTAGGGTGAGGGAAGAGCCTAAAGTGATGAGTTCCACCAGCAAAATGCCTGCCCTTCACCTTCTGCCCTATTTCAATCTGAGTAAACTACCATGATTCACTAAGAAAAAAAAGAAAAGAAAGGCCACAAATACAGTAGTCAGATTCCTCTGAGTTATCAGTTCTGACATCTTGAACCATGCCAGGGGCATTAATATGAAAATGAGTCATTTTATTTTTAAATACATTTTTTATTATTTTATTTCAAATTAATGCACAGTAATTGTAGAAAATTAGGAAAATGTAAATAAGTAAAAAGAAGAAACAAGAATCTCAAATATACTACCCACATATAAATATTGTTAATATAAAATAATTTTGCTGTGTCTATACACTGTGGTCATGCGTAATGTATGTTATCTATCTATCTTTAAAATAAGGTCAAACTGTACAAACCATTGGAAGTTTGCCTTTTTTCATATAACTATATGTTGTGGATATCTTTAACAGAATCATTTTCAAGTGGTTTTCCTTTACCCTTTTCTTTTCATAGCGTGATTTGACATCTCTTTAATCTTGTACGTTCAGTCATTTTGAATTATCTGATATAGTTGTTTTAAAGTATGTTTTCAATAGCCTCTTATTAAGTCCAATTTTTATATAAAGAATTTTAACTGAGAAATTGTTAAGGCAGACAAAGAGAGCAAAAGAAAAATGACTAAGACAAGAGAAGTGTTGACTTAAAACAAAATACTTAATACATTTTGAAGGTTTTTTCCTGAGTTTTAAATGAAAACAAACCACTCCAATTCCCAACTTGTCCCAGAGCTCTTGAGACACACGTCTATTCAACTTAAATTATTATAAATTGCTATCGTACGTGTATTCCTATGGATAAAACATACAGTAAGTGCCTAGAAGGGAATCATTCTGTGAAAATACAGGCCCAAGTAACATAGTTCAGCATGATTCCCCAAATTACTTTGTGATTCTAAATTTCATGGTTTTTCATAGCACACTGAATGTGTTCAGTCTCATTCTGTGAGTGTACCACTATGAGGGTTCTTTACAGATGTCCCTACACAAAAGGTCTCTCAACCTGCTTTTTCCCCTTGTCTGAAGACATCTATCCAGACAATGGGACCGTCTACATTACAGTGTGGAATTACTATATTAAGATTCCTGTCTAAATTATCTTTTTCTTATCATCTAAAGAGATATCGTTTAACTATCAGATAATGAATGTTTTCCTTCATACTATAATCTTGATTTAAATAGTTCCAGACTCTTCTGGTGGATTCACCTGTTCAACAGTTGTGGTACATCACTTTACTGCTTTACAGGATTTAAACTGGGTTATTCATTTCTTTTTTTTTTTTATTATACTTTAAGTTTTAGGGTACATGTGCACATTGTGCAGGTTAGTTACATATGTATACATGTGCCATGCTGGTGCGCTGCACCCACTAACTCGTCATCTAGCATTAGGTATATCTCCCGATGCTATCCCTCCCCCCTACCCTCACCCCACAACAGTCCCCAGAGTGTGATATTCCCCTTCCTGTGTCCATGTGATCTCATTGTTCAATTCCCACCTATGAGTGAGAATATGCGGTGTTTGGTTTTTTGTTCTTGCGATAGTTTACTGAGAATGATGATTTCCAATTTCATCCATGTCCCTACAAAGGACATGAACTCATCATTTTTTATGGCTGCATAGTATTCCATGGTGTATATGTGCCACATTTTCTTAATCCAGTCTATCATTGTTGGACATTTGGGTTGGTTCCAAGTCTTTGCTATTGTGAATAATGCTGCAATAAACATACGTGTGCATGTGTCTTTATAGCAGCATGATTTATAATCCTTTGGGTATATACCCAGTAATGGGATGGCTGGGTCAAATGGTATTTCCAGTTCTAGATCCCTGAGGAATCGCCACACTGACTTCCACAATGGTTGAACTAGTTTACAGTCCCACCAACAGTGTAAAAGTGTTCCTATTTCTCCACATCCTCTCCAGCACCTGTTGTTTCCTGACTTTTTAATGATTGCCATTCTAACTGGTGTGAGATGGTATCTCATTGTGGTTTTGATTTGCATTTCTCTGATGGCCAGTGATGATGAGCATTTTTTCATGTGTTTTTTGGCTGCATAAATGTCTTCTTTTGAGAAGTGTCTGGTCATGTCCTTCACCCACTTTTTGATGGGGTTGTTTGTTTTTTTCTTCTAAATTTGTTTGAGTTCATTGTAGATTCTGGATATTAGCCCTTTGTCAGATGAGTAGGTTGCGAAAATTTTCTCCCATTTTGTAGGTTGCCAGTTCACTCTGATGGTAGTTTCTTTTGCTGTGCAGAAGCTCTTTAGTTTAATTAGATCCCATTTGTCAATTTTGTCTTTTGTTGCCATTGCTTTTGGTGTTTTAGACATGAAGTCCTTGCCCATGCCTATGTCCTGAATGGTAATGCCTAGGTTTTCTTCTAGGGTTTTTATGGTTTTAGGTCTAACGTTTAACTCTTTAATCTGTCTTGAATTGATTTTTGTATAAGGTGTAAGGAAGGGATCCAGTTTCAGCTTTCTACATATGGCTAGCCAGTTTTCCCAGCACCATTTATTAAACAGGGAATCCTTTCCCCATTGCTTGTTTTTCTCAGGTTTGTCAAAGATCAGATAGTTGTAGATATGTGGCGTTATTTCTGAGGGCTCTGTTCTGTTCCATTGATCTATATCTCTGTTTTGGTACCAGTACCATGCTGTTTTGGTTACTGCAGCCTTGTAGTATAGTTTGAAGTCAGGTAGTGTGATGCCTCCAGCTTTGTTCTTTTGGCTTAGGATTGACTTGGCGATGCGGGCTCTTTTTTGGTTCCATATGAACTTTAAAGTAGTTTTTTCCAATTCTGTGAAGAAAGGCATTGGTAGCTTGATGGGGATGGCATTCAATCTGTAAATTACCTTGGGCAGTATGGCCATTTTCACGGTATTGATTCTTCCTACCCACGAGCATGGAGTGTTCTTCCATTTGTTTGTATCCTCTTTTATTTCGTTGAGCAGTGGTTTGTAGTTCTCCTTGAAGAGGTCCTTCACATCCCTTGTAAGTTGGATTCCTAGGTATTTTATTCTCTTTGAAGCAATTGTGAATGGGAGTTCACTCATGATTTGGCTCTCTGTTTGTCTGTTGTTGGTGTATAAGAATGCTTGTGATTTTTGTACATTGATTTTGTATCCTGAGACTTTGCTGAAGTTGCTTATCAGCTTAAGGAGATTTTGGGCTGAGACAATGGGGTTTTCTAGATATACAATCATGTCATCTGCAAACAGCGACAATTTGACTTCCTCTTTTCCTAACCGAATACCCTTTATTTCTTTCTCCTGCCTAATTGCCCTGGCCAGAACTTCCAACACTATGTTGAATAGGAGTGGTGAGAGAGGGCATCCCTGTCTTGTGCCAGTTTTCAAAGGGAATGCTTCCAGTTTTTGCCCATTCAGTATGATATTGGCTGTGGGTTTGTCATAGATAGCTCTTATTATTTTGAAATACGTCCCATCAATACCTAATTTATTGACAGTTTTTAGCATGAAGGATTGTTGAATTTTGTCAAAGGCTTTTTCTGCATCTATTGAGATACTCATGTGGTTTTTGTCTTTGGCTCTGTTTGTATGCTGGATTACATTTATTGATTTGCGTTTATTGAACCAGCCTTGCATCCCAGGGATGAAGCCCACTTGATCATGGTGGATAAGCTTTTTGATGTGCTGCTGGATTAGGTTTGCCAGTATTTTATTGAGGATTTTTGCATCAATGTTCATCAAGGATATTGGTCTAAAATTCTCTTTTTTTGTTGTGTCTCTGCCTGGCTTTGGTATCAGAATGATGCTGGCCTCATAAAATGAGTTAGGGAGGATTCCCTCTTTTTCTATTGATTGGAATAGTTTCAGAAGGAATGGTACCAGTTCCTCCTTGTACCTCTGGTAGAATTCGGCTGTGAATCCATCTGGTCCTGGACTCTTTTTGGTTGGTAAGCTATTGATTATTGCCACAATTTCAGCTCCTGTTATTGGTCTATTCAGAGATTCAACTTCTTCCTGGTTTAGTCTTGGGAGAGTGTATGTGTCCAGGAATTTATCCATTTCTTCTAGATTTTCTAGTTTATTTGCGTAGAGGTGTTTGTAGTATTCCCTGATGGTAGTTTGTATTTCTCTGGGATCGGTGGTGATATCCCCTTTATCATTTTTTATTGCGTCTATTTGATTCTTCTCTCTTTTTTTCTTTATTAGTCTTGCTAGTGGTCTATCAATTTTGTTGATCCTTTCAAAAAACCAGCTCCTGGATTCATTAATTTTTTGAAGGTTTTTTTGTGTCTCTATTTCCTTCAGTTCTGCTCTGCTTTTAGTTATTTCTTGCCTTCTGCTAGCTTTTGAATGTGTTTGCTCTTGCTTTTCTAGTTCTTTTAATTGTGATGTTAGGGTGTCAGTTTTGGATCTTTCCTGCTTTCTCTTGTGGGCATTTAGTGCTATAAATTTCCCTCTACACACTGCTTTGAATGTGTCCCAGAGATTCTGGTATGTTGTGTCTTTGTTCTCACTGGTTTCAAAGAACATCTTTATTTCTGCCTTCATTTCATTATTTACCCAGTAGTCATTCAGGAGCAGGTTGTTCAGTTTCCATGTAGTTGAGCGGTTTTGAGTGAGATTCTTAATCCTGAGTTCTAGTTTGATTGCACTGTGGTCTGAGAGATAGTTTGTTATAATTTCTGCTCTTTTACATTTGCTGAGGAGAGCTTTACTTCCCAGTATGTGGTCAATTTTGGAATAGGTGTGGTGTGGTGCTGAAAAAAATGTATATTCTGTTGATTTGGGGTGGAGAGTTCTGTAGATGTCTATTAGGTCCGCTTGGTGCAGAGCTGAGTTCAATTCCTGGGTATCCTTGTTGACTTTCTGTCTCGTTGATCTGTCTAATGTTGACAGTGGGGTGTTAAAGTCTCCCTTTATTAATGTGTGGGAGTCTAAGTCTCTTTGTAGGTCACTCAGGACTTGCTTTATGAATCTGGGTGCTCCTGTATTGGGTGCATATACATTTAGGACAGTTAGCTCTTCTTGTTGAATTGATCCCTTTACCATTATGTAATGGCCTTCTTTGTCTCTTTTGATCTTTGTTGGTTTAAAGTCTGTTTTATCAGAGACTAGGATTGCAACCCCTGCCTTTTTTTATTTTCCATTGGCTTGGTAGATCTTCCTCCATCCTTTTATTTTGAGCCAATGTGTGTCTCTGCACGTGAGATGGGTTTCCTGAATACAGCACACTGATGGGTCTTGACTCTTTATCCAATTTGCCAGTCTGTGTCTTTTAATTGGAGCATTTAGTCCATTTACATTTAAAGTTAATATTGTTATGTGTGAATTTGATCCTGTCATTATGATGTTAGCTGGTTATTTTTCTCGTTAGTTGATGCAGTTTCTTCCTAGTCTCGATGGTCTTTACATTTTGGCATGATTTTGCAGTGGCTGGTGCCGGTTGTTCCTTTCCATGTTTAGTGCTTCCTTCAGGAGCTCTTGTAAGGCAGGCCTGGTGGTGACAAAATCTCTCAGCATTTGCTTGTCTGTAAAGTATTTTATTTCTCCTTCACTTATGAAGCTTAGTTTGGCTGGATATGAAATTGTGGGTTGAAAATTCTTTTCTTTAAGAATGTTGAATATTGGCCCCCACTCTCTTCTGGCTTGTAGGGTTTCTGCTGAGAGATCCGCTGTTAGTCTGATGGGCTTCTCTTTGATGGTAACCCGACCTTTCTCTCTGGCTGCCCTTAACATTTTTTCCTTCATTTCAACTTTGGTGAATCTGACAATTTTGTGTCTTGGAGTTGCTCTTCTCGAGGAGTATCTTTGTGGCGTTCTCTGTATTTCCTGAATCTGAACGTTGGCCTGCCTTGCTAGATTGGGGAAGTTCTCCTGGATAATATCCTGCAGAGTGTTTTCCAACTTGGTTCCATTCTCCCCATCACTTTCAGGTACACCAATCAGACGTAGATTTGGTCTTTTCACATAGTCCCATATTTCTTGGAGGCTTTGCTCATTTCTTTTTATTCTTTTTTCTCTAGACTTTCTTGCTTCATTTCATTCATTTCATCTTCCATCGCTGATACCCTTTCTTCCAGTTGATCGCATCGGCTCCTGAGGCTTCTGCATTCTTCACATAGTTCTCGAGCCTTGGTTTTCAGCTCCATCAGCTCCTTTAAGCACTTCTCTGTATTGGTTATTCTAGTTATACATTCTTCTAAATTTTTTTCAAAGTTTTCAACTTCTTTGCCTTTGGTTTGAATGTCCTCCCGTAGCTCAGAGTAATTTGATTGTCTGAAGCCTTCTTCTCTCAACTCGTCAAAGTCATTCTCCATCCAGCTTTGTTCTGTTGCTGGTGAGGAACTGCGTTCCTTTGGAGGAGGAGAGGTGCTCTGCTTTTTAGAGTTTCCAGTTTTTCTGTTCTGTTTTTTCCCCATCTTTGTGGTTTTATCTACTTTTGGTCTTTGATGATGGTGATGTAAAGATGGGTTTTTGGTGTGGATGTCCTTTCTGTTTGTTAGTTTTCCTTCTAACAGAGAGGACCCTCAGCTGCAGGTCTGTTGGAGTACCCTGCCGTGTGAGGTGTCAGTGTGCCCCTGCTGGGGGCTGCCTCCCAGTTAGGCTGCTCAGGGGTCAGGGGTCAGGGACCCACTTGAGGAGGCAGTCTGCCTGTTCTCAGATCTCCAGCTGCATGCTGGGAGAACCACTGCTCTCTTCAAAGCTGTCAGACAGGGACATTTAAGTCTGCAGAGGTTACTGCTGTCTTTTTGTTTGTCTGTGCCCTGCCCCCAGAGGTGGAGCCTACAGAGGCAGGCAGGCCTCCTTGAGCTGTGGTGGGCTCCACCCAGTTCGAGCTTCCAGGCTGCTTTGTTTACCTAATCAAGCCTGGGCAATGGCGGGCGCCCCTCCCCCAGCCTCGCTGCCGCCTTGCAGTTTGATCTCAGACTGCTGTGCTAGCAATCAGCCAGACTCCGTGGGCGTAGGACCCTCCGAGCCAGGTGCAGGATATAATCTCGTGGTGCACCGTTTTTTAAGCCCGTCGGAAAAGCGCAGTATTCGGGTGGGAGTGACCCGATTTTCCAGGTGCCGTCCGTCACCCCTTTCTTTGACTCAGAAAGGGAACTCCCTGACCCCTTGCGCTTCCCAAGTGAGGCAATGCCTCGCCCTGCTTCGGCTCGCGCATGGTGCGCGCACCCACTGACCTGCGCCCACTGTCTGGCACTCCCTAGTGAGATGAACCCGGTACCTCAGATGGAAATGCAGAAATCACGCGTCTTCTGCGTCGCTCACGCTGGGAGCTGTAGACCGGAGCTGTTCCTATTCGGCCATCTTGGCTCCTCCTCCTAAGCTGTAACTCTATTCATTTCTTATATACGTGGCTGGTTCTGGGTCCCTTGCGGTAAAATGATGTATCTGGTTTAAAATTAAACACAAAGATTTGATAACTTCTCATTGCTTCTAAGCATGTGAATTCTGTGGTTCAGCCAGGTAAAGATAATTTTTAAAATCAGAATTAATTTAAACTTGCAGGTGAGCATATGGCTGCTGCATTCATATAATTTCTGCTTGAATGGCCTGTGCTTTTGATGTTCTTTGCTTCTCTTTGTAAATCCTTATTTTTCTTTCCATTTGTGATCTATTCAGTTGTTGATTCCATATAACTGGAGAAGCAGTTTTAATGGAATCATCAGCAGTTTTCACTAATACTTCTCAGAGTTTTGTAGCCAGGGAGACATTTCTCCCAATTCACCTTTATTTCCTTCTGAGCCTTGAGCATACTCTACTTTTCCTGAGGAGTGATTTTCAGGAGTATGATTTGCCCCCTGAGAAGGATTTCAGTGATTTGGTAGAGGAATGAAGAGTATAAAGACTTCTTTGCTTAAGCTGTGTAGCAGCAATTTTCTTCCTTTAAAAGTTAAACCATCTCTTTTCCTTTTCCTACTCTGATATGTTCTCTTACATCAACTCTTTTTTAAAAATTAACATTTAGAGCCACAGCAGGTTGCTAAGAGTACATAGCATGCCATCGTGTTCCAGGGCCACCATGGCCTCTGCTCCTCCTGAGATCATGATCCCTGTAGAGTCCTCCCAGATGGATCTCTTATTTTCCTTACCTTTTTCCTCAAGGGCTCTGGAAGCATTTATCTTTTCATTTAAGACCATTTATAACTAGAAACTAAGCTTTAGTGCTTAGTTCCTTCAGCTGACTTTAGTCTTCCATGATTTCTGTTTCAATGCTAGGGTTTTCTGGTGTTTGATTTTGTTTTCTCTTTGTTCTGAAACATTCAACTTTCCTCTCCCCAGCATTCTATCAGGACATAAAATTGATGCCTATCAAACCCTTAGTATAAGAGTCTGTAGTATGTCACATTCATGTAAGTACATCTATGCTTGTTTATCATGCCACAAACATGTTAAATGATTTTTATCTTTGCAAAAGGTAACATTAGTGTTCCCTGAAGCCAGGTCACATGGAGTAGAATAGGTATAAATTCAGTAAACATAAATCCTGTGTTTTTTTCTTATGTTTTCAAGTCAATATTTTTCTATACACATATTTGCTTATATGTTTAGAAGTTGTTACTTGATGATTAGGGTTGTGATGAATGATACCATCCTTAGACCTAAAAAATTTGTTAAATTAACTTTTTGGTTCATATGGTGCACTCTAGTGGGGTCTACTTGAATTACAAACTGTCCTGTTCCCAGCTCCTTCCATCATTTTTGAAGATTGGGGAATTATCAGAGAGGCAGAAATTAACTAAAAATATACTGTGGCATAACATATATCATTTAAAAACTGGTGAACTCTTCTGAATAAAAGAAACATAGATCCAGAAAGGAGGTGGAAGTATCCAGTTCTTTCTATTGCTTCTAATGAGCACTTCACCTAAGTCAATCCAGAAGATAGATTTCTACCCTAAGCATATGTCTGAAGGAGAGAAGTAAATCATGCAACATAACTATTTTGTGTTTACTTTGAAAAGGTTTCAAATCGATGTTAAACATCATTATCATCAAATATTTACAGAGCATGAGTTTTGTACTTAAAAGTGTACAAGATGCTATGATTATTTTTTCCTGGGCTACTACATACATTATAACTACTGACAAGCCAGTACATTCAAGTGTATCTTTACATTTAATTGGAAAATCAAAATAGAATTCTTTTTTTTGAGACAGAATCTCACTCTGTCACCGAGGCTGGAGTGCAGTGGTGTGATCATAGCTCATTGTAAGCTCAAACTCCTGTCCTCCTGCCTCAGCCTTCCAAGTAGCTGGGACTATAGGTGTGTGCCACCACTCTGCTTTCCCTGGACTAATTTTTAAATTTTTTGTAGAGATGAGTCCTCACTTTGTTTCCCAGGCCTCAAGCAATCCTCCTGCCTCAACTTCCCAAAGAACTGGGGTTACAGATATGAGCCACTGGGCTGGGCCCCTAAAATAGAACTCATAGGATGAGGTGTATATTAGTCTGTCTCACCCTGCTAATAAAGACATATCTGAGACTGCGTAATTTACAAAGGAAAGAGGTTTAATGGACTCACCTTATGATTGTGAGGAAGGCCTCACAATCATGGCAGAAGGCAAATGAGGAGCAAAGTCACATCTTACATGGTGGCAGGCAAGAGAGCTTGTGCAGGGGAACTCCCATTTATCAAACCATCAGATCTCAGGAGACTTATTCACTAATATGGGAAGACTATGGGGGAAACCACCCCCATGATTCAATTATCTCCACCTGGCCTTGCCCTTGACACGTGGGGATTATTACAATTCAAAGAGAGATTTGGGTGGGAACACAGCCAAACCATAGCAGGGTGATACCATAACACTGTGGAAAATAGCCATGTTCTGCCAATAATGTTGGAGACCAGAGATATTCTTCATGGAAAATTTCTAGTCCATTTTCTTTTAATATAGCACATTTTCATTTCTGTGTGATTTTTTAAAAAAGAAAATCCAATAGACAATGTAGATATGAAGCTGTGCAATGTTGAAAGCAGAGAGGACTGAGAATTAAGAGATCTGGATTCTAGTTGGTGTGCTTTCACCAGCCAGCTTAGAGACTGGGCAAGCCAGTGAACAGTCTGGTCTTCCACTTTTTCATCTGTAAGACTAGGAGGTTAGCCAAATATTTCTTCATTGGTTGGTTCATTAGTTGATCCTAACTATGACATTGCATTGTTCACAAGTAGAAACACTATTTTTCACAGTCCCTGAAAATCTGTGAGAAATTTAGGGTACTTTAACGTTCATATTAAAGTCCTGTCCAAAGGAGAAAGTCGTATTAACTAGTTAATACTAGTCGTTTGTAACATAATTCAGACAAATAAGAATCATAGAAGAATGTTCTTTGAACATTCTCATTTGTTGGTAATGTTTACATTCTCTTGGATCACTAGAACTCGGTAGTTATGAAAGGTTTATAGTACTCATAACAGAAAGGAATGCTTAATTGCATAATAGGAACTTTTTGATAAGAAAATATGGATACAGATAGACTCCGTCAAAGTCCATATATATCCTTCAGTTTGGCATGCATGGGAAAACATTATTCACATGTTCTTCTCATAATTATTATTAAACCTATATTAATATATAATATAATAAAGATTTTTAGAGATGACTTTAAATATCTCTATATGCCTAAGGTTTTATATTAGGCCATAATAAAATGTGTGGATTCTGAATAATAATTTCTGGTTGTTACTTAAAATTTATACAGAAATATATTCTGCTAAATGAAACAAAGTTGAGGCAAGAATCAATGGCATGAGAGCTTCCTTGAGAAATGATTAAGTCCATCGCTTTGCCCACCTCTAAACCTATGTGCTACATTATCTGAAGAGAAAGAGACACTGACCTATTTTTAAATTCCCCATTCTGGTAGGTTCCTCAGTCCTCCTGAGTAATGCCCACATTCCTGTGTCTGACTCTTCAGATTCCTGCCTCCTCTTCAGGATATGGTGGTAACTATGTCAGCATTTAAAGAATGAAAAATTAAATATCATAGGGTACATAATTTATGCTACAAATTAATCCCCATTTCATTCACATATTCCATTGGTTCTCTGTTTTGCTTTTATCTCACCATGATTATCAAGTAGATGTAGTTAAATAATATCTTCACCTTCTGCCATTTAAAAAATAATAGCTCTTAGTGCTTAGTAGGTACTGGGCAGTATGTAAACACCAGGGTTAGAGTCAAGTAATTATTTTAAGACCTAAATTTGTTCTTTTTCTGATTTTATTAATGTCCCTAATTCCACAACATGAACTCTGTGGTAAACTACTTAATAAACTACTACCAAACGAAACAGTTGATTCAGTCAATATAGGGACAACATGTAGTCAAGATTTAAACAAAATTCTATTCAACAGCAAAGTCAGTTAAGAAAAAAGAAAACAACACTAATAAAACTATATTTGGATTCACACCAAACCAAGTATTTTGTTATAGTATAATACAATTCTTGCTAGTTTCTCATATATACATAAAGCAAATTTTAAAAAATCACCAAAATGTTGAAATATTATTCACTCAAGATTGGTAAGGTACTTGTCCCTGATGCTAATGAAATGTACTGAAGTCATGATATGAAATGTAAGCTTACTACAAAAGCTTTAATCATTTATGTTACAGTTCTACATTAAGGCACAAGCCAAGAGCAGTTGAAGAATTTGCCATATAGAGACCCAGATCAAGTTTCTGCATTTAATGAGCTACAAAAGGACACTATATTTAGCTCATGTCTCAGAGCAGTAATTCAGTCATTACCTCTATCTTGTAAAAAGATTGTTGGAAACAAGTCATTTTAAAAGCTGTTAAAATATCCTAACTTGATGAATTCATTCTAAAAATGGATACTATATAGATTAGTGCAGGAAATATATAAATACTATAAGAGGATTCACTTCCCCAGAAATTCACATATAGTCCATCTCAGGGGAAAAAATGCTGATTCCAATCCAGTAACAATTACCTCCTATAAATTTATCTGTCATAGGTTATTTCCCATCATCTTGGTATGTTCAGACTCTATAAATAAATCCACGGTGGTTAGAAATGTCACACTAAGGCTGGGCACCATGGCCCACACCTGCAATCCCAGCACTTTGGAAGGCCAAGATGGGAGGATCTCTTGAGCCCAGGAGTTCAAGACCAGCCCGGGCAACACAGCAAGACCCCATCGCTACGAAAGTAAAAAAAAAATTAGCCAGGTGTTGTGTTGCGCACCTGTAGTCCCAGCTACTCAAGAGGCTGAGGTGGGAGGATCCCTTGAGCTCAGGAATTCAAGGTTGCAGTGAGCTATGATTGTACCACTGCAGTTAAGCCTGGGCAACAGAAAGAGACCTATTTCAAAAAAATAAAAACATAGAAATATCACACTATGGCATTCTGGCGACATTTGATCTGGCTAAAACAATGAAATATAATCAGATTTTAAAATGTGTTCTCTTCTGAAAATGCCAAAGAACTCAAAAAGAATAATCACATTCACTTTCACGAAATATTCTAGCATCAGATGCATAAAATGCTAAAAGCCCCTTTCTAGAGGTAGAAGCATATAATACAATGAAAGACCTTAGAAGGAATATATTTATACACATTAAAGAGTCTCATTCTAGAAGAGCATGAATTTGCTTGAGTTGTTTTCTTCCTGTTATATAAGAGCATGGGAGTCAGCCAATGGACATCTTGCCACAGAGGATCGACAGATGCTTGCAGAGTAAAAGTGGGAAAAAGCCAGGAAGTCCAAATTAGCAAACTTCATTTTGACTATGGACAAAACATTTGTTTTAATGAAAGATATTCAACTCGTTTTCTAGTTTTGACATAGGCCTTATGACTTTATAAACACATTTTATTATCCACTTCTTTAAGGTTTTTAAAAAACAATCCATATTCTCGCTTTCATAGGTGCAGTGTTGTATTTTATTATACGCCAATAAATGAACTGCAATATGTGGCCAGAAATACTGAATATTTCAATATTATAGGCATAGCATTGTTGTTTTTAAGATGCAGCGAGAAATCTGAGCATTTGCATGGGAATGGTCTATTAGAAAAGTTTGTAAAAAAAAAAAAGAAGAGTAAAATTAATATAAATTTTCCTGCAAACAATTATTACCTTGAAACACTATATTTCATGTCCTTAGCATTCCTCATCTTGTTCTAATTATCAGCCTCTTTCCACCTTACCATGTAGTGTGATAGAGAGGGCACGGGCTCTGAAATTTTACAGGTCTGCCTTCAAATCCAGCTCCACTACTTGCTTGCAGCGTGATCTTGGAAACTGAGCCTCAGTTCCATCATTTACACAAGTATAATAAATTTAATTTAAATGGTGTTCTGAGGATGAAATCAGAAAATAATGTTTGTCACACTTAGTAGGTAGGGGTACGGTAGCTGTTTCTTCTTTTCAAATCTCCCTTCTACCCTCAAAACAACAAAACAATAAAACCTGGGTACATCGTGAGTATATTCTGGTTTTTGGTGGTGTAAAGCTTAAGAATACAAAATTAGTTTTAAAAATATACACTTAGAGGAGAAAATAAATCATAACAAATTACAAATTTTTAAAAAGCTGATTAAAAAATGAAGCATCATACTTTTTGATCACTTCATCTGTCAGCAATTTTGTAATAGCATTTTTCTATATTGAAAAAAAAATCAGACTTTTTTCCCAGCATGGTTGATTGAACTTTGGTTTTTAATATGTCTAGTCTGCACATTATTTTTCAGGATCATAACTGGTTATTGATAATGGCAGGTTAAATTTTAGAATTGTTGCCAATTTTAGAGGATTATTTATCAAATTTATTTAATTATACATTTCAAGATTTGGAAGAATTCCAAGTTTTCTCTAGCGAAAAATTTTAAATAACTTTTAAATTGGCAACAATGGACCAACTTTTTATTGATATTGTCATGTCCTGATGCTGGACAGAATAAGAAGTAGTATTTCTAGAAACTGTTCAGCCAGCAATTTATACCCAGATGTGACTTTGCACACCATGATTCCCATTAAATACAAACAAAATATATCTTCAATTCAACTGTCCCTTAATTGCACCTCATACTAAAAACGGAAAGTTACAGTAAAGAGAAAATGGTCTTATTGCCAACTGCAGTTAAAATACCTTGCTATTGCAAAGTGTACGAAACTTATGACTGCATGAATATATGGTCAGGGCCCTTCCCAGGCCTTGAAAGGAGTCTGTGTAAGGGGCCCTGAAGCATAAGCTTCATTAGCTTCATCTAAAATTCCTGCTTCTCATTTCTTTTCATTGTTTGTCTTCCTTTCCCACTCAAACTCCCGTCACTTCTCTGCTTCCACTCCCTACATTCTGACTATTAGCTCCATCACGATATTGAAATTGCTCTCTTGAATGCATTGACATTCAACTGCTTTTCCTCAATTCTGGTCCAACTTGATCTTATCACATACTAGGCCATTGATCACATGCTCCTTGAAACTCCTCCTTCCTTTTGTTTTCTGGTGACTCCTTAGTTCCCTATTTGTCTTGTAGCCTTGCAGCCTTCCTTCTTTGCCCTTTCCTGGCTTGTCTTTCTCTTTCACCTCCCACCTTATATGGATCCCTACAGTTCTCTTCTCTGCCTTCTATACTCATCATCCTGTGAACTCCAGAGAGAACTCTCAGCTCTCATGGCTCCAGCTGTGACCTCTACCTGGATGATTTCTAAATCTCTAATTCTCATCTTAACCTTTTAGTATGCTCCAATTTCATTTTCCCATCCATTTGAATAACAAGCCTGTTCAATGTCTCATCACCACCTTAAAAACCAGATGTTCAAAACCTACTTCATCCTCATTCATCCCAACTTACCCCATGTGTACTATGCCATTTGTACTACCTAATTATTCACTGGCCTCTAATTATGTCATCTCCTAAAATACTATATAAGTTTATGAAGGCTTAGAAATGTATCCTCCTCTCCCTTCCTGCCCCTCTTCTCCTTCTCCCTCTCCTCCTCCTCTTCTTCCTTCGACTCCTAGACAGTGCTGGCTATACAATTGATATTCAGTAAACATGTGCAGATTAAATAATATTCTCTAGAATGTTGAGAAAAATTCTATACATCTATTTCTTGTAAAGAAATAGATCATTTTCATCCTTTTTTTTTTTAAAAAAAACTGACTTTACAAGCTTAAAACCTTTTAAACTTTCAGGAAATCTTTTTTTTTTTTTTTTTTTTTTTTTGAGACGGAGTCTCGCTCTGTCGCCCAGGCTGGAGTGCAGTGGCGGGATCTCGGCTCACTGCAAGCTCCGCCTCCCGGGTTCTCGCCATTCTCCTGCCTCAGCCTCCCAAGTAGCTGGGACTACAGGCGCCCGCCACTACGCCAGGCTAATTTTTTGTATTTTCAGTAGAGACGGGGTTTCACCGTTTTAGCCGGGATGGTCTCGATCTCCTGACCTCGTGATCCGCCCGCCTCGGCCTCCCAAAGTGCTGGGATTACAGGCGTGAGCCACCGCGCCCGGCCTGGAAATCTTAAAACATGGGGAAATAAGGAGAAAATCACTAAGATTTATGAAGATGACACATGCACAATGCTCCAACTGTTTGGTCCTTCATTAAGATGAGAAAATCTGTGAAACACTACCATCTGCCATCCAAAGAATTACAAAATTTAAAAACACACTCAAATTAAGTCAATTGATGACTCACAACAGGGATACAGGTTTAAAAGGCGACACATTATATAATGAGTAATAGAGTGTAAAACAATGGCAGGGCAGAGAGGAAAGAGGAGAAGAGGACGAGAAGGGGGTGGAGGACCAATGGTGATTACCCAGTTGCCATGTCACTGCCAAGCTACAAGACAAGAAGATGGGAGGGAGAGAATGACTAAATTATTCTCTGCCCTCATCATTAGCAACCCACTGTTGCTGAGAGTCAAGAAAGTGTTCAATTTCAGGAAGAGTTCTTGTGCTTCAATAATATGATTGTGTTTCATTTCTTAGTTAAATCTTCCATCAATGGTGGGGGGCAAAATGAAAGAGTTGGGAAGCCCTAACTTACTCACAGAAACGTAGTTACACCCAGACAGAAGCATCTGATCCATGGTTGTTCATATTTTTTCGGGAAATAACCCAGCCCTGAAAAAGAAAAATGCTTCTGAAAAGAACTGGAGATTGAGACTGCATAACCCAAACTGGACAGTAAAAACAATGAAAGTAATAGCTACCCTCTGTTGAGTTCTTAATATGTGCCAGACACCTTTAAGTGCTATATACAGTTACTATTTCATTGATCCACACAGAAAGTCTATGAATTAGGAATGATTATTATCCTAATATGACAGATGAGGAAAGTAAGGCACAGAGAGGTTAAGCAATTTGCCCAAGGTTACACAGTATGAAAGTTTCAGAACCAGGATATGAACCCAGGTGATCTCACTTCAGACTTCACATCTTAATGAAGAAACTTTCATTCTTATTCTATGCTAATATACTATGGTGCATTTTAATGTATTTTAGGTGATTTTTTTATTATATAGACAGAATAAGATGAATTAGCTGTATTATTAAAATATCAATAAAGTCCTTAAAGTTCATAAAAGTAGGTATAACTATTACAATCACTTCAGCTTTAATAAAGGAAACAAGCATAAAGGAACTATAACTGAAAACAATGTAAAATACTGACATACTTAGGAATTTATCATTTTTATCTCCTAAGCAATCTCAGTTTGTATACCATTTTACAAATAAGTTAAAAACCTTAATAAGCTATGGTTTTGTCTATTTTGAAATTTAGCTCATTGTTGAAAATGAAAAAAATAGAAAGTATTTATTTTCTACTGTTACAGAAAATCTAAATAGACAAATTTTATTTAGTACCTAAACTTAGAAGGTTTTGAAAGGATTTATGAGATTGTAAAGTGACTAGGGGCACCTAGCACAAGCTATCTTTAAAAGGTTTCCTTGTAGGCTGGGCACGGTGGCTCACCCCTGTAATCCTCCCAAACACTTTAGAAGGCGGAGGCTGGTGGATTGCTTGAGCCTAGGAGTTTGAGACCAGCCTGGGCAATATGGCAAAACCCCTTCTCTACAAAAAATACATAAATTAGCCAGGCATGGTGGCAGGCACCCGTAGTCCCAACTACTCAAGGGGCTGAGGTAGGAGAACCTGAGTCTGGGAGGTCGAGTTTGCAGTGAGCCATGATTGCATCACTGCACACCCCGGACAACAGAGGGAGGCCCTGTCTCAAAAAAAAAAAAGTTTCCTTTTAATACAACTAAAACTAATATATAATAAGCCAAATTGCTGTTAATCTCCTATCTTAGTTTGGCCTCTTGCAGACACAGACCCTGAGATGAGGATTCAAGTGCAACCAGTTTGGGCAGAGGAGGACATGATCAGAAGAGAGTGAGGAAATGAGACAAGGAGGGAGGGCAGCAACAAAGGATGTGGTATGAAGTCTGCTATCACCTGTGAGTGAGGCCTAATCCCACTGGGCAAATCCTGAAAGCCAGTGTATACCATGTTCCTCAGAAGAGCGAGGGAGCTAGGACATTTACACACTAACTCCCATCAGCCCATTCCTTCAGGCGTTGCATGAGGGCTGCTCTGGTGAGGGGCAACAACTCTGCCATTTGTCAGGCCTGCCATACTGGAGGGCAGAGTGCACTCCAATAGCAAGAGAAAGCCCTTGGTGCAGGTGCTGGCGATGGGACATCCAGCAGCATATGCTACGCTTCTCCTCTGTGCTACTTTCCACTGTAAAAGGGACTATTTTTTCTATAAATCTTTACGTTCAAAACATCATCTACTCTTGGAAATAAGAAAACAAGAGATCAAATTATCCAACAATGAGACTTTTTTATCATGTTAGTTTGTGTGAGGCCTTCACAGAAGCAATGCTCAGACTCCCTGTTTCAAGCTGCTCTGGATGATTAAACACATGATGTCTTGCACAGAACAGTAGAGGAGGAGTTAGCAGGAAGACGTGTGCAAGAAGCAAAATACACTGAGTGTATCCCTTATTGAAGATATCAGGGCTGGGTGCAGTGGCTCATGCCTGTAATCCCAGCACTTTGGGAGGCTGAGGTGGGCAGATCTCTTGAGGCCAGGAGTTTAAGACCAGCTGGGCCAAAATGGTGAAACCCCGTCTCTACTAAAAATACAAAAATTAGTCTGATGTGGTGGCATGCGCCTCTGGTTCCAGCTACTTGGGAGGCCGAGGAAGGAGAATCACTTGAACCCAGGAGGCAGAGGCTGCAGTGAGCTGAGATCACACCGCTACGCTCTAGCCTGGGCAATAGAGCGAGACTCTGCATCAAAATATATATGTATATATCAGGATGCAGTCTGGAAAGTCTCTTCCTCTTCCAGTCCTTAGGTAAATTGATTGTTACTGTTTTGGGTCTCATGGTCATCGGAGGAAGCCATTTATCCTTCTTACTTTATCTATTCATGAACCCTAAATTTCTGTGGGCCTTCAAATCCCTTATTTATGAGGCAAGGGGATTTGCAGTCCTGAGAGAGACCAAGTGGCTTATCATTGGTCTTAAATTGAGTTGATGATTTAACTTGAGCCAGAGCTGACTCCATATCTGGTCAAGGAGATGGGAAGATTTGGAGTAAGAAACCTGCTCCAGCTCACTCACTGTCCTCTAAGATACACACATTGCCATTCCCACTTGCCTTCAAATTTGTCTCATTCTTTTCTTTCTTTCACATAAAAGTTTCCAAATTGGCCAAATGGCCAAATGACCAAATAGATGTTTTTCTTCTTTAATGTTCTTGCTTCCTTGTAGCTGTAGGTTAGAATTTGCATGTACTTCTTCAGGAGTGAAAGATATGTAGTAACGAGATAAATCCTCATGTGATTAGAAGACATAAAGGACATTTCAACCATCCCTACCTGCCCTTGAACCCTATTTTTATTCATCTTTCTCTCAGTCATACACTCACATAGTTAGAAAAATAGATTTGTTTGTATATCTTGTAGTTTGCCTCTTTTTTATTCATATTAAACTTTTTCTCAGGCTGTACCTTGATGCTTTGTTCTGAAACATCCTCACTCATTATCCAAACACAACTAATTAAAATTAGTTAATTTTGAAAAATTAATCATAAAGATTCCCCAAGTTGAAAAAAATTCAAGAAATAAATGTCAGGCTTTTAACAACAACAACAACAATGAAAAAGGTGATGAAAATCAGGAAATCACATGCCTAACTAAGAAGTGTGATTTTTCACCCTCTTGTTGGATGCCTGGCAGGATTGCAAAGAAGATGAAAAAAAAAGATTAACTATGTGATTTATATTTGTGCTTTGAAATTTGTCCCTAGCCTGAAATCAGATCTCTGTGTTTACTCAGCCATAAGTTGGAATAACATTACACCTCCAGCTGATGACTCACAGGAAATACTGGATGATTTTTAAAAGGAAAAATAAGCGTAACATTCTTTTTCTGAGCATCCTGAAAGATAGGGAGATAAGAGAAAGAGGATGGAAATGCCTTCCCACAGTCACCACTCAATAATACTCATTAAGTTCTGAAGAGAACAGAAATGCTGATAGTTTTCTCTGGTCTGTACACGGGGAAGTGTGAAAGGATGCTGTTACATTGTAAGTGCATTTGTTGGGAGGTTTTCTTCCCAGCTGTAACTCCAGGATGTATGTACATGTGTGAATATGTGCATGTATGTGAGTGTGTGTATGTAAAGGGGAAAGGTATAGTCAGAACTCAGAAAATGAAACATGAATATTTATAACTAGGCTTCTTATGTATTTCTCTTTTATATCTTTGAAGAGAAACATCATAAAGATGGAAAGTATATAAACATATAGATGATTACAATAGAAGAGCAACATACAGCAAAGGTATCAGGGTTGCATATTGCAATTTTGCATAATCCAAGCATTATATTAAATCATCCTTTGCTAGAAAAACATGCATTCCTATAAAAATTAGAGTACAACATATGCATACAACAGGCATACAACAGTGTTTTAATTGCATCAAGAATACTGGTAATCAGCAAACATTGATTGGACTTAGGATTGCCAAGAATATCCTGCCAATTTAGGGTTTATTGATTTACTTTGCTTGGTTATTTAGTCGAAGATGTTTCAATTATTTATTTAATGCTCTTGTTAATTTGATCTGCACCACATGTCTCTTTGTCTACAGTCTAGTAGACACTGACTCTTAGGCATGTGCTTAAGACAGAGAATGTGTTCTCTTTATATGCAGGCATGCTACCTTTATAGTGTGCTTAGATATTCAAGTCAGATAAAAGCATGAAAACCAAATTTTGGTTTCCTGGTGAACACTCATATTCTCCTTTTATGTCATATCATAAACTGAGGCTTGATATTCAAGGAATACATAGGGAATCTGGACCCTTGAATATGAATAAAATGTTATGACAACGTAATAGCAACTTGATAGACATTCATACTTGCCAGAGACATCTTAAAATAGTGGAAAATTGCCCTAACTACATCTAATAATAATTCAATTAGGTAGAAATCTAAATTAATGACACAAGCAAAAGAACAAATTATCAGAGTATTCTGGCATTACACAGAGACATTGAGATCTGTAGATAGAAGATGTAGCATGTTCTTACCCTGTAAAAATATAATCCCCTGAACCTAAAGACTAATATTGTCCAACAGAACTATCTGTAATTATGAAAATGTTTTATAATCTATTCCATCCACTACAGTGGTCACTAGCTACATGTGACACTTGGAATTTAGCTAGTACAATGGATAAACTGTATTTTAAATTTTAGTTAATTTAAATTAATTTAAATTTAAATATCCTCATAGGGTTAATGCTTTTGCAATATGTATATTCAATAATATCAAGCATAATGCCTGGCTCGAGATAAGTGTTTTATAAATATTTCAGTCTTTGTCATTCTTTCTCTGATATTCAGAATCACATTTTAAAACTGTCTATTGCATGATTGATAATTAGTTTATGAATATATATCAGTTTAGAAAGCCTTCAGTTATCACATATCATAGAACACCACATTTATGGAAGATTAAACCCTAGGGATATTTACTGTATTCTTCCAAGTTTTTATCAACAGCTCAAAAATGTCTTTCTTCCCTTTGGTTTCACCATTCTCAGTCTGTTGGACTTTCATCCATTTACCTAAGTGATAGAGCAGGTAAGGTACTTTTACTTACCATCACAAGATAGCGGCTGTAGCTCCAGGCATTATATCTTGATATAATTGTCCCAAGGTGTAAAAATGTATCCATGGCAACTGTGTCATCCCTAGCTAGAGAGGCCAGAAAAAGGAATGCCTGGGAAAGGAGAAGAGGGATTTCATGATTGGCTTAGACAATTCATCACTTGGGGCAGAGTATATTGCTATCCAAACAAAATTGGAATCTTCTTGGGAAAGAGAGACATGGCTCTTTTATAGGCTTAGGGAATGTCTGCCCCACTCTTGCATTTTTACTCTCGACTGTAGTTTCCTTGAAGGAAGAAATAACATCTTTATCCCCCAGAGTGCACAGTGGTCTTAAAAACATAGCAGTCACTCAGTAATTATGTGTTTGATGGTTGAATCCTTAACTGGTGTTTGGGACATTTCCTGTGCCTTCAAATTATGTCTTTATTTTAGGTACATTTCAGAGTCACAAACAGCTACCTATTTTGTAAATAAGAAAAGTTCAGGCCAGGCATGGTAGCTCACGCCTGTAATCCAAGCACTTTGAGAGGCCAAGGTGAGTAGATCACTTTGAGCTCAGGAGGTTGAGACCAGCCTGGGCAACATGGCAAGACCATGTCTCTACAAAAAATACAAAAAATGATCCAGGCATAGTAGCTTGTGCCTGTGGTCCCAGCTACTTGGGAGGCTGAGATGGGAGGATCGCTTGAGCCTGGGAAGCAGAGGTTGCAGTGAGCCAAGGTCATGCCACTGCACTCCAGCCTGGGCAGCAGAGGTTGAATTGAGCCAAGATCATGCCACTGCACTCCAGCCTGGGAGAGAGAGCAAGACTCTTGTCTCAAAAAATAAATAAATAAATAAATATTTTAAAAAGTTCAGCAGCACACTGAGCCAAAAGACACATAAGTTTAACACACTTTGTGTAGATTCCTACAGAACTCAGAAGCCAAAATACAAACTTTGAGACTGAGATTGTTTTTATTATATCTGCCAGATGTAAACATTACGTACTCAGCTAAACTGAGAGTCCTTTAATTATCTTTTTCAGGAAGCCTTGCTGAGGGTGTAGATCCTAAAGCTACCACCCAGAGCAGCTTCCTGACAGCTCATGCTTCTTTACAGCAGGAGTCAACCCCAAATAATAGTTTCTCTATCCATACATTATAGTATTTGTCTGAACACAAAGTAATTAATACCTCCATCAAATAAAATCTCTAATTGCATCATATGGTCTGAGCTACTCTCAGGTCACTCATCCATCTGGTTGGATTGATTTTGCCATTTGCCAGCATGTGGGTTTGTGTGTGTAGTGAGGGGTGTGTGGGGCAGCAGAGGATTGTTGGGTGTTTGGAGTAACACGTTACCACATGTGCATGGTCAGGTTTGCAACGTGCACCCTATCACTCCACCACTGTGCTCAAGTAAGAAAAAGACAATTGCTCCTGGTCACAACACTCTTGGGTTTAAATTCTAATACATCCCTATTTTGGTGTCTCCAGAGAGCATCAAGCATAGATGATATACATGTTTTACAATTAACTGGGTGAAAAGCTATAGCCTAGCAATTCCTCAGCTCTAAAAGTAAAATTCTACAGTTCACAGAAATAATGACAACTCTAGATGAAAGTTACACAGAGTTTTTGAGCCAGTGGGGAGAAAAATATAGAAAAAAATGTATGCAAAATAGTCTCAGTCTATGTATGTATTCCCAAATTATGTATATGCAGATTAGTTTGTACATACTCCCCAAACATTGGGATGGAAAGTGAAAAATTCCAAAAATCATCCACATTATTTGGTTATATGACATTGCACCCAGATGTTTTGCATCCAGCTTTTTACTTTTCTTTCAACTGCTTTGAAATTACATACATGTGATAAACAAATCTTCATAGATAAAAGGAGGACTGGTCCAATTTATACTGTAATAAATGCCAAAGATAGAAAATATTTAACCCAGAGTTTTTGGATTGTCTGAAGTTGCTGTTTATAAGACTGTCCTAAGAAGTCACTGAGGAAGTATAGATTGCATAGTAGACATACTGCAACTCATGAAAAGCCATTCCATATGTATGTTGAAATAAAATAAATGAAATAAAATAGGATATAGATACTTCACACAAGCCAAACGTAGCACTTGCAATGAATATCACTCAACAACGAATGAGAGTTGTACCAACTATACGTTTTACTTTTTATCAACTATTTCAATATACCTTTTCGTTTAGTTTTGTTTTCCATGAAGAAAAAATGAAAACTCAAACTGGAATGAGCACTTAATATGCTCTCCTCATAGGGGCTACACTTAAATTAACAATTTTAGCTGCCAAGCTGGGTAGGGAGTGTGGGGTGATGCAGGTGCAGAGAGGAGGATGATCAAAAATATTCACTTTGCTATTTGCTACTGTTGGTTATTATTCATTTTCTTAGACCATTTAACCCATGCTGATGTTTACCACTGAGGGTGACAGAGGGCATTAGGGCAGTCAGTATAGTGTTGGAGTGGAGGTTCTGAATGGGTTGAAATTCTGCTCCACTAGGGCTGGCAAATTGTCTGGGCTTGGCAGCTTGGGTAAGTTGCTTAACTTTTCTAAGTCTCAGTTTCCTTTTGTGTAAATTAACATAATAACAGTAATTATTTTACAAGATTGTGGGCAGACTGAATAAAATAATCATAGATAGGCCGGGCATGGTGGCTCACGCCTTTAATCCCAGGATTTTGGGGGACCAACACAAGGGGATTCCTTGATTTCAAGAGTTCTAGACCAGCTTGGGCAACATAGGGAGATGCCGTCTCTACAAAAAAATTTAAAATTAGCCAGTCATGGTGGCACATGCCTGTAGTCCCAGCTACTCAGGAGGCTGAGATGGGAGGATTGCTTGAGCTCAGCAGGTTGAGGCTACAATAAGCAGTGATCGCACCACTGCACTTCAGTTTAGGCAATGAAGTGAGACTGTGTCTCAAAAAATAAATAAAAAGTAAAAATAAAATCGTATATGTTGGAGTCCCCCTTATCCACGGGGAATATGTTCCAAGACCCCCATGGATGTCTGAAACCATGGATAGCATGGCACCCTATACACATTCTGTTGTTTCCTATACATATATACCTACAATAAAGTTTAATTTATAAATTAGGCACAGTAAGAGGTTACTAACAGTAACCAATAATGAAACAGAACAATTATACAATCTAGTGTAATAAAAGTTAGGTAGATGTGGTCTCTCACTCTCAAAATATCTTTTTTTTTTTTTTTTGAGATGGAGTTTCACTCTTGTTGCCCAGGCTGGAGTGCAGTGGTGCGATCTTGGCTCACTGCAACCTCCACTTCCCAGGATCAAGCGATTCTCCTGCCTCAGCCTCCCAAGTAGCTGGGACTACAGGCGCCCACCACCACACCCAGCTAATTTTCTTTTTGTATTATTAGTAGAGACAGGGTTTCACCATGTTGACCAGGTTAATCTTGAATGCCTGACTTCAGGTGATCCACCCACCTTGGCCTCCCAAAGTGCTGTGATTACATGCATGAGCCACCGCGCCTGGCCTCAAAGTATCTTATTGTACTGCTCTCACCCTTTTTCTTGTGGTAGAGAAGGGATAAAGCAGAATGGTGTGAGATTTCATTTGCTACTCAGAATTGCATGCAATTTAAAACTTATGAACTGTTTATTTCTGGAATTTCCCATTTAATATCATCAGACTGCAATTGACCATGAAAACCATTGAAACCACAGAAAGCAAAACTGTGGATAATGGGGAAAGTGCTTAGCTAATGGTAAACTCTACAAATGTCAATGTTGATATTATTCTAGTTACAGTGGTAATAGGAGAGAGGGGTACACAAGGGAGCGTTTTAAAGCCTATTCCAGACATCAATCATCCATTTATTTCTTCATTCAAAGGAAGTATACAGATTGTCATATTGCATGCCTACTGTATTGAGGTAGACATAACTGCTTTGGGAACAACACAAGATCTTGGTGAGATTCTCAAATAGGGATATTTGCATCTAAAAGCTTCTCGCTCTTTCAGCTTCCCTCCTCTAGAGCAGCAGTCCCCATGGTTTGGGGATGATTCAAGCACATTCCATTTATCATTAGAGTCTCATAAGGAGCACGGAACCTAGATTCCTCACATGCAGCAATTCACAATAGGGTTTGCCCTCCTCTGATAATCTAATGCCTGCTAATCTGACAGCAGGCAGAGCTCAGGCGGTAACACTCACTGGCCTGCAACTTACAGGGACCAGTAGATTTCCACTGCCCGGGAATTAGGGACCCGTGGTCTAGAGTACTGTTATCCCCACTGCCCTGGTGGTTCAGAATCACTCACTGGAGTTTACGTTAACAGACAAACTGTCACCTTAGTCATCCCCACCAAAAATCTCCTGGGCAAGCTCCCATTTCCTCAGGTGTTTTTTTGGTGACTGGCTTGATTAATGCTAAGGTGTTAAATTTTCTGGTCAGTGTGTACATGTTCTTAACTCTTCCAGGTATTAAGCTTGCATTTCAAGAGGAGCACTGTAGTGACACCATGCCTTACACAATGGAGTCCTTCTCATGCTGGAATTTCAGAGCTCAGAGTGGGCCTATGGGACCAAGACTCTGGGGAAGATAAGATGTTCCACATTTCACAAATCAAATCACACAGGCAGTTCTGTCTACATACAGGGATGGCTTGGCAAGAAGTAATGAGGTCCTGTTGAGAACTGAAGCAGCATAGAGTATAGTTGGAAAGATAAGAAATGTATCAATTAGACAATGATGGAATAAAACCCAATGGATGATAATATTGGTCTGAGAGCATATAAAAATGCCAAAGGTTTTTTTAGTTGTAATAACTGATGTGTATTGAATGCTCACTCTGTAAAAGCATATTTTATTGTGATAAAACACACATTAACATAAAATTTACAGTTAGTGTTATTTGGTATATTCACAGTATTGTATAACCATCACCACTAACTAGTTACAGAACATTTTCATCCATCCAAAAGGAAACCCCATGCCTGTTACACTTCCCTTTCTCCCCTATCCCCTGGCAAATACTAATCTGCTTTTTGTCTCAATGGATTTGCTTATTCTGGATATTTCATATAAATTGAATCATACAATATGTGGCTTTCTAGGTCTTGCTTCTTTTACTTAGCATGGTATTTTCAAGGTTCATCCATGTTGTAGTATGTATCAGTACTTCATGCCTTTTCATGGCTGAATAATATCCCATTTTATAGATATACCACATTTTGTTTATCATCCGTCAGTTGGTGGACACTTGGGTTGCTTGTATCTTTTGGCTATTGTGAATAGCACTCCTCTGAACACTCGTGCACAAATTTTCATTTGGGCTCCTGTTTTCAATCATTTGTGGTATATACTCAGGAGTGGAATTGCTAGGTCATATGTAATTCGATATTTAACTGATTGAGGAAACACCAAGCTGTTTTTCAGTTTCCACTTTACATTACCTCCAGCAATGTATGAGGTTTCTAATTTCTCCACACCCTCACCAAACTTGTTATTTTTCATTTTCCAAAAAATCCTAGCCATTCTAGGTGGTGCAAAGTGATACCTCATTTTGGTTCTGATTTGCATTTCCTTAATGACTAATGATGTTGAACATCTTTTCATACATTTGGTGGCCAGTTGTATAGCTTTGTAATATAATTTTAAATTCCTTACCTCATGTAATTATTACCATAGACTTGACAGGTATTTTATAGATAAGTAAACCAAGGGTTTATAGATAAGGTGAAATAAATTGTTGAAAGTCAGGCAGAATCCAATTCAAACCCATATATTTAACACTCTGGAAATGGGGGAAACAAGCCCGAAAAGTGATGGGCTTGCATTATAAAGAGTATCTGGTCCTCGGGTTAAGAAAGACCTCCAAGGACAGTGTCATTTCAATAAAGGCATGTGGGAAGCAAGTGACCTGGGAAGCAAGGCATCCAGAGGAGAGGACACACACAGCTGGGTCTCTGCACCAGTTGCTCAATGTGTTAACCCGAGGCATTCAGCTTTCACAAAAGGGGCTTTGGGAGCTTCTATAGGCCATTGAAAACTTATTTTTATTTAACAGCAGCGGCAGCAGCAACTGACACCACCTATCGTAATTACACTAAGATCTAATATCTTCCATAAAATGCCATTTTATTTCACTAACTAGGTCACTGTGGTCAGAATGTAGAAGATGAAGAAGTTAGACTTACATAACCCACTAGGAACAAAATCCCATGTTTCAAAGAGTTTCTGTTCCCTTAGGATATTCAAAGAGCTTTGATATAGGACTGGTGAATAAAGAACATATGACCTGGGACCAGTACTTTCCTAATGCACAGACTGACCTGACAGCCCATAAGAAGGGAGTCTGTGTACCGAGATATGCCACACATATCACCTATGTGGATGCTACATACAAAGGCATGCCATTGGCACATCACATATTATTAGCAACTGCTAAGACTTTACACATGTCTTGGCATTACTCTGCCATTGATTATGTAATTTGGAAATTAAATAATGCACAAATAGTAAAGAAAGTTCCTACAAAGTGCCATCGATATAGTGGTTTCTAGGTATCATGGTAAAAAGATGCCTAATGTCACATGGAGATTGAGCCAAATGTAGGATTTTAAGTTCCAGTCTATTTTACTCCAAATACTGAATAACCTTTCACTCTCTATGAGGCAGTATTAAAGTGATGTATGGCAGGACACTGTAAACTAGAGGCAGAGAGAATCAAATATACTTCAGGACTAGTTAGAGAAACCAAAGGTTTAAATGTTTAAACTTTAAAGTGCATTCATGAATCACATTAACGGGACAAAGCTGCCTGTGCTCTGTGGGAGCACTGTATTTTCCCAGGTACTTGTGTGAGTAACACTATCACATACCCTGAGTCATGTGGGGTGTTTTCATTAGCACGCAGAGGCAAATCTCCAGCAACACTAAAGCTTTCTGTTTACTTTAAAAGAAGTGCAAAGTATAAATGTTTACCAAATCTGGACTAGACTGCCTGGTCTCCAAACGAGTTTGGCTGTGATTTCTGTTTTCTTAAATGTGTTTTGATATGAGTAGAGCAATGGGACAGAAAATAGCAAGATTCACTCAGATCCCTTTTCTCCTATGATCTCTGCCTCCCAGGGGAAAGGTGAGGAAATTGGCAGGAATTTTCCTATCAAGAATGGTGACTGTGTAACATCACTTGTGTTAAGTATACGGCATTATGTTTTTAATAAATACTTTTTAAAGCAAGTGATTTTTTAAAAACATTTTCTTCAAGAATCTTCTCTCCTCATATAAAAAAAAACTCAGCAAAAGTAACATTTATGTTAAAAAGAGGCATTACTGGAAACAACTGGGAAGCATTTGCTGGTGCCAGGCCTGTATCTGCAGCATTTGTTTCCTGCAGAGTGTGATGAGATAAAGTGAGCTCTTTTGTCCACTTGATCCAAAATACACATGACTCAAAACCGTCTTAGTGCAGGGCTTAATCAAAGACGGGACCAAACAGTGAACACACAGATCATTCCCAACAAGATCTTTACATATGTGACTGGCTGTGGCATGGAGGGTATAATCCAGCTGAATTGACTTGAACTCCCTGGAGGTTATAAAAATGAATGAACTGTCAAAAGCAGTTTTACTTGTGTGTTTGAATTATGCAATTCCAAATTCAAAAAATAAAATAAGATAGTCTACATTGAAGTTTATTAAAAATTGGAAGAAGTAAACATTACTGGCTTTTAAAAATCTTCTCACCCCTAAAACATATTTCACTAAGGGTAGCACATAATATAAACATGACCAGGGGTTTATCTCTTTGATGCTAGCCAAAAAGAGCTATGTTTTTTCTTTACTTTTATATCATTTTAGTCTAAGTTTATCGTATTTTTCTGGTTATAGATAGAATATATAAACATTGTTGAAAAAAATAAAAAGTGTAAAAAATACATTGCAGAAATTGCAACCCCAATTGTAACAAATTTTAATGGTTTGGTCTATTTTTCTAGTTTCTTGTCTATGTTTGCATGAATGCATATGTGTAATATCTAGATATTTACTTGAAAAGTTGAATTTACACCTTAAATACTTTTTGTCTCCAGTTTCACTGAACATTATAAAATGAGATATTAACATGTCACTAAACACTTTTTGAGCATAAGATTTTAAATGACTACATAATATTCTTTAACAAATTCAACAGTATTGAGCATGTAGGTTGTTTTTAATTTTTTGTTCTTGTAAGTGATAACAGTGATAAGAATTTTGATACATCAATTTTGGAACCTATCTCTGATTATTTTCTTTGATAGATTCTGGAATTGGAATTGATGAGTAAAATATAAACCTTTTAAAAGTTCATGATATGTTTTTCCCTTACTATTTTGAATAAATATTCCAGTGTAAATTGCATTAACTCCCACCACTGGTGGAAAAGAATGGGCCTATCTATCTCAGCACATTTTCATTCAGATTTAATGATTAACATTTTAAAAATACTTTCCAGTTTGATATGCCAAAAACAGCACCACTAGCCAGGCATGGTGGCTCACGCCTCTAATCCCAGCATTTGAGGAGGCCAAAGTGGAAGGATCACTTGAGGCCAGGAGTTTAACACCAGCCTGGGCAACATAGCGAGACCTCCATCTCTACAAAACATAAAAAAAAAAAAAAAAGAATTAGCCAGGCATGGTGTCATGAACCTGTACTCCCAGCTACTTGGGAGGTTGAGGTGGGAGGATCACTTGAGTCTGGGGTTTTGAGGCTGCCATGAGCTATGATTACGCCATTGCACTCCAGCTCTAGCCTGGGTGACAGAGTGAGACCCTGTCTCTAAAAATAATAATGACAGTAATTGGAAGAGTATCAGTTTGTATGTTTTCTTTCAAAAATTGTTTATTTCCCTTGCCTATTTTTTGTTGTTAATTTGATATTTTTCTTCATTTTTGGTTTTTAAACTAAAAATAAATGCTCATTATAAAACTCAAATGAATTATAATTGTGTACAATAAAAATATTAAAATTACCCTTCACCTCTACCCCAACAGTATTGTATGCATATTTTTATGCAATTACATTTACTTTTACAAAATACACAGACATACATGCACATCTATAAGATATTCTTTGAACATAAATTAGATCACTTGCTTTTTTACTTAAAAGTATATTATGGACTTATTTACTTTTCAGTCATCAAAATTTCTCACTCATTTAAAAAGTCTATAGTAGCATTCTGAAAGTTGGATGTTGCATAGTTTATTTCACCACTTATTTGTTTGTGTACATCCTTGTATGTACATTTTTATGCTCATTGTGAATAAGGCTCTGGCCTATTTATATGCATCTTCTCTCTAACTGAATGTAAAGCATGGATCTCACTTTACACTTAGTCCTTTTCTGAGGGAAGAGGTTTCTCTTTTGCAGGCTGAGAACACAGTTCTTACAAACTAGTAAGTAAAATCAAGGGCAAAATAACAAGCTCTGGTAAGTTCCATTCTCCATACTCAGAAATGACAGAACAGGATTCCTGGAAAAGCTGCAGAAGATGTCTCTGAGCCTTCTCCCACCCCATTGTCATTCTGAAATCAGAGAACATGAGCATAGCTAGTCACAGCGCTAGTGGGGAGGAGGGGACTGAGTCACTCTCCTGCTGCACATCGCTGCTGAACTGGTGGCCTAATGCCTTAGCTATTGAGCAGGTTGCCACTGGCCACACTGACCAATCTGGCCCTATTTCTAGTGTAAAAAGCTCAAACAGCCTGCACAAAGTAGGCTCTTGGTTTCTGCCTCCAGGTAGTTTCAAGGCCAAAAAGCCTCTAGAGTACATAGGAAGGAGAAGCTGCCAGGTTCAGTCTCATTTTACCTCTTGCCTCTGAGCATTCTCAGACTGGACTTCCAGTAGAACTGCTTCAACCACCTGCCCAGCCTGCCTCAGGTGAGCATGATGGATGGATGCCCTGTCATGCAGATCCATCATTCACAAATTCTTACTCCTGAAAATCCTGGCTGGGGTGTGAAGGGGATCTCCTACAAAATCCATTCATTCATCCATTCATTCATCAATCACACATTTATTAAGTAGCTCCATAATTTTAGTTTCAGACATCTTGTTGGGCAGCAGGGACAGAATAAGGTAAAAACATGGTATTTGCTTTTGAGAAGCTTGTTGTCTATTATAAAGTGATAGATGTGAACAAATGATTATAATATCACATGAATGGTGCTAGGTCAAGAGTGCGTATAGAATAGGGGAGGCACGAGAGAGGAAGTGAGTTATAATATTTCTACTTGAGGGGTGAGGAGACTAGGAAAGCGGTCATGGAGGAGGTGCTGCTGAACCCTAGTCTGTTGGTCTTCCCAAACACTTACTTCCAGTGCATCCCTTAAGCTATGTCTGACCTCAGAGCCAGGTACTAACGGTTGCCAGAGCAAATATCCACTAGCTAAGCATGGCCACCCCAGAGCCCAAGGTTATGGATAAGTGTCTCGCCCATGGAAAGCTTCTTAAACTAGAGACAACAAGTCCAAGCCTAGGAATACAATGTCTCCAGGTCAAAGATTCAGCCCTCAGAGAGGACATGAATTTGAACCTATGATGGAGTTTCATTTGGCCTTTGCTGTCCACACCCTCCTGTGGATCCAAAAGGCCTTGGTTCCACTGTCAAGGCTTACAGTAATGAGAGCCCAGAAATGTTATTTAGGGCAAGAACACCATCAAGGTGAGGAATTTCTTAAAAATAGTACTTTTCTGTTTAATTTTATGAGGAAAATATGGTTATTAAAAATTTAAATATGTTAGACCCTCATTAATAAAATCCACTTTATTTTAAAAATTAAACTTCTATCTATTAACTAACTTCAAATAATTAAATCTAATATCACGGAGCAGACATGCTTTAGAGAGTGGAATCTGGAGTCCATTATCTTTGTCACAGAAAGAACACTCCCACACACCACTCATGTGTCTGTGGACAGGAACCTCCAATTGCAGCAGTCAGCACTGGGGGCACAGAGACATTCATAAGAGCCCTGAGCCCCTGGATCTTCCAGTGTGACCTCTGAAGCCCCAAACAGCTTTGGCCAACAATAGAGACAAGAGTGTTCACACCTGCCATGTTCTGATTAGCCCATTTCAATCCCTACCTATTCAATGTGACCACTGGGGTGTTTAGAAGTCACCCTCCTGGGGAGGTCACCTAGAAAACGGTGACCCTGTCCGGAGGCAGTGACAGACAGGCCTATTACTGTGCTGCCTCATAGTTGAGACGATAGGAGTTGACTTGATTGCCTGAGCTCAAATTCCAGCATTGCCATTGACCAGCTGTGGGATCTAGAGTTAAGTTGTTCAGCCTCCTTGTTCCAATTTCCTTATCCGTGAAGTGGAGATAATAATAAAATCTTATTCAAGGGTTTTGAAGAGTATGCCATGTCTTCTAGGCCTTAGATCAGGGCCTCATACATAAAAAGCCTTCAGCAAACGTTGATTCTGATGAGCAGGTTGATGCTTGAAGGTTCCTATCAGAGCTTTTGGAGGATGCTAGTTTTATACTTTCAAAGATTATAAGGGCACCTGCCAGGCTTTGTGGTGGTAGTCAAGGCCCAAAGCCTATACCTTTCAGGCCATGAAGTCTCTCAGAGCAATTTTTCTCAAACATTCATGTATCTGTGAATCTCCTAGGGGAATCTTGTTAAAATGCAAATCTGAGCAGATCTGAAATTCTGCAAGTTTAACAAATTTCCAGATAAGTTTGATGCTGCTGGTTTGCAGATTATCCTTTTAGTGACAAGCATGTGGGTTTCTTCAAGATACTGGCTTCACAGCCTCTTTAGTGGGCTCACATTTATAAAAATACAGTCATATAGAATGTAATTGTAAACCTATATAACATGGAGTTTAAAAGCAGAAAATTTAGAATTACATGAACCTGGAATTCATTTTTGGGTATATACTAGCTATATGACCTTAGACAAATTGTTTAATGTACTTAGGCCTCAGTTTCCACCTCTGCACATAGGGATAATGATATCTAGTTTACTCAGCTGAAAGACCTATGTGAATTAATGTTAATGCTGAAACACTTGGGCTGGGAGATCCCAGACTCCTGGCATCATGGAGGCAGCTCCTGGTCCTGTAATAGTAGCTGATCTGATCTAGACAGGTGTTTCTGGATGGCCCACCTTTTCTGTGTTCTAAAAGGACAACTAATATCAACCAATATTTGCCCATACTTTGCTCTGCCCATTCCCTCCAGCTTAAAGAAGATGTCCCAGTAAAGGGTCGTCACAGCACAAAGCTACCCTGAATTTGTCCCTTGAATCTCATCCAAACCCATTATCTTTAGTCTTCCATTCTCTGGGCCAAGGACTTTGCTATCCATTGTCCTGGTTTCATCTTTACCTCAGTGTTCCCACTAGATGCACAGTTGTTCCCCTGGCTGGACTGGTTTCTCCTGAGGACAGTTTGTTCTCTAATGCAGGTGCACTGATCTCATCCTCCTTTCCCAGAATGACTCTCTTAATTCAGACACATGACATAATATATATTTTGGGTTATTCTTGATCCCCAATTAATATTTGGTTTCCACATTATATTTGAATACTGCAAGTTATAAACTGGTTATATCTTAGGTTTTCATTGATTGATATATTTTACCATGAAATGTCTGAAGGAAATAAATGAAAGTGGAGAAATATTTTTTGTCAGGCAGGTTATGACCCTCTCCAACCCAGTCTATCTCCACTATCATATTTACCTTGGCTTAAAATCAAAGCAGACAGATCCATTTTGGTTGTGGAGTATTGTCAAGAAACATTCTAAGGAGCACATTCAATTCATTGCAAAACATTTATCCCAGCTAATTCAATATACTCTAAATCCATTATTTTTGGAAACTACTTAAAAGGTGCTTGCTATAACAAAAGACTTTGCAAGAAATTTCCATAGGAATATGTTGTATTTTCTACAGTGATGGATCCTGCTTTTATTGTTATTAGGCAGGCAATAAGCCCAACATGCCATATTGTCTTTTAGATTTTTCTCTATTATGATATTTTTCTATCTTCATGTTTTTATTGCTAGGTCTCATAGTAAATTTTTTAAAAATCTAAACTATTGCATTCTTGCTCTGAGCTATGTGCTCTACTACATTGAATACAAATGACACAGATTTATAAAATGACACAAAAATCCTTATTCTGGGTCATGCTTAAAATATAAATTTAGCTTAAATTGACTGTATATTCAGTCCCAAGACAATACACACATGTATGCATGGCATTAATACATTTCTGTGAATAAACATGTAGGCTTTCTATAAAATCCCCATTAATTTAGTATATTCTAAGATCTCTATCTAGTAATCACTTGAACAAGAGTCTCAAGATCTAGGCTGCATTATTGCATTCAACAATAATGATATGACATTATCCTTTCTCTGTTGCATTTCTCTATCTAAATATTAGGAGTATCAGTTTTTATTACTTATAGATCATTAGGGGAAAATGTTAGCTAAAAAACTATTATACCAAGATTCTTGGTCTTCTCCTATTGGTTTGCAGATGTGAAGGTCTGAAACTGGAGTTAGGAGATTTTTGTTGGTGTGCTGGTGGACAGGCTCTTTGGACCCTGCCTTCCAAAAATAAGAAGAGGAAGAAAAAAAGACCCCGCTTTGTAGAATTTGCCAATTTACATGGTGTAGATAGTCCTGCCATGTTGGATTTCAAGCTACCAGCGGTTTAACAGCAGGCTAGTCAAATGTTAACAATCAGTTCTTGAGGTGGAGACTGAGAGGGAGAGAAAGAGAAAAAGAGACAGACAGAGAGAGAGAGAGAAAGGGAAGGAGAGAGGGAGGGAGTGGAGAGGCTGCTGCAGCATGCCACTGGGTTTTGATACAGAAATGGTCAAAATTCTCAAGTAACCAAGGAGGTGAGTGTGATAGTGGAAATTGGTCAATTTAACGTTAAAATTCATTCTCTTTATACCTGTGCCATAGGTAACAAACATCTATATCATATAGTGTATGCAGAAATGTTTTGAGCTTTTCAAAGAACCATCTCTAAACAAACATATTACTAAACATAGAAAATTTTAGTAACCTGTAACATAAAGCTAGGATTACGATTGCATTGTCATAGACTTTGACCAGAATCCACATCCATGTGCCTAAAAATTCCCCAAAACTGATATTAGGCATATATGTTTCTGTAAGAATGGGAAAAATCAAAAATTAATAGATAAATATTCATAATTCATTTTCCAAGTATGTATTTAAAAATAGGTAACCATTTCCATTTTTCTCTATGTCCTACTCAATCCTAACATTATCCAATCTTCATCATTAATAGAGCTATGAGTTTTTCATCAAAATAAGTAGACACTAAAATTATCATTAAAATATACCTCTAAGACTCTGTGGATAAATTTGAGATTATAAAATGTTTCTTGCTATTCCTGTAAATGTTTAAAGCATCAGATTGCTACAGGAGCTTGTTTCCAAATTTGCCTTTCTTGTTCAATCAAAGGAAGGGATAACACTATCGAAGCTCCAAATATTCTTCTGAGTTGTATTGCATAACATTTTAGGGTTCCTTTTTTAAGTTAGAGGTTTGGAAATTTTTGTCCAAGATCAGTTCCTTAGCAGCAGTGTCTAGATAATATAACCTCATGGTTTGATGTTACAAGCCTATATCTTTGCATAATGCCTATACAAAAACTTATCTTTCAATTAGAGTTGACATGTTTAAATTTTGGGAGGGCTTTAAGTGCTTAAAATGTTCACTCAAAGAAATTAGTTAACTTCATTACATGAAACTTTGTTATGATTATTGCCCTGAAGATCTTGCATACTTTCACATTTAAATGTGATGTTGTAGATGTCATAAAAACTGTATGTAAAAATTATCTATTACCTTAAAGGAGATGTCTAAATTTAATCCAGATTAATTAAATGATTTTATCCAATACATTATGATATGGTTTGGCTCTGTGTCCCACCCACATCTCATCTCGTAGCCCCCATAATTCCCACCTGTTGTGGGAAGGACCTGGAGGAAGATGATTGAATTATGGGTGTGGGTCTTTCCTGTGCTGTTCTTGTTGATAGTGAATGGGTCTCATGAGATATCATGGTCTTAAAAATGGGAGTTTTTCTGCACAAGCCCTCTTTTTTTGCCTGCTGCCATCCATGTAAGATGTGAGTTGCTCCTCCTTGCCTTCCACCATTATTGTAGGGCCTCTCCAGCCATGTGGAACTGTAAGTCCAATAAGCCTCTTTCTGTTGTTGTAAATTGCCCAGTCTCAGGTAGGTCTTTATCAGCAGCATAAAAATGGACTAATACAGTAAATTGGTACCAGTAGAGTGGGGCACCGCTGAAAAGATACCCAAAAATATGGAAGAAACTTTGGAACTGGGTAACAGGCAGAGGCTGGAACAGTTTGGATGGAGATGAGGAACTTGTTGGGAACTGGAGCAAAGGTGACTCTTGTTATGTTTTAGCAAAGAGACTGGCAGCATTTTGCCCCTGCCCTAGAGATTTGTAGAACTTTGAACTTGAGAGAGATGATTTAGGGCATCTGGCAGAAGAAATTTCCAAGCAGAAAAGCATTCAAGAGGTGACTTGGGTGCTGTTAAATGCATTCGGTTTCAAAAGGGAAACAAGGCATAAAAGTTTGGAAAATTTGCAGCCTGACAATGCAATAGAAAAGAAAATCCCATTTTCAGAGGAGAAATTCAAGCCAGTTGCATAAATTTGCATAAGTAATGAGGAGCCAAATGTTAATCACCAAGACAATGGGGAAAATGTCTCCAGGGCATGTCAGAGACCTTTGCGGCAGACCCTCCCATCACAGGCCTGGAGGCCTAGGAGAAAAAAGTGGTTTCCTGGGTTGGGCCCAGAGTACCTGTGCTGTGTACAGCCTAGGGACTTGGTGCCCTGCATTCCAACCACTCCAGCTGTGGCTGAAAAGGGGCCAACATGGAGCTCAGGCTGTGGCTTCAGAGGGTGTAAGACTCAAGCCTTGGTAGTTGTCACTTGGTGTTGAGCTTGTGAGTGCACAGAAGTCAAGAATTGAGGTTTGGGAACCTCTGCGTAGACTTCAGGAGATGTATGGAAATGCCTGGATGCCCAGGCAGAGTTTGCTGTAGGGGCAGGGTCCTCAGGGAGAACCTCTTCTAGGACAGTGCAGAAGGGAAATGTGGGGTGGGGGCCCCCATGCAGAGTCCCTACTGGGGCACAGCCTAGTGGAGCTATGAGAAGAAGGCCACTGTCCTCCAGACCCCAGAATGGTGGATCCACTGACAGCTTGCACTGTGCACCTGGAAAAGCCACAACACTCAACACCAGCCTGTGAAGGCACCCAGGAGGGAGACTGTACCCTGCAAAGCCACAGGGGTAGTGCTGCCCAAGACTATGGAAACCTACCTCTTGCATCAGTGTGATCTGGATATGAGACCTGGAGTCAAAGGAGATCATTTTGGAGCTTTAAGATTTGACTGCCCTGCTGGGTTTCTGAGTTGCACGAGACCTGTAGCCCCTTTGTTTTGGCCAATTTCTCCCATTTGGAATGACTGTATTTACCCAATGCCTGTACTCCCAGTGTACGTAGGAAGTAACTAACTTGCTTTTGATTTTATAGGCTCATAGGCAGAAGGGACTTGCCTTGTCTTGCATGAAACTTTGGACTGTGGACTTTTGAGTTAATGATGAAATGAGATGAGACTTTGGTGGACTGTTGGGAAGGCATGATTGGTTTTGAAATGCAAAGATATAAGATTTGGGAGGGGCCAGGGGCAGAATGATAAGGTTTAGCTCCATGTCCCCACCCAAATCTCATCTTGTAGCTCCCATAATTCCTATGTGTTGTGGGAGGAACCTGGTGGAATATGATTGAATTATGGGGTCAGGTCTTTCCCATGCTGTTCTCATGATAGTGAATGGGTCTCACGAGATATGATGGTTTTAAAAATGGGAGTTTCTCTGCACAAGCTCTCTTTTTTTGACTGTTGCCATCCATGTAAGATGTGACTTGCTCCTCCTTGCCTTCTGCCATGATTATGAGGCCTCCCAGCCACGTGGAACTATAAGTCCAATAAACCTCTTTCTTTTGTAAATTGCCCAGTCTTGGGTATGTCTTTATCAGTAGCATGAAAATGGACTAATACACATTATTATTATTGATTCTATGATAATTTAAAAATGAGGGAAGGTAGTATTGGTAAGAAGATTGCCTAACATTGGACAGAACTTGAAGTCCATATCTCTGGAAAATTCTCTCCTTATCACATTGAAATGGGTTTTTTTAATCTAAAACACTTCATATGGACAAGTGTGTAAAACTGAATTCCCCTCAACAAACATTTATTAATACCTCTTGTAGTTTAGGCACTGATTTCAAAACTGGAAGTACCTAAATGATCTTTTCTGGAGAGAAGTTCAGGCTCTGGCAAGGAGAACGACCTAAATAAATGATTAGGTATATTCACAGTGGCGTGGAAACAGCAAGAGAAAAAAAAAAATAGGCCAGGGCTGTCCTGAGCAAAGGGAGTTTTGAACTGAGCCTTGGAGCCTGATTAGAGGTTTAACCAGGGGGTAATTAGGTGCATAAGAGTGGGAGTAGAGGAGTAGCAAAGGCAGAGTTTCAAGATATTTGATAAACAGTGATTCTCTTACAGTGGTTGGAAGATATAGAGGGGAGAGAGATTGGAGATGATGTTGGAAAAGTAGGCTGAAACCAGGGTGGAAAGAGCTTGGGTACTATGGGACCTTCCTATGGCTGCTGTAACAAAGTACCATAAATTTACTGGCTCAAAATAACACAACTTTATTCTCTTAAAATTCTAGAAGTCAGAAGTCTAAAATAAGTCTTATGGAGTAACAGTAAGGTGTCAGCAGGGCTGGTCCCTTTGGGGGCTGCAGGGGAGAATCCATTCCTTACCTCCTTCAGGTTCTAGGGGCTGCCTGCATTTCTTGGCTCATGGCCCCTTCCTCACATCACTCCAAGCTCTTGCTTCTGTTACCACATCTCCTACTACTGACTTTTATCCTCTTGCTCCCTCTTATAAGAACTCTTGTGATTTCATTGGTTCATCCAAATAATCCAGAATCATCTCCCATTTCAGGGTGCTTAGTCACATCTGAAAAGCCCATTTTACCATGTCTGATAACATATTTACAGGTTCTGGAGATTAGGATGTGGATATCCTGCTCTGGCTGGGTGGAAGGCGCGGGCGTGAGGAGGCATTATGCTGTCTACCACAGGTATCCTGTTGAGTGTTTTGAGATATAATAAAGATAATATATCTTTAGGATTATTGGGAACTACTATAGGTTCCTAAACTGTGGAATGCTTTGGTCAGATTTTCATTTTAGAGGACAACAATATCTGTAGGGTAGAGGACAAGACTCAGGACAAGACCAAGTAAGAGACGGTGAGGAATGGGAAAAGGGGAACATTAAACAATCATAGTAGAATACAAATATTCGGTCCTTTTAAGAATGAAAGTGTGTTTTATTCTTTCTCATTTCTTTGCTGAATTAGAAGGATGGAATATAATAATTTCCTTTTACTCCCTGGGGGAGTTCAAAGACTGAGTTCTTCATGCCCTTGAAGAAAGGGAGTTGGCTATTTCTGCAGCTTTTAATCTAGGCTCTAGATTTAATGAGCCATTGAAGTCTGTTGTGAGAGAACACAGGGCGTGGAGAAGGATAAAGAGATTGTGGGGATGGGGAAGACTGAAGAGCAAAGGAGCAAAAGATAAGTGATACTAGATGGGACCCCAGAAGCCTGGGGAATTGACCTGGGGGAATTGGCCCAATAAGGAAAAATGCCCAGTCCTAAGAGTGGGCCAGAGGAGAGACAGGAGTCCTCTTCTATGATGGTCCAGCCCTCACTGAATAAAAGCATTCTATCAAAGATATCCCCCTGGGCTCACACAAGGTCTCTAGTCGCAAGGGTCTGGGTGGGGTAGTATGACTTGCTCTGGGTCATTAGATGTGAGTGGAAATAAAGAAGGCTACTTCCTGGCCTGGAACATAAGAAATTATCTATGCTTGATTCTGCTTTCCCTTTCACTTGGAAGACACCTGCCCTGGAAAGCTGCCTGATGAGGAACATTTGCACTGGATTTTGCCTAAGTGAGAAATAAACTTTTATTGTGTAAAGTCAGTGAATGTTAGGGCTTATTTGTTACTGCAGCATGGCTTAGCCTGTCATGACTAAAACCCAGTGGATTTTAGTTTTAATTCCCAAGAGAACTTCACCCTAGGGGCCCCAGCATCATACCCAGTGAGTACACAGTAGGAGGGACATATTTGTAAGAAATACTGTTATGAGATTACTTCTGATTATCCACTGGTTATATCACACTGCACTTAAGATGCCTGTGAGTCCAAGGGAAGTCACATCTTGGATACCTAGTAAGGTAGTGAGATGGTAGAAAGGTCCAACATCTGTACTTGGGAAGACTGAACTGTCCTCACTCCTTTGAGATGGGACACCAGTTACTGATACCTTGGCTACATTGTATTATGTTTGCAATATTTAAGATTAGAATAAACAGGACCCACGTAAGTGTTGCTCATTGATTTCATGGACATGATCCCTGATCAGACTTTGTGTGGTCTCCTAAACATTTAGTCTGTCTTAGCCTGGGTTTTCTCCGAACAGAGCCTAAAACAAGGACTTGTGTACAGGAGGCTTATCTAGCATGTGATCATAGGAAGCAAGAGGAAGGGACCAGAATTATAAAAATTATAAATTAAAAAATTATAATTAAAAAAATTATAAAAGAAGGAAGGAGAAAAACTACCATAAGGGTCTTATACCAAGTTATTCTCCACAGTGGGCAGCTGGGGCTTGATCCCACCAGGATCTGCTGAAGCATGCAGAGGCTGTTTTAGAATTGTCTACTGAAGGATAGACAATTCAACAGGGAGAATTATTTATCCATAACCCATTGGTTGAGGTGGCCCCAGAAGGCACTGACTCCCCTGACTTCAGGGCTGTGCTTGGAGCATGCTGAGATGTCTTCCATGGTGTTAAAACAGTTTCCCCCAGGCAGAGAGCAAAAGATGCTCAGAGCATGCTGGAGGCAAGGTGCTGTCAGTGTGAAACTATCTGAATCTTACACAGTACTGTTTGCCAAAGCCAAGGCTGCAAACAGTGCTGAGGCTGGCAGGATGTGAAGCAGGTGTCTGATGCACATTCCCCTTCCCAAAAGCACCCTGATCTCTTTATGGGGATTTTTGGGGGGCTAGGAATTCCTGGCTCTGATGTCTCATTGCTCAGAAGCTGAAACCCAAGGGTAGAGATCCGTCCTCAGCCTGACCTAAGCTCACCTTATTGGTGAGTGAATAAGCCTGAGAGGCAGGCTACACACGCATCAGAAGGTCCTGGCAGGATCAAGTCCAGTTTCTCACAGTAGTGCACAACTTAATAACATCCCCTTATAGTAGCTTAGGACAGGGAGAGGGCATCCCCTGACCTTGAGTGTCTCTCAAGAGTATACAGCAAAGGACGGGAGCAATTTGGTGGTCAATCTTGTACAGTGGTGGCCTCGGCAGCAGCATTGTGACCAGCCTGTCCCTTTTGGGCGACAGTCTTTGTTTCCTGTTTCCAGCACCAGCCATTTTGAGTTTCTGTGTTCTTGTCATTCCATAGCTTGAATTCTAGTCTCTCATTGAGTCTATGAGCCCCTGATATTATCCCAATAAATTCTCTTTTCCTTAAGCCAGACTCTGATAGAACAATTATTAAATAAGAGAAGACAGGGCTACTCGCAGGGCAAAGGTTGAGAAGTAATTTCATCACCCTCCCAAAACAATCACGTTTGAACTCATCATGTGATTCACTACTAATTTGTGTCAACAAACCAGTGGGTATTATGTGTACATATATGTATTATGTTTATTATGGCACATTTGTCAGTAGAATTGTCAATAGAAACCAGCTCTGACACCATCTTGCTAGAATTAACATTGATTAAGAAAAAAAAAATCCCTCTAGCTTCTGCCTCAGCAGTTTATCAGTAATAGTCTATCAGAATAAGAGTACACATTTCTGATTTTATACTGACCTAGAGATTTTTTGGTTTTGCTTCAGTCCAACTTCAGTCATATGATTAAAGAGATATGGAAATGTGGATTGAACCCACGCATTTGTCTCAGGTCTCTCATGAATCCTGCTCAGATGATGGTAAAGGAACAACGACAACAAAAATGCATACATGTTCAAGGACAAAGAGAAGAGGAGTGGATGGAGGACCAGCTACTGACTCATCAGTCTGAAGAAAGCCGATACCTAAACCAGCAATGGGAGAAGGAAACAGCCAGAAACAAGCTGATTCATGCTGTAGAGCCCTGGGACGGCTTAGAGATTGGAGGCACCCGGTACTGTTGAAGATGAGAAAGTGTGGAGATGCTGAAAACAGAATTAGCTGAAAATCTGTATTTGCAGCAGTTAGACTCTTCCTCCCCAGGACATACACCAGGTAAATGCTCTTTCCCGATCACAGCTGAAGATTGGAAAGGTCGACCCTGACAAATTCCGGATTTGTCAGGAATTTGTCTTATACTCTAAAAATTTTAGATAGACTGCAAATAATCAATGGGTATATAAATTCCAGAACTTTTAATATCTAGGTATCTATTGTAATACAACTTTTCTTAGCTATCACTTACAAATACAACTTCAGGGTCTCACAGAAGTGAGAACAGCCTTGCTCCTGATAATCTGCTCTGGGAACTGGATGAAAACATAACCATAAACTCATAAGCCCAGAAAAGGAGCCCTGTTTTTCATAGACAAGCCACCTAGATGCTGTGTGGTCTAGTGTGTACTTCTAGTACTCCATTCTAGCCACTGATTATTTATAACACAGTAGTTACAGAGCAGTCCCTGGAATTGAATGGCTTGAGTCCAAACTTAAGCTCTGTGTTTACCTATCCCTTAAGGGATCTTGGACAAGTTATTCAACTTCCCTTAGTGCCTCAGTTTCTTTATCTAAAATAATTTTTTTTTTTTTTGAGACGGCGTCTGGCTCTGTCGCCCAGGCTGCAATGCAGTGGCGCGATCTCGGCTCGCTGCAACTTCTGCCTCCCAGGTTCAAGGAATTCTTACGCCTCAGCCTTCTGAGTAGCTGGGACTACAGGTGTACGCCACCACATCCGGCTAATTTTTATATTTTTAGTAGAGACGGGGTTTTGCCATGTTAGCCAGACTGGTCTCAAACTGCTGACCTCAGTTGATTCACCCACCTCGGCCTTCCAAAGTACTGGGATTACAGGCATGAGCCACGGTGCCCGGCCTCTTCCAAATCCTTATTGTAATATGCCTAGGACATACCTCAGTTTTCTGTATAAAAAAGAAAACCACTCAGAATTATATTGCTGTCAAAGACAGAATTTCAAGAGTTTCACTTTACAAATACTACAGATTGCTTTATTCTTTTCCACACCCATAGATTTAAATATCAAACAGAATTCTGAATGATAGGATTGCTGTATTTTTACAAATCAAAATACTAAGGTCTAGAATGCCAACTAATGAATTCAGGATGAATGATGGAGCTAGAAAGTCATAATTTTGAAACAATCATCATAGTAATAAATTTAGGCAAGAATCATCAATGGATGCTAAAACTAGTGGTAAAAGTTTAATGAGAAACAGGTAGCTATAAAGTTTCAAAATATCTTCCTATAACTACTTATTAATTAAAAAGGGAAAATAACTTCACAATGGAGAAACTTGACAGACACTAACTTAAGCAAGTGAATAAAGTTCATATCACAATAGTAGGACAAAGCCACAGTATGTGCCACCTGTTGGGATGCATTGAAAAAGATACAATGTCACAGCTGACTTATTCCTCCCAAATTTGCATAACTTGAATTAATCATGAAAAAAACATCAGATTTACTCAAATTGTAGAATATTCTACAAAATAATTGGGCAGTACTCTTTAAAATGCTGAGGTTATGTAAGACAAAGAAAGGCTGAGAAGCTGTCACAGACAAAGGGAAACTAAAGAAACATGCAAATTAAATTCAGTGCATGATCCTGGATTGAATCCTGGGCTAGGAAAAGAAAAGAGGTATAAAAGACATTATTGGAGCAATTGATGATATTTGAATACTGACTAGGGGGATTAGATAATAGTTATTGTATCAATGTAGAATTTCCTGATTTTATCAATTGTGTTGTGGTTATGAGAGATTGTTGTTGATTTTGGCATAAACATACTGAAATATTTAGGGATAAAGGGGCATGATGTCTGCAACTTACTCTCAAATAGTTGAGAAAAATATGTATGTGTATATATAGAGATAGGACAAGAAATCAAGCAGGGCAAAATGTTTAATAATTGGTGAACCTGGGCAAATGACATATAGGAGTCTTTGTAATCTTTTCATAAGTTTGAAATTACACAATATTAAAAGTTAAAAAAATGCCATGGCCAAAAGATTGCCTCTCAAATATAATCTTCTCCAGGTGGCATTAGATGATTCAGGTGACCACAGTGGATCAATTTATCCTGTTATCTCATATTTCCAAACTTAAAGAAACCTTGCTCAGTGCTTGAGAAAACTTGCTCAAACTATGCTCAGTGCTATGAACAAAGGCAAATAGCTCTAGACTCCCAGATTCCACTAAGTCTGTAAGTATGAAGGTAGGGAACCAATTTTTTTTTTAAATTATTCTTCCAATAAAACTTCTTGCAAGTAGTTTTAAGTAATATCTTCTATACAACAATGTGGCAGAATCTGCTATTTGCCACTCCAATATTCATTCTTTAACTCTTCCTTGGTAATGACCACCCTGATTTTTAGGTAGAGATAAGTTTGCTCACAATGAAGGCTATATTTGACAGCTTCCCTTGCAGCTAGGTGTGGCTAAATTGCTAAATTCTGACAAAGGAGACCAAACAGAAAAGTAACATGGCAACTTCCAAGACACCTCCTTAAAAGACATCAGGCACAAGCCCTTTTACCTTTCTTTTTTTCTGCTACTATATTATCACCTGGAGTATAAATGTGATGCCTGGATCTCTAGCAGTTATCTTGGGCAACACAGGCAAGGTCCATACCCTAGGGATGGTGAAGCAGAGAGACAGAAGAACTTGATTAAAAAAGAGCTATTATACCAACCCTGGAATGTCTACCTGGTAGACTATTTTATATGAGAGAAAAATTAACTTTTATTTTGTATAAGTCACCATGAATTTGAGTTTCTATTATATATAACAAAACAGATGGTTTTTCAAGAAAAAAAAGGGGAGGACTAAGGTCTCACTTAGACTCCTAACCCCAATGACATTTTTGGGAGTTGGTTCACTCCATGAGGGTGGAGGCCATCAATGTATCTTCCTAGAACCTAGCAGTCTTCACATAGTTTCAGTTGATGAACATTTTTAGAATGAACAAAGTTTCTTTTTGGAAAAACAATTTCAAAATGTTACCTGCAACAATATTAGAAATTCATCTCTGTTTGGTACTGTTTTGAGAATTATAAATTGCTACAAAGAGCAAATTCAATATATTTCTTTCCCTATAAATCTTTGGTCAAAAACAATATAATCACTATCTGATCTTCTAACTGGTTGAAAGTATAAAGACAATTTTTTATTATATCATTGCTTCTATAGAACTCTTCATTAATAGATCATAAAGTAAGGTGAATCATAAAGTACAGGCTGAGTTATACCACAATAACAACTCCAAAATCTCACTGTTTAAAACAAGAAAGGTTTACTTCAAGTGAGCAGGAACCTCTGTTCCCTATCTTCCATTTTCAGGCCAATGGAATCTCTTCCCTCAAGGAAGAAGAGAACATGACAAATTGCCCATTGGGTCTTAAGATTTCCATTCAGAAATGAGACACATCACTTCCATTCATATTTCATTGATTGACGTCACATGGCCTGTTTAAAACAACAAAGGTTTAACTTCAGGTGAGCAGGAAGCTCTGTTCCATATCTTCCATGTTCAGGCCAGTGGAATCTTTTCCTTCAAGAAGGAAGAGAACATGACAACTTGCCCACTGGTTCTTAAGGTTTCCATTGAGAAATCAGACACATCACTTCCACTCATATTTCATTGACTAAAGTCACATGGTCATATCTAACTTCAAGGGGCAGACAGTGAAATCCTACCATGTACTCAGCATGAATACCCCAGAATTACTGGATAGCACAACCTACCAGATATAGTATCCCACAAGTAATTCTGAGCTCATATCATCTCACTTCAGTCTTTAAAATTTGCTTTAATACAGTTTTAGAGGTAAGAAAGATTTGGTTGGCTAATAGAATGAGCCAGCTATATTCACTTTGATTATGGAAAGTGAAATTTTCCTGAGAAGCTGGAGAATTAGATCTAACTCTCCTAATCTGTCAGTATTATCTTGTAACTAGCTGATGATAAAAAACAAATCAACATGACTTTTCAAAGTCTTATCATTGTAGTCTGACTATGTTACCTTAGATCAGTGATTTAAGAAGTATGCGGAATTCTAGGGGAATCTCCAGAAAATGCAGTTAAGAGGTCCACAAAATCCTTCCTTTTCCAAACTCGTCTGTTTGACACTGTGTTTTCTCCATGTACTTCAACCAAGACAACATACGGTAACAAACAATGTAGAGCAGACATGAGAAACCACTCACCTCATATTAGGCAAAAATTTATAGAGATTTTCAAAGAAATTAGTTGTGGGAAAATACAGGAATTTAAAAAATACATATTTTATGTTAATATGCAAGAGATGTTTGTTATTTTAAAGGAATATATATATATATACAAATTTTTGTTTTAATTTTAATACAGTAAATATTGATAGATATAATCCACATAAACCTGAGGTTTGTGGGGTCCTTAATAATTTTTGTTTTAGCTTTTTGTTTTGAACTAATTATCTTCAGTAACTTGTAAGAATTTAAAGGGTTCCCAAGACCAAAAGTTTGAGGACCACTATCTTAGATAACACCTTGCTTGGTAAATTTCAACTTAGCCTTTCAAAGGAGATAACTACTAAATAACATTTTCTCTGGAAGATTTTAAGGACCAATGATATAATTATAATAACTTGTAGTTATGTACACAAAGAACATGGCATTGTGAAAAACCCATCTAATTGCTGGGAAAGGTAGTTTGTCCTATCTATGCTGAAACACGAAATCTACTGCATATTTGGATTGCAAGAGAGTATGTCCAGTTAATCCATTGAATAATATCTGAGACCAGGAGCTAGTCACTGAATAAGGATCCATGCACCTGCATATGACTAAAACTTACCTAAAAGAGGCTAAAATTAAAATAAGCAAATTTATATTCTCATATAACAAGAAGTCCAGATGTTGGATATTTCCACAGATGGCTATTCCGTAGGTGTGACAGCATCAAAATACTCCCAGGATCTTTACATCCTTCCAATCTGCTAGTTTCAGCAACTTGGCTCATGTAAACTGGCTCCTTCCATGAGCTCCAAATCCTGACATCAAAAGTAAATGCAACATGGGGTAGTTGTACTTCTCGAGTGGAGTCTTTCTCTTAGGCTGTAAGAAAGACTTTTCCCAGAAGCATGGTGCACCTTAACACTGGCTCCTTTTCAAGTATCCTTGGTCAGTATTGTATCATATGACTGCTCAAATTAATCACTGGTAAGGGAAATGAGGTTATCGTGATTGGCTTAGACAAATCATGATTCTCTCTTTGTGGCTGAGGAAGGACCCAGCTTTTCCAAAAGCACTCCACTTCCTGATATCTGCACAAAATTGCTGTTCTTTTAGTAAGAATAAGGGTGGGGTGGGGAGTAGCTATGGGATGAGTAATCAGTAAAGTCTTTGACAATTACAAAAACTGGAATGTCTCATTGCAATAACTAAGACTATCATGGGATAATAAAAATTCGGAGTTTTATGAAGATCATATTTGCCCATTTTCCTTCGGTCAATTAATATAATAAATGCCTAACAGCATTAAAAATTTGTACTTTCATTTTTTAAAATCTTCATTGGTAGCTAATTTTAGTTTGTAGTTGTCTGTAAGTTCTCATACATATTTCATTCAGTAATAACGAAAAGTCAGTTCTATTCAATCTCATACTACTCCATTTTTTTTCCTTACTTAAATTATCACACACTTGTCATTGCTGACATTATAGTATCCTACCATTTAAACTTAATACTTCCAGTTAAAATTTGTCTCTCTCATTAAACTGGGGTCATTTATAGATTTTAAAAATAAAAATTTCATTCTATAAGCCAAGTAATTATCTAATCTGAGTAATTAATAAAAGTTAGAAACAAATACAGAAATATATTATCCAATATGGCCTTCTTTCTCTGGAACAACCCACATACCAGCTGTCTGCTCTACTACTAATAGTATGAGCCAACTAGGGCTGGGAGATATTTTCTGCTATGATTTTGTTAATTTACAGCTAATTTAGAAAATGATCCTCTGTCATTTTTCCTTCAGGTCTCAGTTTAAATGTCATCTCTTCTGGGGCCTTCTCTGACCACCTTGTTTAAAAGATGCCTCCTGCAATTGTTTTCTATTAAATCACTCTTCTAATTCTGTCTATAGAAGTCTTGCAAACCTGCAATTACCTCCTTAATGTATTTGTTTATTTTCTATTTCCCAACTAGAATGTAAACACTGTGAGAGCTGGAAAACATGTTAGTCTTATTCTATACTGTATGCTCAAAGCTTAATCTCGGGCCTGGCTCATAATGACTGATCAATAAATATTTGTTAATTGAATTTAGTTTTCTTTCCTGAATCACCTCTCATTGAAACATTTTATGTTCTATTCTGAAAGAAATTTTAAAATAAATTTTGATGTTTGTCATATTTTGGCCAATGATATTTAATAATACAAGATATTAAATTTGTGTAGTTAATGAACATTTAACATTAAGTGTCAAATGTGGTAAAACATTGTAAAAAATAGTTTATAATGGAACAGATAAATCTCTTTTTATGTCTGATGGTACCTGTTTATACACTGTATTTTTATTTTACATAATTTATTAGGTATGATAAATTAATCTATTTGGGGTTAACACAGAAATTTTAAAATGTCTAGAAGTGAAGCCATCAAGAACCCACGATAGTTTATTTGGCCAAAGCTAAACTTTGCAAATATTTTGTGTCTTCAATATAGTTTGAATTGAAACCACTTCTCATGAGCTCTCATTGTGGTTTTATTAAATATTCAGTTGTAACTAATAATAAGAAACATGAACTATTTTAAGGCATTAAGTATTTTACTAAGTAAATACATTAACTACTTTATTTCTGTTATTAACTACATAGGAAAGTTACATGAGAAGCACAGTGAAATCTGGCTGTTTTCAGTGGAGATATTCCCATGTATGAGTGTGATTAGCACAGACTTGCTAAATCTCTCTCTGAGCCATCTGTGAGCACCTTCCTGGTTTAAAACAACACACACTAGCTCTGCTCAGTTCTAAGTCAGTTTTTACCACAACTGTTATCTTTATCTTAAACCTGGGAAGATTCTCAAATGCCTGAAGCTTGGAAATGCCACCTTTCACCAAGGATCTGAACCTTACTTAAACTGAAAAAAGAATTATATTAAATCAACTATCTCAAATGAGATTTTATTGGCATGAAGTGTTGACCAAAAAAGTTCTAATCCATTTGTAAGGAAAAAAAATAGAGAATATTCAGCTTACTAGTTAGTTTAGGACATATTCATGTGTTTATTGTTCTAACAATCCTAAATGAAATTCCTAGTCACTTGAGCTCCCTTGCTTCTCTTTAGCTCAACTTCAAGTTACAGTGACACAAACCTCTTTTTATAGTGGCCCCAGTGTGAGGTCCTGGGTTTTGATGAATCAGCAATAGTGGAGACTTTTCTGGAAAAGACTTGGCAGTAAATAACCCACTCCATAGCTTGACAGCCTAGGTCCTTACTGCAGACCTGGTGCAATTTTTTCTAAAGAACTTGTTCTGATCACCACGAATCAGAGCATTCAAGTGGAATTTTCAGAATACTGCACTGTAGCAAAACTACCTAGAACTGCCCAGAGAACTGTAAACACAATGTAAGTTTTAAAACAAATTCTAAAGTTATAAGAGATATTATGACAATCACTTTCTCTACCAAAAATATGTGTTTTAAAAACCTGCAAATCAGGAAAATTTAAAGTAGGCTTGATTTTGACTGTGGTGTTTAGTTCTACAAGCCCAGACTGAGTGCAGTTAAGAATCAATCCTTCATTGTCATATCTAAGGTTTTTATACTGAACTGCACTTTGCATATGATAAAGATCACCCAGTTTAACTGTACAAGGAATGACATTTAGTAAATTTACAGAATTGTGCATCCATCAACACAATCCAATTTTAGAAGATTTCCATCACCCCAAAAAGATCCCCCATACGCATTATGTTTAGGGTTTTCTATTTAATTTTTCCACAGCTTTTCTGTGTGAAAACATAATGCCATAATTGAAATAGAATACCAAAAATGTTAATAAATTTGACAGCTGGCATTCAGACACAACTAAATAATTTGCCTGGAAAACAGCAAATTTTGTATGTACAACTTTTTAAAAAGGAGTCCAGCTAATTAAGCAGATACTAGTTTTCCTTAAATAATATTCATAAGATCATGAATAAGAGGAGATGTGTATGAACTGAGACTAGCTCTGCTCTTGTTATAAGCAAATCTGACATTACTTAGGAGGCACATGGTGGCAACAGCAGCTGTGAGTCATTATATTCCTCTCATTCCTTCACACTTCTGTTTTTCACCTTACTTTCTAAGTGGAGAATCAGTCATATTTGGGCTGAGGTCATCAAAAAGGGTGGGGAAACACCAGGTTACATTCAAAGTGGGAGCCCAGTTCAAGCTCCAATTTTTCTTTTAATTGGTTACTGTTCTCTGGCTATACAGAAGCTCATATGAATGTTTTAAATGTGATCTTGACTTCTCTTTTTCCTCCTCAGGGACCATCATTTAGCACCCTTTCGCCAGAGTATACTTCCTTTCTCACATCTTATAGTAATGCAAAGAGCCAAAGATTAAAAAATAAATAAATAAATAAATAATAAATTAAAAAATAAAAATAAAAAAAGAGTGTTAGGCCCGCAAGCCCCAGGTATAAGGTAAATTTATAATATTTTCTCTTAGTAAAATACAAAGTTTGGTGGCACAGATGTCTGTTAGAAGGCAGCTACACAAAAATATAAGAATTTTGTCAGTTTTGTGCATTTAACATATCCCAAGATCCTAAAATCGTGCCTGGCACATAGTAGGTATTCAATAGTACTTGTTAAATAAATGAAGTTTTAAAAAATGCTTGTCCTAATGGACTATTAAGTTTGATCCACCTCATTGGTGTGTTATGAAAAGTGTGTTGATATGTTAACATAAAATACATTTTAAAAATGTACAAGTGGAACTCAGTATACAATTCTAAAGTAAATTTAAACTGTAAAATGAGTTAAGTTATACCTCAGATTATGTTATTTTATGATTCTGTATCTCTTTATATTTATTTTATAGAGCTTTACGTCCTCATATTGCATACAGCTTGGATAAGAAGTACATATCTATGTTCTAAAATAAATATAATGTCCCTGAAAATTGTACTGGTTTTCTCTTCTTTAGGCACAGCTTATAGTTAATATCCTCCTTAATGATTTAGCTAAGAAATTCCATCTTTGATGGAAATGATAAACATGCAAAAAAAAAAAAACTAAAAGAAAAATAGCATATTGATCTTGGCCTCATGAAAATCATCTTCAAGATCTGTATAAATAGGTAGCATACATTAAATTAACGTATAAATGGTAGGTTTAGGATCTTTCTAATAATTCATATTTCTGTTTCTCAGTTTACTTAAATTTGGTCAAGTAAAAATCTTGCCATATTTTTATTAATTGGTTCTCCTTTTTTTCTAGTAATGCATTTCTTTTCACAATTTTAAGACAACCGATATTTTCTCAGATTCAAGTCTCATCACTACAGTAGATCCCTCCTTCTCCATGCCAGAACTAGTCACCTTAATTAAACTTGTTTCCTGGGAGTTCCCAGACCTGGATTATTGTCGTCACTGATTCACACACTCCATTCTTATGAGGATTTTCTTCAGGGCTATTGATCTCATTTTTTCCTTCCTCTTTGGGGACCATGAACCATCATCCAGCCCCTGTCTCTTCAGAAGCATCTCCTCTCCTGCCTCCTCTCCTCATTTTCTAAACATACTTTTGTCTGCACCCTAAAACCAAGATCCCTTTATGGACCCAGCACTCTCCCTCTATTTTTCCTCTCAAAAGAGTAGCTCAACTCACTGTTTTGATTTCTTCTTCACCTCTAATCTACAACTCAACTTGCTGTAAAAAAAAAAAAAAAAAAAAAAAAAAGGTTCTGTCCCTATACAGTCAAACGATATTGTTCTAAATTCACTTATAACCCCTTAAAGCGGTTATATTGCCAAATCCAATTAACACTTGTCCTTATCTTATGTGACCTCTTGGTAGCCCTGACTGCGTTGGACCTCTTCTGCCTTATTGGAGTTCTTTCATCCCATGTTTCCACCACACCTGCTTTACTAAAGCACTTTCGCACCTTGCTTTACTGAAACACTCTCTTTCTCTTCTTCTTATTCCTCTTCTTCCTCTTCTTCTTTTCTTCTTCCTCTTCTTCCTCTTCCTCTTCTTCTTCCTCTTCTTCTTCTTCTCCTCCTCCTCCTTTCCTCTTTTCTCTCTTTCTCCTCTTTCTCCTCTCTTTCTCTCCTCCTTCCTTCCCTCCTTCCTTCTCTCTCTCTCTTTCTCTCTTTCTTTCCTTCCAGTCTTGTTTTGTCACCCCACTGCAGCCCCAACTTCCCAGGCTCAAGTGATCCTCTGGCCTCAGCTCCCTGAGTAGCTTGGACTACAGGCATGAACCACCATGCCTGGCTAATTTTTTTAATTTTGTTTTGTGGAGATGAGCTCTCATTATGTTGCCCAGGTTGGTCTTGAACTCCTGAGCTCAAGCAATCCTCCCACCTTGGTGTCCTAAAGTGCGAGGATTACAGGAGTGATACACTGTGCCTGGCCTACTGATGCACTTTCTACCAGCTTCACCACTCCTTTTCAGTGAGATGGATTTTTTTGTTTGTTTGTTTGTTTGTTTGTTTTATTTTGCATATCCTCTCACCTTACAATCAAATGTTGATCTCTAGGCTACTGTCCTTGGTCCTGGACTCAAGCTACAAAATTTCCCTGGGAAAACGAATCAATTCCTATTGTTTTAATCGCCATTTTTTTTTTTGCTGATGACTCTCACATTTAAATCTTTAGCCTTAAATTATCTACTAAACTCCAGACCTCATGTCTCTGGTTGTCCCCTGAATATCTTCTCCACCTACATGTTACTGAGCCTTCCAAAGTCTCAGATCTATTCTGAGTTCTTTTCCTTGGGGTGACTGTATTTTACATGTAGGAAGGAAGACAAACTGAATATTTAGTAGCCAGAAGGGCAGATTATGGCACTCTTATATGTTGTTTATTTCTGTTTCTCCACTTTCTGAACACATGGTAGAATTGCACTTCCTTGCTTTTTGAAATTGGTGTGTCATGTGACTTGTTTTAGCCAGTGAAATGTGTGTCCCTTCTAGGCAGAAGCCTCTGAAACCTGGTAGGCAAATAATTTTATTCTTTTCTCCTTGTACATTCCAGCGGGAAGAGGCTCCATCAGCTTACATCCTTAAGTGAAGATGATGTAGAGCCGACCTCACACCAACCAAAAATGGATGTAGGGCATGAGTGAAAAATAAGCCCTTGCTATTTCAAGCCTGTGAGATTTTTGCATTATTTGTTACCACCAAATAGCCCAGCCCATCCTGACTGATTTAAGATTCAAAACCAAACTCATTATTTTTTTCCTGCACATCATTAACAGAATAAAACAACATAAGAGGATCTCACCTGCTCTTTATCCTATGCTCCCTGTTTTCTATGTCTGTGTTTGAGCCATCACCATTTACTCACTTAATCGGGCTAGAAACCTGGGAATATATCCAGACTCCACTTTCAAGTCCTCCTACATTTTATGACTCAAGTAGTTCCTCAGGTTCTATTTCCTAAGTATCCTTCAAATCTATCCCTTCATCTCCATTCTTAGTGCACATCTTACTATCTCTTGCCTAGACGATTACAGTGGCCTTTTAAATGGACTCCCTATCTCTAGCCTTTCCTAAATCCATTTTCCATATGGCTGCCTGAGTGATTTTTATAAAATGCCATTCCACTTTCCTGCTTAAAATCTTTCATCAGTGCTTACAGAATAAAGTGAAAATGACTTAGCATAGAATTTTAGGCTCTTGATAGTCCAAACCCCTTCTATCTCTACAGCATCTCTGCTCCAGAGATATCCAGTCCCTTTTCTTCTCACTCCTGAACAACCCAGACAATACCATTCTTTGATTAATCCTTCCAAAAATATCAACTTAGATTTGATTTACTCTAAGAAGGCTTTCCTGGTTATCCCAAACAGACTTCTTAAGTTCCTCCCACCTATCTGCCTAAAATGCGCTTTTACTATTGAATGTGTCACTTTAAATTTTTTTTTTTTTTTTTTTTTTTGCTTATGTGTTTATTGTAGTGGTCAGAGTTTGGAATAATTGTAACCTTCTCAAGGATAGGAGGAATACCTTACTGTCCTTATCTGGAAAGCACAGTAGTTAGCACATTACAGCCACCTCAAAAAGATTTTTTTTTATTTTTTATTTTCATTTTAAGTTCTGTGGTACATGTGCAGGATGTGCAGGTTTGTTACATAGGTAAACATGTGCCATGGTGGTTTGCTGCACCTATCAACCTATCACCTAGGTATTAAGCCTAGCATGCATTAGCTATTTTTCCTAATCCTCTCTCTCCTCCCACCCCACCCACTGACATGCCCAGTGTGTGTTTTTCCCCTCCCTGTGTCCAGATGTTCTCATTATTCAGCTCCCACTTATAAGTGAGAACATGCAGTGTTTGGTTTTATGTTCCTGCGTTAGTTTGCTGAGGATAACGGCTTCCAGCTCCATCCACGTCCTTGGAAAGGACATGATCTTGTTCCTTTTTATGGCTGCATAGTATTTCGTGTTGTGTATGTACCACATTTTCTTTATCCAGTCTATTACTGATGGGCATTTGAGTTGAATCCATATCTTTGCTATCGCAAATAGTGCTGCAATGAACATACGCATACAAACATTATGCATGCCATCTTTGTAAAATAACGATTGATATTCCTTTGCATATATCCCTAGTAATGGGATTGCTAGGTCAAATGGTACTTCTGGTTCTAGGTCTTTGAGGAATCACCACACCATCTTCCACAATGATTTAACTAGTTTACATTATGGAACTGAAATAATAAGCCATTTTATCAGAAAGGTTAACATCTGTTAAGGCCTTATATTTTTTTACGTAGCTTAAAATCTGTTGAAGGCTTACTATATGCCAGGCACTGCAAAACGCATTTTATAAGCTTTATTTTATTTAGCCTAACAATAACTGTAGGGGATGCAGACATGCATTAGGTATCTATCCTTACTGATTTTCTTATCAGAAGCAACCCAAATCTCACCTTCCTGGCAGGTAGATCATTATAGGCTCTTAGCTACTATTAATAATTAAATTATTTTCCTATGCAGTAGCTGAATGAATAGCAGAGACAACTATAGTTTACAATCAAGATTTTTGTCTAAACTTTTAAGAGAAAGTCCAGTTTTATTATTTAAAACATTTTGAAAAAAATTATAACATTTATATATCATCTTTTCCTCGATGCATAACACTTTTTACAAAGTTTAGTGGTAGATAAGTGAGGGGTAACTCAAATCAGAGAAACAGGGGTGCAGACGTTTGATTAACTTGTCTCATATCATAACTTTTCAAGATTTCATTATCATTCCACAACACTGCCCTCAAAAAAGAATTTTGTAATTACCATTGAGTGACAAAATACCAAGTAGTGACAGAGGTGTATAGACGAACTCAAAAGTTATTGTAGGAGGACACTGATAAAATGTTGGGGAAAATCACAAAAGACACGAGAAGATAATTTAGAGCTCTATGCCCAAATCACATGACTCCAGTCTCTGGCTCTCTTAGCCAGAACAGCGAATCTTTTACAATTTACCTCTTGTTGCCAATAATTTTCTATTATCTTCAAATAATAATAGGCTGGAGTATGAACCTAGTTTATCAATACTTTTTTAAAAAACCGACATTCCTCTCTTAAGGAGTCCATGCATTCTCCCCATTTTTTAGAAAATTGTTCCATGAAGAGGAATTAAGTTTATTCCTTTGAATTCTAGTCTGCATCCCAGCTTTTAGAACACGGGATGCAGAACCAGTTGATTTGCCACAGGCCAAGTCCTGAGTCTCCAGCGAATCAAGCAATTAACCAGTCACTTGGCCTTTTTGCAGAAATCCACAAAACGTGTAGACTCGCTTAATTCCATCTCCTCCTGGCCTCTTCACACGGAAATTGGCTGCTCGGGCGAATGTTGTTTTTCTCCGCAGCCATGTGTCGAAGGGCGATTAACATTCGCTCGACAAAACCCTGTCCCGGGCCATTTGGGAGTTGCACGCGTTCACACCCGGGGCTCAGCCCGGTGCGCCTTCACGCGCAGCCTTTTTGTTTATGCGGCTAGCAGGGAGAGGGGCGGAGAGGCAGCGAACCTCTCAATGTGCAGCAGGCCGCGAGGGCTATATAAAGCTCGGGTCTCGGACCTACTGGAACTGGTCAAGATTGCCCGCGAGCTGGCAGCGGCCTTCCGCCCAGCTCTGCGGCGTCATGGAGAACGCGGGAGGCGCAGAGGGTACAGAGAGTGGAGCTGCGGCGTGCGCGGCCACCGACGGCCCTACGCGGCGCGCGGGCGCGGACTCCGGGTAGGCTTCCCCGCGCTGCTCTGCGCCTCCCAGCTTCCCCCGTCTCTCCCTCCTGCGCCTCCCCAGCTCCTCCCCTCCAACTCTCCATCCCCCACTGCCCGGTGCCAGCGCTCGGCTTCGGTGGATTCTCCCGGGTCTGGGCTCACGTCTCCTCTGCGCGCCTTGTGCTCCCCTATCCCGCAGATACGCAGGCTTCTGGAGACCCTGGGTGGACGCCGGAGGCAAGAAAGAAGAGGAGACGCCGAACCACGCCGCGGAGGCGGTGAGTGAGCCACGCGTCTCAGGCCGCGCCTCCCACGGGTGCAGAAGATCGACCAGGGCTCTCGGGACGCAGGGCCTGAGAGAGACATGCGAGACACCGGGTCCTGCCTCTCGCTTAACATCCCGCCTGCCGGTGGCCATAAAGGTGCCGACGCGGCGGATGTGTCCTCTGGAGCGATGGGCCACAGGCACCCAGCCGGGAGCGAGGCTGCTGAGAGCCCTGGGGTTACATTCCCAGCGGGCACGAGGAACACTGGGTCGTGCACGTTTCCACTTTCTAGAAGGAGGTGGGTGATAACTGGATTCACTTCCTTTCCTCTCCAGATGCCCGATGGCCCTGGAATGACCGCAGCCTCAGGAAAGCTTTACCAATTCAGGCACCCAGTCAGGTGAGTGACAGGCCTCGCCGAAGGTCTCCCGCTCCTCCAGCCCCAGGGAGGAGCCAGGGGCATCGCGCAGCCCAGCTCCGCAGCTGGTCCTGCAGTCTCTCTCTCTCTCTCTGAAAATCTGGCTTCAAGGTTACTTATCTTCTCACTCATCAAATTGAAAAAGGTAGGGGCTCACGGTCCCACGTAAAGGGACTGTTGATGAATACATACTCAGTGAACTTGATGAATATATTACGAAGAGGGAAAGGGGATGATATGGTAAGAGAGCGGTGACATCTTGTGCTGGCAAAACAGTTTTTATTTTTAAATCCTAAAGGGTTCGAATGAAATTGACTTCGCATCAGGCAGAGTGTGTATGCTGCTTTTGTCTTGCAATCTGGAAGGAAGAATGGGATTAACAGTTACAGTCTTACAAGTTTGCCGAGTAGGAAAAAATAGAAATGTAATGAAAATCCTAAAGATTATTGAGAATGGTTATAGAAAGGGTCAAAAGTTTATTTAACTTGCGGAGCTAGTTTACTGTTCCTAGTCACAGGAAGTCAGCCTTTATCTAAGATTCTGTGTCACTTTTATTCAGGTGAAATGTTAAGAATTCTGCAGTTTTCCTGCCTCCGAGAGCTGTTAAATGAAGAGCTGGATGATGTTTGTAAAGTGCCCCTGGTCATAAATAACACATAGAAGTCATTACATCTAATTTCCTACCGTGTGCTAGCACTGGTGAAGGACACAGGAAAAAGTAGTCACAGCACATGGCAAGTGTTGTAATGGAATTTAGTTTGGTTAGTTTTACAAGTATGGGCAGGGCACGAAGTGCCTAAATCTGTCAGTGGTAGGGGGAAGGGTCAGGGAAGTGTATATTATAAGTTGTGGTTACCTGGCTGAGTCTTGGAAAAGTTAGTCAGATGAATGGGAAGTGGGAGCAAAAGAAATAGCATTGGAAAAGAGAAGCAGGATCATGAAACGGTGTGGCTCCTTGCGGGAACTCCAAGGAGTTTAGGTGTGTGAAGTTGTGGTCATTTTAGCAGGGTAATCAGAGGCCAAATCTTGCACACTCTTGTACAGAGTTCTGTCCTGATCCTGTATGTAGTGTTGGGAACCCATGGGCTTTATTCCGAAGGTAGTCTTGGGGGTTATATGTTAAATAGGCTTAGTCAGGGCATCAAAAGTAAAACTGGAAGTTCTGCAATTTTTCAGGTAAGAAATAATGATGAACCATTGTAAGACAGTGGAAGTGAGGGTGAGACTGGGTGAATCTAGGAAATACTTGAATGACAAAATAGATTAGGCTTTATAACGTATTGGATATGTTAGGTGAAGAAGAGGTAAAAGGCCAGAATGGCTCCTAAGTTTGTGGCTGGTGAGCAGGTGAATGCTGTACTAAAAGAATGTAAATTAGGGCCGAAAACAGATTTGGGAGGTGAGATCATGAGTCAAGTTTTCCACTTATCATATTTAATGTGCCTATGGGGCATCCAAAGAGTGATATCCTGTAGAGAACTGCGTACGTAAGTTAGGGGCCCAGAGTCAAGATCTTAAGTGGAAATACAGACTTGGGAGTCCATGGTAAATGTAGGGTGGGGAAATCATGACAGTGGGCCAGGTCATCCTAGTTTGTTTAGAGGGAGGGCTGATGTTCTCAATGAAAACCTGAGGGAAGGCCAGCATCTAACCAGTACACAGAGAAAGAGAGGTCCACAAGGAGACGGAGAAGAATCAGAACAGGAAGAAACTCAGAAAAGTATGCGGGCCCTGGGAGAAAAATGGCCCACAGTGAGAAATTCTGGACAGAGTATCATAATGACTAGCATTCTTTGGGTTTGCCAGTTCCAGTTACGCATTAGGAAATAAATTGTTTCTTATATAAGAAATTCCTTTCTTTTCTGAAGTACGGTTACAATTTAATTGTTCTCTTATATTTTATTTTTATTCATTTATATCTTGACTAATATGGTGTGTTTTATTCTTTTTATTCAGCTGTCAACTTTTTGAGGGTAGGGACCATGATTTATTCATCTTTAAATTGTGAATTATGTTGGCACAAGGGATCACTAAAATATTTATTGAACGACTGAATAATTGATAGTTACTTGTTTAAGCATCAAAAATATAAACTTTTTTTATGATTTTTGCTGGAAACATTTATAAACTGCATTGTTTGTTTTTCTGCCTTTTAAAGTGGAGCATACTGAACATAATGTAATCTTCCATTTGTTGGGATGACTCCATTGTATGGATATATGGGCTGTTTACCCTGCACTAAAATGACTGCACTGTACTTGGTGATTCAGCCTTATCTCTCCTCTTTCTTTTCCTTGATGAAGACCAGAAGGCAAGATTAGTATTTGTCAGATTTTTGAAATTCTGAGGTAATAATACTTACATGCCAGTTATTTGTATAAAACATATATAATTTCTCAACATTTCATATGATATTCACAAATTTAGTTGAATGGGGAGAAGACAGGCACATAGAATCAAAGTTGAGGTCAGAAGTAGTCTTTCTATGCCTCAAGTTGTGAGTGCATAGACAAAAATTTTAAAATACTGGTTTTTATACATTTTTAAACTTACGTTGTCTACTTCTATAAGAGTTAAATCTGTGAGTTTTAAATAAGATAATAGGTTATTTCCACCTTTTTGTAAGGTGCATAATATTTTGTCATCTTTATAAAGCTGGCTATCATTAAAGTTTTTAATGTAGTGGTAGAACTCAATTCATTTTTTCCAAAGGAATTTAGAAACTGGAAGACAAATCTTCTATATATTATAAGAATAAATATATCCATAATGTACAAAGTAAGGTAAACATTGATCTTATGCATATCCAGGGTTTAGTGTAAATTTGTTTGATCCAATTTACAGCTTGAATAAAGATTTACAATAATCAAACAATTATTGATACTTGGGCAGGTAGATTCCATGAAGGCTGTGATAGTAGCATATTTTAACTCTGTATCTTAAGGCTATATCCAAATGTATAAGTCAATTGTTAAATATATGGAGCTCTTGAAATTTGACCATTTCATGAGTTTAAAGATCCTGAATGTGAAAAAATAAAACATGTTGTCTGCTTCTTTCAGACTATTTTGGCCAAAATCAAAATGTTATGATTACTTATATCAAGAAGCAGAAGCTCTTCTGAAAAATTTTCCAATTCAAGCCACAATTTCATTTTATGAAGATTCTGATAGCGAAGATGAAATTGAGGATCTGACCTGTGAAAATTAATCTGATTAGCTACTTTTGATTATATCCAAAGCTTGTGGGGTTTAAATTTAGTGTACAAATGTATCATAATTATTTTAAACTAATTTATTTGTATATAAATTATTAATAAAATGAAATATTTTGTAATTATTCTGGTATTTGGCCTTTTCTTTATCCCTACACTAGAATTGAATGTTGGAATCTAAAACAGGTGCCATCTACAAATGTCTTGATTGTATTATAAATATTTGGGGCTTACAAAGAATACATTTTTCTTTTCGTTAAATTGCACATTTATATTTAGTTATAATTTTGCAAAGAATGACAGTATTTAATTCTCAAGACTGAATCTTTTAACATCTGCTATTTCCTACTGATGCCAGTTGGATGTTGTAGTTACATATCAATGTTATCTTATTAGATAATGAAGAAAATAGACTTATGTTAGAAATCACTCATTTATTAGTAAAGATTTCTTAGCAGATGGAGAAAAACACATTAAATCATTACCTGTAATTGAAAAAGGGAATCAATCTTAGGGCTTTTAAATTATAGATATTTTAAATAAATGATGAGCAAAGTAACTCATATTTTAATACTCCTCTTCAGTCCTTAAATCCAGTAGTAAAATAGTATGGATGTTTAATACTTAATGTACTACATTGAGGGATCCCTAGAATTAAAACAAAACGTTTAAATTTGAGTGATTGATATGGAGTCTAAAAAAGTGGAGTCTAAAGGCCAGAAGTTGATAGCATCTTCCATTTCTGTACAAAGGGGAGCTAAGAAATTTGGAAAGCATGGAACATTCTTCAACAATATTAACTTTTCCTTGCTCTGGTTCTCTGCTTTTGATATTCTTATGTAAAAGTTTTCTCACGAGAAGTGAAATAAATCTCAGTGATTAGTTTTTCTTGTGTAGACTCTAGAAGAATATGTCATCATTTAATGAGAGAGAACACAGAAGCAATTTGCAAAGTCAAAGTAATACAGTTAATTATAGTCATGAGGTTCTTTTAGCTCAAATTCAGTCTTCTCATAATAAGCATTTCAATTGCAAATAAAAATGGATAGAGGTGAATGTCATAGGTGGCTACCTTATTTGAATGCTTGTATTTGAATGGCCACATATAGTCACACACTTTTTCTTCTGATTCTGCAAACATAACCTTGATTTTTTAGGCACTTTAAGAACTAAGTAGTTAAACAGAGAAAGTTTAAAGCATGACAATATGTTCAGAGTTAGGAAAAATTAGTAATTAAAGGAGGATGGGGAGGATTATTTAGAACTATGTTTCTTCTCCTGAAAACTTTCTCCCTTATTGGATTCTACTCTCAAGATCTATGTGTTCCCCAAGGGACACACAAAACAATCAATCAAACAAACAAAAACCATCAGATTTTGAGCATTAGAGCCTGGTGTTTACCTGCACAGTGTTGGTCCTTTTCCCATTAATATGTTGGAATAGCACAAACAGCCACTGCCACTTATTCAGTACCTAATATTAATCAGGCACTGCAGTATGTAGTTTACACATGATCCTTTAATCTTTAATAAACCCATTATGCAGATGGGGAAAATGAGACTTTGAGATACTAAAGTAACTTGCATAAGACAGCTCAGTCATTAAGTGCAGGGATGGCATGCAAACCAAATCTGACTTTTAAACGTTACTTCATCACCACAGCTGGAGGTGAGCTGCATCAGTACACAATTCCCAGTGAAGACAGGAAGTTACATAAGGAGGGAGAATTTGTGAGTGGGTGAATAGAGCAGAAGGTGACTTTACTAACGTCTTTCGCGCATTCATTAGCCCTCAGCATGCTTAAAGGTGAAGTTTAAGGATGATTAAAGGTGAGGTTTTCTTCTTACCCCACAGTAGTGGCTGTTGACATTTGATATTTTTGCTCTTAAAGGTGTGAGATGCTCTTTGCATTACAGCCTAGTGCCTTACAGGAAAGAATTTCAGAGAAACTAAAATTCGTTTTAGTCCATATTTCAAGTAGTGTGTTTTAGTCCATATTTCAAGTAGTGTGATGGTACTGCTTAACAATGAACAGACATTGCTGTTCCGGGTTAACAGGACTAAGAATTTGTTCCCACATTCGGTCAGCACCAAGGCTAAGGAACAGCTTCACTCTCTAATCTTTCCACGAAATAGCTGTCACCTTGCTCCGGTGCTGAAGTTCGGGATGCGGAACTAGCTGAGCATGCGTACTTCCTCCCTGCCGGCCCTCCCTCCGTCCCGTTGGCTCCGCCCTCCGCGGACGTGCTGCGTCAGAATGCGCCTCACCCCTGGCGACCCCGGAAGTGGGTCGGGGGCTTGGCCTCTGCCCGGCCACAGAGCCGGAGCTGGAGGTGCTGTCCCGTCTGGCGGCGATCCCCGGGCAGGGCCCGGGGCCGGGGTTTGAAGATGCTGAACGTCCCTTCCCAGTCTTTCCCGGCCCCCAGGTCGCAGCAGCGTGTCGCCTCCGGGGGGCGTAGCAAGGTAAGCGGGTGGCTCCGTGAGTCTCTCCCCTCGCTGCGTTTCGAGCTCTGGCAGTGTGTTCTCTTCTTCCGCCCCAACTCCCAGCTCCTGCACCCCTCTCTAAGCTGTCGTTCCCTGCTGTCCTTGCCTGCAACCTCTTTCTGATCCCACTTTGTCTACAGTCCCTAAACTCTCCTTACCTCCTCCCTTTCCCCTAGCAGTCCCTCTTCTTTCTGGTCCTTTATCCCGCTCTATCCGTTCCCTTCCTCCAAGTCCTTTCCCGCGATTTAAATTTATATGACAGAGCCAGGCACTGTGTTTGCGGTATTATAGGCTCTCGGTATTAGCCGCCTTCCCTCAACCTCATCTTCTCCCTGGTCTTTTGTTCTTCACTGCCTGAAGGAGTTGTACCACATCACTCGATGTGGGTTCCCTCGCAGGAGGGAAAGGCTTGGCAGTGGCGACAGTGACCGTCCGTGCAAGGATGGGGACTTCTGGAGTTGGGGAGCTAGGTCAGGTTTACAGACACTATCCAAGACATACTGCCTTTCTTTCTTCCTCTGGTACCTGATTGTTTTGTCATTGCCTTTTCTACTAGTATCACTTGCTAACTTCGAAGCAAATATAATAATACTCTTGAGTTCTTGTTGAGCACAGTTGCTGTTAGCAACAGGTGGAATACTGTACAGATATATTTTATATTTGCAGAATTCAATAAAAATTGTGTTCTTTGTTCTTTTGCGAATGTTGTTTGTTCCTATTTGTTAGTTCCTCATTCTGTAACCATATCTTTATCTTTCGTTTGTGACACTTCCACTTAACTTGGGCCACTCGGTTAACTCTTGAGTCTTAGCATCGTTTGGAACCCTTATCGATTTTCTTATTTTTCTCCACTTAGACCTGGCGTTCTGATTCTAGTTCAGAATGAATATAGGTTCAGGGATCTGTGGTTTTCATTAGCTTTCCAGAGATTTCTTAAGTACTTACGGGTGGCCGTGTATATTCTCAGTGCTTTGCATGTATTAACTTTAATTTTCACAATTATCCTTTGAAGTGAAAGCTTTTATTGTCTCTATTTCGCAGAAAAGGAAACTGGCTAAGAAATATTGCCCTAAATTGCGTAGGCTTGTGTTGTGGTTCTGCTGTGAAATTTCATTTACTGATTCATATATCAATCATCTAGCCATCCAATCATGTATATTTTTCTCATTGGTTTTTGACCTATTTCTTGAAGCTAAATACTTGACTGAATAACAGTCTTTCCAGAAAGAATCTCTGAATTAGAATATGAGTTACTGCCCTTCTTCGTTAAAAATACCAACTGTGTTCTTAGCATCCATTTAAAGGAGAAAACTTAGAAGCAAAGACAAAAAGTCACACAGGGGGCGATGGCAAAGGTGAGTTTTTGGTCCAAAAAGAGAACAAAATAAGATTATTGTGCAATTCTAAGGAAAAGTCAGACTCCAGTCTTCTTCCTCTTTTCTTTGTGAAACAAGATGATGCTGAGAATGTAAAAACTGAGTCAGGTTTGGATGAAATGGGTAGAGGTTGAGAAAATAGAACCAAGTTGGGAAGGTCGTGTATTATACAAAAGGTTCTCAAATAGTGTTGTTTCATTCAACAGCATTTAGTTATAATATTGATGAGAAAAAAAATTCGTTTTGGCCAGGGCCACTGTCTTTGGAGTTTGCATGCTCTGTGTCTGCGTGGGTTTTCTCTGGGTACTCTGGTTTCCTGCTACAGCCCAAAGATATGCAAGTTAGGTTAATTGGTGTGTCTAAATGGTCCCAGTCTGTGTGAATATTGGGTGTGTATGAGTGTGCCTTGCCATAGGATGGCATCCTGTCCAAGGTCGGTTCCTGCCTTGTGCCCTGAGCTACTGGGATAGGCTCTGACTACCTGTGACATTGAACTGGAATAGTTGGGTAAATAATTATCTTACTTGTTTTTTAATTAATCTTTCTTAAATGTATATATAGCTAACATTTCTTTCAGTGTTTAATATTAGAAGTATTTTGGTCTTTATTTAGAAGTCTGGTGATGTTTTTGTGACCAGAAATATGCTGCAGGAAATTTTGTTTGTCAATTAACCCACGGTAAAATTAGTTTCGTTGTACATAGTTTAGTTTCCAAGCACCTAGTGACTAGCTTAAGTGAAGGCTTATTGTAATTTTTTAAAGGCACAGATTTTGAAGTGAGAAAGACCTAGATTCTTTCACCATATCTGCCAGTTAATCTCTTTGAGTCTGTTTCCTCAGATGTAAATGAGAATAACAGTACCCATTTTATAGGATTGTTCATAGGATTCAATGAGATAATGTTTCTCTTAGCACAGCCTTGGTAAGCACCCAGTAAATGCTACTTGTCCTGAGGCTTTTATTCAGATCTCACAGACTTGAGTGTGACACAGAATATGCACTCAACATATGATAGTTATTATTTCTATTAATACTGGTAAACAAATACTTATTGAGAACCTACCATATGCTGGAGTTTTTGGTCTCTGATTTCAAGGTGTTTAGTCTCATAGGTTGCATGAAATAGTGAACATTCAGTTATAAAGTCATAAGTACTACAACAGGGTGGTATGACCACTAAGGAGTTGAGGATCAGAGAAGCCTTCCAGAGGAATTAATGGGAGTTGGAGTGAGGTTGATCCATGCAGGGAAAGCAACACTACTATAAGCAAGTACTTGACAGCAATAAAGGAATCAAATAATCAGTTCCCATTTGGCTAAAGTATATAATGGAAAGGAGCAAAAGTTAGAACATGGAGCTAGTACAGTCAACTGTGACCAGATTGTGAAGACCTGGTAAATCCCTAGGGAATTTAGAGACGTTGTTGTAAGGTGACCTGAGGAGCCACTGAAGGAGGGAGAGCCTGTGATTAGATTTGCATTTCTGAAAGATTGCTTTAACTATCCTGTGGATTATGGAATGGAGAGAGGTGAGTGATTTTAGTTTGGGATGGGAAAGGTCATTTTCTCACACTTCATTTATTGGGATCAAGAGACCTAGAGTTTCAGTGATAGCCAGAATGGAATGATGTAGATTGATAGGATAGAATGTGAAAGGCACCACAGACCTATTAACTTGGTTACTTTGGGAGTAAATGGATGTCTAAAATAGATATGATTCAGGAAAGTGAGATATGTAAACATCCTTGAATGTGTCTGCTTTTACATTAAACATTCTTCTGTTACTACGTTACAAATTAGTCAGACAAGCTTAGTTCCATAGAGATATCTTGAAAATGTTCTGGTCAAAGTACTAATAATACTTCTCGTCTGAAAACTTTGAAAATGTGTTTTATAAAACAAAACAAAATAAAAACCCAAACCATCCTGTTACTAAGTTCCCTAGGCAAGGGTTGGCAGTTTTTTTTCTGCAAAGGGCCAGGTGGTGTTTTCGGCTTTGAGAGCCTCATAAGGTTTCAGGCTCTTTACCACCACATGTGAAGACGATTCTTTGCTCAAGGGCTGTATAGAAACAGGTACAGGCCATAGTTTGCCACCCCTTCCCTACAGTGTTACAAGTTTTATTTTCCATTATTTGATAAACTTTGTTACTCAATGGATTCTTAGATAAGATTGCTATCTAATGATTTCTAATAGTCTGTTTATCTTGACAGTCCAGAAAATCAACTATAGTTAATTGTCTCTTTACCTTTTCTTCTGTCAAATCTCTTTGATTTTTAAGGTGAAGAAATTTTGGTCCAAACTGGTTAACTGTAACATATTAATGTCAGAGCCAGGACCAGAACCTCTTTTCTAGTTTCTGGTTCAATACCATTCCTGTTATATGGTCAGCCCTGTGTAGCCCTGGGTTCCGCGTCCAAGGATTCAACCAACTTTAGATCAAAAATATTTGGGGAAAAAAATTAAAAATAACAATACAACAATAAAAAAATAAGAATTATAAAACAATGCAATACAACAACCATTTACATAGCATTTACATTGCTTTAGGTATTATTAGTAATCTAGAGATTATTTAAAGTATATGTGAGAATGTTCATAGGTTATATGTCAGTACTTTGCCATTTTATATGAGACACTTGAGCATCCTGGATTTTGGTATAGGGTAGGGGGAAGTCCTAGGACCAGTCCCCCAGGAATACTGATAGACTACTGTACTGTGACATCAATATGGTGAAAATTTGTGTGGTAGAATTTCTAAGCCCTACCTTTTATAATTCAAATACAGCATAAACAATGTTGACAGCCTCTTAAAACTGTAAAAGGATTTATAGAAGTGTTAGATTTGAGTTTTATTATCTTTTAAAATGGAATTAAAAGTAATGAAGCTAGATTTAATTCTTCCTTTTTCCATTTTTAGGTACCTTTAAAACAGGGCAGAAGCCTTATGGATTGGATTCGACTGACCAAAAGTGGAAAGGATCTAACGGGATTAAAAGGCAGGTTAATTGAAGTAACTGAAGAAGAACTTAAGAAACACAACAAAAAAGATGATTGTTGGATATGCATAAGAGGTAGGTGGTATTTATTAAGTCCTTCAAAAAATGTTGCCTGAACTTTCCAATTATGATGTTACATAACCTCACAGTCATGTTATTTTAAACAATTGACAATTTAACAAAAATATGCCTTGTGCTTGACAATAACTTATATAATTCTGACTTTGGATAGTATTTCTTCCTTAGGTAACCATTATATTCTGATGCAGAAAACAGTGAACTTCTGATACGAAAAAGTTTTTCTTGCTTCCTTGTACTGCATTTCCTTTGAAAGGAAACAAGCATTTGCCAGGCAATATAGTACAAAATTATTTGGTAAAATCCAGTTTATATAGCAATAACTTTCTGTCTCAGAGCCTTATAACAGAATTCTGTTGGAAAAAAAAAATCTCTGAGAATCTAAAGTAAACCTGAAAGTCCTGCATTAAAGCCAAATCTTCAGTTTTCACTTGCAGCAATTTTCATTACATGGTATATGTTTCTTAGCAATATTAGTTACTTGATTTTGTTTAGCTCAGAGTGCATTAGAAACTCCAAATTAAATATAAATGTATTGGAGGAGGTGAGCAGGCAGACAAGAAGGTAGCTGATAAAAGCTGACTTTGTGGTAGCCAACAACCTGATATCTAGTAGGGGAACAAAAATAAAAATGAAAGGCATCCAACTATACCATGAGGCTCCATGCATGGTTAACTGTGTTTACCATCTGTTTAGAGAGGAAGGGAAATATATCATTTTTGTTCTTAATGCAATTGTAATTTTATCATTGTATAATTTTGGTTTGTTGTCAGTTATCCTGACTGCACTATAACCTATATGAGGGCAGGGACATTGTTGGTCTTACTGCTCTGTCCTGAGTGGCTGGCACATAGAGGCCATTGACTTGTATTTGTTCAATGAGTGTAACACTTACTTTTAAGAAGTATGGTCACTTAAAGAGGTATCTGGTGGTTTTCACAGTGGATTGGTGATATCAACACCAATAAATGCTGTATTAATTTCCTATGGATGCCGTAACAAAGGACCACAAACTAGATGGCTTAAACAACAGAAATTTGTCTCATAGTTTTGATGGCTAGAAGTCTGTGATTAGGGTGTCAGCAGGGTTCGTTCCTTCTGATGACTGAGTAACAATTTGTTCCATGCCTCTCACCTAGCTTCTGGTGGTTTGCTGGCAATCTTTGGAGTTCCTTGGCTTATAGAACATTACCCTAATATCTGACTTCATCTTCACGTGGCATATTCCCTATGTGCTTGTCTGTGGTCAGATTTTCTGTTTTTATATGGACCCTAATCATACTCGATTAGGGACCTCCCCTACTCCAGTATGACCTCATTTAATTTTGCATCTGTAACAACCCTATATCCAAATAAGGTCATATTCTGAGCTACTGATGGTTAGGACTTCAACCTATGAATTTGGAGGGGGACACAGTTCCACCCATAACAGACACAATTAGAGTGTGAAATTTTCAGTGGCAAAGGGTATGGAAACTTCCAGCAGGTGATGACGTAGTTTATATTGAGACATAACAGGTGTTCAGCTCCCCAAAGTTCCTCAGAGACCTACAAATGTGAATGGTACCAGCAATCTGGAATGAGGATTCTGGCAGGTGCAAAAAGATCCTTTTGACATTTTATAGGGTTTTTGCCACCCTCTTTATCCTTCCTTCATGCTCCCTATCTGTTTACCAGCTGCAAGTAACTGGTACAAAATGACTTCCCCATTGTGCCTGAGTGTTTTCTGCTAGATAGGGTGAAGTCAAGATTAATTTCCCAAGAACACCTTTCAGCTGGCCCAGGCTGCAGGCATGCCTGAGTTCTGTTTCTGCACTAGGAAACCACTTTAGAAAACTTGATTATGTGAACCCTTCATATCCTAGTGATATTAGATAATTGAGGCATTATTAGAATACAGTTAGACTTTATTATTCATATGATGTATTGATGGGGACAAGGGACTGGATTGCTGTGTTTGAAAAGTGATACAGGTTGAGTATCCCTTATCCAAAATGCTTGGGATCAGAAGTATTTTGAATTTGGGATTTTTTCAAATTTTGGAATATTTGCATTATATACTTACTGGTTGAGCATCCCAAATCCAAAGACCGGAAATTTAAAATGCTCCATTGAGTGTTTCTGTTAAATATATTGGAGCTCAAAAAGTTTCAGATTTTGGAGCATTTCAGATTTATGAATTTGGGATACTTAACCTCTACACTGCTCCCGGTTCCATATCCTCTGTAATGATTTGAATGTATAGCACCTCGTCTGGTAAGGTGGTTGAATTAATCATGGTTTGTTTTTTTTTTTTATAAAGGAGACAGGATCTCGCTTTGTCCCCTAGGCTGGAGTGCAGTGGCTTGATCTTGGCTCACAGCATCCTTGACCTCCTGAGCTCAAGTAATCCTCCTGCCTCACCCTCCTAAGTAGCTAGGATGACAAGTGTGCACCACCATGCCCAGCTATTTATTTTTTATATTTTTCTAGAGATAGGGTCTTGCTCTGTTGCCCAGGCTGGTCTTGAATTCCAGGTCTCAAGCAGTCCTCCTGCCTCAGCCTCCCAAAGTGCTGGGATTACAGGCATGAGCCACCATACCTGGCCATGAATTTTTTAGAGGTTTCTGCTGGGGAACATGTTCTACTCTATCTATAGTAAGATGTTTTCCCCTCTTTGTAGAAATAAGATGTGTCTTTTTTTAAATCTTTTTACAGAGTTTGGTCTTTTATTTTATCAAGAAATACTCAGTTTAGACCCTGCTGATGGAGGAAGGATAAATTATTGTTAGCAGGCAGAGTGAAGCACCTTAAGAGGGCTACAAAGTGTAAGTGATATCAGACTGTTGGAAGGGAGACACATGAGTTAGGAAAATCAGGGATGCTTTTGTGGTAGAGATAAGCCTTGAAGCAGTAGACAGGATTTCAATAGGAAATGAGGAAGTGCACTCAGGTGGAAGGAAAGGCCTGAACAAAGGTACAAACACAGGAAAGTTTGAGGTGTTCTGGAGCTTAGGTTAATTGTTGGAGAATTATAAGAAGGAAGGCTGGAAAGGTATGTTAGGTCAGATTGTGGACAACCTTGAAAGCCAGACTGGGAAATGTGTTCCTCATATAGATGGCAGTGTGTACTCTTGAAGGGATTTGAATGTGGGGACAGTGTTATAAGAGTATGCCTTGGAAAGATTAATCTGGTGGTAGGTGTGGTGAATTGAAATAGGGTAAGGAAAGCATTTATCTTCTTACAGAAGTTCGGATGATAACAGGAGGTGAACCAGGATGTTGACAAAGGTCATGGAATAATAGGATGAATGTGAGACAAACAGATTACTGGTAACTTCTAGCACGATCCCAATGAAACTAAAATTACATGTGTAAGGGAAATGGCTGTGCTTTAGTCAGGAGTAGGCCGAGGTGGCCTGTATGCACAGCATGACTCAGCGGGTTTGGAGCGCAGGCACATAACCTCGCACATTATGTAACCATGTCATGTGAGCTCGTGCTTGGCTCTGAGTCACTATTGTCTGTAAAAAGTATAATTGCCCTGCTTACGCTGTACATACAGCTTGCTCACACCCAGTGAGAGAGTAAAGCCATGTTGAAACTGTCTGCGATTCCTCAAGTGTTTTTCCAGCTACCCTCCACTTGCCCACCCACTCCCCTCAGACCTCAGTTAGAACCTGACAACATGACTAAACAAAATTACCTTTTTCTTCACAGCTGTTCTAATTTAAAATATTACTGATAGCTTCTTAATGGGGGAATGTGTGTGCCAACTTTAGTCTTGAAGGTTAGAGATAGTGTTTGGACCCAAGTTTTCATCAAAACTGTGCCACAGGGAAGCATGGTATCATAGTGCCTTTTTTTTTTCCCTTTTTTAAAGTACTAATTCCTTCATTTTGTGACAATTGCCCCATTTTTAGATTAGGTCTGAATTCAACTGATCACAATGTGGGAGACACAATCAGTTTCTTCAGGAAATCTTAGAAAATATACAATTTGGTATGGGTTTTTATGACTAATATTTTGGGGACTGTTTTCTTTTTTTGAATAAGTAGCAGCATTTCTGCTTCATGTTCAGGTGTGCCGAGCCTAGTCACATACCTTAAAATGATGGTATAAAAACAGCACTTGGCTGACAGTGGGATATAAAAAATGAGCATCAGTTTGGAATGATCTCTAAGACGTGTATCAAGTTCCTAATTTTTTCATTTAATTTTCACCATTTTCTGTAAAGTATGTAATTATTGTAATGCAGTAGTAGTTAATTGGAATGCTGAAGAAATCGGTTTGTAGGGGGATTACTGCTTTTTTAAAAAACTTGAATTTACCATTAATTCATGCTTTTATATTTTTCTCTCTTGTTTCTCCCTCTCTTTCTCAAGAACTAAAGATTTACAGATATGTAAAGTGTTGAGCAAGTAGCTAAATCACTCGTCTGAGAGTTCTTCTGTCAAGCCTAGATCAGACTGTTTTTACTGTAATATGATATGTTTTATTGTAGTACAGTCAGTGTTAGTAATGATGCATTAAGTAGTGAAATCATCATTTGGGCAGCATGGTTCACCCTTTTATCTTAGTGAGGGTAAGGGAAGTGTGGCTTGATACTCAATAACAGTCCATTTGAATAAATGGTATTTCAAAAAAAGTTGACTACAGCCAAAGGACTAGTGTCCCTGTTGCTAAAAATTTAGCAGATTAGGTTCTCCAAATGGTATTTTAATGGATTTTACTTATTTAGAAATGAACACATTTTGATTTCTCCTTATGCTGATTGTCATATACTAGTAAATTGAAGAGGCCTGCTTGATGCCACTGCAAAAGTGGCTTATAATGGGTCTGTATTTTTAATTTCATAACTATTTTTTAAAACTTGTGAAGTGGATCCTAAGAAGTAGTATTTAGTCCTGTTATATTTCCATTGCAGTTATTTAGATTTCTAGGTTCATTTACAACAGACCTTTTAAAATTTACTCATAGGAAGGTAGTGTAAATTTTTGTGAATATAGTTGATCCTCATTATTCATGGACTTTATATTTGCAAGTTTACCTACTTGCTAAACTGCGTTCATAACCTCAAACTCAGTACTCACAGTGTCTGTTATTCATTCAAAGACACACACAGAGCAGTGAAAAATATCTTTGTTGCCCAGCGTGCACATTCCTAGCTGAGGTTAGACAAGGCTATGTTCTGACTTCTTGTTTTAGTTCTTATACTGTAAAAAAGTGTCTTTTTGACCAGGCACAGTGGCTCACGCCTGTGATCCCAGCACTTTGGGAGGCCAAGGCAGGCGGATCACCTGAGGTCACGAGTTCGAGAACAACCTGCCCAACATGGCAAAACTCCAGCTCTACTAAAAATACAAAAAATTAGCTGGGCATAGTGGCACATATCCCAGCTACTCTGGAGGCTGAAGCAGGAGAATTGCTTGAACCCGGGAGTCAGAGGTTCCAGTCAGCCGAGATCACACCATTGCACTCCAGCCTGGGCGACAAGGGCATAACTTCGTCTCAAAAAAAAAAAAAGTGTCTGTTTTTGAGGTCTGTTTAGTGCCATAATTTTTACACTTTTGTGTTTTTGGTTGGTGTTTTTACTGTTTAAAATGGCCCCCAAGAATAGTGCTGAAGTGCTGTGGCAAGAAAGCTGTAGTATGCCTTATGGAGAAAATATATGTCAGATAGGTTTCATTCAGACCTGAGTTATAGTGAGTTACAGCTGTTGTCTGTGAGTTCAATGTTCATGAATCAACAATATATATTAAAGAAGGTGTCTTTAAACAGCAACACACATTAAACAAGTTTATGTATTGATTGGTTGACAAACATGTTGTCATTATAGGCTCATAGGAACCCAACTTTGTATTTTTTACTAGTAGCAATGGGTCAGTATTCGCTAATTCAGTGTTTGCAGCATACAGGAACCCAACTTTGTGTTTTTTCCAAGGAGCAATGGGTCAGTATTTACTAATTCAGTGTTTGCAGCAATTTTATGGAAATGATTGCTATGAACAAGGATAACCAACTATATTTCTTTAGATTATCTTTTATTTATACTTCAGTAATGATAACGAAAGCTTTGTACTTTTTGGGTTAAATTCAGACCCACCAAAAATAGAGCTGATTTATCTAACCGTTTTTTTTTTTTTCCTAGGTTTCCTTAGCTCCTTGGTTCATTTCTGTTTTCAGAAACTGCAGTGTTATTTGTCCATAGCAGGGAAATTTTTCTACCTGCTCTTTTAGGAGCAGTTTTTCAAATTTGGAACTAATGTTTTAATTTGTAATAGAACATATTAACCCAGTAATATACTATCTAAATAATAATATATTATTATTACAGTTAGTTCAACCATTCTGTAGTTTACTTTGTGTACTATCATCATTACTTTCTTGGCAGATTTTTGAACAACTCTCTTCTTCCATTTTCTTGTTTAGGTTAGATTAAAACCCACTGTATTTGTAACCTCAAACTCAGTACTCACAGTGCTTTTAGACATTCAAAGACACGCAGAGAGCAGTGAAAAAATCTTTGTTGCCCAACATGCAGGTTCCTAGCTGAGGTCAAAGAAGGCAGTGTTCTCCCTTGAATACAAATCAACAATGTTCTGCCTGGAAGAAAATCAACATTATTTTAGTGGTACATGTCCCTTCTTTCATTGTTTGCTTTTTTTTTTTTTTTTTTTTTTGCGATGGAGTTTCACTCTTGTCACCCAGGCTGGAGTGCAATGGCACGATCTCGGCTCACTGCAACCTCCGTCTCCCGGGTTCAAGCGAGTCTCCTGCCCCAGCCTCTTGAGTAGCTGGGATTATAGGCGCCTGCAGCCATGCCCGGCTAATTTTTTTGTATTTTTAGTAGAGATGGGGGTTTCACCATGTTGGCCAGGCTGGTCTGGAACTCCTGATCGCAGGTGATCCACAGCCTTGGCCTCCCAGACTGCTGGGATTACAGGTGTGAGCCACCACACCTGGCCTGTTCATTGAATTCTAACCTAACCCATAGATTTTTCAAGTTGCCTTATTTCACATGATTATGCAAATAATCTAGTCTTTGTCGATTGTATTAATTCCTGTCTTACTAACATCTAAGATTATTTGCTTTCTCTTACTTTTACCCTGTCTTTATCTCCTAAATTGTCATTCACTCTTTTCCTTCTCCTCCTTTTTTTCACTTTTTCTCTCTCTGTACTTCTCTCCCATTCATTAAAAATTTAGTGGAGAGGAAAAACTGCTGATCTGAGGGCCTTATCTAACCCTCAGGTGTTCTGTTTGGTTGACACAGTGGTTTAGAAATTGCAGCCAACATTCTGAAATTTTCTTTGTGGGAAAGTTTTTCTTTTTTATTACAAATTTAATTTTAAAAAAGGATATAGGGCTATTTAAATTTTCTCTTTACTTTTGTGTCAGTTTTAGTTGTGTTTTTCAATGAATTCATTAATTTTATCTCATTTAATATATTGGCATATAGTTATTTGTAATATTCCCTTTTTATTTCTTTAATGTCTTTAAGTTCTATGATATACCCTATATATCCTTTTTCATTCCTGGTGTTGCTAATTTTTTCTCTCTTTTTTTTCTTGATCAGTCTTACTAGAAGTTTATCAATTTTATTAACATTTTGAATAAACTAATTTTGGTTTGTATTTTCTCTGTTGCTTCTTTTCTGTTACATTGTTTGTTGTTTCATTACTTGTTGTTTTCTATTTTGTTACTTTTATTAGTGATATAGCTAGTTTAAGATTTTTTTTCTTCAGCATTTGCATCCTTATATTTCTAGAGATAGTCTGCAGTAACTCTCATTATATTCCTGGTTATTGCCTGAATTACTTGATAGTGGCAATTTTTACTCCTATTTATGGTTTGGCTGTTGCCATTATCTTTTTGCACATTCAGATGTATTACCCAGTCACATAATTCTCAGGTTTAAATTAAAACCTCATATATAGTTAAATATTCTTTTTAGAAAGTGCTTCCTTTTTTTAAGTACCCTAGCAGGGTTATTGATGTGTCAGTTATATGCTATGTGCTAAGTGTTAATTTTCACAACAGACCAATGAGGTAGGTCCTCCATTTCACAGATTGAGGGTACTGAAGCTTAGAGAATCCGCATTTACCAAATAAGAAAACTGAAGCTGATAAAATCTATTAGTGGGGAGTCATAGATGTAAATGATAGAAAACTATTTTGGCTTAAGCAGAAGCAAAAAGTTACTAAAAAGTTAGAGGTGAGGATTGATGCAGGGGCTCAGACCAAGTCCCCAGGACCTGCTTTCACATTATCTTTTGGTTTCCCTTCTGAGATCACTGTGTTTTAGGATTAACGCTAAGTTCATAGCCTGAAGATGATCACAGAAACTTCAACCCTAGTTATTTTCTAGTTCTGTTCTGTTTCTCTAATAGCTGAGATAAAGGTCTTAGATTTGACTTTGATTGTAACAGTTTTGATCAAGTTCCCATTGCTGGTACAGTAATTCTATTTCAGGGAAAACGGTATACTTACTCACTTAAACCTAGGTCACAAACTGCATCCTGTAGCCTAGTGTGGGACCAAACTGAAGCATATATGACAGGGAGTAGTTCCCTGAACAAAAAGTGATACTGTTGCTAGAAGGGATTGGATGCTAGGGGAAAACATTAATGTCTACCACAGAGAGTCTGGTAACTTGCCAAAGGCATAGCTGATGAGAATGGAGCCACTGTTTCAATTTAGGCAGCCTTATTCTAAGCCTTTACACTTAAACTATAGACTGTGCTGCCTCCTGTTTTACTATATTCAGCTCTAAAGTTAATCATGCTTTAGCATTTGTGTGTGTTTCTCACTTTGAGTGACATAACATAAATTAATTAAGAAATTATCATGGGGTGTCTGTTACTTATAACTCTTCTCGTGTTAATTAACATTGCTAGTTAAGAATCATATAGGGTATCCTTCTTTTTTTTTTTTTTTTTTTTTTTTGACAGGGTCTCACTCTGTCACCCAGGCTGGAGTGCAGTAGCATGATCTTGGCTCACTGCAATCTCCACCTCCTGGGTTCAAGTGATTCTCGTGCCTCAGCCTCCCAAGTAGCTGGGATTACAGGCACCGATCACCACACTCGGCTAATTTTTTGTATTTTTAGTAGAGATGGGGTTTCACCATCTTGGCCAGGCTGGTCTTGAACTCTTGACCTCAAGTGATCCACCTGCCTCAGCCTCCCAAAGTGCTGGGATTACAGGCATGAGCCACCTTCTGAGACAGTTTTTATCTTTAGTAATTTGATGAAACATAGTTTTTGCTTTTTCGTATGACTGTGTGTAGTTGTCGCTCATAAAATATAGAGAAGACAGGTTTTAAGTTTCCTTTGTTGGTTCATTCATTTAATGAATATTTCTCAAGGGTCTGCTATGCGTGTGCATTACACCAGGTTCTGGAGGGTAATACAAATTTAAAATAGAGATGGCTTGTGCTCTCATAGAATTGACAATCTGCTCGGGGAACAGAAAGTGTTAATCCAGTCTGTTAGGTGTTGTTAAGGAGGTGTGCTGTGCTGAGTGAAGATCGCAGAAGACTGAGCTGAGACCTGAAGGATACATGGGAGTTAACTAAGCAAGGAGAGGAATGGGAACATTATTCCAGGCTTCAGGAAAAAGCATGCAAAGGATGGGTGGTGTGTTTATGTGTGATTTCTTTGTGATAAAAGAAATTATGTACATGGGCAGGTGTTTACAGTGAATATAAGGAACTTGAAGTGGTAGCCATATTCTGTCTTCTCCTTTTTATCAGAAAGACACTTCTTTCAAAGACTTCCTTCCTGCCTGCTTGCCTGCCTCCCCTCCCCTCCTCTCCCCTCCCCTCCCTTCCCCTCCCCTCCCTTCCCCTCCCCTCCCCTCCCCTCCCCTCCCTTCCCTTCCCTCTTATTTTTTTTGAAACAGTGTCTCATTCTGTCACCCAGACTAAAGTGCAGTGGCATGATCATAGCTCACTGTGGCCTCAACCTCCTAGGCTCAAGTAATCCTCCCACCTCAGCCTCCAAAGTAGCTGGAACTACAGGTGTGCACCAACATACCTGGCTACTTTTTTAAAAAAAAAATTATTTTTTTGTAGAGCCGGGCCTCACTGTGTGGCCCAGACTGGTCTTGAACTCCTGGCCTCAAGCAATCCTCCTGCCTTGGCCTCCCAAAGTGCTGGGAATGAGCCACTGTGCCAGGCCTCAAAGACCTCATTCTTTCTCAGACCTTTTTTTTTTTTCCCCCTAAGGCTAATCCCTTTATGTGTTCTTACCAGTCCTTTCCAGCCTTTTTTATCATGTTGGGCCATTGGTCGTCCTTTATTGTCTGACATCTTCAATTCTTGCCTTTCATTCTTCCAGCAGCTTCTTTCCTTCAGTCTCTTCATCTTTGAAAACCTGACTCTGACCCTCCCTGATCGCTTCTTCCCCAAGGCTTTCTTCCTCTGTACCTGGTATGTAGGACTTCTGTTAGAACATCTGTTTCGTTTTCTTGGCCACTTTTTATATTTTTGTCTTTATTCTTTATTTTTTTATTTTTATTTTTTTTTTTAGATAGAGTCTCACTCTGTCGCCAGGCTGGAGTGCAGTGGCGCGATCTTGGCTCACTGCAACCTCCGCCTCCCAGGTTCAAACAATTCTCCTGCCTCAGCCTCCTGAGTAGCTGGGATAACAGGTGTGCACCACCAAGCCCAGCTAATTTTTGTATTTTTAGTAGAGATGGGGTTTCACCATGTTGGCCAGGCTGGTCTCAAACTCTTGATCTTGTGATCTGCCTGCCTCAGCCTCCCAAAGTGCTGGGATTATAGGCGTGAGCCACTGTGCCCGGCCGTCTTTATTCTTAAGTTTCAGGATATTAATGTACCACTTTTCTCCCTATATCCCTTGCATCTGGCAGAGGGCATAGCTCATGGTTAATATTCAGTAAATGTTCTTTGAGGCATGTGTAGATTTTGATATGTGCAAAACTTTTTATTTTTTAATTAAAATTTTAATGTTTTTTTAGATACTGAGTCTCACTATGCTGCCTAGGCTGGACCCAAACTCCTGGGCTTAAGCGGTCCTCCTATATCAGCCTCCTGAGTAGCTAGGACTACAGGATGTGCAGGACTTTTAAACCACATTATGGTAGTGTTACAGGACCACCACCACTTACCCAAAGGTAGCCATTGGGTCAGGATTTCTGCACTGTGGTCCCTTCTGTGGTTACAGGAAAGTGTTCCCGATCCAGACCCCAAGAGAGGGTCCTTGGGTCTTGTGCAAGAAAGAATTCAGGACAAGTCCACAGTGCAAAGTAAAAGCAAGTTTATTAAGAAAGTAAAGTAGTGAAAGTACAGCTACTCCATAGGACAGAGTAGGGTGTTCCTGAGAGTAAGAGGAGGAACGCATCCACCCTAGGTACAATGCTTGTATACATGTGGAGATGTGCTCTGCTACAAGGGTTTGTGATAAAGGATTAATTTTCTTAATTACTACATTTTGCAAGAATCAATATTATTATCTTTGAAGAAAAATTAGGAATGCCTTTGTTCTCCAGATATCAGGATATCTGGATACTCCCAAGTCTGGGTCTGTTTAGTGGATACTATTAATTTGTTCCCTTAACCACAAACATCTAGAGGCTAGGTATGTCTGACTTTCTCGGAATTTAGCCTGGCAGGTCCCAGCCTCTTTTTCCTAGCCCTCTCTCAAAATGGAGTCGCTCTGGTTCGAACGCCTCTGACAGTAGGGATATTCTAATGTTATCACAAGATAGAACCCAGCTGAGGGACTTCCATGTTTCGTGTTTCCATATTGTTGGCTCCTGGAGTTGGGAAATATACTAGTTCCTTAATAAGAAACTTCGTTATTTCTGGACAGTTCTCTAATATAGATTCATGGTCTATCAATTCAAATGTGAGCAACAGCCTGATAGGTTTCATATGGTTTCTCTCCTTTGTATAGTTTTGTATTTTCTTTTGTAGACTTTGCACACTGTGGGGATTGGGTAAATATTGAAGATTTCTTAAGGGTCATTTTTGTCATTAAATACTTTTTAATGAAGTATTTTATTTTGAAAAAAGTTTCAGACTTACAAAAAAGTTGCAAGTGTGATGCAGTGAATTCCATAAATTCTTCAACTGCCTGGATTCATCCATTGTTGACATAGTTATCATTATATTTTAATGAAACCATTTTTTCTCCACTATTATTTTTTATACTTCTTTGCTTTTTTTTTTTTAGCAGCTGCTCTAAGGGTTTATGATATACATTTCTAATGTATCAGTCTACTTTCAAATAATATACTATTTCACATATAGTATAATAACCTTTTAATAATATACTTCCATTTTCCTTTTCTGTGCCTTATGCTGTTGTTGTTATTCATTTTACTTCTATATAAGCTGAAAACCCCACAATATGTTACTATTTTTGCTTTATACAGTTACTTATCTTTCAAAGAGATAAAGATAATTAAAAAATTATATTTTATGTTTACCCACATTTTACCATTTTCTGTGATTGTTATTCCTTTTTGTTGATCCAGATTTCTGCTGAAGAACTTCCTTTAACTTTTTTTTTTCAGACAGAGTCTTGCTCTGTCACCAGGCTGGAGTGCAGTGGCACGATCTTGGCTCACTACAACCTTCGCCTCCCAGGCTCAAGGGATTCTCCTGCCTCAGCCTCCCCAGTCTGGGAGTACAGGCGTGTGCTACCACACCTGGCTAATTTTTTATATTTTTAGTAGAGATGGGTTTCACCACATTAGCCAGGATGGTTTCGATCTCCTGACCTTGTGATCCACCCGCCTCGGCCTCCCAAAGTGCTGGGATTACAGGCATGAGCAACCGCACCCAGCCCTTTTAACATTTTTTTATAGTGCAGGTCTGTTGGCTATGAATTCCCTCACTTTTTTTCTGAAATGTCTTTATTTTGCCTTCATTTTAAAGATATATTGTCATTGAGCATACATTTCTAGATTGACAGTGTTCTTTTTTCCGTCAGTTTAAATATGTCACCCTATCGTCTAGTTTGCATAGATGAGAACTCTACCATCATTCTTTTTTTCCCATAGTATGTGTCTTAGTTCATTTTATGTTGCTATAAAGGAATGCCTGAGGCTGGGTAATTTATAAAGACAAAAGGTTTATTTGACTCGTGATTCTTGATGGCTTGAAAGTTTAAAATTGGGCATCTGCATCTGGTGAGGGTCTCAAGGAGGAAGATGAAAGGGAGCTAGCGTGTACAAAGATTACATGGTGAGAGAGGGGGAAGGGCAGGAGTGGGTGGGTGGGGGAGGATGTGCCAGGCTCCTTTTGACAATCGGCTTTCACAGAAACTAATAGAGTAAGAACTCACCCACAAAAGAGGGCATTAATGTTTTCAAGAGAGATCTACCCCGATGAACCAGACACCTCCCATTAGGCCTCACCTCCAACACTGGGGATCAAATTTCAACATGAAGTTTGGAGGGGACAAATGTCTAAATCATAGCAGCGAGTAAGATTTCTTTTTTCTCTGACTGCCTTTAAGACTTTCTTTTAGGTTTTTAGCAGTTTGACTATGATATGGTTTTCCCTGTATTTTTCCTGCTTGGGGTTCTCCAAATTAATTTTGGGAAATTTTCAGCCATTATCTCTTCAAATATTTCTTTTGCATCTTCCTCTGGGATTCCAGTTACAAACATGTTAGCCTATATTGTCCCAGGGCTCTTAGATGCAGCATTGTATTATCTCACTCTTTCCTCTTTTGTTTATGTTTGAATAATTTTTATTGCTCTTTCTTTAAGTTTGCAGAGTCTTTCCTCTATTTCCAGTCTGCCAATAAGCCCATTAAAGAAATTCTTCATTCTAATATCATGTCTTTCAATTTGCTATTTCCTTTAGACTTTGTTTTATGGTTCCCATCTCTCTGCTGGAAATTTCTCATCTGTTAGATGTCATCCACATTTTCCACTAGATTAAAAAAAAATCAATCATAGGTATTTTGACATGTCTAATAGTTCCAATACATTCTGGTTGTGTTGCTGTTTTCTCTTTTGACAATGAGTTGTTGTATCTTTTAAAAAAGATGTGTTTTGTAAATTTTTTTTTTTTGAGACAGAGTCCTGCTCTGTCACCCAGGCTGGAGTGCAGTGGTGCAGTCTCGGCTCACTGCAAGCTCCGCCTCCCGGGTTCACGCCATTCTTCTGCCTCAGCCTCCCCAGCAGCTGGGACTACAGGCACACGCCACCACGCCTGGCCAATTTTTGTATTTTTAGTAGAGACGGGGTTTCACAGTGTTAGCCAGGATGGTCTCGATCTCCTGACCTTGTGATCCACCTGCCTCGGCCTCCCAAAGTGCTAGGATTACAGGCGTGAGCCACCGCGCCCAGCCGTGTTTTGTAATTTTTGAATGAATGTCACACATTACATATAGAAGAATAATAGAAACTGTGGTATTTACACTCAGACATGTAGTACATTTTTTTTTTTCTGGCAGGTAGTTAGGTTGAATCAATCTAGTAAGTAGTTGAGCTAGATTTGGAGTGTATTTTGCTATTGTTACCATCAGTGTACCACAGACTTCAAATTCCTCCAGTGGTGGGCCACTGCTACCTTGGTTTTAATTCAGGGCCTGCAATGCTAGAGGGTTTTTTTCCCCCATTGTTCTTGTTCTACTCTTAGCTGACACCTTACCCTATATATCTTTGCAGGATCTTTCTCCATTGCTCTTCCCCCTCTCCAAAAGGCAGTGCTGTTACTTATTACTTGGTGTAAGACTTGTAGTGGGGGCAGAAGGGGTTTTGCAGTTTTCCTGTTTCAGCCTCAGTCTTAGACAGGTTTTATGCACCTGAGCCCCAGGGGCTGAGCTTTCTCATTGCTTTTGTACTTCCCCAAGGGCAGATAACTCCTGCATCGTACTCAATGCAGCATCTAGAATGCAGGCAGGTTTCATGAGCCTCTTCCCTTTGTGGCAGCTGGACTTTGCCTTGTATCAGGTGGGGAGGGCAGGGCAAAGGGTCTAGGATGTGAGCAGTTTCCCTGTCTCTTTTCCAGTGTGAGAGTATCAGTGTTTTGTATTCACACCGAATCTGGGTCTGAGTACATTTTCTGTTCTTTCCCAGTATTTAGCTAGCATTTGCCTAGTGTCAGTGCAGGATAAGGGAGCGTGTGTGTTTTACACTCTTTCCAGCAGCAGTTAGTATTTGCCTCCTGTCAGTACAGGGACCGGTGGTGGGAGGCTTTACTGCCCCTTTCCATCAATAGATGGCTTTTGCCTCCAGATAGGATCTGTGGTATGGGTGAAATTTTCCCTTTACCCTGGCAGTAGCTCATTAACACCTTGTACTCCTGTAGGCCTTAAACTATGGATGGACTTTTCTTTGTACTCTTGCACTACCCTCTAATCTTGCTGCAGATATTACACAGCTGTGCTACCAGTGGGCCTTTCTCGTGTCTGCTTTGCCTATAGTATTTCTCATGAGCATCTCAAGAGGTGAAAGATTATGAAAAAAGAGTTGGCAAGTGGGGACAGAATCCCCTTGTGTCTGAGGTTCTCAGGGATTCCAAATTGGCTCTAGTGCGCACTTGGCCCTTAAAGTTTGTTAAAATTTCAGTTGTTTTGTGGTGACGTCTCATTTTTCTGTGCTCTGCTGAAGCTGAAGGGGTTCATGTGGTTCATCTCCTCAGAGGGGCGTGTCATCCTTTGGAATTTAGATCATCTGGTTGCCTTATGACCTCACCTCTCTGATGGGCTCAAAATTTTATGATTTTTTAATGGATTGTCTGCCTTGTTGTTAAGGGTGAGAGCAGTGTTTTCTTGTGGCCTTCTACTGTTTTCCCACTTTTTAAATTTTTGTTTTTTATTGACACGTAATTGTACATATTTATGGGCTACCATGTGTCATTTTAGTACATGTATACATTGTGTAATGATCAAATCAGGGTAATTAGCTATTGATCACCTCAAATATTTATCATTTCTTTGTGATGGGAACGTACAATCTACTTCTTAAGTTTATTTTATCTTAATGAATCTTTGCAGCTGACTTGTTTTGGAAAATAGGAAATAGCCAAGAGCGGAAGGACTCATTGGCTTTAATTTTTTTTGCCATCCAGGTGACTAACAGCAAAGGTAGTTAAGTGCTGCTAACTGTCACTGTTAAACCTAAGGCATAGACAGTCAGGAAAATGAACCCATGAAGTTGAAAAGACATGGAGGAAGGCAGGGAAACTGATTTTTTTTTTTAAAGAGAATACTTGTGTAATATTGATGTAAGTTGTAAATCCGATTTAATTATTGTAAATGTGGCTATTGCTAATGACTTCTAGTCTCCCTAGGAGAAGTTTATAATTTTTTTTTCAAAACATTTAGTATGTAACTGATTGCTTAGATTACTGATTAATTTTTTATGCTTTTACTGGTCAATTTCCATTTAGTTAAATGTCAGGGCTGTTTTTCCAAGTAGTAATAACGTCACATAAGATGATCTTTGATAATTATGCCTAGTTAATCTTCTGAAGTGCTTAGAGACCTTTATCACATTCTGTTTATTAAGGAGGTAGTATTTAAAAATATTTCTCCTCCTGCATTGGCATCAATATTGGGCCGGTCTACTCTCACTAAGAAGAATCCTACAGTCATCTGCAAATAAGTGTCCTGGGAGCTGTTTAGGAATGGGTGGTGGTGGTAGGAGGTAGATCATAATGTTTTGACATGCAGTCTCTTTGCTTCTTGTTTTTAGTTCATTCTATTTCCTCACTTCAAGTATGTCTGTTTCCCTGAGTGTAATGTCTCTCTGGTTTATCTTCTCCAGAGAGCACACCTACACTTCTCATAGGGTTGGGTAAGAGGGTTGTTCCTTGGTTATGTGAGATATGCCACAGAGGATTTGGGGATTATACTGCCTTTTTTTCTTTTTCTTTCTTTTTTTTTTCTTTAGAGACAGGGTCTTGCTCTGTTACCCAGGCTGGAGTGCAGTGGTGCAGTACCAGCTCACTGCAGCCTCAGACTCCTGAGCTCAAGTGATCTTCCTGCCTCAGCCTCCTGAGTAGCTGGGACTACAGGTGCATGTTACCATACCTGGCTAATTTTTAAATTTTTTATAGAGATAGCGTCTTGCTTTGTTGCCCAGGCTGGTCTCAAACTTTTGTCCCCAAGCAGCCCACCACTCCTTGGTCTCCCAGAGTGCTGGGATTACCAGGCATGAGCCACAACACCCAGCCTCATACTGCTTCTTGTATTGAATTCGATAACTTCTTACACTATGACTTTCGGAGCTGCCTGGAATCTAATTCCTGTACCTTTTGGGGGTTCTGTTGAACAAATTGTTTTTTATGGAAGTTCCTCTCCACCTTATACATAAGCTTTAGTTTCACCTTTCTTCATTCTTCTAAGTATGTTATTACTCATCTGTTTGGTTTTCAGGCTTCCAGAACTTAGTTGCTGTCATCTCTTCTGATTTCTGTAGCTCTGTGATTTTATGTCTTATTTATCCTTTACAGCCATTTTAGAAAGTTTTCAGCATGTGGGAGACAAATGAATGCTTTTAATTCGGAAGTCCTAAGTTCTCTGTTGTCCTAGCAGCTTTTAAGCCTTTTTAGTTAACATTCTTGAATATACCGATACCACATTTACTTTAAATTATTATAAAATCAATTTGTCTTTCATTAATTTATTTTCCATTTGTCTTCATTGAAGTTGGAAAGTTTTATTGCCGAGTGCTCTAAAATAATATGCAGAGTTTCAGTGATTATAGCTGATTATCTCCTGTTAGATCAAGACTCCAACAAATGCCAACTATAAACTCAGACCACATATTTTAAAATACTATCTAAAGATACTGGTGAACAATCAAAACTGGTGAAGATGACTGGTGAACAGTCATCTATATGTAGAAGAAGGGATGTCACTGTGTGAGTTTCCCATTTCTTATGGCATTGAACTTGAGGTTATGTGTGTGTGTTCGTGCTGTGAAGGTGAAAACTCAGGTGGAGACTCAAAGTCTTACTGGCTTGAATAACTAGATGTCAGAAGTTGGGGCATCTGCGGTAACTGGAAGGGGAGAAGATCCAGAAAAAGATTCAGAGAAGGGTATAAACTGTCTAAATCTTGTATACGGGACAGACTCTATGCTACCTGAAGGCTGAAAACGTTGAACAGAGGCTTCATTTTTCACCCCAGCAAAGGGGAACCAGTTTGGAGTTGTGTCCAGTCGAGTTAATTGCCTACTAAAACAGTCAATAATCTTTGCAGGAATATTACAGAATCCAAAGTTTCTACAACATATTTATAAGGTCAGAATATAATCCAAAGTTACTAGATATACTCAAGAGAAAAGGCAGTTATTGGAGTCTGACTCTGAGATGATCCAGATGTTGAACTTAGTTCACAAGTATTTTAAAGCACTATTTATAACTGTGCTAAGTAAGTAAGTAAAAGAATATATGATACAGGCCCGGCGTGGTGGCTCACGCCTATAATCCCAGCAGTATGGGAGCCCGAGGTGGGTGGATCACGAGATCAGGAGATCAAGACCATCCTGGCTAACATGGTGAAACCCTGTCTCTACTAAAAATACAAAAAATTAGACCATGCCTATAGTCTGAGCTACTCGGGAGGCTGAGGTAGGAGAATCACCTGAGCCCTGGAAGCAGAGGTTGCAGTGAGCCGAGATTGCACCACTACACTCCAGCCTGGGTGACAGAGTGAGACTCCATCTCAAAAAAGCAAACAAACAAAGGAAAGTATGGATATAATGAATAAAAAATAGAAACTCTCAGAAGAATAGAAACTAAAAAATAGAAATTTAGAATTGAAAAATACATGAAATAACAAATTTGTTGAATGAGCTTAATAGCAGATTGGTGGCAACATAGACAAGACTTAATGAACTTGCAGATAGATGAATATAAATGTCAAATCTGAAGAACAGAGAGGAAAATTATCAGAAATAAAATGAACAGGGACTCAGGGGCCTGTCAGACAAAATAAAAATGTTTAATAAATGTGTCATTGGAATTCTAGAAGGAAAGGAATGAAAGAATGGGGCAGAAAAATATTTGAAGAAATAGTGGCCATATATTTTACAAATTTAGTGAGAGACATAAATTGTAAATTCAGAGGCTTAGCAAATCTAAACATAATTAATACAAAGAAAATAACATCTAGGCACATCCTAAACTGCTAAAAGCTAACAAGGAGAAAATCTGGAAAGCTGCCAGAGAAAACACACTAGGAAATAATAAAAACGACTGCTGAAGGAAAAGTAACACCATCAACCCTGAATTCTATACCCGTAGGGAGACAGAATTCTTGAAGGATAAAGATGAAATAAAGACTTTTTCAGATAAACCAAAACTGGAAATTTATTACCTGTAGATCTGCAATATAAGATAGATGCTAAAAGGCATTCATCAGGTTGAAAGTTAGTGATACCAGATAGAAGTTCAGATATTTAGGAGGTGGTAAATATGTAAGAGAAAATACTACTTTTTGTCCTCTTCATTTTATAAAAATACATATAAAAAATACATGACTTTAAAAGTTATAACATTGTATTGTGGAGTTAAAGGATAGGAGTTAGAGAGCAGTAAATGGTTCTTATATTACGTGGGAAGGCATACAATATTAACTCTTAAGTAAGCAGGTAAAAGTTGAGGATATATACTACAGTTCCTAGAACAATCACTTAAAAAATAATTTAAAGAGGAAGGCCAAAAAGCCAATCGATTAAATGAAATTCTAAAAAAAGTTTGGTTAACCCAAAAGAAGGCAGGGAAAGAGAAACAGAGACATATAACAGAAAACTTGGGGCTGGGAGGGAGATTAGTAAAATCTCCCATATTAATAATTAAGTGTAAATGAATCGAGCACTCTAATTAAAACTATTATAAATGATAGTTTATAATAATTATCTATCATGTAATTATAATTATCTATTGATAATTATCTTAATTATAGATAATATAGAGATTATCTCTTTGTGTGCACCCATGTGTAGATGTATGTATTATCAAGACCTGACTACATGATGTCTATAAGAGGTATACTTTAAAAACACAAATAGGCTAAACGTAAATGTTTGGGAAAAAGTATGCTATCCAGCTAGTAAATTTTATTATTGGTTGGACTATATTAGTATCTGATAAAAAGGATTATGAGGCAAAGAATCTTACCAGAGGTATAGACATTTTATAATGATAAAAAGGGTCATTTCATTAGGAAAACTGTTTATGCCTGTGATAGAAAAGATTCAAAAGGCATGAAGCTAACATTGATGGAATTGAGGGGTAGAATTAAAATCCTTAACTACAGTTGCATATTTTAACACCTTTCCTCAGCAGTTGACAGGAAGTAATTACAATAATGTGCAATTTCATTACTGAACACAAGATGGCAAAGTAGTCACAGTAATTGTAACAATCGACCTGTGCATTTCAATACAGTGAAATATGCCATAATTTTATCGTGTGAACACATCTTTTCTCCTCGTTTATTTTATAGACAGGAAATGAACAGTGGTGAATAATTGCAAGAATGCTACAGTATACTGGCATAATATTTGGTATATACGTTATAGGCATTAAATGAATTTTTGTTGAATGAATATAATGTGGGGCTTTTAGAATTAAATATTTGTTTGAATTTCAAAACCCAAAATTATTTTTTAATCTTATCACGGAAATAACGCTTTTACTTAAAGCAGTGGTTCTCAAACTTTTTGGTCTTAAAATATCTTTACTCTTTTATTGTTGAAGACTCCAAGGACTATTGTTTAGGACATATCTATTGATATTTATCTTTCAAAAATTAAGAAATGTAAAGAATATTTTTAAAATAATTTTACAAATAATGAGCCCACTATATGTTATAAATAGTACCTATGTTTATGAAAAATAGAAAAGTAGCATTGTTTTACATTTTGGCAAATATCTTTAATGTGTGGCTTAATAGATGACGACTGTATTCTCATGGCATCTTCGATATTCTATCTTATTTGTCATGTAGTATCTTGAAAATGTTACACTTGTGAAAGAATGAGAATAGAAAAAGACAAATAACATCTTGGTATTACTATGAAGAATTTTTGACCTTGAGCCACCAAAAAGGTCTTAAGCTCCCTCAGGAGTCCCTAGACCATATTTTGAGACTCTCTGACTTTCAGAAGTAAACAAAGAAGAAATGAAAAATTATTAATTAGTGGATGTGTGGCCTGAACCATGGTGATACAGTTCACTCCTTATTGGTGAGCCGTTATGGTTCACATGTATGGTTACCTAACCTGAAAATTTGTGGGAACTTCATCTGGAAGATAGATTAGTAGGTATAAAATGTCGCTTTAATCTTGCATTGTACTACCTTTAACCAAACCCTATCATATAGAGCTGGGTGTGAGATTAAGTTGGAGCATGCTGTAATCCAGTTCTGAATTCGGTCTTCTGAGCTATTTGTGATGTGATTCAGATTTTATAGATGGCTTTTCTTCTCTGTGGAGAGTTGGAATAGTGACTAAAAAAGAGCTCTCTGAAATTGGAACCTCTAACTATTGCTGGTAAGAATGGAAAACAGTCTGGCAGTGCCTCAAAAGGTTAAATATAGAATACTCTGTGACCCACCAAATTTACTTTTAGTTGTATATACTCAAGAGAAACGAAAATATAAGTCCACACAAAAACGTGTACATGAATGTTAATAGCAACATTCTTCATGATAGCCAAAAACTGTGCCTTAGTTCATTTTCTGCTGCTTATAACGGAATACCTGAAACTGGGAAATTCATAAAGACAAGGAATTTATTTCTTACAGTTATAGAGGCTGAGAAGTCCAAGGTCAACAGGCCACATCTTGTGAGAGCCTTCTTGCTAGTGGGGACTCCCTGCAAGAGTCCCAATGCAGTATAGGGCATCCCATGGTAAGGGGGCTGAGCATGCAAGCTCAGTTCTCTCTTCCTCTTTTCATAAAGCCACCAGTCCTACTCCCATGAACCCACTAATCCATTAATTCATGAATCTGCCCTGATGACCCAATCGCTTAAAGGCCCTACCATTCAGTACTGCCACATTGGGGATTATATTTCCACATGAACTTTAGAGGGGACAAATATTTAAACAATAGCAAAGTGGAACCAGCTCAAATGCTCATCCACTGATAAATAAATAAAATGTGGTATATCCATAGAAGAAATATTATCCATCCCTAAAAAGAAAAAATACTGATACATGCAACATTATGGATGCATCTTGAAGGCACTATACTACCTGAAAGAAGTTAGTCACAAAGACCACATATTGTATGATCCCATTTGTATGAAATGTCCAGAATATGCAAATCTATAGAGACAGAAGGTAGACTAGTGGTTACCTAGGGGTAGGGTGGATGGGAGTAATGCCATGTAAGGATGTTTCTGTGTACTGTTAAATTGTAATATCTGTTATGTGGTTAGTGTTCCCTTTATGAGGACTCATAATTCTTCACAATATCAAGAGTTACTCCCTTTTAAAGAACTAATGAGCTAGCAAGTCTTCTTTGTTTTATTTTTAATAAATTTTAAAATTAGATAATGAGACCACTGTTACTAGTGCCTCTGTTGGCTTTGGCTGCTAGGAAGTTCAGGACTATATTAAATGCTCACAGTAACGCTGTTAGTGAGGTTAGACAATTGGTATACTTTCTTTTCTAATACACATTTTGTTGTGGGTTTTTAAGTTTTTACACACAGACTTTCACAAACTTGAATTTAAATATTTTATTGTAGGATGCCCACAGTCTTTATCAGAGGCAATTGGGGTTAAATTGAAAACAAATAAATATAAAATGCACAAATGAAAAACTATAGGCAGTGTCTTTCAAGAGAGAAAGAATTCTTTCTGTATAAAAAGGCAATATTCGTTTTTAGGTAAAAAAATGATATCCTTGAACTGAGCTTTTTAAAAAAGTGGTGAGCTACTAGGCACTGGATCTGTTCAAGCAGATGCTGGATGATGCTTTGTCTGTAAGATATTATAGAGATAAAGCCTGTGCTGGATGAGGCTAAAAATTGCCTTAAAGTTCTCCTAGTCTTTAAGACTATCATTCTGTGATTTTGAAGTTTACATTTCTGACAACACAAAGTACTAAATGGTAATTTTAAAATGGGTAATTTTTATTCAGAGAACTTGTTTGAGAGCTCAGAATTCCAGATATAACACAAAAGAGGTAATTTAGTATGAAAAGATATTAAGAACAGGTACTACCAGTACATTGCCTAGAGAAACTCAGTGTAGTTATTGTTCTGAATATGTGTTTTAAATTGTGCTGCCTCTCTGCTATGATGAATTAGCTATACAGTGTACCCCTAATATTGCTAGGGCATTTAAAAATGATTTATTTAAACATTGGAGTATACCTTCCTAATACAACCGTTGTATTTTAGTTTTAATAAGTGGCTCTTCTGAACAGTTCTCAGTCAGTCCTTTTTTGGGTCTGTTCCTGGTTAGAGTTTAAAAAACAAAACACACACAAAAATAAAGTATCAGCATAAAGGAGGGGATGGGTGGGTGGGTGAATGGATAGATGGATGGATGGATGGGTAGATGGATGGATAGATAGATATTCTCCCTAAATCCCCCCTTTGCCACTGAAGAGCACCCATGTCAATGATCTAAAAATACCAGTTGGATTGTGACCAGGAGTCCTTATTTACAGTCCAGTTTTACACCATGGAGGATTGGTGTTTCATGAATCTGTTTAAGCCCATTTTTGCTGTTAATTATTATTAGGATTTAGGTTTTGCAGAACTCACTAATAGCCTAGTATCAATTTGAGATTATATCTGCTGGCCCATAATTATTATTTATTTATATTTAGTGAGTAATTGGATGCTCAGATCTGCCAGACCAGAGCAATTAGAGATGTGGGAATAACTTAATAAAATTGCATCACTGGAAAATTTAGATGGTTTCAAAATTAGTTTCTAAAAACCAGGTGGAACTCATAGAAGGCTAGAACCTTACACATGAGAGATTTTATTTCTAGAAGCCATATATAGTACAAATAGAGTACAGGCATACCTTGTTTTATTGTGCTTCACTTTATTGTACCTTGCAGGTAATGGATTTTTTACAAATTGAAGATTCGTGGCAACTCTGTGTCTAACAACTTTTTGGCACCATTTTCCCAAGAGCATGTGCTCACTTCATGTCTCTGTGTCACATTTTGATAGTTCTTGCAAACTTTTTCATTATTATTGTATCTCTTATGATGATCTGTGATCTTGATGTTACTATTGTAATAGTTTTGGAGTGCCACAAATCGAGCCCATATGAGATGGTAAACTGAATGGACAAATGTATATGTTCTCACTACTCCCCTGACTGACAATTCCTGTCTCACCTTCTTCTTGGGCCACTCCATTCCCTGAGACCCAACAATATTGAGATTAGGACAATTAATATCCCTACATTGGCCTCTGAGTGTTCCAAGTGAAGGAAATGTTGTATATCTCTCACTTCAAATAAAAAACTAGAAACGATTAAGCTTAGTGAGGAAGGCATGTTGAAAGCTGAAAAATGCTGAAAGCTATGCCACTAGTGCCACACAGTTAGCTAAGCTGTGAATGCAAAGGAAAAGTTATTGAAGGAAATTAAAAGTGCTATCCCAGTAAGCATACGAATGATATAAGAAAGCAAAACAACCTTATTGGTGATATGGAGAAAGCTTTAGTGGTGTGGATAGATTAAACCAGCCACAACATTCTCTTAAGCCAAAACTGATTTAGAGCAGAATGCTAACTGTCTGCAATTCTAGGAAGGCTGAGAGAGGTGAGGAAGCTGTGGAAGAAAAGTTAGAAACTAGCAAAGGTTGGTTCATGAGGTTTAAGGAAATAAGCCACCTTCATAACTTAAAAGTGCAATGTGAAGCATCAAATGCTGATGTAGAAGCTGCAGCAAGTTATCTAGAAGATCTAGCTAAGATCAGTGATGTAGTTGAATACACGAAACAACACATTTTCCATGTAGATTAAATAGTCTTCTATTGGCTAAAGATGCCACGTAGGAATTTCACAGCTAGAGAGGGGATGCCTGGCTTCAAAGCTTCAAAGGACAGTCTGACAGTCTGACTCTCTTGTTAAGGCCTAATGCAGCTGGTGACTTGAAGTCAGTGTCCATTTACCATTCCAAGAATCCTAGGGCCCTAGAGAATTATGCTAAGTCTGCCCTGCCTGTGCTCTATAAATGGGACAACAAAGCTTGGATGACAGTACCTCAGTGTTTATAGCATGGTTTACTGAATATTTTAAGCTCAATGTTGAGACCTACTGCTCTTTAAAAAAGTTTCTTTTCAAATTACTACTCATTGACAATGCAACTGGTCACCCAAGAGGTCTGATAGCACTGTACGTCATGCCTTCTCTATTAAGCTGTTCTTGCATTGCTGTAAATAAATACCTGAGACTGAGACTAGGTAATATATAAAGAAAAGAGGTTTAATTGGCTCATGGTTCTGCAAGCTATACAGGAAACAGTGCTGGCATCAGCTTCTTGGGGAAGTCTTAGAGAGCTTTAACTCATGACAGAAGGCAAAGCAGGAGCAGGCACATCACATAGCAAAAGCAGAAGCAAGAAAAAGAAAGAGGAGGGGTGGAGGTGCCACACACTTTTAAATGACCAGATTCTTCAGAACTCTCATGAAGACAGCACCAAGCCATGAGAGATCTGCCCCCATGATCCAGACAACTTCCACCAGGCCCCACCTCCAGCATTGAGGATTACAATTCAACATGAGATTTGGGCTGGGACAGATATACAAACTATATCACCTTCTAACACGGCATCCATCCTGCAGCCCATCAATCCAGGAGCCATCTTGATTTTCAAGTTTTATTATTTAAGAAATACATTTTATAAGGCTATGACTGCTGTAGATAGTGATTCCTCTGATGGATCTGGGAAAAGTAGATTGAAAATCTTCTGCAAAAGATTCACCATTCTGGATGCCATTAAGAACATTTGTGATTATGAGGAGAGAACAAAGTATCAACATTAACAGGAGTTTGGAAGAAGGTGATTCCAGCCCTCATGGGTAACTTTGAAGGGTTCAAGACTTGAGTGGAGGAAGTCACTGTAGATGTGACAACAGCTAGAAAACTAGAATTAGAAGTGGAACCCAAAGATGTGACTGAAATTGCTGCGTGATAAAACTTGAATGGATGAAGAGTAGCTTCTTAGGGATGAGCAAAGAGAGTGGTTCTTGAGATGGAATCTACTCTTGGTGGAAGATACTGTGAACATTGTTGAAATGACAACAAAGGATTTATAATATTACATACACTTAGTTCGTAAAACAACAGCAGGGTTTGAGAGGATTGACATCAATTTTGGAAGCAGTTCTACTGTGAGTAAAATGCTGTTAGACAACATGGCATGCTACAGATAAATCTCTCATGAAAGGTCGAGTCAGTTGAAGGGCAAACTTTACTGTCAACTTATTTTAAGAAATTGTCACCGCCACCTCAGCCTTAAGCACCCAACATGCTGATCAGTCAGCAACCATCAACATCAAGGCAAGACACTTCACCAGCAAAACGTTTAACTCAGTTAAGGCTCAGATGATATTAGCATTTTTATGAAAGTATATTTAATAAAGGTATGTACATTATTGTCTTAGACATAATGTTATTGCACACTTAATAGACAACAATATAGCGTAAACATAACTGTTATTTATTTTAGAGACAGGGCCTCACTGTTTTTTCTGGCTGGAGTGCAGTGGCATGATCATGGCTCACTGCAGCCTCAAACTTCTGTGTTCAAGCGATCCGCCCACCTCAGCCTCCCAAGTAGCAGGGGGACTACAGGCACACTCCACCATGCCTGGCTAATTTTTAGGGTTTTTTTGTAGAGACAGGATCTCACTATGTTGCCCAGACTGGTCTTGAACTCCTAGCATGAAGCAATCCTCCTGCCTCGGCCTCCCAAGCTACTGGGATTACAGGCATAAGCCGCCATGCCTGGCCTAAACATAACTTTCATATGCACTGGGAAACCAAAACATTAGTGTGACTTGCTTTATTTGCTTTACTGCAGTGGTCTGGAACCAAACCTGCAATATCTCTGAGGTACACCTGTATAATAAAGCACGAAGAAAAAGCATAAAGTTTGTTTTTTTATGTTTGTATTTCTCTGCCACATCCAGGGGTCCAAGTTTTTAGTTGTTCAGAAATACTTTTGAGAAGGAAAAAAAGGGAGATAAGGAAGGAGAGAAAGAGCAAAGAAGAGCCTCTGAATCAGAAGAAATGCACCTGTTCTGTTTTGGGGCTAGGTTTAAGTTTCATAATTAGCAAATTACTAACACAGCCAAGTGCTTTTTGATCTAAAGCATCTTGGACTGAGACACTATTTAACAGTGTTAATTCCTTGTGGTAAGGGATAGACATTCCTAGTTTTTTTCGTCTGGAAAGCATGGGATACTACTCACGTCCACGGAGTGATCCTAGCCCCTATCAGAAAGAAAGATAAGATTGTGACAGTATAAGGGTCAATGTAAAGGGCTAGCAGGTTAGCAGAGAACATGTATGGAATGTTTTAGGCTTTATGTGCTCATCATGGATAGCTATTTAAGCTACCAGAAGAGCTGGTTGCTGAAACTCGTGGAATTCCATCACAAATGATCATGGGTTGTAGATTTCTTGTTCTTGAGAAACTGTAGAACTCCAGTCAGGACTTGATTGTAGAGAAAGTTTGGAACTCTTGTTTGGGAGGCATCCTCTGTCTTAAAAAAGCCTATTGGGAGTAATTCTGATCCTAATCATTACCACTCACGTTTTTGGTCTCTGGATTTTGGAGCATTAAACAATGGGAAAAAATTCTTCTAAATCTTGTGGGACTCTAGGCATATGGGGAAGGAAAAAAGAGGGAACTTAACTAGTTTTGTTCAGACTTATTTGGAATGCTGCTGAAAGAAATTCTGTGAATTTACTTCCTTTTGTGCTTACCTTTAAGAGACTTTATAAAGCTGGACTGGTTGGTTATTTTCTAATATATAGCTGGTCAAAAAACTGCAGTACTTTTCTTGGGTCTGAAATCCAACCTCTTCTTTTCTTCCAAGATTATTATATAGGATGAACATTTTAAGTTATCTGAGGTTATTTAAATTCATGGAAGTCATCATATAAAGAGGAAATAGTCCTGGATATTTAAAAAAAACCAGTCGTTGTTATTGCACTTTCGTGATGTCTTTAGGGCTAGATTTGTCTGGTATCTATCTAGTTTTCAAGAATGAAAAAGCAACTTACTTCCTTGGGAGAGCTGTGCATTGAGATATTTTGTGTTTGTTGTTCCCTATTCCTTTCTTAAAAGATAAAAATAAATAACAGTTGAATAGATGAAAGAAATATTTGGAGAAGACAAAATGATTAAATTCTGAATAATAATCTTTGAGAATAGTTGGGCTTCCTTTTCACAGAGCGTGCCTAAGTGGTCACCATTGCTTAACCTTTGCTGAGATGATCAGAGACGTGGATTAGAGCTTGATTCTTTTTTCATCAGATTCTTCTACCAGGGCAATATGGAAATGTTATGTCTGTAGTAGTCACTTTCTCTCTCTCTCTTCCTCTCTCTCTCTCTCTCTCTGTGTGCGTGTGTGTACTTTCAAAAATTATATACACAGTATTTCATTTCTTTGTGTTGGGAGACAATTTTCTTTTGCATTTTTGCATGTCTTGAGAGTAGAGGCACTGTCTTTTTGTACAGTCTTTTAAAGGATATTTGCATTGTGAACAACCTTGAATGTTAGTGTCTCCCTCTAGAAGAAAGGACAGCTTTGCTTACTCTTCTGTATAATAAATATCTCCCTCAGGAGCAAGGGCAGGCATGCTTATAAAAGATTCCAGTTTCCTGAGCTCAGAGTTCCTCTTCTGTAATGCAGCGCATTAAGTGTACAGGTGTTACCTGGCCCTCTTCACATAGCACTCTAGTGAATTAGAGTTCAGTGAACTGACACAAATGTTTATATTCTGACTACTGCTATTGATGTGAGTGCTAAACTCTTCTTTGTCTCTGACCTAGGAGTCTCTTGTTATCTGCCAGGACCCATGAAAGTGGCAGGTTAAGTTGTTTGCTTGCAAGTGTGATGAAATCTCAGATCCTTTACAGTTAGTTCTTGATACTTTGAAATAACAGTGATTAATTAAATGGAATGTATTTGGAAAGATTTATTGAAACTTATATTTATAAGTTTTACAATTTTTGAGAAGTTCATTTAGGATATTATTTCTGTTTGCTTTGGTACAGGTTTCGTTTATAATGTCAGCCCTTATATGGAGTATCATCCTGGTGGAGAAGATGAACTAATGAGAGCAGCAGGATCAGATGGTACTGAACTTTTTGATCAGGTAAGATGTGCTGAAAGTAACCAAAGTATTCCGGTGGAAGAGTACTCAGATTTATCAGTGTGACATTTGTAGAAAGAAAGGAAATAGTTGCATAAATTCCAGATGCATTGGCTTGAATTTTGAAGTGTGGGAAGATGCTCACAAGTAGCAGCTGTTCATTTAATTTGCCCTTTGAGTTATTAAAATTTTAGAGATGTTTCAAATCTGCGACTAGGGGTCTTCTTTTAAGTGTTCGCTGCCTCCTTTGTTGGTAAGTGTTTATTCAGTCTTGATTAGTTTTGATAATGATCGGCTTATGGGAGGTAGTGACAATTGGAAGAAGGAACATTGGGATCCGCTGCTAACTTGCTGAATCACTTTAAACAAGTAACTTAGCTTCTTTTCTGTTAGTCCTTTGTCACCTAGGGATTGCTATATATTCAGCCTACTGCTATATACTGAATTTGCATGTCATGTAGAAAGTTAGCCGATGGTGATTAATGAATAGAAACTTATTTTTCCTAGCATGATGGCAGAGATTCTGTATAGGTTATCTCAAAAGATATTTAAATTAGTCACTTTTCCCCTTATATTTACTAAAAACTAGCATTAGCTCTTAAACTATTTTAAAGTTATGCAGAATGTTGATTACTCTCAGTAATTCTGAGTATTCTGAGACAACAGTCTTTAGAAAGATAGAAATTTGCCTTTGTCTCATATATGCTTTATTTTGTATTTTAATGATGATTAACCATGTTGTAATATTGGATTTTTATCATTCGAGATACCTGAATCAGGTTGGGTTATATTATAGCTGTTTTTTTGATCAAATATAATTTGATTTCTGTTCTTCCTATTTTCTCATCCATTTTAGGACTTGTTTTTTGACCATGTTGCCAGAAATAGAATTTGTTTTATATAGTTGACCTTTGAACAATACAGGGATTAGGGGTGCCAACACCCTCACTCTCCCATGCAGTAGAAAATTCATGTATAACTTTTAACTTCCCAAAAACTTAACTACTAACAGCCTACTGTTGACCAGAAGCCTTACTTATAACATAAACAGTCAATTAACATATATATGTATGTTATATGCATTATATACTATATTCTTACAATAAAGTAAGCTAAAGAAAAGAAAATGCTATTAAGAAAATCATAAGGAAGAGAAAATATATTTATATTCCTTAAGTGGAAGTGGATCATCATGAAGGTCTTCATCCTCATCTTCATCTTGAGTAGGCTGAGGAGGAGGAGGAGAAATAGGGAGGGTTGGTCTTTCTGTCTTGAAGTGTCAAAGGTAGAAGTAAACCCATATGTAAATGGACTCGGTTGCAGTTCAAACCTGTGTTGTTCAAGGGCCCATTGTGTTTGAGAGCACTTAGGTGCATTTGCTTAAATGGCAGGATCTCATTTGCTGTTAATGTTCTTCCTGGGTTGGAGAAGAGTCATGTTTACTCTTGGTCATAACAGCATTCTCCTTGGAAGGTTTTTATTGCTGTTTTAAGGCAAGTTCCCATTGTTATTTGGTATTTGCTTTCTCTCTGTCTGCCTGCCTGCTGTCTGTCTGTGTATCTATGAGACAGAGTCTCGCTCTGTCCCCCAGGCTGGAGTGCAGTGGTGTGATCTTGGATCACTGCAACCTGCGCCTCCCAGGTTCAAGCAGTTCTTGTGCCTTAGCCTCCCGAGTAGCTGAGATTACAGGAGTGTGCCATCTCGCCTGGCTAATTTTTGTATTTTTAGTAGAGATGGGGTTTCGCCACGTTGACCAGGCTGGTCTTGAACTCTTGGCCTTAAGTACTCTGCCTGCCTCAGCCGCCCTAAATGCTGGGATTATAGGTGTGAGCCATTGCGCCTGGCCTGGTATTTGTTATCTAGCAATGCAAGCTAAATAGAAAGGTTTAGGAACATTTGCCTAAAAACTTACCTGCTATACTTTTCTCTTGAATCTGCCTTGTAACCTCCTAATGTTGAATGTACTGTGCCACAAGAAGAATTTCCAATAAAGTCTAGTCTTATTTCTGTTCTTGAGTGTTATGAGGTCATATAGACCTTATTTAAGGAAAGCTTGTTTTGGAGAATTCACAAGAAGTGCTATATTGTTAAGTTTTCTAGTATTTAAAACAATATTTACTAGATTGCTAGATTCAGAACAATTAGATTGCATTCTTCTTGGCTTTAATAAGACCAGTGATGTTTAATTATTTATGACTTGCTCAGCACAGAAGTAAACTAGAAACTACAGTGACGCTTGCATTTTTCAATATGAGAATTTACTTGTGCCCAGTATTTTAGCTGCACAAATAATAGTAATTTCCTTATTGTCCTATTTCTGTTTTTATCCCACCGCTGACCTCTTATCTTGCATTTCCAAATACCTGATAGGCAATTTAATGCCCTATACTTCAACTCATTATGCCCTCAAATAATATCAAGTCATTTTCTTTCCTCTTTTTCCTTCTGTTTCCTGTTTCTTGTAATAGGGGCTTGAATTCCCGGAGTAATCTTTTTCATCTCTGCTTGTGCCCCAGTATCCAATCACTGGCCAAATCCTATGATCTGTCTTTTTCTCCCTTCCCACTACCTTAGTTCACTCACTGTAGCCATATTATTTTAATACTGTCTTGATATCTTTACCTTCATTACCAATTTAGGTAACATGACAGCTAGATTAGATTTCTTAAAGACAATCATCTTAGTACCTTGCTCTGCAACTCTCAGTGGCTCACCCCTGACAGGGAAGTACATTTACACTCATTAGCCTGGCATGTGAGGTCCTAAAAGAATATATCAGGGTAAATATTCCCAACATGCATCTTGCTTTGCACCCTTCCCTGCCTCTGATGTCTATCATTCTATTCTCTATGTCAATGAGATCAAATTTTGTAGCTCCTATGAGTGAAAACATGCAGTATTTGTCTTTCTGTGTCTGTGTATTTCACTTGATGTAATGATCTCCAGTTCCTTCCATGTTGCTGCTAGTGACATAATTTCATTCTTTTTTATGGCCAAATAGTATTCCATTGTATGCATATATTATAACACATTTTCTTTATTTATCCATTCCTTGTTTGTGGACACTTAGGTGGATTCCATATTTTTGCTATTGTGAATGGTGCTGCAGTAAACATGCAAATGCAGGTATCTCTTTGATGTAATGATTTATTTTACTTTGGATAGATACCCAATAGTGGGATTGCTATGGTAGTTCTATTAATATTTTAGTTTTTTAAGAAATCTCCATACTGTTTTCCATAATGGTTGTACTAATTTACATTCCCAACAACAGTGTGTGAGTTCCATTTTCTTTTTTTTTTTATTATACTTTAAGTTTTAGGGTACATGTGCACAATGTGCAGGTTTGTTACATATGTATACGTGTGCCATTTTGGTGTGCTGCACCCATTAACTCATAATTTATCATTAGGTATATCTCCTAATGCTATCCCTCCCCCGTCCCCCTACCTCACAACAGGCCCCGGTGTGTGATGTTCCCCTTCCTGTGTCCATGTGTTCTCATTGTTCAATTCCCACCTATGAGTGAGAACATGCGGTGTTTGGTTTTTTGTCCTTGCGATAGTTTGCTGAGAATGATGGTTTCCAGCTTCATCCATGTCCCTACAAAGGACATGAGCTCATCCTTTTTTATGGCTGCATAGTATTCCATGGTGTATAGGTGCCACATTTTCTTAATCCAGTCTATCATTGTTGGTTCCAAGTCTTTGCTGTTGTGAATAGTGCCACAATAAACATACATGTGCATGTGTCTTTATAGCAGCATGATTTATAATCCTTTGGGTATATACCCAGTAATGGGATGGCTGGGTCAAATGGTAATTCTAGTTCTAGATCTCTGAGGAATTGCCACACTGACTTCCACAATGGTTGAACCAGTTTACAGTCTCACTAACAGTAAAAGTGTTCCTGTTTCTCCACATCCTCTCCAGCACCTGTTGTTTCCTGACTTTTTAATGATGGCCATTCTAACTGGTGGGAGATGGTATCTCATTGTGGTTTTGAGTTGCATTTCTCTGATGGCCAGTGATGATGAGCATTTTTTCATGTGTCTGTTGGCTGCATAAATATCTTCTTTTGAGAAGTGTCTGTTCATATCCTTTGCCCACTTTTGGATGGGGTTGTTTTTTTCTTGTAAATTTGTTGGAGTTCTTTGTAGATTCTGGATATTAGCCCTTTGTCAGATGAGAAGATTGCAGAAATTTTCTCCCATTCTGTAGGTTGCGTGTTCACTCTGATGGTAGTTTCTTTTGCTGTACAGAAGCTCTTTCGTTTAATTAGATCCCATTTGTCAATTTTGGCTTGTGTTGCCATTGCTTTTGATGTTTTAGACATGAAGTCCTTGCCCATGCCTATGTCCTGAATGGTATTGCCTAGGTTTTCTTGTAGGGTTTTTATGGTTTTAAACATTTAAAGACTTAAAAACATTTTTATGTTTTTATGGTAGCGTTTTTATGGTTTTAAACATTTAAAGACTTAAAAACATTTAAGTCTTTAATCCATCTTGAATTAATTTTTGTGTAAGATGTAAGGAAGGGGTCCAGTTTCAGCTTTCTACATATGGCTAGCCAGTTTTCCCAGCACCATTTATTAAATAGGGAATCCTTTCCCCATTTCTTGTTTTTGTCAGGTTTGTCAAAGA